>NC_000001.11:151934587-152559587 GCF_000001405.40 Homo sapiens
TTATACATTTTAAATTATTTCCTGGTAAACTTTTAGGCTGATATTCGTCAATAAATGAACAGGTTATATCTATCTCAATACCTAACAGTTTATTCTTTAAGTGATGACTATTATCTAATTAGGGACTTGGAAGAACTTCAAAGCTTAGTCTTCTAGATTTTACAAAGTGATAGATTGCTCTATTATTTATCATTTTGTTTCCAAACTGAGTATAAAATAGTCAATAGATACGTAAAATGAGACCTCAGAGCTGTTTCCTCTTTTGCAAAGTGAGCGATAAGATGCTCCCCACCTCTCTGTCCAGTTCTTACATTCAATAGAAAGACTAAATACGCCTAGAAGACAATGAAATACGTTGAGTGACTCAAAGTTGCTCAGAAATTACCATGAGGAATACCCATCCTAGCTTTCCTTGAACCCTGGACTGCAGTGCTCATCACCATCAAATCTCATGGAATATCTGGTGGGCTAGATTTTGAGTTGTTGCTTTTTGGGTACTCTGCCAGGTGGTATTGTACAGCAGACACATTAAAAGTGACTGAAGTGCAATATTTGTGTCCTCCCCTGAGTGGGATTAGGATCAGAGAAAGTAGGTTCTAAGACATAGAAACCTGTCATGTGAAAAGTCTTTAGGTGAACAAACTGCAGAAAATTTACGGTTGCAAGAAAAAAGTACAATGAGTTCTAAGACCCTCCTGGAAAATGAGGTTGAGTCATTCTGAGGATAGTGCTTCTCACAGGGGAGCTGGGAGGGGAAGGAGGCAGGGCAGAGCTGGCAGCTGCAGGAAGCATGGGCTCTGCCTGTAGGATTTTTCATTCCATAGCAGAAACCACGGAAACTGCAGCCATCTTCATCATGGAGAGGGCTGGGGAAAACAAAGTGGGGAGAATAAAGAACGGGAGATTATCACAAGACTATTACTTATATTCCCTTGGTTTCTGGTATCACAAGGGTTGTAGAGCACTTAACAATTTTTTTTTTCCTTGAGACGGTCTCGCACCCAGGCTGGAGTGCAGTGGCATGAACATAACTCACTGCAGCCTCGACCTCCCAGGCTCAAGCAATCTTCTCGCCTTAGTTCCCCAAGTAGCTAGGCGCACACCAACATGCCCAACTAATTTTTGTATTTTTTGTAGAGACGGGGTTTTGACATGTTGCCCAGGCTGGTCTCGAACTCCTGAGCTCAAGCAATCTGCCTGCCTCAGCCTCCCAAAGTGTTGGGATTACAGGCGTGAGCCACCGTGCCTGGCCACAATATATTTTTCTCTTTGGAATGAGGTAATAAAAGCAACCACTTACTGAGGAGCTCCCAGTACTAGATATTAAATGAGCCACTTTTTTCAAGTTCAACAGAGTTTAAAGGTAAAAGAAAGAGAGACATTTTATACCCATAATGTCATTTAATTCTCACACATCTATTTAGATACCTCCATTTTTAAACGTGAGGAAACAGCTCCAAGAGATTTATGAGCTTTCCCAAGATCACACAACTAGTAAGTTATGGAGCAGGAATTAAAACCAAAATCTCTCTGACAAGTTTCATGCTTTTTAACTAAATCACAGCAAACTACACTACCAGTCTTTTATACATGTTGGTGAAATCTCTCAATAAATATGGAGAGTGCCAAAGCTAATCTCATTATCATTCCCAGAAACATACTGGAACAGGAATTAAAAGAAATTAAGGAGTGTATAAGCAAAAACTCAGTTGTATATTAAAAAACCCAATTCCCCCTGAGAAAGAGAAAGAGCTGGAGTCCTTTAAAAATTAACTGCCTGTTTTTCTGTGGCCAATAAGCCTTATCTCTCCTCCTTTCCCAAACATTGTAAAAACCCTGTTTCCCTAGCTATACAACTACAAAGTCACTAAACAAACTCAAGTCATAAAACATGTTTCTCCTTAAAAAATAAAAAATAATATAATACGTCTCAATTAACTAAATAACTGCCTTTGTTTCTCTCTTCTATAATATGCTTCCCCCTGCACAAATCTCCCCCTGCCCCCAAAAATACTTAAAAAATAACTCTTTATTCAAAACTCAGTCCTTTAAATATTAATCCGACTGGGCCAATACACCTAAATAGTTAATAAATATCCTTCTAAACCCCATCAGTCTCTCTAATTCCTTAAAAATCGCGCAACAATACAACTGTTGAAACCTGTACTTACTCTCTCATTGTTAGACCCAGGTTTCTATATGAAGGTCAAACATGGTCTGATAAGCTTCGTTAAGTAAAAGAAAGCAAGTAGCCTTGAGGTCCCGCAGGGAGCATCAGACACCCCCTGAAGCTTGCGACTCATTTATCTTTAGCACAGTTCAATAGGGCCAAAGGGCACGGTGATAGGGATAGCCCTCTGTTGGGGGATGAAGGGTAGGAGTAAGACAAAGGGAAACTTCCAGATGGAGAGAGGAGATGTCTCAATTTCCTCCCTGCTGTTTCCCTATCACGTTTCCCTTTCTTTTCTTCCTAACACTGTCCACTATAATTATAATTTGCTTCTTACTTTAACTAAGCTTCTTTATTTCTTATAATCCACCCTCCCCCCTGTCTTTTTTCCCTCTTAAGATTATTTCCTTTATTTTTAAGTGTCTAAATATATTCCTAAAATGTAAATTTTAAATTTAAAATATACTGTTTTAAAATTGTCTCTATACATGTAAACTGAAGGTAACTGATAATATTAGCAGCACTAATATTATAAAAATGTAATTACTACCAAGAGAAGAGAGTGCTAATAGGTACTCACTAATTTTGGGGGGCTTGGGGGAGAAATGAATTAAAATAAAATGTAATTGAAAGTAACAGCAATACGGCCAGGCGCAGTGGCTCATGCCTGTAATCCCAGCACTTTGGGAGGCCGAGGCGGGCGGATCACCTGAGGTCGGGAGTTCGAGACCAGCCTGACCAACATGGAGAAACCCCATCTCTACTAAAAATACAAAATTAGCCAGGCGTGCTGGCACGTGCCTGTAATCCCAGCTACTAGGGAGGCTGAGGCAGGAGAATCGCTTGAACCTGGGAGGCGGAGGTTGTGGTGATCAAGATCGTGCCATTGCACTCTAGCCTGGGCAACAAGAGCGAAACTCTGTCTCAAAAAAAAAAAAAAAAAAAAGTAACAGCAATACTTATAACTTAGAGAAAAGGAAAGTTTAACATGGAAATTAAATTAAGAGAAATTGCGATTGTGATTTCTTTTGCTGTTTTAGAGAAAATTTTCCAGTGGTCTGATTTCACAAAACTGTTCCCAGCAATCTAAAAAAATTATGAACTCAGGCAACCTCACACACATACATAAAAGGTATGAAGCATTAAATTTTATTTAGATTAATGGAATCACAGACTATTAAAGCTGAGTGAGACCTCAGAGACTTTTTCTTCCAGAGTGACAGAAACTCCTTGAGACCAAGGACAATGTCTTGTTCTTTGTCTGTAGAAAGCCAAGCCCCAAGCCCAGTTAGTACTAGGCGTTCTGTAAATATTTTTTACCTGAATGAGAAAATGTGAGGCCCAGAGAGATAATTGACTCATAACTTCATATAGCAAGTTTGTTGTGGAGATGGGCCTAGGACTGGGGTCTCCTGAGCCTTGTCCATTAAAAATTTTTTTTTTGTCCTTTTTGCTCGTCATGGACTTGAAGCTCATGGCTTGTTCATTTTGAGTCACCACAGCTCCACACTCTTCATCTGTTTATCTATTTAAATTCAGCTTCAGGCAGTGTGTGTGTGTTTTCCGAATTCTGATTTTTTCATATATGTTTATTTCAGGTATATTGGTTCTTTATTGCTGCTGTAACAAATTACCATAAATTTAGTAGTTTAAACAACATGGGCCTGGTGCGGTGGCTCACACCTGTAATCCCAGCACTTTGGGAGGCTGAGGAGGGAGGATTGCTTGAGCCCAAGATTTCAGAATCAGCCTGGGCAACATGGCGAGACCCAGCCTCTACAAAAAAGAAAAAAAAATTAGCAGGATATGGTGGTATGTGCCTGTAGTTTCAGCTACTTTGGAGGCTGAGGTGGGAGGATCAATTGAGCCTGGGAGGTTAAGGCTGTAGTGAGCCTTGATTGCACCACTGCACTCCAGTTTGAGCAACACAGCAAGACCCTGTCTCAAAAAAAAAATTAATTTAAAAATAAAAAAGAAAAACAGCACAAATATATTATTATGTTACAGTTCTGTAGATTAGAAGTCCAAACTGGGTTTCACTGGACTAAAATCAAGGTGTCAGCAGGACTATGTTCCTTTCTGGAGGCTCCATGGAAAAACTTGTTTCCTCACCTTTTCTAGCTTTTAGAGACCACCCACATTTCTTGGCTAGTGTCTCCTTCCATCTTCAAAACCAGCAACATTGCATCTCTCTGTGCCATACTTTCATAATCACATCTTCCTCTGGCTCTCACTCTTCTGCCTCTCCTTTCTACTTCTAAGGACTCTTGTGACTACATTGGGCACACCTAGATAATTCCTATTGCAAGGTCATTTGATTAGCAACTTTAATTCTATCTGTAACCTTAGCTCCCTTTTGCCATGTACCCTCATATACTCATAGGTTCTGGGGATTAGGACATGGACATCTTTGCAGGGCAGGGGGCATTATTCTGCCTTCCTCATCGAGTACTAACATAGTTGACATTTTTAACATCATTTTACTAGTTAAAGAATTTAGCTGGCCAGGCCCAGTTGCTTACGGCTGCAATCTCAACACTTTGGGAGGTCAAGGTTGGTGGGTCACTTGAGCCCAGGAGTTTGAGACCAACCTGAGCAACATGGTGAAACATGACTCAACAAAAAATACAAAAATTAGCTGGGTGTAGTGGCATGTGCCTGTAGTCTCAGCTACTCAGGGGCCTGAGGTAGGAAGATCACATGAGCCTGGAAGGTTGAAGCTGCAGTGAGCTGTGACTGTGCCACTGCGCTTCAGCCTGGGCCACAGAGCAAGACTCTGTCTCAAAAAAAGGAATTTACCTGTTTGTACAATCTGGCAATTAATGAATGTCCTATTTATTTATTTATTTATTTGAGATGGAGTCTTGCTGTATCACCCAGGCTGAAGTGCAGTGGCACAGTAATAGCTTACTGCAAACTTGACTTCCTCAGGCTCAAGTGATCCTCTTGCCTCAGCCTCTTGAGTAGTTGGGACTACAGGCCTGTGCCACCATGCCTGGCTAATTTTTTTTATTTTTAGTAGAGATGAAGACTCACTATTTTGCTCAGGCTGGTTTTGAACTTCTGAGCTCAAGCAGTTCTCCCATCTCAGCCTCCCAAAGTACTGGGATTACAGGCTGAGCTGCTGCTCCCAGCCTTGAATTCCCTTTACAACGTGGGCTCTGTAAGTATGTCCTTCCATCATAATGGTCCAACATCCTCTTTTTGTAGCAAACATTTTGTAATGCTCCCTTTGCTCTCCTGAAATGAAGTTCACAGATAATGTAGCATATACTTGCCTAACTTAAAAAACCAAATGGTCATGTAAATGAGAAATAAAAGGGAAGTAATTTATGATAAAATGCTGTTAATTTCAAGAAAGTGATGATGATTGTACCACTTTGTGAATATTATTAAAACCACTGACTTGTATATTTTAAGGGTAAACTTTATGGCATGTAAATTATATCTCAATAAAGTAATAAAGAATATGGCTATTATAACCTAAAAAAAAAATGCTGTTAATTCCAATATGTAATTTCTCAAACATAGCTACTTAGAAGACATAATGATGGAATAAGACTCTTGCAAGTACACACAGAATCACTGTGATTGCAATAACTACAGGTACTGGATGATACAGATTAATTATGCTGGCAAATCAGATTTGTTGTTAGTTATCTAATTTTACAAAATGTGAACAACTCTTGGGAACATTCCAAACAACATGAAGTTTAGTTTTACTTGATTTACATGACAGTTGCATTCCTGGAAAATTTGGTAATATTTATGCTGTACAAAAATGCTTTGTGTTTATATGTAAAATGAAATTAGGCTCCAGGTTCAGATAATCATAAACAGTGTTTTTACTTACATAAAGACTGAGAGGATTTATAAAGTTGTGTAGGACATGGGGGCAGTTTACCATTGCCCTGACCCATGGATTGCAGAACATCTAATATGTAACCCTAACACTACCCAGAAAATGCTGGCAGTGCCTGCCAGTCATTGTGACAACCAAAAAAAATTAAGACTCATTCTAGAAGTGAAATCATCCCGGTTGAGAATCATTGGTCAGTGGGTCAGCATTTTTGAGTTACCTGGGATTTTCATTAGGAGAGATGACAATAATAAAGTTGACATTTGTTGACCACTAGTTATGTGTTATATGCTCTTCTAAACATTTTGTCTGTTTTAACTCATTTAATCCTCACAAAAACCCTATAGTCTAGAGTCTATTATTATTCCCAATTTACTGATGGGGGAATTAAAACTCATTGAGGTTAAGTAACTCATCCATGAAATCAAAGCTAGTAAGTAAAGAAATCAGAATTCAAACCTAGGCAGTTTGGTGCCAGAGCCTGTGTAAGTAACCATTGCACCCCACTCTGTTATGGTAGAAGCTGGGCAGTCCTGAATCAGTTCCCCAAAAATACAGTGATTTAAATAAAATTTATTAGTGTATCCTAAGTGAATCTGACTAAGCCTGTTGCTGGGGAAATCGGTCAAGGTCATTTGACTCCCTTTCTAGCTGCCCTGCCTGTCTCTCTCTCTCTCTCTCTCTCTCACACACACACACGCACACATACACACACAGTCTTTTTCAAGGTCATTTGACTCCCTTTCTAGCTGCCCTGCCTGTTTCTCACTTAAACACACACACACACACACACATACACACACACACACACACGCACACACAGTCTCTCTCTCTCTCTCATAGTATTTCTTCCCCTGTCTGGCTCACTGGAAGAAATGACAATATCATAGCTGCTCCAGGTCTGTGAATGATGACAGTAAGGACTGGTGAAAATGAGTCAGGAGCCATTCATTGGAAAGATTGTGTAAGTGTATGTATTGTATTTTCACCACTAATATAGTAACTTGGTTACAGTTGCTTGGTAACTATACACTGTTCTAAGTAATCCTTAAAAACTGGCTCTGGTGAATGCCCACAGAGATTTTTCCACCTCTTTTTGCAGCCTCTAGTTCTCACTACTGTAACAGGGCAACAAAAATCCCATAGTCCTTATGTCATACCTTTGCCCACACTCCTCCTTTGTGTTTGGCATCCACTCATAGCACTCTTTTGCCAAGTTCTGCAAGTTAGGAATTCGAACCCATGGCATGAAAACACTTCTAATAGCTCTTAAAATTACTATTTTTAGATATTTATGGGCAAAATTTCAACACTGCTGTCCCTTATTAAAGGAGAATAATTAAATAAATTTCATATTTTGAGTGGAAGACACCTGACCACACTGAACTTGGATGTTTTAGTTCCCTACTCTGAGAGGCGGGCTCAGTGGAATCCTAGGACATTAGGGCTGGAGGAAATAGGGAACTCCCTGCTCAGAACAGAGGGCTCCCCCAGGACAAAACCCTGCTGTGTGTTTTCTGTGTGACTTTACGTAAATTAGTTAAGCTCCTCAAGACTCAGTTTTCTTATCTGTAAAGGCAGATAACACTAGTTCCTAACTCATAGTGTTGTAGGTGTGGAGAATGAAATGAGAGGATGGGTGTACAACAACAAGAACATTGGGTACCCAAGGCAAGTGATTGGATGGAACAAGCAGTAAAGATCACGTGTGCTCCAAGGTCACCCAACTTTAAAGGTCTGAAGCAAATGTGCAGGGGGTGCCATCAGTGGCTAGAGTTTATGAATTAGGGGTCTCTACATGCTTGGTCGTCCATGCAGTTCTTATTTATTTATTTTGAGACAGAGTCTCACTCTGTCGCCCAGGCTGGAGTGCAATGGCGCAGTCTCGGATCACTGCAACCTCCACCTCCTGGTTTCAAGTGATTCTCCCGCCTTAGCCTCCTGAGTAGCTGGGACTTCAGGTGCATGCCACCACACCCGGCTAATTTTTGTATTTTTAATAGAGATGGGGTTTCACTGTGTTGGCCAGGCTGGTCTCAAACTCCTAACTTCGTGATTCTCCCGCCTCGGCCTCCCAAAGTGCTGGGATTACAAGCGCAAGCCACTGCGCCCGGCCCATGTAGTTCTTTAAAAACATTTTAGTAATTTGCCTACCTTAAATTCAGGAGATTTCTTATAACAACCTGAATTTTTGGCTTCTCTTGAAACTGTGGGAAGGTCTAAAAATCCTCTGCCCTCTTTCCTATATGGCCACAATAGATAGGAACTGGGTAGGGATTACCTCCAAGGGCATTCTCTCTTTAAGTACTTGTGATCAGCAGCTCAAAGGCATTTGAACTGACTGGTGCCTGGCACACAGAACATCTTACCCAATAACTGCACATAGCAATGATAAGAGCCAGCAGGGGTCAAGTCCTTCTCATGTGGAGGAGATAGAAAAGCAAGAACCCAATACTGAGCATTACTAACCACATCATCTAAGAACTCCTGTAACTGAAGTAGAGCATCAGTAATCTTAGCCATTCACCGGAAACATTTAGGCCCATTCATCAGAAATGTTTCAAGCTAGTGAACAAGAATGTGTTTTCATGCCTGTCATATCAGGGCATTCAGTTACATACTCAAAAGGAAGTCCTTGAATCAGGAAGATGGCTCTGGTCAAACAACGTTTCTATGGTTTGTCTTTTCCTTTTTCTAATACATCTAGAAAAGTCTAATTTTAAAATACTCCAAGGATGCCTCGTTGATCTTATTTGGGGAAGGGAAGAATAGGAATGTTTGAAATTCTCAAAATAATCTTAAAACATAATTAAGGTAAATATTTGATTTAACTAAACACTCTGTCATTTAGTAGGGAATGAGCAAAGTGGCAAGAACCAAGTAGCAATTTGGGGGACTTCAGCCCCTTACTCCCACAAAGACACCCCACTCCCCAATAAATATTCATTCCAAGTAAAATAGTGGTTTTTTTGCCATTGCAAATGAGGGGCAAGACAAGTGCCCAAGTGCCACATCTCTTCCCAGACTATTACCCTACGTCCTTCCTTTTTAGAAATTTCCAAGGGACAATGAGGAGGTTGATGGCTGCCTATACCCCTCTCTCTGAAGGGAGTTGTGAATTAAATCAACAGGAATTAGGTCTCATTCCACAGAATCATTCATCCCTGCACTAGTGAATTTATTGCAAATAATGTGGCTTTATGGTTTGTTTTGCTGAAGTCCATCTGACTCCCTGTTTTGAACATGATACAGGTGCTTGGTTGGAACTGTGATCAGAATTTCTTTTTTATTTTTATTTTCTAAATTTTTATAGAGGTGGGGTTTTGCTATGTTGGCCAGGCTGGTCTTGAACTCCTGGTCTTATGTGATCCTCCCACCTCAGCCTCCCGAAGTGCTGAGATTACAGGCATGAACCACTGTGCCTGGCCCAGAATTATTTTTAAAAGTAATCATGCTTGACTTAGCCCTGTTAAGCCTCCAAAATTCTGGTGAGGTCCCTTTGCTTGTAAATACTTAGAAAAACTGTACATGAGCAAAATAGAGAAGAATTAGATAAACATGGCTTTGTATATAGCAGTGTCCCAGTAAGTAAGCAAACTGATATTCCCTACATACCCTATTTCAGAGGGCAGGCTGAGGGGCGCTCAGGCAGAAATACCGTAAGTTCAACTGAATGGCAAGTTCTTTAATCCAAGATTGAAGTGTGTGGCAAAACATGCCAGGAACTCTTACAAGCAGTTGGCATGAATTAACTTCTTTGATCCTCACAGCAGCCCTAAAAGTAGGAAATATTTTTCTGTCCCTGTTACAAGTAAGGAAACCAAAGGACAGAGAGGGAAAGTAACTGCCCAGTCACACAGCTAGTAAATGGCAGAGGTGGGGCATAGATCCAGGCAGCCTGAAGGTTGTACTCTGATGATAAGATGAATTTCTGGCAAGCACGTTTTGCTGACCTCTCCAAGGCAGACCTAATGTGGTGACAAAACCTATCACACTTGCTTACTGTGGCACGATGCTTTTGCGTTGTGACACAGCATAGCTACAGTGCTTACAGCACAATGCTGTGAGCCCAGAGGAGCTTCATGTCACCTTTAATGACCCAAATTAGACCTAAGAAAATTGTTAGCCAACAATGACAGCATCCTTACATCACGTCAGCGCTTTAAAAAGTGGTGAAATTTAATACTCAGTTTGCTTTTGAAATCAGGTTCACCCAACCTCCACTCTTAGCTGTGCATTAGATAAATGTAGAAATTGCCTCCTTTTTCATCTTGAGTCTCAAACAACAGCTCTGGACTCAGAGCTAATAGACTTCCTGAGTCCAACCAATTCAAGCAGCCAATGAGGCATCCTGGCAAATGAGGACATTTCTCCAGGGGATGAGGCTGTCCTTGGTGCCCTTGCTCCCCTCTGCCAGCAGGATAGGTTCTGTGAGTTATGCTTCTGGTCACGTTGGTGGGTTTGTGCTGACCTGTCCCCAGTAGACTCTTTTGTGATGAGGGGTGGGACTAATGAGACGCCTGGCCAAAGTGGCAGAATCTGTGACTGTGAAAGATGGTGACACTGCCAGGTATAAGGAAGGACTTAAGTTGATGGGCACCAAACAGAGAACTTTCTCTATGCCTGTGACTGGAACATGTCCATCTTGGTAGCCAGGTCTCCACTACACAATTCAGTTTTTGCTCCCTTAGCAGTTAACTGTCAAATTAGAAATCCATCCTGTTTTAGTCTTTAAAGCCTTGATATAATTTAACTATAGTCAGCAGAAACAAACAAATGAACAAAATCCATCAATAACTTGTGAGGCTCTTCCTTTCCTATAACCCGAGGTCATCAGACATAATGGTTAAGGGTGTGGGTCCCTGGAAGAAGACTGCATGGCTTGAATCCTGGCCCTGTTACTCACCAGACACATAACATTAAGCTCTGGGTATCTCAGTTTCTTCATCTTTAAAATAGGAATAATGATAATTGAAGACTAAGAGTGCCTCATAGTAAGACCTTAATAATTACCACTATCTCTGTTTCCAGTCATCCTCAGGTAGTTCAGTGTAATCTGGTAGAGACATATCCTAGCTGTGAAGAAGTAATTATGTTATTTTGGCTCTCCCCTTTTTCTCTTTACTTCTTGCACTGCTATGTGACAGCTCTCGGGTGCCAAACAGCCTCTTCCTGTGATTAAAGTTTCCAATTTATAACAAACAGAAACAAACAAACAAAAAAGCGGTAGTACTTACTCTAGCCACACCCTACGTGAGGGCAGATGCTGGGCTGTTGCCATGGTGATGCAGAGTATTTTGTAAAACACTTGGCCCGGGGGCAGTTAATGAGTCATACTCAGGGATGGGTGGGGAAAGGGCAACTGCTTTCAATTAAAAGGGACAGGCCAATAATAGTTGAATTGGGAGACTGCCTTGGTTCCTGCAGTACATCAGAGACACCTTGGGGCTGAGGGTTTTGTTATACACTTGGTCCATTTGTTGTGTGGACATTTTCTATTTCCTTCCTCTGGGTAGAGGGAGCGATACAGTAGATTCCCTTTTGCTCTTCCGCTTATATAAAAAACTTCCAACTAAGTTCTGATAAAATCAGTTCTGTTTTCCTGTGAAGCGTTGACACAACTAAAGCTAGTGAAAGGATTTTTGTGACTTTCTTCCATCCCGTGTCTTTGCACATATTCATTGTCCATAAGTAAGGCATCTGAAACATATTATTCAGCATTATCCTAAACTTTTCAGCAGGAAGTGTTTGAACAACTATAGGCAACGTAATTTCAGGATGGAGGATCTATACCTTACATGACTCCTCTGAAATTTCGTGCTGGTTGAAGTCAGTAAACCTGCCTCAAGCATGCTGAGAAGTGGTTACATGTTGCCTCCTGAGGTGTGTCATACACCTCAAGTGGTTAGTTATGATTAATATTGCTCAATTCTCATTGACTACTCATAGCATATTGGGCAGGAGCAGAGTGTGGACATACCCTCTAGGAAATGACATGCTAATAAATGTCAACCACTCAATCACTTAACTAGGTCTTACTGAGCTGTTGCCATGAGAAAGGCACAATGCTAGGATATAATCAGGAGTTTAAACATAGTAAAACACAGCTCTTTCCTACTGAGAGCTTATAATCTTAGGTGAGAAGGAAGAGAAAAAAACATAGGAAAAAATAACTTGCAATAATATGATGCACATGGTAATATTAAATGAATAGTACCAGAAATGGGTGATACGTGTGTAGAGGAGGGAGAAATTACCATGGGCTGTGGTGGTCAAGGGAGGTGGGATTTGACATGAGTTTTGAAGTATGGGTAGAGAAGAGGGTGAGGGCATTCAGGAAAGGGGAAAAGATCAACAGCACAAAGATTGGGCCTCATCCCTGGAACTTGGTCCATGTAAGGATGTGAGGACTGGCCAAGGGAGGGCCAGAAACTGGGGACAAGACAAGTCATTTAAGTGGGGTGCTATTAGCATATCATGGAGGGTCATTAATACAGAGGGTAGTACTTGTGGAGCCAAACAAAACCAGAAGAACTATGTGGAATCCAAAGGAGGCTATTCAAAAACTTGCAAGTTATGGGCCTGCCAAGGAAGGAAAAAGTGAAAAGAATAGAGATTTCAGTCAACCCAAGTCATACAATCAAGCGCAGAAATTAACAACATAATTTTATAAGGTGTGAAGGATCTGATGAATTGGCATGGTGACATTATAGTGACTCAAGAGCCAAATGAAAGCTGTGATTAATCAGAAAAATATGTATACTCAATCTTCAACGTCAGTTTTATAATATTTAAGGGCATTTGATTATTATGAAAGGCAACCTTTAAAAGTGATTGTTGAGTTTTGCTTGATTAAAAACTAGGATATGAAGATTTATACTTAAGGTACAAAAAGATGAAAAACCTGGGTTTCTTTTTTGTTTTTTGAGACAGAGTCTCACCCTGTCGCCCAGGCTGGAGTGCAGTGGCGTGATCTCGGCTCACTGCAAGCTCCGCCTCCCGGGTTCACGCCATTCTCCTGCCTCAGCCTCCCGAGTAGCTGGGACTAGAGGTGCCCACCACCACACCCGGCTAATTTTTTGTATATTTTTATATTTTTTTAGTAGAGATGGGGTTTCAGCGTGTTAGCCAGGATGGTCTCGATCTCCTGACCTCGTGATCCACCCGCCTCGGCCTCCCAGAGTGCTGGGATTACAGGTGTGAGCCACTGCTCCCGGCCAAACCTGGGTTTCGGAAATTTAATTTTAATAAGGCAAATATTAATTTTAAAAATCAAAATTTTGCAAATAATTTTTTCTATGTGCAATTGCTGCCTTCAAGGACACCAACAGCCCCACATCACTCTGGGGCCAGTTTTAGAAGCAGACCTTCAGGGGAGCAAGTCGGGCGGGGGAGGGGAGGTGGGCTGCAATGGGAAAGGCAGAGATTGCTGCAGGTGAGCACAGTACGGAGGGTGTCCATGGAGGCCAAAGGTGATTCAGGCCAGCAGGGGCGGTAGTGGGAGACTAGATATAGGGTCTGTCAGTCCTTGGGAGTGGGGCTTGGGGAGGGACTTTAGTCCCTCAAGGTATTGTAAAAGTTATAAGAATCAAACTTGAGGCGGGGCGTGGTGGCTCACACCTGTAATCCCAGCACTTTGGGAGGCCGAGGCAGGCAGATCACGAGGTCAAGAGATCGAGACCATCCTGGCTAGCATGGTGAAACCCTGTCTCTACTAAAAATACAAAAAATTAGCCGGGCGTGATGGCGCCTGCCTGTAGTCCCAGCAACTCGGGAGGCTGAGGCAGGAGAATTGCTTGAACCTGGGAGGCAGAGGTTGCAGTGAGCCGAGATCGCACCACTGCGCTCCAGCCTGGGTTACAGAGTGAGACTCTGTCTCAAAAAAAAAAAAAAAAAAAATCAAAATTGAATCACTTGTGTTAAAAATTCTCACAAATGGAGCTGGGGAAGGTTCTTATGCACAAATGACTGATAATGAGAACTATTAGAAAAGAATCTGCAAAACCCACAATCTTTTAAAAAGGCCATCACAAACTTACACAAAAAAATACTTTTGTGAGGACATCTGCCAGCCACTGCCTGTCCAACTTGGGACTGGTGCCACTAGTGTTGTTGATCCTTGTAGCCAAGGATAATTGATTCAAAACAATTGTGTAATCCCCCCTCTTTTATCCTTTAAAAATCTTTATCTTCCTTTACCTCCCTGAATATGCACGTTTACTATGGCATGTGTATTCCCATTGCAATGCCTATTCCCAAATAAATATGATATAATATAATTTATTTATTTTGAAACAGGGTCTTGCTCTGTCACCTAGACTGGAGTGCAATGGCACGATCATAGCTCACTGCAACCTTGAACTGCTGGGCTCAAGCGATCCTCCCGCTTGCCCTTCTGAATAGCTATGACTGCAGGGTGTGCCACCATACCCGACTAATTTTTAAAAATTTTTTTTGTAGAAAAATTATGTTGCTCAGGCTGGCCTCCAACTGTTGGCCACAAGCAATCCTACTGCCTTGGCCTACTGAAGTGTTGGGATTAGAGGTTATAGGTGTGAGCCACTCACTGTGCCTGACCTCATTTTCTTTTCTCTTTCCTTGTTTCTTTTTCTCCTCCTCCTCCTCCCTTCCTCCTCCTCCTCTTTTTTTTCTTCTTCCTTTTTCTTCTTTCTTCTTCTTCTTCTTTTTTTCAGAGCTAGCTGTTGCTTTATTTTGGAAAAAAAACAATTGAATTGTTTTTTAGTTGGGGGTATGGGCAAGAGGAGGTACCCCAGGGGAGGCTAGGGCTGAGCCTCAGGTGGGTCTCTTGTTCCCCTTGCTTCCCTACACAGCGGCCTCCCCTGCAGGCTCTGGGGCAGCCACAGGAGCAGGAGGCTGGGAGGGGCTGCCATGGCCGTTCACTGGGGCAGGACAGCAGAGGGCTGGACACCAGCTTGTTATTGCTGGTTTGGATCTTTTTCAAAACCGTGGCCTTGGAAGCGCTGGTACGGCTGAAGGAGTCAGAGCTCTTGCCAGAGTCAAAGCTGGAACCCAGGCTGTGATTGAGGCCAGAGCTTGTGAGGCCCAGTAGGCCGAGCTCAGCCCATCTGAGCAGCCACTGGTGGTCTTTGTATGGATACTCATGTTCTGCATCCCAGACTCCAGGCTGCTGTCCTTGTCCTCCGGCAGCTTCCCGTAGGTGGTGAACTCAGTGTCCAGGGGAGCCTGGCGTTCATCAGCTCCTGGCACTCGCGTACCTGCTATGTCATGCCCTGCTTGTCCCACTGCAGGGTGGCCTCCAGCTCTGCCAGCGTGGCGTTGGCTCCTTTATAGCCAGCGGCTTGGCTCTCCGATGGTGAACCCCAGGGAAGCCCTCTGGCCTTTGAGGCCCTTAGTATCAGCTGGAGCCAGATGATGTTCGGGTTCATCTCTGAGATCTGCATCTTTGTGCACCACAGGGCATCCCTGTGTTTCCCAGCCAGTGTCTGCAACCCCTCACACTTAGATCTGGTGCCCTCTCAGCCTCGCCCAGCTGCTTTGGCTATCTCCTCCCACTTGGGGACTTGGCCATGTCACTGCCCACATCCAGTGTGCGGCTTTTGGCCATAGACAGGACCACAGATGTGTCCGAGTCTGGAGGTCTCCTCTTCATACAGCTGCCTGAGGAGGCTGATCTCATCAGTCAGCTCTCCCAAGCGAGACTCCAGCTCTACCTTGTTCACTTAAGCTTCATGCGCGTCCTTCTTGATGAGGACAGATTGATTCTCCATCTCTGTTGGCTTATCAGTCTCACCCTCCTACTTCTTCTTGAAGTCCTCCAGCAGCCTCTGCTTTTCCTGGCCCAGAGTGTCCAGCTGCCACCCAAGGTTGTTGATGTAGCTATGGAACACGCTGTCTATGTTGCTTCCAGCCTCCTCTCCTGCTGCTGGAGGCTCCACTTGGTCTTCAGCATCTTGTTCTGTTGCTCCAGGAACCCCCACGTTGTTGATGAAGGAGGCAAACTTGTTGAGGGTGTTGATCTGCTCCTTCTCCTGGGTGCTCACGGCTTGGATGTTGGGGTCCACCTCCAGCTTAAGGGGCTTAGCAGGCTCTGGTTCACCATGGCGGCTGTGATGCCTCCCATACTACTGGCCCTGGCATAGCCTCCACCCAGACCCATGCTGATACCCAGCCACTCCAGAAGCTGCTGCTGCTGCCCATTTGGGAGGAGCTCCAGGAGCTGATGCAGGCACCAGCCCATTCTTGTAGGAGCAGCTGCTGAGGGCCCTGGGGCCAAGGGGGACACCCCGTAGGACTTCCAGGTCACCCTGGTAGACATGGTGTAGGCAGAAGTGGAGGCAGGCAAGTGGAACCACATAGAGACTCGAGAAGGAGCCGAGAAACTGCTTCTAGGTGGGCCTTGTCTTCTTTTAGAGAGCCTCTTTCTGTCTGTTATTTAGGTTGACATAAATGGTGCCAGAAGCAAGACCAAAGCGAGCTCACCTCAGATGGATCCACAGATACTGGAATTGAGTGCAGTTCCAACTGAGGTGTTGGTGCTCTTTGCTTGTGTGAGTCACCTGTTCTGCCCTGCTGAATTTTATTTTGGATTCTCAGACTCCCACCCTTTGATGGGTTCTTTTTGTTTGTTTGTTTTTTGTTTTTGAGATGGAGTCTTGCTCTGTCCGCCAGGCTGGAGTGCAGTTGCCCTCACTGTGACCTCCAACCCCCTGGTTCAAGCGATTCTCCTGCCTCAGCCTCCCGAGTAGCTGGGATTACAGGCACGTGCCACCACGCCCAGCTAATTTTTGTATTTTTAGTAGAGATGGGGTTTCACCATGTTGGCCAGGATGATCTTGATCTCCTGACCTCGTGATCCACCTGCCTCAGCCTCCCAAAGTGCTGAGATTACAGGCACGAGCCAGCACGCCTGGCTGGGTGGGTTCTTTTGACTTTATTCAGGATCTGTTTGGTTATAAGGCTGCTTTAAGTAAAGGACCTTGCATCCGTCTTAGGACTATAGAAGACTTTGCTGTCAAGCCATGTCCTTTGGAATGTATTATGGTTTCACCAGAATTACATTCTATCTGTGAGATGTGTCTTTTCTTGTGAATTCATTTTTTGTTCTTTTATTTCAATTTTGGTTCAATATTTTGTTTGGTTTGCATGCCTGGCTTAAAGTGTTTGTGAGAACTTTTATTTTGGTTTCATCTGGTTTTGTTATATGTATCTGTAAATGATTTGGCTTTTAAATTCCCACTCCACCCTCCAAAGCCCGTACCTCCTATTTCTGAAAATCTTTCAAGAGCAAAAAATAAATATTCTAAATGGTGGAAACAAGATGGAATGAAAAGCCACTATGGTGGTCACCACCATCAAAGCACCAGTCCAAATTCCTGGTATTTTCTGACAGGATTTATAAGATTTTCTTTGCTCTGGAGAGATTAATAAGAAATGGAACAGGATCTTCAAAATTCAAAAGCATATCAAACCCTTTAGTACTCCAGCTGGCTATACATTCAAAACTTATGGCTTATTTTCGAGCATATTTTTTTTTTTTTGAGATGGTGTCTTGCTCTGTCGCCCAGGCTGGAGTGCAGTGGCATGATCTCAGCTTACTGCAACCTCTGCCTCCTGGGTTCAAGTGATTCTTCTGACTCAGCCTCCTGAGTAGTGGGGACTACAGGCGTGCACCACCACACCGGGCTAATTTTTGTAATTTTAGTAGAGACGGGGGCTTCATGATATTGTCCAGGCTGGTCTCAAACTCCTGACCTCGTGATCTGCCTGCCTCAGCCTCCCAAAGTGCTGGGATTATAGGCGTGAGCCACCACGCCTGGCTGAGCACATTTTTTAAACTGATGGAAAATTACATCAAGAAAAATTCAGAGCTCAAGGGACATTATTTGAACTCTGTAAGCTTAGTTTTTAAACTGCCAGCAACTATAGAGCTAACATGTAGGGCCTTTAAATTCTCTATTTTTTTCTGCCTACTTTGAATCTGCTGACTTTTCTACCGGTATTAAGACAAATTCTCTGCTTTTGACATTCCAGCCAACATAAAAAAAGAAATCTTAAAAGACTTTTAAATTAATGACTTTACAAATTACAATAGCTCTGTGGAAATAAATAACCTAGACATCTAAGAGTCAAACCTTTTGAAAATGTAAATTTGGCTAATAATAGCTTAGAGTGATGAAACAGTTAATTGAAGGATTGCTATTCTGAAAGAAATAAACTAAATAAATTTATAAAAGTTAGGCTCATAGGTCGAACAGGTAAAAATCTTGAGCAATAATATAAGGTAACTCTGTCTGGCATAAAAAAAAATTAATCTGCCATGCAAGGGTCAGAAATAGCTAGGAAAAAACCTACAAATAACTTTTTCTAAAATGCTTTCACAACTGCATTGACTAGTCAAGCAAACCAGACTGACAAACAAAAGATAGATTGTTACTAATTCAAGGCTGCTTGGAAATTTTGGTTTCTTATACTCTTCAGCCAGTTCTAGCTAAAATGTAAACATTTAAAAATTTAACCCCCTAAACTCATTTGAGACAAAAAAGGGGGTAAAAGAGATTTAAAAAATCCAAACTACTTTTCCCAATATTTTGGTCCACAGCCTTTGTTAGATTACCTATCAGAGAAAATAAAATTTAGCCATGTGAACAGGTCCCATTTTGTCAGAAATATAATTTGAATACAACTGTCTTTTATAAATGGGTGTTCTGTGTGGGAAATGCATGAAGGGAGAAGAAAGATCACACACACAATATCTTTAAGGGTAAACAACCTTTATCCCACGTAAATGGCAGCGCAGATAAAATAAGCAAATGATATAATAAGCAAATTGCAATGGGAAGGGGAGAAGGAAAAAGATATATATATATATCTTTACACTCACCAGACTGTGGAGGATTCACCACCAGACTGGGAAACAACAGCCTGGGCTCCAGAGTTGGACACTCACCACCAGACTGGGAAGTAACAGCCTGGGCTCCAGAGTCCACCACTCATCCGTGCACAGATGAGGAGCGGCCTCATGAAGCTTCGGTGCGGTCTGGGACCCTATCTCTTTTTGTAACGAGTTGTTTGGCATGAGGTCCAGTCAGGAGGGCCCTTCGCAACTGGGCTCAAGGAACACAAAAAGGTCAACCTGTTTTTGTGATTGTCTGTTGTTTTTCAATAACTAATGTACAGGAATAGATTGAAATAGAGATTTTTCTGAAACAGCGCTGGATGAATGCCTCAAGGGGCTCAAACAACCTGTTCCAGGACTTGGTGACTATTGTTTGTGTTCATGTTTAATTGAGTTCAAATTTAATATTTAACTTTTCCTCCACAATGGGTGAGTTTGTATTACTATGTTTTACTGTCTCATGAATAAAATCCTAAAATAAAAGCCACAAAATCTTTGTGTTTAGGTGTGCCTACACATATGTACATTTATTATTTTCTGTGTTGTATCTATATGGTAAAACCTGATGTAGTCAGTAGAATTCCCTTAAGAAATTCTATTCAGATTGGCTAGATAAGTGAATGCTCATATAAATTGTTAAAATATATAGTAACTAACCCAAATGCATTTTAGTTCATGTGACTTAAATAAATCTTTGATAAATATGCTAGTTTTAATTCTGTTGATAAAATAAAAATAGAAATGTCTTCAGAATTGTCAGCATATATTTTTGACTGAGTTTACCGATTAGACAGTTTTATATTTGTCTCTGCTAAATGTTTTAAGGGGTCAGGATTTGACACAAAGTTTATAAAACTGTATATCTAGTCTAAAAATAAAATGATCTTTGTGTAACTTTAATAAGTAAGACAAATTTAATAATGTTAATTTAATAAAACAGCTATTATCAGCAAAATTTTTGTTATCTTGTTCTCAGCAAAATACCCATATGTTTATCTGTAAGATTCTTACTTAGGTGAATACCTGAAATTCACATACTGTAAGAATAGTTAATGACAACAACAAAAGCTTGAAATGATGACTAGCTTTGTCTAATAGCTCAGTTTTCATAAGTAATCTAGGTATAATTGTTAACAATAAATTAGGTAAACATAATGGGATAAATATTTTTAAATAAATTTTTCATGTAATTTAAAATCTGAAAGTTATGTTACATTAAATTAAGTAATACATACTCATTAAATGTCTGGGTCATTTCCAGATAAGATAAAATACTAAAACACAAATTGTTGAACATAAATATAAGTTTGTTCTTGGCTTTTTTTCTTTTGAGACAAGGTCTGGCTCTGTCACCCAGGCTGGAGTGCAGTGGCGCTATCTCAGCTCACTGCACCCTCTACCTTCTGGGCTCAAACAGTCCTCCCACCTCAGCCTCCCAAGTAGCTGGGACTGCAGGTACTTGTCACCATGCCCAGCTAATTTTTTGTATTTTTAGTGGAGATGGGGTTTCACCATGTCACCCAGGCTGGTCTCAAACTCCTGAGCTCAAGTGATCCGCCCACCTTGGCCTCCCAAAGTGCTGGAAATACAAGCATGAGCCACCGTGCTCGGCTGGCTTTTTAAATTTAATAAAAAGACTAGACTAAATATATTTGGGCTTATTAATATATAGAAAAACATGTTTCTAAAAATTATTAAATGGTTCTTGTCTATAAAATGTATGTGACAGTTCAAAATGTCTTGCTTCCTAGGTTTTTGCTAGACATTAATGTTATTAAGAGTTGATAATTCTGGCCAGATGCTGTGGCCCATGCCTGTACCTGCACTTTGGGAGCCTGATGCGAGAGGATTACTTGCACCTAGGAGTTCAAGACCAGGCTGGGCAACATAGGGAGATCCTGTCTGTATAAATAATTAAAAAATTAGCCAGGCGTGGTGCCACATGCTGGTGGTCTCAGTTACTCAGTGGAGGCTGAGGCAGGAGGACTGTCTGAGCCCAGGAGGTCGAGGTTGCAGTGAACTGTGATTATACCACTGCACTGCAGCTTGGGTGACAGAGTAAAACCCTGTCTCAAAAAACAAAAACAAAAATAAAAATAAAAAACCAATTCAAATACATATATATATATATATATGTTAACAATTTTTTTATTAAAAAATACTTAGAAGTATAAAAATGTGTTGTTTATTAAAAAGTAATTTTGTCTAAATTCAGACCTTATTTAAGAGTGTTTCAAAAAGTAAGTTTAAAAAAGCAACAAAAACAAGATAAAAAGAAGCCAGTAAGTATGAGAGACAGAGATGTGAAAAAAAGTTATAAGTATGAAGATGTATTTTTGGTGAAGAAGGTTAAAAATAAAAGAGAATAATTTTGTATGAGAAAGAATCAAGTGTGGTAAAATTTTGTCCTAAAGTAAAATGATTGGTTATTTAAAAAAGAGGAAGTATAGGACAAAACTAATGGTCTTAGTATGTTGTGGAAGGTCTGAGTAAGTCGTGGAAGTAAAGGATGAATTTATGAAAGAAATTTTGTATGTGATAAAGATGGCTATAATTAAAAGGTAATTATTTATAAGTCTTTCTAAAGATTGAGCTTTTTTTTTTTTGAGACAGAATCTTGCTCTGTCGCCCAGGCTGGAGTGCAGTGGCATAATCTTGGCTCACTATAACATCTGCCTCCCAGGTTCAAGCGATTCTCATGCCTCAGCCTCCCAAACAGCTAGAACTACAGGCATATGCCACCACACCCAGTTAATTTTTGTATTTTTAGTAAAGATGGGGTTTCACTGTGTTGGCCAGGCTGGTCTCGAACTCCTGACCCTAGGTGATCCACCCACTTCGGCCTCCTAAAGTGCTGAGATTACAGGTGTGAACCACTGCACCCAGCCTGATTTTAAAAATACATATAAATACACTGATACAAAACTAAAATTTGGTCCCCTATGTTAAAACATCAAGGTTTTCTTGAAGTATTAATCTGCTCTTAGTAATATTTGCAAGAGGTTTTAATTTAATTCTGAAATCTGTTTTTTTAAAAAAATTTTCAGCCATCGTCTGAACTTTACAGCAATATTTTCTTTAATAGAACTTGATTCTGTACTCTTGGCTTTTCTCTTGTGTCTGAATTATTCCTTGTGACCAGGTAATTTTCCATGCTTTTACTAAGAATCATGTATTCCCACACTCAATGTACTAGTATTCTTGTTTGCATTCATCTGTAATATGGTGCTCACTCATAACCTTGGACACACACTCTTCCTATGTCTGATTAAATTAAAACACCTTTTCATCAGGCTTGACTTCCAGGTTATCTAAATGAGCTTCCCAGAAGGAGAAGCAATCACATTGTAGGAGGTTTTTCTTTACCTTTTTGGTAACTGGCCCAAGAAACAAAGATTTTGTGTTTTATCAAGATAATTCCCTCTGTTTCATGTTGCTTTTATTATTACTTTTTATTACTTAGGAGAACTGTGGTTAGAAAGAGTTTTTTCGGCATCCATGTAAATTTATGTATTGCTTTTGAAGTCCTTTGATTATCACTCTGGTTAAATAAATGACTAATATTTTGTAGTAATCTGTGATCCTGTTTTGATAAGGTATTTTAAACCTTTTGGCATCTTTGGCAGGCTTCCCCAGGATCAAGTTCTAAATTAAGTCTTTCTTGATCTCAAACTAATGTTGGGATGTTTCAGAGGGCCCTGGAACATCTCAAAAGTTTATAAAAGAGAAGTATTAAACGAAATCAGGCTTATTTGAGATGTTGAATTATGTGGAAAACATTGTCAAATAATAAGTGATGCTAGATTCTTCTTTCAGTTACACTTATGGGTATGTTATTGATATGAATGTTCAAAAATTGTATAAAATTCTTAAACATTTAATATGTCCTCAGTCATAATTCTGGTTATTATGTATGTATGTCACAAAAATAACTAAGTTTCCTTGTCAATTATGAACTCTCATCGAAATTTTAATCATGGCTAATCTAAGGATTTTGTCATCTGTAATCATTGCTTTAATTTTTTTCTAAAAACATCTATGATCAGATTAATGGAAAAAACTCTAACAATTATTCTTTAATACAGGTTTCGAATAACTTTAAGATCTTACCAATGGACTAAGTAAAAATTTCCAAAACTCAAATGAAAAAACTGATGAATTTGAAACTGCTAAACAAGATCAAACAAAATGAAAATTAAGTACATGAGATTAAATAACTGGTAAAGACGTTTTTATATATTTTATTTGAAACATTGTTGGTTCTTTACTTAAATTTTTAAAAAATGTATTATTGAAAGAAATACTTAAACGTTTTGTTTTCCACATTTAAGAAAACTTTTTCTCCTAAACTATCTATAGTTTGCAGTAATTTTAAGGTATACTTTTTTTTTTTTTTGAGATGGAATTTTGCTCTCGTTGCCCAGGCTGGAGTGCAGTGGCACAATCTTGGCTCACTGCAACCTCTGCCTCCCAGGCTTAAGCAATTCTCCTGCCTCAGCCCCCTGAGTAGCTGGGATTAAAGGTGCCCACCACTACACCCAGCTAATTTTTTGTATTTTTAGTAGAGACGGGGTTTCACCGTGTTGGCCAGGCTGGTCTCGAACGCCTGACCTCAGGTGATCTACCTGCCTCGGCCTCCCAAAGTGCTGGGATTACAGGTGTGTGCCACCGTGCCTGGCCAAGGTATACTTTTATAAACAAAATTAAAAGCATTTATTTTTCTTTCTACTTGATCCTTCCACAATTCAGAAATTATTCATGAACATTCTTATTTTTTTAAGGCAATATGGTTCTTTGCATAAGTTCAATAAGTTTGCTCTCTTTTTATAACAGGATACAATTGGAAACATTGGTTATATTACCAAGGCTTTCACTGGAATATCATATTTGAGAATACACATAAAATGCCTGACTTCAAGAGTTCCCAGCCTTACACTGAGTGAATAAAAATTGTCACTTCCTGGCAGGCCCAGGAACCTTAAGACAGTAGGCAAAATCTAAAGTCTGCCTTGGTTTGGCTTTCTAACCTTGAGAAGTTTTAAATCTGAGATTTCTATGTGATCAGTCATTATTCATGCTACACTTATGTAAATGATCAAACAAAAATTTGATAAAACTAAACTTTTTTATAAACAAATTTGTCTTACTCTGATTACCTTTGTAGCAAGCAGGATAACTATGGAGAGAAAAGTTTATGTTTTCTAAAAAATGTTTTAATATACTTGTTATTATATTGTAGCCCTATATATTGTATTTTAGTTTTCATTATTTACCTGTAGGCTGGACTGGATACTAAATTCTTCTAGGTTCTTCCATCCAACCTTCTTCCACTGAATTACTAAAAATGGAACTGTTATTCTCCTGAAGCTCTATAAGCTGAAACTAGATACATTTTAAGGGACAAGTCTCATGCCTGATATATGAACCACACAGAAAATCCCCCAAACTGTCTGATGCCATAACCAGAGACATTCAAACTGCAAAGCAGGATAAGAAGTTGACAGGTTCCCACTGTAGACAGCTTTCTCCAAGACATTGGAACCAGAATCCATATCATAATGATACTCTTATCCCTCTTAATGCCCTCTTAATCCCTCTTTCTCACTTGACAGGATGATGGCGTAATTGAAATTTCACAAGCAGTGGCTTCTGCTGGTAACTTGACAAAACCCGACCAAAGGGGTTCTTTAGTCTACCTAGTAGGTAACTTTGGCAACATCTCTAATACAACTGTTGCTCACTCTCTGCTTTAGCTCAACCCAGTCATGGGATACTAGATAATAAGATTGTTTTACATTTTCTATTGGTTAAATAATGAAATGTCTTGTACTATTACTAATACTACATGCTATATCTGGATAAATTCCTCTGAGAAAGTTTAGAACCATATACACAAAATAAGAAAATAGACCACCTGGTTACAACAGGGCTTACCTAACTCTCCACGGCCATTTGATTCATTCAATTGGTTGCCTGTAAGTCTAGGTTCATGGCTCAAAACTATTATTCAAAGTGAGATGATCATATTACTGTTAATTTAACTTTGTATTTTTATTTTTAAAGTTTGTGCCCACTAAAGTTTGTTAAATTTCTATAAAAGTACAACTCTTAACAATAATGTTGGCCCAGCATTTTTTTTTTTTCTTGAGGCAGAGTCTCACTCTCACCCAGGTTGGGGTGCAATGGCGTGATCTTGGCTCACTGCAACCTCCGCCTGCTGGGTTCAAGCAATTCTCCTGCTTCAGCCTCCCTAATAGCTGGGATTACAGGCACCCACCAGTTAAAAAAATAGTAATTTTTGTATTTATTTTATTTTATTTATTTATTTTTTTTGAGACGGAGTCTCACATTTTCGCCCAGGCTGGAGTGCAGTGGCGCCATCTCGGCTCACTGCAAGATCCGCCATCCGGGTTCACGCCATTCTCCTGCCTCAGCCTTCCTAGTAGCCGGGACTACAGGCTCCCGCTACCACGCCCGGCTAGTTTTTTGTATTTTTAGTAGAGACGGGGTTTCACCCTGTTAGCCAGGATGGTCTCAATCTCCTGACCTTGTGATCCGCCCGCCTCGGCCTCCCAAAGTGCTGGGATTACAGGCGTGAGCCACCGCGCCCGACCATAATTTTTGTATTTTTAATAGAGATGGGGTTTCACCATGTTGGCCAGGATGGTCTCAAACTTCTGACCTCAGGTGACCCACCCACCTTAGCCTCCCAAAGTGCTGGGATTACAGGTGTGAGCCACTGTGCCCAGCCTGGCCTAGCATTTTAAGGTTATAACCAACACCTATGGAACAGACAAAATTAAACTTAGCAATGGACTCCAGGTAGACTTAGCCTGAGAGCTACTCCCTCCAAGCCTCCTTTATTGCTCAAATATGTCTAAAAGGGTTTTGACACTGATTCCCAGTTGCCAATCACTCCCTCCCACATAGGACCAGACCAATAACTTGAGACACACTGAGGGGACAATCAAAACCTAACTACAGGATAACTGATCAGCAATGCTTTTGGAGAAGGATCTTGATTAAAAAGGGGAAATGTGAAAGTTGTCAGAATCAAAAATGAAGTGGCTTTTGTTAAAAACTCTGATGAATTGAGCCAGGGAAGGCTATAAAGAGAGGGTTCTCATGCACCAGTACCTGATAACAAGAACTATCACCAAATACTGCAAAAACCACAACCTTGCACAAATACTTCTGTGGAGGTCACTGGTGCCACCCTTGTTATTGATCCTTGTAGTCAAGGTTAATTGATTCTTGATTCAAACAATTATGTAATCCTATTTTTTTTATCTTTGTCTTCTTTTACCTCCCTGAATACACACATAGTTTACTGTGGGATGTATATTCTCATGGCAATGCCCATTTCTGAATTAGTGTCATTTTTCTTTTACATAGCCTCTTTCTGTCTGTTATTTAGGTAGACAAGACTGAGAGGAAAAGGAAACATTAACAGCATAGGGCTAGGGGCAGGAAATGGAGTTGGATGCCAGAAATTATAAGTGGCAAAATGTTCTCTCTCACAAGGTAAACAAGCACGCGGAAAAGAACTTCTTTTAGGAAAGCACCTGTGGAAACTCATTGGGATATTTTGCTTTTACTTCACATCTAATAAAGACCTATAGTAACCAGGAATAAAACTGGTACAAGTTTCTTTGTTATATTGGGCATTTATTATCATTAATCTGGACCTTTAAGTAGAATTCAGTGTGTGCTGAGAGCAAGCCAAAATTTAGAGACACTGTGTATAGCACATTAGAATAGGAGAGCTTTTAAAAAATAATACAGATTTGGGCCCCACCCCAGACCAAGTGATTCAGAATCTCTTAGGGTAGAGGCCAGAATCTCTGGGTGTTTTTTTTTTTAAAGTTCCTTAGGTGATTCTGTGCACATCTAGGGCTGGGACCCACCAGTGTGTTGGAAACCAAGCCCTGAAGTGGAAGCCAAAAGACTGGGTTTAGAGTCCCAGCTCTGACACAGCCTGCTGTGTGTTCTTGGGGAAGTCATCTGAACTCTCTGGGCAACTGTTTCCTCTGCTATGAAATAAGGAGATTCAACTAGATGCCTCAAGGATGCCAACTAGTTCCTACATTCTCTGAGAAACTGCCCTCTTTATGAGCCCAGATACTGACCTACAGCACCCCAGTGGCCCACTCATTCTTTAGTAATTTCACACAGGAAAGATGGTACTAGCAGTTACTCCAGAGGGACTCAGGGACTTTAATAGGTGGTGAGGAAAACAAATGAGAAATCAAACAGCAACAATAGAAACAGGCTCCCTTCCCTTGGCTTGCCTGTATATTTGTTTCTAAAGTGAACTTGAATGGGGAGTGAATAATTAACTCTCAGGTGGAGGCTTATATCTTGAATTAGTTTTCTATTGTTGCAATAACAAATTAACACAAGTTTAGCAGTTTAAACAACGCATTTATTTTCTTATAGTTCTATAGGCCAGGAGTCTGACGTAGTCTCAATGGGTTAAAATCCAGGTGTCCACAGAGTTGCATTCCCCTCTGGAGGCTCTAGGGGAGGATCTGTTTCCTTGCTCATTTCTGTTTTTGGCAGAATTGAGTTCTTTGCTGCTGTGCAGCTGTGATCTCTGATTCCTTGCTGGCTGTCAGCTAAGAGCTGTTCTAAAGGCCATCAACGTTCCTTAACTCATGACTTCTTTTTCCACGTTCAAAGTTGACAACAGTAGGTTGAATCCCTCTCACACTTCAAATCTCTCCTTTGTCTCCCCTTTCATCTCTAACCCAGGCAGGAAAGTTTCTCTGCTTTTAAGGACTAACAATGACAAGATTGGGTTTACCCAGATAATCTAGGATAATCTCCTATCTCAAGATCCTTCACCTTAATCAAGACTCTTTTTTTTTTTTTTGAGACAGAGTCTCTCTCTGTTGCCCAGGCTGGAGTGCAGTGGCGCGATCTCGGCACACTGCAACCTCCGCCTCCTGGATTCAAGCAATTCCCCTGCCTCAGCCTCCCAAGTAGCTGGGATTACAGGAGGGTGCTGCCATGCCCGGCTAATTTTTGTATTTTTAGTGGAGACAGAGTTTCACCACATTGGCCAGGCTGGTCTCGAACTCCTGACCTCAGGTGATCCACCCACCTTGGCCTCCCAAAGTGCTAGGATTACAGGCGTGAGCACTGCGCCCGGCCTGCAAAGTTGCTTTTGACATGTAAGGTAATACATTCACAGATTCTCTCAGAATGAGGACACCTTTGGGAGAGGGGTGTATTATTCTGCCTACTTTATGCCTCCAGGGAAAGATTTTTTTAAAGACAAGGAATAGGAGTTGGTGCTTGTGCTAGGTAAGTCATAGATTTGTCTTCTGAGTCACTGAATATTGATCCTGGGAGAGATGAAAATATGTATCTAATATAAATGGTTTCCCTGGGGTAAGTAGAGTAGATTCCTAGGCACTGAGAATTCTAGGTCTTGCTCTTCTATTTAGTTCAGGGATAAGAAAATAGCATGCGTAATTCTATTAGTGTATATTCGTTCAGCGCAGGCATCGGTGACTGACACAACCTCTCTTCTGGGCCAGATTTTTTTTTTTTCAATCCCAGTCCCACAGAATTCTCTGCTTTTCTAGGGATCCTTTCGAAAGAAAGTCTGGCCCTGTTGGTCATGCTTAATTTGCCTCCAGCTCATCTTCAGCAGCGACAACATAAGGGAATGGAATTTGGGGCATTGAGAAAAATGAATTTGCCTTCTAAAAAGATTGAAGTAATTTCTATTTTTCAGATCCTCAATCTACTTTTGATCTGAACTCCAGGATAGATAGCTTGGAACTCTTAATACAGGAATGGTGAAAATGCATTCATTCAATAAGTATTTATTGGGTGCCTGCTGTGTGTAAGACCAAGCAGTCCGAACATCTCCAAGGACCAGGCAGGGTGGTGTTCTAATCAAAACAGCTATCTAGCCAACTCGGTGTTCTGTGAAACAGCTGGCCTTGTTCATTTGGAATTTGTGCACCTCCCTCAATTGTTTAATAATAAGACAGGAACCTGATTCTTCCTAGAGTTATGCCCCTTTAGTCAATTAATTATTTAAAGGATTGTTTCCACTTCATAGCAGGAGGAAAAAAGATACTGTCCTTTAACATTTTCTTAGCAGTTCTTAGGAACAACAGTTTTTTCTAGCATGCTCTGGCAGAGAAAGGAAACAGATTTTGTTTTGAAGAGGATAGAAGTATTGAATTCTAATGCTTTCCACTCTGGTGGTTGACTTTGATAAGCAGAATTTGGGAAATGTTCGAAAAAAATGATTTTTCCCAATCTTCCATTAAAATGTTGTGTATGACATTTTTCTATGTTAATTTGACAGCATCGTTGACTTGAGCAATTTTTCTTCATAGAGGAAAACATTTTAGTTCTGGATATTGCAGAATGCTAAGGAAAGAGCATAGACGAGAGACAAACAGGCCTGGATTCAAACCCAACCCTGCCACGCCTTAGCTATGTCTTATTTGTAGGTCACTTAACCTTTCTAAAGCCTCAATTTCCACAGCCAGGAAATGAGATACTATCCACCTATATCAGCCAGAGTTCTTAATTTATAACAACAGAAACCAGTTTTATATATATATAACTAATTATATATATATAACTAATTATGTATATATGCAACTAATTATATATATATATATATATATATACACACACATATATATATTCTTTTTTTGCAACAGGGTCTTGCTCTGTCACTCAGGTTGGGTGTGTACCCCCATGGGTACTACAGGCGTGTACCCCCATGCCCGGGTGAAATTTTTTATTTTTTGTAGAGCTGGGGTCTTGCTATGTTGCCCAGACTGGTCTCAAACTCCTGGCTTCATGTGATCCTCTTGCCTTGGCCTCCCAAAATGTTGGGATTACAGGCGTGAGCTGCTGCTTCTGGCCCAACTACACATTTAGTTGCCTATTTATTTAAGCACATTTAAGCAGAATGGAGTTTACTGATAGGGTATTGGATAGCTCACAGAGTCTCTAGAAAGGAAATATACAGGAACAGAGTAAGCCAGGGAGCCACCAGGACTGCAGCTGGTGTTACAGAGCTGGTCTGGTGGAGATGGCGATGCCCATAGCTGGACACTAATGCTCATTGGCACTCATGGCCCCTCTGCTCAGGAGCAGAACTGCTCAGGAACTCAGGATTGCTGCCCTTCTGCCCTGCCTGCCAACGCAGTGGATTCTCTGAAGTCTCTTAGTGGTGCTCACTTCCAATTCAGTGTTTGGGGCAGGGTGTGTCTGTTTGGAGGACTTAGGTCATCTGCTATTTCCTATTAGTGATGGAGTCTAGGAAAGCCAGTATCTAGTATTTCAGCTTCTATAGTGTGAGGTGGCTCTTCCCATCCACCAAAACTCCTAGGAATGGAGAATTTCTAAACATAAGGAGAGTCAGACACCAGGTGGCTTCCCCCATCACCAAAAAAAGAAAAGAGAAGAAAAAAATTTCTGCTCTGGTCCATTCCTTTGGTTGTCCAACATTGCCCTATTTCCTTTTCCCTATGTTTACACTTTAAGGTTTCTCATCCAACCTGATGTAACTATGCTGTGTAACTGAAAATGCTCTCACCCCTTCCTCAAGGAGCACACACCAGTTTCATCAGTTATTGGGTTCATCTCCAAATTTAGGGTCTCTAGGTGGTCTCCATTCCTCCTTCAGTTCTGACATTTATATGGTTTGGCTGTGTCCCCACCCAAATTTCATCTTGAATTGTAGCTCCCATAATTCCCATGTATTGTGGGAAGGACCTTGTGGGAGATAATTGAATCATGGGGGTGGTTTTCCCCGTACTGTTCTAGTAGTAGTGAATAAGTCTCATGAAATCTGGTGATTTTATAAGGGGTTCCCCCTTTTGCTTGGCTCTCATTCTCTCTTGTCTGCCGCCATATAAGAAGTGCCTTTTGCCTTCTGCCATAATTGTGAGCTCTCCCCAGCCATGTGGAACTGTGAGAAAACAGACTAATACAGACGTGATCCCATCTCAGTGTTGTATAATATATAGACTGAATTGTAGAGTTAACCATCACTGGCATATCTTATATAAAATAGAGGGGGAAAGAGAAAATTAGTTAAAATTTGTAAATACATACATGATATAACAAGAAAGAAAATATTGATAGATGCTATATTCCATGCTTCTGCATCAGATCACAAGGCCAGAGTAAGTAGTTTAGATTTCCCTCCTTCATTCCCCATCCCATATCCCCTTACCTTCAACCTTTACCTTGGCTGACATTCTTCACACAGTGGTATTACCCAAACCTTCACTCCTGGGGGATCTAGGTCCTTGGCAATTCTACCAATATATCTTTCATTTTAAAATTTTTATCTTTATATAATTTTTAATGCTACCAAATATGCAGTCAGTTCCACATAAACATTGTGATATAACACTACTATCCTTACATATGGGTTCTTTAGTTGACCAGATGAAGATCTTTAGAGGCTATTTGTCTATTTGTTATGGTATATCTCCCTAACAAACAGTTTAAGATACAGTTTTCTGCAGCTTGATCAGTGGCCTTTTCTGGATCATACAACTGAATTTGGCATGCTGTCTCTCTCTCTCTCTCTCTCTGTAGATACACACATACACACACATACACTCACACACACACTCTATCTATATATCTATACCTTTTAATTTTGGCCATTGGACATGGTGGTACTAGGAATTGCCCCAAGGATCTCCTGGATCCAGCTGTACTCTTCCCAGCTCATTATGTGGCAGCATCCCAATTTCCTCAGGATATTTATGATTAATCATCTCAAATAACACAGTAACAAGCACAAAGCCTGTTTTCCCAGTGGCACAAGAAATCTGAAAATGACAGTCTCAGTTTCCAATTAAATTGAAAAACTGCTTCTTTTGGTAGGATCCTTTGGATATCAATACCTATGAAACAGCAAATCTCAGTCTCACTGAGATGGATAAGGAGGTGGAACAATATCCACAGAGCAGGTCACATCTTGTCCATCTGTTTAATAAAACCTTTCTCTATGGAGGAGACCTTCTGGTCAGCATTCCTATGGGATATACACAGTCACACACTCGAAGCACGTTCTTAGAGGACCATCTCCACACCTCTCCCCAAGCCTCCTTGTCATCAGGGAGGGTCAAAATTCCTGATCATCAGATAAAACCATTAGTTACTGACCATGAATTAGCACAGGCATTTACATGAGGCCATCTCTTTTTTCAGAAAAAGTAGATGATGAGATGTACAGCTCAAAGTCATGCTCTGGGAAGGCTTTCTCTTTCCCATCATCCTTCAGTGCCACCATAGTGGGGCCAAAGAGATGCTGCCTCCACTTCTGGTTGATGTCAGCATATCATGTGGAATAATCTACAAACTAGGCTCTAATTTTTCCCTCCAAAGTCAAGAAAAAATTCAGTGATTAGTAAACTAAATTTTTATTATTTTCCTTCTCAAAAAGAGGAAATAACTTTCCATGAGGTTGCAGGGGAGGATTGAAGGACAGGTGACACTGTGGCAGGAGTAGGTGCTCTAAGTGTGAGCCCCTTGAAAGTACAATTTATTTGTGCTTTGTAGGGCCTGGCCTCATTTCTTCCACTTCTATTTTATGATAGGGCATTGCTGAACACTTCTGATTTTTTGGCTAAGGGGATAAAATAACACCTAAGTTTATGATTGGCAGTTCAGATCACATGGTGCTCTGATATTCCATGGTGAGTCTGACCAAACCACAGAATCTAGGCCAGCTTCAAGGATTAGTAGGAATGATGATTAGGACTTGATCAAGGTTACTTTCATTTTAGTTTACTACAGAACCAGAAGACAAGCAAAGCACATGATAGTCACCAGTTCGAGTATGGTGGTATGAAATACTAGATACTTTCTTTCCCAGGCTCCTTACTTCCTCTCTTTTTCCTTTGTGCCTGAAGTTCAATGGTCTCAGAAGCCAATGCAGAGTAAGACATTCAGTGAGATAAAGGAGCCCAGAACCACAAGCTTTCTGCCTTTTGGAGCATTTTAGGTTGCAGAGTGGTGCCATATAGCACTCAAGGATCCAATGTACTAGCATAGTAGAAATTTCTTGTATAGCGACTGTATGATTTGGCTACTTTCACATCTTATGCATTACTGCATAATGGGGCTGAATCAAAGAATTGGTGCAGAAAGTCTGACCATGCCTTACCACACATTGTCAGGCTATCAATAATTTTTTTTCAAAAGGATAATAAAAACTGCCTAAAGAGAACATAGGTTTGCTCCAAAAAACCTAGGGGATGCCCCTATGATTCTCCTATTGGAGCTTGCCCTAGGCTTTACACCGCATCTTGATCTTCCACAGTCAGTGTGAGCACCATTAGATGCACTGGGTCATGGGGGCCATGTGGCAGAGTTGTTTGCACTATAGCCTGGACCAGCTGGAGAGCCTTTGCTTCTGTGGGCTTCAATCAGAGTTGTCAGTCTTTAGGTCTATTCTGTATGTGGAAAAGAGCAGCACATCTAATTGAGGTATGTATTGCCTCCTACATCCAAAGAATATCACTGTGCCCATTATCAATGAGTTCCCTCTTAGCTCCAAATGTACCCTTCCCTTTATTGCTTTGCTTTGTGATATTGGAGCTGGACCTTGTAAATATTTTTTTGCCACCCACAGCAATGTTTAGCTTTGTCAATAGAGGGAGCTGGAGGAACACTGAAGGTGAAAGGGGCTTCTCTTCCTGCGCCTACTGTGCCTTCCTTCCTGCTTGCACCTGCAGTATGCAGCAGTTAGCACCATGCGGGGCACCCCCCCAGCAGATTTCAGTAGCACCCCTGGGAGTGGATGCCCAGCAGATTCCATTGGTATCCTAGAAGTTGGCTTCCCAATGAGTTCCACGGGCATCCCTGTTGGAGGTTTCCGAGAAACATCCAGCAAGTCTTGCAAATAGTCCAGTGAGCTGCTTCCCACCAAGTTCCTTCAGCACCCTAGGAGGAGGTTTCCTGGTTACCAGCCCCAGCCTGTGGTACCTCAGTAAATTATATGTTCTCCAATGGGCCATGGCTGTATCCTTTCCAGTGAAGTCCTAACCAGCCTTACTGGCAGCAGCAGGGGTGGGGGAGGGGGACTCTTCTGAATTCCTTGGTTACTGTGATATTGACAAACATTTAGTTAGTCTTTGTCCCAGTTTCCTGGCAAAAAGATTCTAAAACTCTTGGAATCTCCAGAGTAATGAATGATTTTTTGTATGCTAATGAGATGACTGGTGGCTGGGGGCCTCTAACTATCTTCAGGATGAGGGCGGGTCACCCAGAAAAACCAACCATGCGATTAGAGGGTTGGAATCTTTAAACCTCCCACCCTACCTTTGACAACTTCTCAAGAGGGAAGAGGGGCTGAAGGTCAGGTTGATCTCCAGTGGCCAATGATGTAATCAATCATGCCTATTTAATGAACCCTTCGTGAAACCCCAAAAGGCCTGAGTTTGGATGAGCTTCCAGATACTGTGCCCATAGAGGGCATGGAAGCTCCACTGCCTTCCCCCATACTTTGCCTATGCATCCCTTCTATCTGGCTGTTCATCTGTATCCTTTATAATAAACAGGCAAACATAAGTAAAGGGCTTCCCTGAGTTCTGCGAGCCACTCTGGCAAATTAATCAAACCCAGGAGGAGGTCATAGGAACCCTAATTTATAGCCAGTTGGTCAGAGGCACAGGTCACAACCTATGCTTTGAACTGACATCTGAAGTGGAAGGCAGTTTTGTGGGACTGAGCCCTCAACTTGTGGAATCTGATGCTATCTCCGGGAATGTAGTATCAGAACTGAACTGAGTTGGAAGACACCCAGCTGATGTTTGCTGGAGAATTTGCTGCAGAATTAATTGGTTGCTGGTGGGAAGAAATCCCCACACATTCTGGTAACCAGAGGTTGCAGAAGTATTCTGTGTTGATTTTTGAGTGCAAGAATAGTAAAAACACTTTGGTTCATATTTTTTCTATCTCCAGAGGCACTCTGCCTCAAGCCTAGATGTAGTAACTTCCTCCTGTATCTGCTATTTCTATGTTCTTTAGAGTTCTTTTTACCCCTTAGTTATTAATTTCCTGTTACTAATTAGTCATTGCTTATATTAAACTTTCTCTGTTCAAATTACTGTGTGGTTTCTGTCTCCTGACTTATCCTGATTGACACAATTACCAAGTGTTGAGCGTTTTTCTTGTATGCTCAATTATCTAAGATAGATATAGTAGCTTATTTTTTAAAACTCGGTTAACCTGTTGATTTTTTGTGTAATTGTATTGTGGTTAAAAAGTAGAGTTATTTGTCTTTTGGAAGTACTCACTGAAATATTTATAGACAAAATCATTGCTGTTTAAATTTGTTTCAATATAATCTGAGAGAGGAAGTTAGGGAGTAAAGAGGAAATAAGATTAGCCTTGAGTTAATCATTGTTAAAGCTAATGATGGGTACATTGCTATTTTTATATTAAATACACTTAATTTTGTATATTTTAGAACTTTTTTATAATAAAAACTAAAAATGATAAAAATATCTTTAGCAGCCTCTAGGATGGCTGGACTTTCAATAAATATGTTACGAATATTTATAAAAGAAAAAAATCATTAGTGACTTACTTCCACAATATTTCACTCTGGCTGGTGGACTTTAATGACATTTTAGGTCTCTAGGAGTTAGGGTTAGCTCAGAGCTAAAGACCGATACTTCCCAACGGTTTTCCTAGTGAATGACTGAGGTTCCTCAGGGGAGAGCTTGGAAGAAGATGCATGCTAGTGCTTGATCTGTTATTGTAGGGTTCTTGCTCAAATGTACTTGAATTCCTCTTCATTGAGGGGCTAGGTGTCTGTGCATTGACTCAGGCGTGGGAGGTGGCTTAGAGGCAATGACGTTCTACCATGCAGACTTAAGTCAGGTCTCTGTTCAGACCTGAAATATTTTCAGATATACAGATATAGTTGAAGTATATTAGTCTTTGGGACCTTATGATTAACAAGGCACCACCAAAGATCCCCTCGGACAAACTATTCTGATAACCTGGCCAGCCAAATAGCCTATTTTGTTGAATTGGAATCTGACACTAGAGTCCTGCTAGTTGGCATTTACAGCTCTGGGATTCTAGTATTCTTGTTGAAATCAGGGAGTTCATTTCTGCTGCAGCATCTCCCACTTGCATAGAAGAGTCTTCCAAGTTTTTTCCAATATATATAAGCAGAGTCTTAATAATCTCCAGGCTTCTTTTCCGGAGCTTGACTTTGTAATGGCTCTTTGGGGCATGCCAAGATCTGACTCTAGTTAAAAGTACAGAGATGGGCGGGGCAGGTGGGGGGCATTGGGGTGTGAGTGTGGGCGGAGAAGGAGATGAACTGGCTTCCCCGGCCTGATCCCTCCTCCAGGTTGCAGGATCCTCAGGGGAGGATGAAACACTCACCAGACAAGGAGGGAGAGAGTGGGGGTTGTGTCTGCCACATTCTACCATATTAGTACTTAAGGTTAAATTCTTCCTGTTCAGTGTCCTAAATGTCACACAAAAGATCTTACCAAGCTGTGGATTGAACAAATAATTTGGTGATCCACAGAGTCAAACTTTGTGGTGTTTTTTGGACTGTCTCCAAAAGAGATAAGAATTTTATTTAAAAAATTTTTAATTGTAAAATATATATGTTTTATTTTTAAATTATATAAAGTTTTGGGTTTCAGTCCATGTCATTGGGGAAATCATAAGAATTTGAGCTTATTATTGTCTTTTTTCTTTCCGGTGACTTTAGTGGAAACCACTCCATTCCATAGTCCTTGAATTCCTCAAGTTGTTCATGTTGGTCTATGACTACTTTGTCCCTCAACACTTCCCTTTGATGGATTATTTATCCAGGTGACCACAGTAATAATTTCATTAGTTGAGATTCTTCCCAGTACTTGCTTCTCTGGGTCACTAGCTCCTGACTGAAGTCTGGATCAATTTACCTGATAGATGGGGCCTAAGCCTGGAGATAACTTCCTAGTAGCAAGGGAGTCTTGGAACTGACTACCTGGGTTTTCAGCCATTATAGGGGAAAGAAGACTCTGCCCCCAACAAGACTCAAAAGATGGGGAATTCGTCAAACATATGAAGGGAATTCAGATGCTGGGCAGCCCAAAACCCATCCAGGGTCTATAGCACCTCCTGACGAAGTTGTTAGGGAGAGTAAATAAGATGACATAGAAAAAGGATCTAACATAGTACCTTATGTTACATTTTAGTAAATGTTAATTCCTAGTGTCTTTCTGGTTAATAAAATAAACAGCATTGAGCCACGAAGAATGGAACTGTGAATATATAGTTAAACTTGAGCATTGACCCTAGATGTATGACTTAAAGTTTAACAGGCAGGTTAGGAAAGGTTATATTAATTGTCTTCTGCTCCTTAGAAACCTCCATTTTTTTGGGCCAGGCATGGTGGCTCACGCTTGTAATCCCAGCACTTTGGGAGGCCTAGGTGGGCGGATCATGAGGTCAGGAATTAAAGACCAGCCTGACCTACATGGTGAAACCCTGTGTCCACTAAAAATACAAAAATTAGCTCGGCGTGGTGGCACACGCCTGTAATCCCAGCTACTCAGGAGGCTGAGGCAGAAGAATCGCTTGAACCTGGGAGGCGGAGGTTGCAGTGAGCCGAGATTGTGCCACTGCATGCAGAGCGAGACTCCGTCTTAAAAACAAACAAACAAACGAGCAGCAACAACAAAAAAAACCTCTATTTTTGGTGTAAGCATTGACATTTTGATTGAGAAAAAGTATGAATATTCAACATTTTTTCCCTAAAAAGCTCTTTTACAAAACCAGTTTACCTATTTTACCGTTATAAAAAGGAGATAAAAAAATTAATCAAAATTTCAATCTATCCTCAGCCATAAAAAGTTGTATAAACTTGGCATAAACTCATCATTGTGTTGATTTTTCATTGGTCAGGAACTTACTCCTGCTTGCTGTTCTATCTGGGTGTCTCACGTTGGGTTTAAACTTATGAATAGGTATAAAAGAATAAGTAGAAATGAGAAAATACTGCTTTGACTCCTCACCTTAATCTGAAATTAGAATGAAATTGTTCATGAATTGTGTAGTCACAGCTGCATTAAGATTAGATGCCCCAGAGCCATATTTATTGGCTTGGAAATATTATCTTCATTTGCTGGCTTCCATAAGCAACAAAAGAATGTCACCATTCACGTTTTGCTCTGCATGACTTGGCGATTCCTTCGCATGCATATATGAGTGTTAATTTCTTCATCACACATTTGCAGAGCCCCTAGTACATCTTGGATGTTATAGCAGGCTCTGAAAGCACAGCAGTGGAAAGACTTGGTCCCTGTACTTACAGTATAATAGGGACAGACGTATGAGCAAGTAATTGTAGTATAATGTGACGAGTGTGATAATTAATGCATGCACAAAGAAAAGTGGTGGCCCCAAGGAGAAAATAGTTAATTACTGTTGTGTGTGGGGGTGTGGATTTAAAGAAGTAGTCACAGAGGAAGATGTCACCAGTTCTCAGCAGTGGCACATAAATGAAAGGCAATTAAGTAGCAGATGTGAGTTCTTTCACACTTTCTTGTCCCTGCTTCTTACTCCCTCCCTCTTGCTGACTGGAAGTCTCTGAGTCACCACTTGAAGGAGAGCGGCCAGACTCACTGTACTTTAATGTGCTGTTTGACTCAGCAGTTAACCTCCTGTGATACGGCCTGTCTGTTCTGTTGCCAAATTACATAAATTTGTTATTAGACTTTGAGGACTTACAGCTAAGTCATTAAGGCTAACTCTAAATCAGTTCATGAATTATAAATTATTTTGGCAGCAACATTATCCATAGACCTACATAACTTCTGTCATTTTTGTTGAAAGCTATCTCCATGATTTCTTTTTTTTTCTTTTTGAGACAGGGTCTCGCTCTGTTACCCAGGCTGGAGTGCAGTGGTGCGATCTCGGCTCACTGCAGGCTTGACCCCCTGGGCTCAAGCTATCCTTCTGCCTCAGCCTCCCAAGTAGCTGAAACTACATGCACAAGCCACCATACCTGGCTAATTTTTAAATTTTTTGGAGAGATGAGGTCTTGCTATGTTGCCTAGGCTGGTCTCGAACTCCTGGCCTCTAGCAATCCTCCCACCTCGGGGTCCCAAAGTGCTGGGATTACAAGATTATCAGTGATAGACTGGATAAAGAAAATGTGGTACACCTGGCCCTCCATGATTTCTTGAGTTGGAGGTCTATATTTCACAGAGTAACTGAGGTGGAAACTAGGAGAAAGTTGAGCCATAGCATCTCATGCTCCTCCTTCCAGTTTGGCTAAGTTACGCTATAACTTGTTTTTAGCACTGTTTCAGTTCTTTTCTTTTAATTTCCACAATATTTTTGGCACCTAATATGTACTGTGCTTATTTATAAAGTTTTACTTTGTGCCTGGAACTGTGCTAAATTGTTCTGGTGCAATAATGAACAAGAAAGAGATGGTCTCTGCCCTCCTGAAACTTAACAGAGTACTACTGGCGGAGGCAGAGAATTAAGGAAACTTTTGGAGAACAGGACGCCTTGAGAGCAGATAGAAGGAACATAAAACGTGAACTTGGGAATTCAGGATGGTTTCCTGGAGAAAGTGACATTTAAGTAGATATAAAAAGGTTGAAGGAGAGTTAGTTAGATGAAGACTAGGGATTGTGTTTTAGGAGGAGAAAGATAGTATGTGCAAAGGACTGGAGGAGGGAGAGCATGAAAGGGACAGAAAGAAGTTCTATGTACCTTGAAAATTAAGTGCAAACTGAGAAATGCAAGGGCTAATGTTTGAAAAGGAAGCAGGGGCCTGATGATGAAGGGACTTGTGAGCCATGCTAAGAAGACTGTCTTACAGGCCAGGCGCGGTGGCTCACGCCTGTAATCCCAGCACTTTGGGAGGCCGAGGCGGGCGGATCACGAGGTCAGGAGATCGAGACCATCCTGGCTAACATGGTGAAACCCCGTCTCTATTAAAAATACAAAAAAAATTAGCCGGGCGTGGTAGCGGGCGCCTGTAGTCCCAGCTACTCGGGAGGCTGAGGCAGGAAAATGGCGTGAACCCTGGAGGCGGAGCTTGCAGTGAGCCGAGATCGCGCCACTGCACTCCAGCCTGGGCGACAGAGCGAGACTCCGTCTCAAAAAAAAAAGGAGGAAGGGAGAATAAGAGTAAGCCCGAGAGGCAGGAGGAAAATGCGACCTTATGGAGCCCAAGGGAAGAGTGTTTTAAAAGAGAGAATGGCCAAAAAGAGCAAATCCTGCAGAATAGTCAAATAAATTAAGGGCTAAAAATCGTCTATTAGCAGGACATTTTGGGTAGTTTGGGTGAAAGCATTTTTAAAGAAGCAGTGTAGGGATAATACAGATCAGAAATAATTGAGAAAGGTGAGAAAATGGAGGTAGCAAGTAAGCTCAATTCTTTCAAGAGATTTGCAGGATATGGGATTTGAGGGACTTCTTTCTTTTTCTTCTTCTAATGGAAGAGACTTAAACATATATAAAATGTTAATGGGAAGGAGTAGAATGACTTGGTAGAGGGAGCAATGGAAAGAAGATAAGGAAGCAAGCAGATTGGTGGAGTGAAATCTTGCAGAAGGCCGGGAGGAGATGAGATCAGAGTACGGCAGGAGGGATTAACCTTAGAGGAAAATAAAGGTTTCTAGTTCTTTTTAATAGAAGAAAAGCAGGAAAGGACAAGTGTAGGTTATATATTGTTATTTAATCCTTACACAACTCTCTGAGGGTGGATATTGCTTCCCCCAATTTGAACGTGATGTAGTGGAGGTCCAGAAAAGTGAGGTAACTTGCCCAAAGTCACACAGGAGAACCTAGGCGTGACCCCAAGATTAATGCTTGCTTTGACCCCAAAGTGTAATGCTCACTTACCTGCAATATTTTAAAAGCTTAAGTTCCCTATAGGGAGTGCCCTGAAAATGACTGGAATTTAGTTAGGTCCTTGTTTTATGACTTGATAAGCTAGAATGCAAAGAGATTTTACTGGAGCAAACATACAGTGCCATTTGGTAGAGATCTAGCGAAAGAAGCTGCCCTCAATTAATGTTTGACTAACTCAGTACCAAAGGTCTGACTTTTCTTCCTGAGTATGCCTGCTAGAATAAACACACTTGCTTTTGCCTCTCTGTGCTACTGAGATGCACCAACATGGACATCTTATATATATTATATAATATTGACTAATCTAGTCAATATTAATATGGTGCCAACTTATGCCAAGCATTATTCTAGGTGCTCTAGGATAGTAACTTAATCCTAGTTCTATTATTATCTCCATTTTACAGAGGATAAATTTGAGGAACAGAGAGGCTGAGAAATTTGCTCAAGGTTGCATAGCTTGTAAATATCAAAGTCAGAATTTGAACCCAGAAATCTGGCTCCTGACCTGAGTCTATGCTCTTAAACAATTATGCTATTGCCCCTCAGGCAGGAACAATTAGTCTCTGGTGAAGAGAATACCTAGACTTGATTCTCAATTCTGATTTTCTGACTTCTTCCCCATGGACTAAATAGTTGTTTGGCTAAAGGCATAGACTTTAATTTCAGACCTGGGTATGAACCACACTCTACCACTTAAAAAGTTGTGTGGCCTTGGACAAATTACTTCTCTACAGCTCAGTTTCTTAATCTGTAGTGTGGGGCCAATAAAAATATTCAACTCAAAGAGTCACTGTGAGGATTAAATGAGATAAAGCATGTTAAGAGCTCAGCAGAATGTGTGTTCCATAGATAAGCCTGGGCTTAAGGGACCCTGGAGATGATGTTTTCATCTATCTCATTCTTCCATTCCTGTTTTAGTACTCTCATCCAAACTTTAGCTTCTCTTACCATGGATTACTACCATATGCACTTAAAACCTTTAAAAATCACATTAATATATAATTACTAAAACAATGCTTGTTTACTCAAATAGAAAAGTTCTTAAAAATATTTTAAAAGCTATGAATTACGTTAAACATTATAACTTTATTAAATTTGTTTTTTGTATTTTTTGAGACAGGGTCTTGCTCTGTCACTTAGGCTGGAGTGCAGTGGTGCCATCATAGTTCACTGCAGTGGTGCCATCATAGTTCACTGCAGCCTCGAATTCCTCAGCTGAAGTACCTCCCTAGGCCAGATGAACTCCCCAGGCCAGACGCCTTGTCCTCCCAACACTGCCCTGCCCATAGTGGATTTTTCTCTCTGTTCTTTCTCGCGTGAATCCTTCTTTCACACAACCCTCTACCTGCAGAGCTAACACCAGCATTTACCACTCACTGATATTCTTTTAACTCATATGTATTGTCAAGTATTGTTGCTTTGAAATGAAGTCTTATTCCACGAGACCGTAAACTTTGTATGCCAGTGACCACATTTTCTATGTAATTTGCTACTTTCTATGGTGCTTTAAATCACATCATTGAAGGGAAATTTTAATTTGTAAATTTGTAATATGACCAAGACTCCTGGCTCTGTGGACTGACTCACTGTGGCGACCCATCCCAGAGTGGGGCAGGACAGAGCAGAGTCCTCCCTGCAGGGAGCAAAGCTGAATCACCCTCTCCTCCTTCTAGAAAAACAGGCTTGAGGCTAAGTGCTCCTAATGCTCATCAGGGCCTTAATGGAAATGCCCAGAAGAGATTGAAGGGAGTAGCTTGAGCTTTTGCAGGAAGAGCCGGCAATGCAGTGGCTGCTCATTGATTAGCTGCTTTGGGTAACATGGCAAATGCGATTTTTACACTGAGCAGGTTGAGTTCTGTGTCCAGAGAGCTAACTGAAATTATTTCCCCTCTTATTGAAAGGACAATGTAACGATGCTAAAGAAAACATTGATAACATGACTATTTCCATGTTATGAAATTTATTTTCATTTTATATAACCCCTTCCAGACTTTGCCCACTTTCATGCATTTATTTTTAATTTTTCTTTGAGATGGAGTCGTGCTCTCTTGCCCACGCTGGAGTGCAGTGGCATGATCTTGGCTCACTGCAACCTGCCCCTCCTGGGTTCAAGCGATTCTCCTGTCTCAGCCTCCCAAGTAGCTGGGATTACAGGCATGCGCCACCACGCCTGGCTAATTCCCACTTTCATGCATTTAAAAAAATATACAGTAGCTACCATTAGAGTGAACATACCGTTTTTCAGATGAGTTGGAATCTCAGTGGGAAACTAGATGAGCTAATGTTCTATCAGAGGCTTTTCTCACCTAGACGCTGTGGCCCTATCATCTTGATTTTTTTCCCTCTCAATTTTGGCATGACTTGCCAGAGGTCAAATTTTTTTCCTCTGTACTTAGAGCTTCTCAGAAAGATAAAAGTGAATCCCATCCCTGTTTTATCTTTTGTAGCCAGAATGTGATTGGAATGTGAGCAATGGAGAAAAGTGGGTTGAACATTCACAAGAACATACTGTCTGATTGTCTCCTTTTAGACGAGGGCCACCTCTTTTTCCCGAAGGAGTAGTAATAACCCAAACCTAGGACCTGTAGAGATTTTTATTGAGCAAACTCACCCACAACATATCCTTTATTCTTTCCATTTATCATTCCTTTAACACCTCCTGCCTGTCCTATCCCACCTACACACACTTTCTGCAGTGAGCATACACCACTTTAGACATGCTGGATTCTACGTGGCCTCCTGAGTTTTCTGTGTCCTGGACATTCCTTTGCTCCATCATTACTACGTCCAGGGATGCAGCAGAGAAGAGTGGCTAAAATCTTAGACCACCTGTGTTCAAATCCTGCCTCCACCTTGGTCAAATCACCTGTAAAGTGGGAACAGTAATAGTACCTACTTCATAGTTGTTGGGAGGAACAAACGAGTTAATACTTGTGAAGCACTAGAACAGAGCCTGCAATGTAGTAAGAACTCAATGTTAGCTGGTATCCAAATCTAAATTTCTTCCAATCTTCAAAGACCAGATAACATCTTATCTCTTACACAAAATCTTATCTGACTAGCCTCATCTAACCCACGAAATCTCTTACTTTTTTGAAAGAATAACACAGTTGATAGTTAATTTACTCAAATAGCCCCTTGAGACAACTGCAGAATACAAGCTGCTCTGCCTATGGAGTAGCCACTCTTTATTCCTTTCCTTGCTTTTCACTTTACTCTAAAAAAGAAAAAAGAAAAAGAAAAAAAGGAAAGAAAGGGAAGGAGGGAAGGAAGGAAGGAGGGAAGGAAGGAAGGAGACTATCTTGATATCTGGGTTTAAATCTTGAAACAATAAGTGCTGTGGGACTTTGAGGGAGTTACTTAAGTCTTAGTTTTGTCATCTGTAAAATGGATGTTATAATACCTTCACAGGGTTATTGTGAGGTCCAAGTAAGATAAATGCTTAAAAAGTATCTCATACAGGTCCTGACTCATGGTAGACCCTCAATAAATACACAGGCTCTTTCAAAATATATTATTTAAAATTTTATGGATTGTGAAAGTGCAAGTGCATGTAGGTGGGCTAGGAAGGAATTGCATAGAAAATTAAGATAATATAGCACTGTATATAAAGAAAATTACAATAGTCTCATAAACGTCTTTCTGGAGCAACAATTTCCCTGGCCAGTAACTCCTACTCTGGAAACTAAATACAGCTGGGTGTATTCCCTTTAGTTTCTCTCTCTCTCTCTCTCTCTCTCGCTCGCTTGCTCTTGCTCTCACTCTTGCTCTCTCTCTCTCTCTCTCTCTGTGTGTGTGTGTGTCTTTGCAGGCATGCACTCAAGCAGACACGCATATTTAGAAAAGAAAGGAATCCGATTATATACCAATTTTGCAGTCTGCTTTACTTTACATAGACATTTCCCCATCTCATTTAATATTTTTCAAAGTGATGGTTTTGATGGGCCATATAGCATCCCATGTACATCTAAACAATCTAAACATAACTTATTTAACCATGACCCCATTGTTGAATATTGAGGTTTTCTTTAGGTTTTAGCTATTCTAAATAATGCTGCATCAAATAGCTTTGTATATGAATATCATAAGTATCTTTGATTATTTTGCTAAGAGAAATTCTTAGGAATAGAAATACTGGGTCAAAGAAAACACATTAAAGGATTCAGGTACATATTGCTAACTTTTGCCTTTCTGAAAGGTCGTGTGAATTACATACCTATCAACAGTGACCAGAGGTGCCCATCACATGTCTCCCTTGCCAATGCTCTGTTGTGTTGACGGAGTCTCGCTCTGTCGCCCAGGCTGGAGTGCAGTGGCATGATCTCGGCTCACTGCAAGCTCCGCCTTCCGGGTTCACGCCATTCTCCTGCCTCAGCCTCCCGAGTAGCTGGGACTACAGGCGCCCACCACTGCGCCCAGCTAATTTTTTGTATTTTTAGTAGAGACGGAGTTTCACCGTGGTCTCGATCTCCTGACCTCGTGATCCGCCCGCCTCTGCCTCCCGAAGTGCTGGGATTATAGGCGTGAGCCACCGCGCCTGGCCTGCTTTATCTATTATCTTTCAATCTAGATTGTAATCTTCTTGAGCAGGCACTGTGGTCATCTGCTTCTTCGTACCTGCCTTTATACAGAACATTGCTTGGTGCCATTCACATGGTAGCCCTTGCTAATATTTGCCAAGTGAATGAATTTCTATTCACAACTATCCCTGTGGGGTTAAGAGCTGGAGAAGGGACTTGAACAATTACTTGACCAATCACGAATTGGTCAAATTTGAATGAGAGAGGTTTGTAGACTTGTCCTCGGTCTCCTAGTGAGATGGGTTAGGTAGAAAACTATTAAATCACAGGTAGTTGGCCGCTGTTCAGGGGACTTGGACAAGGGAGTGGGTCCAAGAGAGAAAAATGATGTTTTTCAGGGTCAGCTCTGCAGCGTGTTGGAAACTGACTTTCTGCACTGCTATTCATTCTTTTTTTGTAACTGGGTGTGGGGAGGGGCGGGATCTACTTTTTACAACTCAGCCATGTAGCAGAATGAGTGGAATTTTCCAGATGGTTCCTCTTGATGACTGTTGGCATAATGGCAGTTTTGCCCCTTGGGAGCCATTGGGCTGCAACCCCTGAAGCCTAGACAGCAGTTTTAGCAGGTCAGATTGTGGGATCCGTGTGTTTTTGTTGGCACAAAGAGCCATGTGGGATTTCAAGCCATAAATACCATTTTTATTTTCCTCATACAGCTCCCTACTAAATGAGCAATGAGGCCAAAGCGAGGAAGGTGCCATAACCCTTTCCCTCAATACACATACACATCCATCCCAAATACAGTGACTCAGATCATTTCCTGGCACTGGGCACCTTCTGAATGAGAGTTTGGGGTAATCTGCTGGGAATAACACATTGCTTCAGAATTTTTCTGAATCTACACACCCACTGTGAAGATGAGTTGATGCTTCCTTTCTCTTACCCTGAGAGCCTCCCTCCTCCTGGGATAGTTGTGTTTTTGTTTTCAGGTAAAAGAGGCTTAGAGTGTGAAAGTTTGCTATGGATTTCAGGACATGTGAGCTCATAATATCTCCCTTTTATAATCTTCCCCATTCATTTGTGAGTTGACCACTAATCCTCCTAATACCCAGTAAACACAGTTGCCCAGGAGGCAGGTTAACCAAAGGGGTGAATCTGGACTGACACAAATTCTCATGGATTGCCTTACTGTGATGGGCCAGTTTTTTTTTCTTGTCTCTATTACAGACGTCATCTTCCAGAGCCTCCTTTCCTTAGAGCCACAATTTCTTTAACTTCCAGGTTGGAAGACTTCACGTAGGATTAGGAATTGTCACTGTGGTAGAATCAGCTGCTAATGTGCAAAGGTTGGAAAATGTTAGAACTTTATTTCCCAGAGTCCCTTGCGGTTAGGAATTTGTTGTGGTTAAGGCTCTGCCAGTCAGATGCACCTCACTGAGACTTGGATATGAGAGCCCAGCCGTATGTGGAAAGAGGGAGGGTGATGGGGATGTGCGTTTGCTTGTGCAGACTGTGCCATGGTCCTGGAGCAGCCAGCTGTGGCTATGGCTCCTCATTCAGCAGGCAGCTTCCTGAGCCAGCAGCTCCTTGGCGGCCCAGTTCTGTAGCATGGGTTTGGAAGTCATTCCTGGAGTCAATCTAGAGTCACTTCTTTAACTAATCAACTCCCCTCCTTCATTAATACTCCCGTAATAAATTCCTCTTTGTAAACTTGCTGATATAATGCTTCAGCCGCAAAGCTATGGTTTGTTTTACACTGTTCATTTGTTGACTGAGAAAAAATAAAATGGTTGGAATGTTTTCCTTTTTTATTATGGATTTCTTTCTACCAAAGCCAGTTTTGAACTATCCTGTTCTCTTTTGCATGCTTTTCCTTGTGACTATCGATAACCTTATATTGCACTTTTTCCCAGAGTGAGATGGAAGTTTTTCCCAGAGTTAATATTGATGTGTCCAATCAAAAAAGTAAATATTCCAGGCCGGGCGCGGTGGCTCACGCCTGTAATCCCAGCACTTTGGAAGGCCGAGGCGGGCAAATCACAAGGTCAGGAGATCGAGACCATTCTGGCTAACACGGTGAGGCCCCGTCTCTACTAAAAATACAAAAAATTAGCTGGGCATGGTGGCAGGCGCCTGTAGTTCCAGCTACTCGGGAAGCTGAGGCAGGAGAATGGTGTGAACCTGGGAAGGTGGAGTTTGCAGTGAGCCGAGATTGCACCACTGCACTCCAGCCTGGGTGACAGAGCAAGCCTCCGTCTCAAAAAAAAAAAAAAAAAGTAAATATTCCATCTTCTTTGACCTATTTACTTGGAACAATGCTATGTGCCAATTCATGGAATTCATATATCACCTCTCCATAAAAGCATAGAGTACTGTGTTATTAATAAGCATATAGCATTGATGCACATATACCCTGAAGCTTCTAACAGGCACAAAAAAGGGCTAGGAGGAACATTTTGCATTGATTATCAAGACATCAGTACTGACACTTCATTTTCAACAAAAGTGTACTGCCCCGTGTATAAGTCATGCCTACCATATTTCCTGACATCTGGGAGTTGACTTAATAGATGCTAATGTGATGTTATTACCAAGGTGTCAAGCTACACCCTCTCCTGATTGGTTCTCCTAGTTCTGCCTTAGGTTTGCTGACACTTTGCTATGAAAATTGGATTCAGACATTGCAGGCATGCAAAGTGCTGGCTAGAAAAGCACTGATTTAACTGGGCAAAACTGTGCCCAGTAATTATAAACTTACCATCTATTCCTGTAGAGCCTTCTCCTAATCCTTCAAGTTTGAGTCCTTCATATAGACACAGCTACAAGGGCAGAACAATTAGAGAAGTCAGACTCCAAGCCTGAATGAAGAGTGTTTTCTCATTTTGCCAGTTCTGTGAGAAAAGCTCTGCTGTGTAAGAAAAGCTCTGCTGTGTGCTGGCTGCCCAAGGGCAAGCTGCCTCTTGGGGAACAAGAATTTCTGAGGGAACAACAAACATTCTGTCTCAAATTTGGAACTAAAAAAGAACTTTATTTATTGAGGGCAAGGGGATGCAAACAATACAAAAATCAAAAGCTTATCTGGTATTTAACTTTTCTTTCTCTGCTTGTCAAATGAGAGTTAGATTTTATTTTTACATTTGCTAAGTGTCCTGATCTGCTCATGAAATCCTTCTATGGGGGAAGCTGTGGGGCAGATTCCTTAAGCGACCCTTTGGGACAACTCTTATCAGGGAGGAGCGAACTGCTCATTTCTGCCTACTTCTTTCCCTTCTGCTTCATGTGTACTACAAAATAGTCATTGCATGCAATGGTGAGGCCCGCAATTAGGGAAAAGAAGCTCTGGAAGCCCACTTTGCCATCTCTACACTGGTCCAGGTCCTTCATTATTTTGTCCACAGCCAGAGGGTCTTTTTGATTCTGAAAAAAAAAAGAACAAAGGCAAGAAATAGAAGTCAAAGGTTGCAATGAGGAGCTTATTTGATTTGTACTGCTGAGAACTGTGTATATATCTCCCAATTACTTGAGCTCTTGTTTTAGGTCATAAGCAACCTTTGGAGTTCATCTAAATGTATTTTTTTTTTTTTTTGCCTTGTGGGAGCATTTCAGTAATTTCATATTTAGATTCTGCCTAAGAACCACCCTAAGCTCCTCATTTTATGGTTTAAACTTACATTCTCTTATTAAAATTTTATTCCTAATGGCATGGTCAAATCCCTTACAAAGGAAACTCCTTATGAAAAGATATTTATGATTTAGGGAATAAGTTTTGGATCACTGTCCTATGGATTTTAAAGAGGTGTTAATGATGCCATGGGTTGGTTTTAGGTTTGGAGAAGGCAGCTCTCATTCTTGGCACAGCTGAGGACAAGCTAGTGTGGCTTCATATCATATTAGCCACGTGATGCTGAGTGAACCACACAGCTTAGTGGGCCTTTGTGTATCAACGATGAATTGAGGAGGTTGGACTATAATGTTTCTAGAATCCTTTCATTCTTTGAGTTGGTAAGTCTATGCCATCCTATACTCTTCACTGGATGTTGTACACTGGACCAGTTTCAAAAGGAGTATGTGGGATGGAGTCTTAAACTCCCCATGACTCTCAGTGCCTGGTAAGAATGTATGGAACAGAGATGGGCAGGCAAGACCCCCTTTGCTTTTATCTTGCTTACATGGTGATTGGCTTCAGCACTCCTTTTTGTAGTGATGCTGGTCAGAAGCGGTAAGGTGTGGTTTTTCCTGTAGGGTCCATGCCATCAACCAGAGAGAGAAATATGGCCTATTTGAGGTTGTTAAAGGGCTCAGGTAAACTATTTATGAATTCTGATGACTATATTCATGAGTGAGGAAAATGATACGCAGTGTTTCAAGTGTGCTAGATGTTTCTAAATTGCACTCAGAAATTCCTAAAAGTATAGCAGCAGCATTTCCCACATGAGCACTGCAAACTCCTACTCTAGCTAAACGTGCTCTATGCAGCTCTTGGTGGGTTTCAGCTAATTCTGGCTTCACCCTCAGCTTCCTGGCTGTGGTCAGAATGAGTGAAATCTGGATGACATAAGAGGTCTACTTTAGAAACAAAATGCTCTGTTAATGCAGTGAGTCTAGATGTTTCCAGAATTATGACTCTGTGCCTGGAATAAATTACCCTGCCATGGTTAGTGCTCCACACTACATATACCCTTTATGTGTCTGATGCCACAAAGCCTTTAGGAAGAAAGGGTCTGTGTCTTACATGATACTCACTCTGGCTCTTAACAACACTCTTAACAAGTGTTTAGTGTACTGAGAATGCCTTTGTCTATAGGACAGGCAGGCTTACAATGAGCACATTTTGTCCTTGCATCTTAATGCTTGTCTTGAATGATCATAGAAAGTGAAAGTGACCTTGCAGATAATTATGTCCAGCCCTCTCTAATTTTACAGGGGAGGAAACTGAAGACTAGAGAGCTGAAGCAACCTGCCCATTGTTAGTTAAGGCAGAGCCAGATCTTCTAACTCCTGGTCTGGGGCTATATCACAGGACTCTACAAAAGCAGAGGACCTGCATATTCTAACTCATTCTGGGATAGCATTAGGTAATAACTGCAGCTCTGAGAGAGCAGTTAGGCTATTTATATCTGTTTATTTAACTGATATTGATGACATACGAATTATAGTATACTAAAAAGCCTCATGTTTATTGATTGCAGGAGTCAGGGGCTGGACTAATGTGCCGTTTACCAGTCAGATGACAAGAGGCAGGACCCAACGTTTTACCGTATCTCCTCTCACCCTTTACAGGTTAATGCATTATTCAACACCAAGCACAGAAACAATCTTTTCAGGTGACTACAATTGTGGTAGGGAAAGAAGGGCTTGCATTTCAGTCTACTATTTTGTCATGCAATGTTGCACCTTCAGTTGAATTCAACAGCCACCTCTCGAGAACCTGGAATATAAAAGGACAACTGTGCCTTGTGGCCCCATGTCCTGAGTGATGTATCTGAGCTGATGGCAGAGTCCTCTTATAGGTCTTCATGCATCTCTCAGTCTGTCAAAGGTGAGACATAAATTCAAACTGCTCCTGTGCTGTCAGAGCATTATTATGTGAAAAGCAGTTATTTCTGGAGTGATATGTGGCTTTTATTCAGTAGATGACTGACACTGCTCCTTTGTAGTATTAGAAAAAGAAAAAACAATCCCTTTATCTGAAGAGATTTAAGAAGGGAGATTCGAGTTGCTCAAAATGGAATGTGACCAGGATGTGGCATCTCCACCACCAGGTTTTTGGACCTGAAGGTAGCCATTTTCTGGTTGACTACTCTTTTGTGAAAAGCTTTCTTTCTCCCAACTCTGTCCCCAACATCGTCACAACAGACACAGATAACCCGATGGAATTTTCCAACAAACAGCTCATATTGTGGTTATTTGTATGCAGTCTTATTTCACCTGCAGACTGTAAGCTCCTTGAAGGTTGGGGCTGTGTCTTCATTACTTTGTTTCCTCAACAGTATCTTACAAATAGCAGGTACTCAATACTATTTAATAAATGAATGAATGAGGTCATTCATTCATTCCTTCAGGTGACTACATTCATTTATTCACTAGTGGTGACCTCCACAGGGAAGGGATGGAAACAAGAAGGAAAAGGAACCAAGGCCTAGAAGCATTGACTTTTATGTCTGGTTCTTTGTAAGCTTTTCAACACTTACTTCCAAAAATCCAGGGAACTCCTTTTCCATGAGTACTCTCAGGTCCTCCTTTGTTAAGTAGCCTTTATCCCCAGCGAATTTGTGAAATGTAAACATCATGGTTTCCATGGCGTGTTCCATTTGAGATGGCATTTTGGTGTGGTCCGTTGAAGCCTATTAAAGGATGTAAAGTAACAGGGTCTACATTAACTTTTTTTGGCAGACTTTATGCATGAATTTATTTTTTTTAAATTGAAAGATAAAATTGTATGTATTTAATGTGTACAACATGATGTTTTCAGGTATATATACATTGTGGGATGACTGAATCTAGCTAATTAACATATGCATTACCTCCCATAGTTAGCACTTCTGTGGTGAGAACACTTAGCCACTCTTAACTATTTGTCAAGAATACAATACATTGTAATTAACTATAGTCACGTTGTTGTACAGTAGATCTCTTAAACTTATTCCTCCTAACTGAAATTTTCAATCTTTTGACCAATAGCTCCTCAACATCACTCAAATGCAATCACCCCAGCCCATTCTATTCTTTAGTTCTATGAAATTCAGTGTTTAAGATTCCACATGAGTGAGATCATCTGGTAATTGTCTTTCTGTGCTTGGCTTATTTCACTAAGCGTAACGTCCTCCAGGTTCATCTTTGTAGATTTACATTAACTTTTAAGCCATATGTATTGCCAGCCTTTTTAGGATAATTGGAAAGATGGAGATTAGATCATCCATCTGATCTTCTCCAGCTTTAAAATTCAGTGAATGAATCTAAGAACCAGTCCACCCCAGTTTGGGTCCCTTGTTGGTAGAAATAGACACCTCAGATACTGGTGCTGTAAATAAAGGGGTTTAGCTAACTCCAGCTAATTTGCATGAATAATCTAATGAAGAATAGAAACTAATAATTTAGAAAAGCAACATCAGTGTTCCTCTTTTTTTTTTTTTTTTTTTTTTTTTTGAGACGGAGCTTTGCTCTTGTTGCCCAGGCTGGAGTGCAGTGTTGTGATCTTGGCTCACTGCAACCTCCGCCTCCCAGGTAGCTGGGATTACAGGCGTCCGCCACCATGTCCGGCTAATTTTTTGTATTTTTAGTAGAGGCGGAGTTTTGCCATGTTGAGCAGGCTGGTCTCAAACTCCTGACTTCAGGTGATCCGCCCACCTCGGCCTCCCAAAGTGCTGGGATTACAGGCCACTGCGCCCGGCCCAGTGTTCCTCTTTTTAACTGACAAAGCACCTACTGAAAGAACAGATAGTTCATAATTTCTCTTGGCACTAGTAAATGGGATTCTTAGATATGGCTGATACTAACAATCCACACAGTCAAGTCTGGTAAATACGAAAACTTCACCCTTCTAAGCTTAAAGTGGTAACTTGGTTCAGTGTGATTCTAGGGTTTAGAAATCTGCTTACAAATGAATTTATCTGCTGGGTATATATGTATTCTTTTTTTTTTTTTTTTTTTGAGACGGAGTCTTGCTCTGTTGCCCAGGCTGGAGTGCAGTGGCGCCATCTCGGCTCGCTGCAAGCTCCGCTTCCTGGATTCACGGCATTCTCCTGCCTCAGCCTCCCGAGTAGCTGGGACTACAGGTGCCCGCCACCGCGCCCGACTAATTTTTTTGTATTTTTAGTAGAGATGGGGTTTCACCGTGGTCTCGATCTCCTGACCTCGTGATCCGCCCACCTCGGCCTCCCAAAGTGCTGGGATTACAGGCGTGAGCCACTATGCCCGGCCTATATGTATTCTTTACTAAAGCTCTGAACTTGTTATTTACTGCAATAAAGACAGTTGCATCTCTGGCAGTAAAATACAGTTGCTCTACCCAAACAGAAAACTACTCAAAGTCCATTGTCTAGTTCACTTGAGAAGCAACAAGTAATACTATAACCTAACTCATTTGAGGGCCTCCTATGTTTTTAGTGACATTAGACAGATGAGCTGCTCTCACAGTCTGGGGTACAGTGGGAAAGCAAGAGCTTTCATCATGAAGCGTTTATAAGAAAGGAAAGGAAACATGTCAGATCATTACATTTGGGTATAATGAACTAGGGGTATATGTCTCACAAGACCCAGTACGTGGTACTTAATAGAACCTCAGTGAATTTTGGCTTAATTGGAAGGAATCATTTGGCGAGAACAGATAAGCTTTGGCTAATATCACCTAAAATCACTACTGGATAGGAAACAGGTGAACGTGAATGGAGACTGTAATATAGCACTAAAAAATAAAAATAAATAATCACAAGAATAGGCTTTGAGCTTAGATTGAAGGGCTGGCAAATTCCTCTGCTGAAGAGCTCTAATGGGAACCTGAGACATGCTTTGGTCTGGTTCCTATCTCTGAGAGATGCCTGTTCAACACTGATTCTCAAATGCTATCTTTTACAGAGGAGAAGGTGGAGTGGGTAAACATGAGGATTGAGCAATTAACACTTAAGAATTGTAAATTCTACCCCTTAATCTCCAGAAAAGTATGGGAACCAGCAGGCCAAAGAATGCTATAAATCAGAATCTGGCATGAGTCATCTGAAAGGCAGTTAGTTATCTTGGAGAGAGCTGCAAATTAATGCTTCAAGGTCTGCTGTGAGATGAATTCCAGGGGAACCACACCCTTTTCCTTCTCTTCTGACACAGCTCAGATCTGGCTCATCCCCCATCCCTCATATGGGTTTCAGATGGCAGTGGGCTTACAGAGAGTCTGCCTTGCCTGGACTGGTACTCCAAGTCCAGCAATTTAAGAGAACTGAACTGGGCGAGTCACCTCTGGGAGAAGGACGTGGGATCCCACCCCAGTTCTTAAATAACTCAGGAAAGGAGTCAGACACCACAGAGGTTTAAAAATACCTGTGCTCAAGTTCAGAGCAGCAGAGCACTTCAGGATCAATTCCCAAAGATCCCAGAAATTGGAACTGGGTGGGGTACCTAGTTTACTTTTTTCAGATGACAGGACAGAAGGAAAGTGCAGAATTAAGAAAGGGAATGCAGCAGGGTAAGGACCTCTAAATTTTAAAAAGGCTAATTTTAGGAGGTTCTAAGAAATACAAGTTGTCAGCTGAGGAAATCCTGGCCACCCTTGAGTATCTTCTTCAGGAGAGCAAGGTGAGTCTACCTCACACTGTGTGAGTGCTTAGGTCTGAAGTCACTCAGTCGCATGCCTCTCTTGCCCACAGCCATTACGAAGTGACGGAGCTTCCTTCTCTGAAGTTACATCCTTCTCCCACTTGGTCTTCCCCTCCCCTCCTCCCCCAGCGGTTTTATTCAGTGGATGGATTGTGAATATTGCAGCCAGCTGACTCCCTGTGTGTCCAGTAGGCCTTCTGCAATAAGGATGCAGAGGAGGGAGTAGCCAGGAGGTGAAAATAGCATTGAAAATCAGTGGAGAAGCCCTTGTCTCCTCAGCAACCAGTACCCCAAAGGGCACTGACCAGGGCCACAGCAAGGAACTCTGTTTTGGGGAAGGAGTTGCACACTGGCTTTAAAATAAGACAAAGGAAAGGGGGAAATGTTGTGATTAAAACTCTGTTCTCTTGGCTAGAGGATGAATCATGTAACTCTTGTCTGAGTGCAGCCAATGGTTGCCCAACTGAGTCAGCCCTGCCTGGCCCTCCGTTCTTGGGTGGGGCTTGCCTGGGCAGGGCTGTCTGCAGCACTGCTAGCTGCCAAAACTGAAGTTCTTCAGGGACTTCAATCTGGCATTTCCACCCTCACGTAGCCACTCTGCAAGCTCTATTCCTGGACAGATGTGGGCTTCCTGCATCCTGGTTAGACACATTTTGACAGGAGGGCCTTGGGGCTGGGGCTGAGGGGCTGCAGTGTCCTCTCTATCCCCAATAACGTACTCTTGCACCTGAAACATTCAATTTCATTTAATTGTTTACTTGTCTGCCTGAGATTTAAGCTTCTCTTGATTAAGAACTACAAATTATTCTGCTTTTATTCATGGAGCACTATATAACTGTTATGTGCATAAATGAACCACACAATCCCTTGGGCAGTAGCTGAGGTGCAGGTGTGATTACCCAGGACTAGGCTGAAAGCCTTGTAGCTCAGAGCTCAGGAGGACGATGTGAGAGCTGGGAAGGGCCAGGAAAGGGGCCCCAAAAGTGTTCAACTATGAACGGAACAGTAGATAGAGTACACAGGAGTGCACATTCCATACGCAAAAGGAAAAATATGTGTCCTGCTAAACAGGTCTAGTCAGAATGACATGACTGTGCTCCTTCTCTTCTAACACTTGCTATTTTCTCGTGTTTCATTCATCCCATCTTCTACTTTTTGCTTTTCTAGTGCTGCTATCTCACTGCTGAGCTCCACAGGATAATAACAGCCTTGCTGTCCACTCACCTTTTATTGAAGTATTCTAATCTGATGCCTATACATGCCCTCTACATGTTTGTCTGAGCAACAGGTCTTAAGAAGGGAGGCGGAGACATCTTTCTCTGCATAGTTTTCTCTATGGAAAACAATTCTGGACTCCACAAATTTAGTTACCTTAGGAGGAATTCAATTTTCCATTTTTGGTTCTCCCTCCCTGAGCACCTACTTTGAATGTCCCAGACATGGTGTTAGGCATGAGGGTGTTCACACACACATACACACATGCACACACACACAAAGCTCTCCATGGTGCTTGCCTTTGAGGAGTTCACCAGCTAATGGAATACTATTAAAGCATTTGGCCTGAATTCTAGTTATTTGTGTTTCTGTTTCTTTCCTCACTAGGTTGCAGGTTTTTTGAGCAGGGTCCCAATAGCCAGTGCCCCAGCCCTCATAGAGCCTGCTCGATGAATTGTTAAGAAATTGATAATGATGTATTTTGGTTGTCCTGCGAGTAGCAGACAAGCAGGAGTCCTCCTCAGAAAAGTGTCTGCTCCTGAAAAATCTCAAATGTTTGCTTTGGACCTATGCCCAGATCCCGGCTGCAGTTTCAAAGAGGACACTTCTGCAGAGTGAGTCGGACTTGCTTTGCTCCTCTGTGTCTTGTCCATACCCTAGTTTTCTTACAGCCCACCCAGAAAATAAACGGCAGGGTGTCAGTAAAAACAAACATCTGTTATTTAAAATATGTTTGAGGTTTCCTTCCTTTTGCTTTAGAAATTTTGGAGTTTTTAAAATTGAACCCAGAAGGCATTCTTAAATTTGATCTCTGAAGGGAATTCAGAAAAAATGAGTTGAAGCAATGGATCTGGATCCAGGCTGTCTCTCTCACCTCTCACCAACTAAAACTTGCCCACTAAAGAACTGGGCAGCAAAGGAACGTTTCAGATGCAATTCAATAGGAAGAAAGAACTTGGAAGAAACCTCCTTCAATCTAACCAACTACATCAATTTTTCCTTAAAGAATGCTTAGGCATCAGCCTAATCAGCCAACATAGCTACTGTCAAAACTGCTTTTAGTTAAATCCTTTGGTAGGATGGGTGGTATTTATTTAGTAAAGGGATAGAAAGTGCTGAAAATTGTTTAAAAGAAGTACATTCTTTCTTTTTGCTTTTGATGTGGATTCCTAAATTTGTTGAGTCCCCAGAAAAATGAGAAACTTAAGATGTTAAAATTTTAGTCCAGCTTTCTCAGCACTTTGAGTGCTAATTTATACATTATAATCCTGAAAGAATTCCATTGTTTCTCTCAACTTTACGCTTTAAAAGACTGGACTGTGTCCAAGGGTATACCAAGTGGGTTGTGCTCTACAAAAGTCACATTTTTTGAACTGTCAGTAGAAAGCAGGGAGGCACACAGTCTCAGCTCCACCCTGACCTCACTGGAGTGGCTGCTTAGGAGGCTGGCCAGCACACGGGAGGAAAGGGGCCTATATGATGTGTCGGAGAAAAGCTAGGAAGAGCATCACCCAGAAAGCAGGGTAAGACCCAAAAATTGCTTCATGCCCAGTAGACCAAAAAAATTGTAAGAACCTAGATAAGAAACTCCAAATGGTGGATCAAGGGCCACAGTGAAGAAACTATCCTCTGGCTGTGAAGGAACAAATACACCATTTGGAAGGGATGATTAAAGAGAAACTGGATAGGAATCTGTGGGGGCAGGGCCGATGAAGAAACTTCCAATAAGTTATATGAACTCATTCCCACTCCAACCCCTGGCATTATCTTTTGCAATTTGCTGAAACATGTTGGAGGCAAAGATCACCGACTGGGTGTTTCCATGAGCCTGGCCTCACCTAAAACGCACAACATAAAACTCCATTCCTGGAGACTGAAACTCAAGCTTCTGGGGAAAAATATCCGCAACAACTGCAAACCTCTTAGCGGGAAAAGCTACCTCCCAAGTAAGGCTGAGGCAGGCTGCCAGGCGCATACTGGCCGATAACGAAAAGCGGTCTCGCCAAGGCCCTGCAGATCTAATTACTGCCCTCACCGGCAGTTCAGTCGAGAAACCTCTCCTGCAGACTGGCAGCCAGACCAGGTGTGACTCACTTCCTCTTGGAAAATGCCCTCTGAGATGGCACAGTTCTCCTTTTCCTTCAGGGAGTGTTCTGTCCAAACCATCCACCGAGAGTATCTGCAACCGGCCACACCCACATGGTCTCACAGCTGAGTCACAGGCCTCAGACCACTGGGAGAATCCTGGAGCCCTTTGTGCTAACCACGCCCTGCAGAAGCTCCCGCAGAGACGGAACTGGGTGGGGGCAGAAAACGGGGTGGGCTTAATGCATCCCAGAATCTGGCTTAGGGCTCCCCTGTGCTGGCCTGGCTTGGAGCGCTCTGCATTCCACCCCAGCCAACAAGGCAGAGCTCCTGGTTTCACTTAGGCAGAGCTGGACTGAGGCTGGACAGGCAGCAGTGTCCACGGCTAGGGGCAGCGCCATTCCTTCGGCCAAAGCACAGGTGGTGAACCAAGTACCAAAGGCACGTCTGTCTGTTTCACTGCACCGGGCCAAATTAATCTATGATTGGAAGATCCTTCATCAAGCCTGCTCTTCCTCCATCTCTTTCTGGTTCCACTTATTAAGACAGCAAGGGAACCCTTTCAGTAGAGAAACCACGTCACACAGGGCCCTCTCCCACAAACCCCAGCCAAACTGCTGTAGAAAGAAAACAAGTGGACCTCCCTCCCTCAGCAGGAAGACCCTTTCCGTCGAGCAGACAACAGGAAGCCCCGACCAGAAACGCCTGTTTGGCCGACGGACTAAGGGTTACGGAAGGGACGCCCCAGCTGCCTACTCGTCCTACCCGCGCCTACTTGGGCGGTACAGCCGGGAGCAGGCTACGAACATGCAGACCCGGCCTGCGAGCGGAACCCACCAAGAAACACGCCAGCCAGGGCAGGGGCGTGTAGGAGGGATTCGGTAACCCGAGAGACGAGTGGGAAAGTAGGAAAGGTGGGAGTAAAGCAACGCAAACATAAAGGGAGGAGGGAAGAGGTTCAGGCGCACCAATACCACGGTCCCCTCCTAAAGAACAAGTGCCCCCTCCTCTGGTCCGCGTGGGTCTGGGGGCGGCCGCGCCCGGGCCGGGGAGGGGCGCTGCTGGCCTCGTTTGGGTGTGGCCCGGAGCACTGAGCAGCGGATTCCCCACCAGCCGCTCCCCGCCCAGCCCCGCGGTGCTCCGGACGCCCCGCGAAGCCGGGTGCAGGGTTTTCCCCGGGCAGCAGGTCCGGGCCTGGGGACTACCCAGGAGGGGCGCGTGGGCCGGGCGGAGCTCACCTTGGCCGAGGCGCGGCGGACGCTGGGCGAGCTGGGCGAGCTGGACGCGGGGCGGAGAGGCGAGCGCGGCGGGCTGTGCGCCTTCCTTAGTACGTGCGGCGGGTGGGTAGAGGGAGGCGGCGCGGGAGCGGGAGGAGCCTGGCGGGCGCTCGGCAGGGCGCTCCCCCAGCCCTGTCTCCTCCCCCTCTTCCTGCCCCCGACTCCCCCGACCCCGGGCGCGCGGCCCACGCCCTGCCCTCGCTCCCGGACCCGCCTCGCAGAGGCCTCGCCCGCCCCAGACAGAGCGTTCTTGTAAACTTCTCTTCAGTAGAAACGGTCCTGCTCTCGAATATTTCAGGGCATCCCCACCCTGAGCCTGCCCTTCCTCTCGGGTTTGGTTTTAGAAAGTGTACAAATCAAAGAACCCGGCCGTCCTGCGGGTGGGGCACGCTGGCGCAGAACCAGAGGTAACCGGCTCTGCGGCCACCTACGGGTCTAGGAATTACTTGCTGGATGACCCTGCAGGGAGTGGCACGTGGAGTCCTATCGACCTCAGAGGCACTATCAGATTAGCCCTAGGAGGTCCGTCTGGGGGTCTCGGCGGCCTGCGCCAGTGGAGGGGCGGCACCTCCCCAGAAGCCGGGCTTCCCGCCCCACCGGCCCGCGAGGTGCCGCAGGGAGGGTGCGGTTTGGCTTGTCAGCACCCAGGGGCGTCACAAACCCTTTGTTGAACAGGGGATTTACCCCTTTGTGTGGCGTCACTTGATCAATAGTTCAGTTTCAGTGTGGCTAATAGTGTTAAAAACTGGCCGGGCGCGGTGGCTCACGCCTGTAATCCCAACACTTTGGGAGGCCGAGGCGGGCGGATCACCTCAGGTCAGGAGTTCAACACCAGCTTAGCCAACATGGTGAAACCTTGTCTCTACTGATACAAAAATTAGCCGGGAGTGGTGATGCGCGCCTGTAATCCCAGGAGACTGAGGCATGAGAATCGCTTGAACCTGGGAGACAGAGGTTGCAGTGAGCCGAGATCGCACCACTGCACTCCAGCCTGGGTGACAGAGTGAGACTCTGTCTCAAAAAAAAAAAAAAAAAAGAAAAAAGAAAAAAAGAAAAGAAAAAGGTTAAAAACTAAGTTTCCAAGGCAGTATGCTGTGGTCCTTGAAAAGTCCTTTAGAAGAATTTTCTGGAATAAATTTAGAGAAAACCTAAGTGTTTCCTAGGGGATGCTTACCAACTCCTCGCCCCTCCCCCGCCCGCCCTCTTTTATTTTAATTGTGACTCAGGGTTAAATACAAACTACTAGCAGCTGTTGGTGGAAAAGAGCCCAATCCCAAACTCTGGGGTTTTCCTTTGTTCCCAAGGGAGGCCTTGGGAGGAATGAATGATCCTAAAGGAATGAGCAGACCTGGGGAATCCTCCAAGTGCCACCTCTGACTAATATTGGCTGTTGCCAGGAAAACCCAACTTGGATTTCAGCTATTACTTTCCGTGCAACCCTGGTGCTGACTATTCAAGGGGACAGCTCTTCAAGATCTTCCTGTATACAGTACTTCCCAGTCCCCAGGTCACAGTCACCAGTGGAGGAAATCTCGGATCCCTTTTGTTGCAGGGATTGCAATGCGACTGGGTTTAGAATGGGAATGCCTGGGTTTGCGTACCCCTACTCATCTGATTTCTTCATCTGGTCCACAGACCTTAGGAGTGCTTTAGTGTATGTGGTAGGCCTGGGAATTCAGGGATTAGAGAATCAGTCTCTTTCTCTGAAGAGTTCCAAGTATTGGGCGTTAGATAAGCAAACAATTAAAATCCAGTGTGCTTAGTGAATGGTAGAGGATACTATTGGATACTAGGAGAACACTGAGGAGGGGCTTCCAAGTCCTCTTGGAGTGGTCACAGAATAATTTCTGCAGGAAGCAACATTGGGTAGAAATTTAAAAACAACAATAACACTTATTGTAACTTTTTAATCTGTACAAAGATTCCATTCTTAGAAGGCTTGGAAAATATATCAATGTATAAAAAATGATTTATAAATACATGAGCCAAAGATAAACATTTTCATATTTCTAGTCTTTTTATGCATATGTAACAAATATTTGCATAATTGTGATCATACTGATTATAAAATTAAGTACAGTCATTCACTGCATAACAGTGTTTGAGCCAACGATGGATCATGTATTCAGCAGTGGTTCCATAAGATTATAATAGAGCTAAAAAAATTCCAGTTGCCTAGTGACCTTGTAGCTGTCTAGCGCAATACTTTACTCATGTGTTTGTGGTGATGCTGGTGTAAACAAACTACTGTGCTGCCAGTTGTATAAAAATATAGCACATACCAATTATGTGTAGTATGCAATACTTGATAATGGTAATAAATGACTGTTACTGCATTATGTATTTACTACACTATACTTTTCATCATTATTTTAGAGTGTATTCCTTCTACTTATTAAAAAAACAGTAAAACTTAAAAAAAAGTTTAAAAAACAGCCTCAGGCAGGTCTTTCAGGGGGTATTCCAGAAGAAGTCATTGTTATCACAGGAGATGTGTGTTTTTGCCCTGGAGACCTTTCAGTGGGACCAGATGTGGAAGTGAAAGACAGTTATATTGATGATCCTGACCCTGTGCAGGTCTAGGCTAATACGTGTGTTTGTGTCTTAGTTTTTTTTTTTTTTTTTGTGTGTGTGTGTCTTAGTTTTTAACAAAAAACTTAAAAAAAAATAAAAATTTTAAAAATAGAAAAAACTTACATAAGAAGGATATAAAGAAAGAAAATATTTTCTACAGTTGTATAATGTGTGCTTTAAGCTAAGTGTTATTACAAAAGAGTCAAACATTTAAAGAATTTACAAGTTAGGCTGGGCGTGGTAGCTCACACCTGTAATCCCAGCACTTTGGGAGGCCGAGGCGGGCGGATCACGAGGTCAACAGGTCAAGACCATCCTGGCCAACGTGGTGAAACCCCATCTTACAGAGAAAGAACTAGCCGGGCGTGGTGGCACGCACCTGTACTCCCAGCTGCTTGGGAGGCTGAGGCAGGAGAATCGCTTGAACCCGGGAGGCGGAGGTTGCAGTGAGCCGAGATTGTGGCAGTGCACTCCAGCCTGGAGACAGAGTGAGACTCCATTTCAAAAAAAAAAAAAAAAAGAAAAAGGAAAGAAAAAGGAATTTCCAAGTTTATAACGTAAATTTACAGTAATCTAAGGTTAATTTGTTATTATTATTTTGGTTTTTTGAGACAGGGGCTCCCTCTGTCGCCCAGGCTAGAGCATAGCAGTGTGATCTCTGTTCACTGCAACCTCCGCCTCCCGGGTTCAAGTGCTTCTTGTCCCTCAGCCACTCGAGTACCTGGGATTACAGGCATGTCCCACAGCGCCTGGCTAATTTTTGTTTTTTTTAGTAGAGATGAGGTTTCACCATGTTGACCGGGCTGGTCTCGAACTCTTGGCCTCATGTGATTCACCCATCTTGGCCTCCCAAAGTGTTGGGATTATAGGCATTAGCCACTGCATCTGGCTAGGTTAATTTATCATTGATAAAAGAAAAACTGTTTTAAACATAGTGTAGCCTTAAGTGTACAGTGTTTCTAAAGTCTACAGTAATGTACAGTAATGTCCTAGGCCCTCACATTCACTCACTACTCACTGACTCACCCAGAGCAACTTCCAGTCCTGCAAGTTCCATTCATGGTAAGTGTCCTATTTGTATAGCATTTTAAATCTTTTATACCATATTTTTACTACACTTTTTCCATGTTTAGGTACACAAATACTTACCATTGTAGTACAATTGCCTACAGTATGCTATTCAGGGTTGTAGCCTCAGAGTCCTCGACTGTACCATACAGCCTAGCTGTGTAGTAGACTATGCCATCTAGGTTTGTACAAGTACATTCTATGATGATTGCAGGATGAAATCGTGTAAGGGCACATTTCTCAGAACGTATCCTCATCATTAAGCGACACATGACTGTTTCTATTTTTGTCCCATACTTTTTCCTTTTGTTCTTACTCTTTCCTATGTTACTAAATATTTATCAAGATCATATGTTTATTCATTTAAATCATTCTTTTCACCTTTTTATTTGACAAGTAACTGTTCAACTGTACTGTACTGTGTCTTCTTTTTTCTCTCTTCTCCAATCTGCCAGCAGAACTCTAAGGCCCTAGTGGGTGCATCTCCAGGAGGATGCTGCAGGGTTTCTAAAACATTGTGCTGAGTACTGGGAATACAGTGATGAAAATGGTCAGCACACCTTGCTCTTCCTGGCCTCATGTGGTTTCTTAATGACTCTGTGTACTAGCAGGTCCATAAAGCTTCAAGTATCAGCCATGCTTATAGTCTCTCTAGGAAAAGGGGTCCCAGGCAGTTCTTTCTCCAGGAAGTAGTTATACCTTGTCAACTACATGCATTCAGTGAAGCCAGCTCTGCTTCCCTAGAGAAAACTGATGGCATCAGGGACCAGTGCCTAAGCCTGAGCTGCCCAGCAAGGATAGTGTCTTAGCAGGAGGGTAGCCAACTGAATGGCCACTGGAGGAATGAGAGCAGAGGCCCCATCCATGTGGTCTCTGAAATGATGAGAAAGCAATGTTCAAATCTTCTACCAGGGCTGAAGTAGGTTCCAATGTACAAAATGTTGGGAGCTGGAGAGATTGATCCACTAGTGAGGCAGTATTGGGAATTTTACCACTTCTCCATGTGGCACAGCCACAAAATCCTATTACCCTCAACTTTTTTGGGTTTGTGGCTGTGGCACAGAAGGTGGGCTATCTACCAGAAATGTGTGTTCCTCTTTTCATTGTGTAGAGTTTTGGCCGCTCAGCTAGGGATTATATTTCTACCACCTCATACCCCTAGGTAGGACTATGTGACTAGCCACCAACACAATGGGACTGGAAGTGATATGTGTCACTTGCAGGCCAAGGCAGTAAAGAGGTGACTTTCCCATATTCTTTCTCTCCACCTGACAGGACTCCAAGGCTCTAAGGATGGAAGAGTCATAATTGGAAAGAGCCTGGGTACCTGAATCACTGTATGGAGGAAAATCACTTGCTGAGCAGGAACATCCTCATTGGACTAGCTATGTGGGTGAGAAAGAACCTTGGAATTTGAATGTTTATTTGCTACAGCATAACCTTAACAAAGTGCTGGTATTGAGTGCTAGTATTTTTGGCTGCACATTTGAAAGGATTAATTTGCATGTGTAGTAATTACACTATTATACTGATGACACCTCAGCATAGTGTCATTGTTTGAGCAGAACTACTTACTGCCCTGGTCACTCTTTTAGATACTTATGAAGCAAAGTTCACACAGGTCTTAGCAAATGCATAGTGTCATTGTTTCTTGATGTGTATCAAGCTGTGCCCTGTACCACATGGAAACCTGTGAAAACCCAGCTCAACATTCTGTCTGCCCAGACACCATGTCAACAGCATGAATCATAGTTGTATAAACTTTACCTACCAATTGCAATACCTTGGGAAGGAGTCTTAGCACTTCTTCCTGCCTCCTCAGTTGAGAATCACTGATTTACAGTGATCTGGTCAAGACTTTTTGCTGGCAATCCAAAAAGGAAGACAAACCAACCAACCCAGGTATGGCTGTATTAGTAGCCCCTAAATAGGGAAATCCTATAATTTGTTAAACATTTCCCATATTTTTTTGAACATTTCGGTTGTTTCTAATTTTTTACTGTCAAAGCTAACTATATATCAGAGACTACTTTTGAATAAATATATCTGCCCTCATGTTTGTTTCCTTATGATATGTTTCTATCAGGACCTATCTTTTTTCACTTATTTATGTGGATTTTAAGGGACAAGTAGGAATAAGCCCCATTGTGTGGGGGCAGACAGGAGGGAAAGGCATGTGCCTGATGGAGTTGTGAGGTACTATGTCTGTGCCAGGAACTACCTGCTGTTCTGCATGAGGAGAGTGCAGCGTCCTTTAGAGTCTTGGATGGGGATGAGTCTTGAGAGAAGGTGTCTTTCCTGGGGTGCCTGAGATATTCTGCTAAGGAGTTTCCTAAGGTAATAAGAGCCGCTAAAGAATGTGAAAAAGGGCATTATTAGCTGCATGGCTCTGGGCAATTCATTTCACCACTATGAACCTGGGTCTCCACCTATCTTCTGGGATGATGGAAAAGACTGAACCATCTAATGAACTTGAAGCCATCCAGCTCAGCAAGCAGCAGGTTCTGGAAGGCAGATCCCCACCTCCTCTGTGTGATCTCCCACTCTGTGGAGGGGCAGTTGTCAGGAAGCCAAACAGGGCTCTTCTGTCACCCAGGGTTTTTAGTGTGTGTGATTCGTGAATGCCTTTCAGCAGACTTCTGTCTAGGGTACTGGGAGGACTCCACCAAGGCTGTGCTTGCTGTGCTAACATATCTCTTGGAGCTGCAGAAGCTGAAGAAGTGTAGCTTTTTAAATTTGTTTTTAAAAATAGGATAGCTGTTAGATTGGGGTCGAAAACCACCTGTCTTCTCCTACAGGTGAGCTGCAAATTCTAACAATTATAATCTATCAAATATTTACTGTGTACCTACTAATTCCTGGCATGTTATGGGTCCTGGAGATATGTCAATGACTAAGACAAATTTCTGCACTCACAGGCCTTACATTATAGTGGGAAATGATGCAGGCAACCCCCAAAGTGGAGCTTAGCCCACTGGGTTCTTGGCTTTGCCTAGGAAATTCAAGGGCAAGCCAGAGGTAGAAGAAAACAGCTTTAGTGAAGAGGCAGTGTTATAGCTCCATGAGTACTCCTACAGAGCAGGGCTACCCAGTAGGCACAGAGCAGCAGCTCAGGGCAGTTTTGCAGTTGTATTTATATAACCCACTTTTAATTGCATGCAGATTAAGGGGTGGTTTAATGCAGAAATTTCTAGGGAAGGGGTAGTAGATTTTGGGTCATTGGGGCATTGCCATGGAAAGGGGTAGTAACTGCCCAGATATTGCCATGGCAATGGTAAATTGACATGGCACACTAATGGGCATGTCTGATTGAAAGCTGCTTTTGCCCAAGCCCTGTTTTAGCTAGTCCTCAATCTGATCTGGTGTCTGAGCTCCGCCTCTGGCATCAAGTCCCACCTCCTACCTCAGGAAGGCAAATAAAATAGAAATAGAGGGGAAAATGAAACTAATACAAAAATTTGGTAAGTTTATAATGAGTGCCATCATGGGAAATCAAGAGTCTGAGTGAGAGAATTGAAGGGACCCATTTTAGGTAGGAAATCAGGAAAGACTTCTCTGAGAAGGGGATACTTAAATCCAGCCTTAGAGGAGGAAGAGAAACTAGGATTGCAAATAAAGGAGGGGTGGGAGGAAGTGTCCTAAGGGGAGGAAAAAGCCCATGAAAAGGCCCAGAGATGAGGAGAAGCTGGGTCTGTTAGAGGAATTGAAAAACCACTAGTGTGTCTGAAGCAAGGCAAGTGTGACATGGGATGAGGCCGAGAGGGAGTACAGCTGAGCTACAGGGATCTGGTCAACCCTTTTTGTTGGTAATGGAAAAAATAAAACAATTATGTAATATAGTGGTTGTAAGTGCAGACTCTGGAGTTTCAGACAGGCTTGGGAGGAAATCACGTTTTCTCTGCCCCTCATTAGCTGTGTGATCTTGGACATGTCCTTTTCCAAGGAGAAGACAACTTACTCTTCACCTTCAGTGAAGTGATCAGGCAGAACGGAATGCTAGCTTGTCTGAATCCCAGTGTTTGGCACTCGGGGAGAACTCTGCAAGACATGACCTGCCTATCATGGACTGTGGTCTGCCAGACTGATAGGGTGCATTTCTCCTCTCTTCATTAAAACTTGAGAGCAAGTGGTGTTCCAGGCAAACATTTGGATGCTGTGTCAAAGGGAAACAGTTACTGAAGCCACAGATACTCTTTGTTCATTGATGATACTGGAATGTGGCTGGGGAGAGCTCAGACCCACAGAAATTGGACTCTGTGGGGCCCCAGTGACTCAAACCCCTTGTGAAATGCTGGCTGCTTGGTATGAACTGACGCCTCAACAATGTTAGCAGCAGCTAGCTCTGGGGTTTCTGGGCAGTCCTATTGGCTGAAAGCTGGGGAGGCTGCCATAAGGCTTTCTGGAAATATTTAAAATGGACAATTTACTGGGAAAGGGTGTGTTCTTGCTTTGTAGCTAATGCTGTGGGACCCTCTGGTGGCCACAGTGGGAATAGCTTGACAGTGGGGTTTACTTTCTCTTGAGTGGCCCAGGCAGGAAATCCTTGGCTGGAAACCAGAGGATTGAATATGGGGCTGGAAAGATTACCTAGTTGGCTTGAGATGGAGGCTGTGATTTAGGTTGACATCCTACCCCATTTTCTCTTGCTTTTGGCAGCATTTCTCTGGGCTTGAGCAGTGAGAAAAGTAATGCTCTGTGTACAAGACGCCAAAAAAAAATATATATATATATATATATATAGGTGAAAATAGGTTGTTAAGTTGAACTAGTGTCTGGTACCATATGGACCAAAACCTCAGTTTGAGCATAGGATTCCACCAGTTTTATTGGTTGACTTTTAAGTGAATTCATTCTAACAGCTTTGAGCACAGATATTCTGAAAGCTAAAGTGCTTAGCTGTTGGAGGATGTACTGGCTGGTAATTAGTGGGGCATCTGTGAGGTCTTGTATCATGTGACCAATGTATGGTCATATGACCAACATATGGCCATTTGATAGAAGAACACAAATGGGCTGGACACGGCTCATGCCTGTAATCTCAGCACTTTGGGAGGCCGAGGCAGGCAGATCACCTGAGGTCAGGAGTTCAAGACCAGCCTGACCAACATAGTGAAACCCTGTGTCTACTAAAAATACAAAATTAGCTTGGTGTGGTGGTGCATGCCTGTAATCCCAGTTACTTGAGAGGCTGAGGCAGGAGAATCACTTGAACCCAGGAGGCGGAGGTTGCAGTGAGCCGAGATCGCACCACTGCACTCCAGCCTGGAGACAGAGCGAGACTCTGCCAAAAACAAACAAACAAACAAACAAACAAAACAAAAAAACCCCCACAAACATACTCCAAGTCTTCTTGTTAAAAATTAACACAATAATTTTATATTCTATGAAGTTCTGTCTCATATGTTATCTTATTTGTTTCTTATGATCACTCCAAGAAATATTTTAGGTCGATTAGTGCTATGATTATAGTAATAATTATTGTGGTTTATGTATATTATCTGTAAATCTAACAAAAGCCCTGTAAAATAGATAGCCAGTCTGTTTTCAGATGTGGAAAGGAAGCTCAGAGAGGCTACATAACTTCCCTAAGGGCATTGATATAGTCCTATTGGAACCCAGATAAGCTTAGTCTCAAAGCCTCCCCTCTTGTCACCACCCGACTCTGCCTTACTCTTGGTAGAACCACAGCGATGACAGCTGCTTGGGAACATAACCACAATCTGGGCAGGAACATGAGAAGTGTTCACAACCAGCACTGAGGTGAGGTAGCATGTGTGGGCAGTGCTGCACGGGGGACTTCAGAACAGCAGGCTCCCTCTTGGCTGGACTCTTAAGAATAACTTCATGGGTGACATAGGATTTGAAGTGAGATTTGTAGGTTGGGTCAGATTTGATAGGCTTGATTGAGCATATGGGACAGGGGCTGAGAGAAGAGTAGTCCTGGGGGAGGAGTAACACGAGGGAAGATGCCAAGGGGAGTATGCACAGGACACACTGGAGGAACAGCAAGAGTGGCTAGAAAGAGGGATTGGGTGAGGGATGAGGGCTAGATTATTGATGCTTTTGAATTCCAGGCTAAAAAATTGACCACTCTGCAATGAAACCTAAGCTTTTTTTTTCTGGCTTCTGATTCTCTCTCAAAATTTACCAGTCTCTGGAGCCGCTTGTGTCTTTAAGCAGAGATCATCCTATAGCCCTCAGCTCTTCCCAGCCTCCTTCTCCTTTGATCACTGTGTTGGTAGACACAGTGAAATCATAGAGGGAGGGACCACGGCCAGCTGTGGAGGAGAGAGCAGCTGTGATGTGAGAATGGGGTGAAGCTGGGAGAAAATGAGGGCCAGGAGATGAGGGAGGCCCACCCTGGAATGATGGTGGCAAGGGTGGATGAGAAGGTACAGATTTGAGAGAAAGAACAGGAAGAATCTGCAGGCTACTGCTACTGAGCTCTTGGCCATAGGGAGAGGAAGGAGCAGAACTGCCAGAAGTTTTCAGACCTGGACACCTTGTGCTCTGGTGCCTGCCAAATGCAGGGAGGAGCACTGGTTTGGGAAGGAAGGTGCAGACTAAGCTGCTAAGCTGCTGGTGGGGTTTCTTAGGTGAAAACAACCTGCTTTGTGATTAGTCTTAAGTTGTTTGCCCCACCCCTGACGTGGTGACCTGCAAGGAAGGGTGTGTAGACACTGGTTCTCTCAGTTGTCGGTTCATAGATAACTCTTTCCTGGGCAACACTCTATGGCTCCCTGCACAGCTTACAGTCAGGCTGGAACTCTGGCAGGATGTCTGGCTCCAGCATAGTTTTCCCCAGCCAGGCTCAGCCATCTAGTGGTGAGGGCATTAGATTGGGAGTCTGTCATTTGGCTGTAGCTGCTGGGCTGGGTGCTGTGGGGAATGCACAGATGAAGGCGGCATGGTCCTTCCGTTTGAGGAATTCACACTCCAGGTGAGGAGACAAGTGGTGATGGAAGGCAGTGAAAGGAGGCCAGAAGGTAGACATACTGGCTGGGGACAGATTGTAGGACCAGACAGCCGCTAGGATTTGGCCAGATGTGATTTCCACCATGAAGCCTCCCCAACCTCACCTAGACTGGGGTTGGGTGTTGCTCCTTTAGCCTCTCGTGGCCCTTATCATAGAGTAGGGAAATTGCCTATCTGCTCATTTGTCTCCCTTGATGCTTGTTGGTTCATTGGGGAGAGATTTCTCTTGGTGTGTTGTGTGTTCTGAGCAGAGTATGCTCTCAGTGGATTTTGGCAGGAACCATAAATCAGTGATCAACACAGGATGATAAGAAGAGTGGTCCTGAGGCATCTGAGGAAGGGAAGAGTGCAATGATGGAAGTGTCCCTATAGCCCACATCAGCCTGAGCATGCTCAGTTTCTCTTTTTTGAAAAACATGACTTAAAATTTATCATCTATTCCAGCAAAGAAATGAGTTAAAATGTTTTAAAACACATTCAAACTTTTTAGCTTAATCTGTTCTTAAACCATAACAGTAAATACATTATCCGTGACTGTTGTGAAGGTCTATTCCTGATAGAAAAGCTTCCTGGTATGAGACACCTGTCCATCAACTTGACCCGACACATGATCATGCATATTTTTTCTTGTTACTATTTCATGGTGGCAGCTGTGGTGAAGTGGAAGGCAGATTAGACAATCGATTTGAGCTCTGGTTCTCTCATTCATTAGCTTTGTGACCTAAGGCAAGTCACTTAACCTCCCTGCACATATTTCTTCATATTCAAAATGAATATGAATATATATATATATATATATATATATAATAACGACTATTTGAGAAACCCATTATATTTTACAAATCCATTTTTTTGTATACAGATGTTCCGCAGCTTATGATGGGGTTATGTCCAGGTAAACTCATCATAAATTGAAAGTATTGTAAATTGAAAATTCAGCCCAGAGACTTTTTGGTAAAGAATCACCAATATTTAAAGTCTGAAACTTTGTGGTTGTGTATTGCTTTCGCAACATCAGAAAGTCAAAAAGTCTTTGTTAAGTTGAACCATTGTAGGTTAGGGATTGTCTGTATTTATTCAGGTACTTGCTGAGTGCCAACTCTATGCCTGGCACTACCTAAACACTGTGGATACAGAAATAAAGATACAGTCCCTGCCTTTGGAATCCCAGTCTAACAGGGCAGGAAGACAAATAAAGCAACACTTACTTCTTATTATCATGGCCGAGGTGACTCTGATTGTTGCTGGAGTGCAGAACAGAAAGCAGAGATATCTGGACCTTATGGGGTGTTAGGGAGGCTTCCTGGAGGAGGAGGTACTTAAAGATAATCTTGACAGATAAGTAAGAGCCAAAGAAAATCTTGACAGATAAGTAAGAGCCAGTCAAGGAAGGTGAGGAAAATGAAGTAAGGGAGAAGCCCCTGGAGAAATACAGATGATTTGGAGGTTTGTAGGTGCGTGGGGTGTGTGTTCGGAGGCTGCAGGAGATCAGGACATGGAAACCACAAAGGGCCAGATCACTAAGAGCCTCCGATGCTGAATAAAGACATTTGAGCCTTATTTTGAGTGAGGAGACATTGAAAGTTTAACACTTATATATTTATATTTCTGATTATAAAGTTACTGAGTATCCGCTGAGAGAAAAATGAAAAATACAGAAACATATAAAGAAAAAAGGGATATCCAGAGACAACCATTGTGCATATTTTGGTAAATACACTTGGTGATATATATATAGCACTATAGCTCCATAGCTATAGATATGGCCATATGTCTATATCACCAAATATCTATCTATCTGTATATAGATATAACTAGATATCCTGGCTACTTAAGGTGTAGTCTGAAGTGACATGGTTCACCTGCCAGTATAATGGTTTAAGAGACTGGCCACTTTTGAAAGCCCCTCATGTTTCTCATTCCGATATCTTCTAGGATTAAAAATTTATAGGCCACAATTGAATAATTCTTGGTTACCCAGGACCTTGTGGCGGATGCCTTCTTTCACTGAGCATTCATGGGGCGCCTATAAGGTGCCAGACCCTACTCTGTGATAGGGATCCCATTGTAAGCAAATCTCAGGTCACTGCCCCATGGAGCCCACCTCTGTAGGGATCGAAAGTGGGCAGAGATATAGGGGCACAGCCAGTTTGTGTCCTTCCCAGGTGCATGCCTACTGGGTCCTGGGGGACTGGAAGCAAGTGCAAGCAGTGAAATACTCTGAAGCAAGGCATTAGCTGGGCATGGTGGCACATGTCTGTGGTCCCAGCTCCTCGGGAGGCTGAGGTGGGAGGATCACCTGAGCTTGGGAAGTTGAGGCTGCAGTGAGCCAAGATAGTGCCACTGCACTCCAGCATGGGTGACACAGTGAGACCTTGTCTTAAGAAAAAAAAAAAGAGGCAAATGGATGACTCCAGACCTAGGGGCTGAGGCCCCCCCTGCAGCGGGGCAGCTTCTGAGGCAGATGAGGAGCAGCAGGGAAAGTCGTGGCCTGGTGTTCCCTGTCGCAGTGCCCCAACTCATTCCTGTGGATGTCTAAACTTGCCCAAAGGCAAAACTCAATGTCTCTGGCTCCAGTCGATTTTGAATGTGTTTCAGAGGAGTATAGAGGGGTTGGGGAGCCCCCTGTCACCATATGGTAACAGTATATGGTTTAGCATTATTGTGTCTCTGTGCTATAATTGGTTAGCACGTGGGCTGTTTATGGAAAATACTGGTGGTTTAAGCCCACCCACGATGTTCTAGCCTTCACTCAAGTTTATTTTCCTTCTCTCCTTTCCCTTTCTTCCCTTCCTTCCTTTCCTTTCTTTCCCTTCTTATGTCCCTTCCTCCCTTCCCTAACCTTTCCTTTCTTCCCTACCTCCTTTTCTTTCCTTCCCCTTCCCCCTTTCCTTTCTTGACCACTCTGCAATGAAACCTAAGCTTTTTTTTTCTGGCTTCTGATTCTCTCTCAAAATTTACCAGTCTCTGGAGCCACTTGTTTCTTTAAGCAGAGAGATCATCCTATAGCCCTCAGCTCTTCCCAGCCTCCTTCTTTGATCTCTGGGCATCACTGGGGCAGCTGCTGAGTCTCAGGGGTTCCTAGTCTTCACCGAGTTCTGCCCTGAGATGGTTTCTCCCTGTCCTTACCAGAAGCCTGTGCTGTCTGGAGCACTGAGGCTGTCTCCAGCTAACTGATCTGCTCTCTGGATTCCAGGGACACCCACAGGGCCAGAGGTTGAAGGCATAGGCGTTGACATCTCCAACTGTTCTGACTCCAGGTTGGTGCACCTCAACACCCCGTATTAACCACATAATAACAGGATGCCACCAAAATTTTGATTTGGGGCTGTTGCATCCTAACTTTAATAAAATTTAATAGACTTTATTTTTTAGAGTAGTTCTAGGTTTACAGATAAATTGAGCAGATAGTATAGGGAATTCCCCTATTCTCCCTTGTCCCCTAGCACACAATTTCCTCTGTCATCAGTATCATGCATCAGTGTGATACATTTTTACAATGATTAATCAGTATTGATACATTATTATTAACTAAACTCCGTAGTTTATATTAGGGTTCATTCTTTGAGTTTTACAGTTCTATGGGTTTCGACAATTACCTAATGTCATAAATCCCCAGTACAGTATCACACAGAATAGTTTCACTGCTGAAAACCTCCTTGTATTCAACTCAATTCATCCCTCCTTCACGCTTGGCAATCACTGATCATTTTACTATCTCTACCATTTTGACTTTCCTGGAATGTCCTAGTGTTGGAATCATACAGTGTATAGAGTTTTTAGACTAGTTTCTTCCTAGCGTTATGTATTTAAAGTTCCTCCATGTTTTTTCATGGCTTGATAGCTCATTTCTTTTTATCACTGAATAATATTCTATTGTACAGATATACCATGTTTGTTTAGCCATTCACTTAGTGAAGGACATTTTGGTTACTTCCAATTTTTGACAAGTATGAGTAAAACTGTTCTAAATACTTGGATGCGAGTTTTTTGAGTAAGCATGTTTTCACATTACTTTGGTAAATACCTAAAACTGCCATTGCTGGATTATATTGCGATACTATGTTTAGCGTTGTAAAAAAAAACCTGCCAAACTGTTTTCCAAAGTGACTACCATTTTGCATTTCCACTGCAATGAATGAGAGTTCCTGTTGCTCTACATCTTTGACAGCCTTTGGTATTGTCCCTTCTTTGGATTTTAGCCATTCTATTAGGTGTATAGTGATATCTCATTGTTTTAATATGCAATTTCCTAGTGACAAATGATTTTGAGCATCTTTTTCATATGCTTATTTGCCATCCATATATCTTTTCCGGTGAAGTGTCCAGATCTTTTGTCTATTTTTGAATTGGGTTGTTTGCTTTTTTATTATTGAGTTTTAAGAGTTCTTTATATATTTTGGACACCAGTCTTTCATCAAATCTGTATTTTGCAAATATTTTTCCCAGACTATAACATGTTTATTCATTCTCCTAACAGTGTCTTTCACAAAGCAGTTTTTAATTTTAATGAAGTTCAACTTATCAATTTTTTGTTTCCTGGATTGTGCTTTTGTCATTGTATCTAAGAAGTCATCACCAAACCCAAAGTCACCTAGATTTTCCCCTATGTTATTGTCTAGGAGTCTTACAGTGTTTTTTTTGTTTTTGTTTTTTTTTTTTGAGACAGAGTCTTGCTCACCCAGGCTGGAGTGCAGTGGTGCCATCACGGCTCACTGCAACCTCTCCCTCCTGGGTTCAAGCAATTTTCCTGCCTCAGCCTCCTGAGTAGCTAGGATTACAGGTGTGCGCCAACATGCCTAGCTAATTTTTGTATTTTTAGTAGAGACGGGGTTTCACCATGTTGGCCAGGCTAGTCTTGAACTCCTGATCTTGTGATCCGCCTGCCTTGGCCTCCCAAAGTGCTGGGATTACAGGTGTTAGCCACCACGCCCGGCCCGAGTCTTACAGTTTTGCACCTTACATTCAGGTGTAAGATCCATTTAGTGAAAGGTGTAAAATCTGTGCCTAGATTTATTTATTTTTCGCATGTGGATGTCTAGTCATTCTAGCACCGTTTGTTGAAAAGACTATCCTTGCCCTGTTAAATTGCTTTTGTGCCTTTCTCAAAGATCAGTTGACTATTTATGTAGGACTATTTCTGAGCTCTGTGTTCTTTTCCAGTAACCTATTTGTCTGTTTTTTCTTTCTTCACCAATTCCACACTGTTTTGGTTACTTTAGCTTTATAATTAGTACTGAAGTTGGCAGTGTCAGTTCTCTGGGGATTTTTCTGATCTTTACTATGAGTACCTGGTTGGGCTCCTGGTGGTAAAACTTAGAAAACTGTGAGTTCCCCCTAAGTCTGGGCCCCAAGTTTTTAATGCTCAAGCCAGGCCACCCTCAGCTTCTAGAAATCTGTCAGTATCATTTATGTGCTCTTTCCAGTTGCTGGCTTCAGCATGTTCTCTTCCTGCTAACCTCTGATTCCCTGTATTTGCCTGTCTGTTTAGTTTTCAGGGTGGCAATTTGCCCTGTGACCTCTCCTCTAGTCCATCTAAGAAGGGTTGATAATTTTCAGTTTGTTGAGCTTTTTTCTTGTTGTGAGGACAAGTGGTGACTTCCTAACTCTTTACATGTTGGAGTAGAAACCGGAAATTTCATTTAAAAAATTACTTGTAATAAAAGTCACTAACTGTAAATGTAGAATTTAGTCATTTAAGTAGATATATAGAATTTTGCAGCCATCACCTCAGTCCCCTCTTAGAATACATTTCTTACCTTCCCAAATTCTCCAGAGCCTCTTTGCGGTTATTTTCTAATCCCTGGTCACCATGATGGAGCCTGAACAAAATAAAAATTTGGAAAACAGACAACATTAAATTTAAACTTTTATTAGATTGGAATTTTATGTAATGGACCATTGTCTTACTTTTGTGGCAACTAGAAGAGATATTGTATTCTAAGGACTTTCTTTGGGGGAACTTAATAGTAGTCCTGTTTATTGCTGTCCTTGAATTGGTTCATTCGTGCTGCTGACTGATAGTTGCTATCAAACCTTATCTGGTGAGCACAAGTGAAAGAGCTAAAAAAAAAATCTTCTATTAGAAATGTAGATGATGAATTTACAGATAATGTTATGTGGAGTTAAGTATTTTTTTTTTTTTTTTGAAACAGAGTTTTGCTCTTGTTGCCCACGCTGGAGTGCAATGGCACGATCTTGGCTCACCGCAACCTCTGCCTCCCGGGTTCAAGGGATTCTCCTGCTTCAGCCTCTGGAGTAGCTGGGATTACAGGTATGCGCCACCGCGACCTGCTAATTTTGTATTTTTAGTAGAGACGGGGTTTCTCCATGTTGGTCCGGCTGGTCTTGAACTCCCAACCTCAGGTGATCCACCTACCTCAGCCTTCTAAAGTGCTGGGATTACAGGCATAAGCCACTGTGCCCGGCCAGGAATTAAGTATTTTACCATCTTTTTTCTTTCAGAAATTTGGTTGGTAACATTGAAGAGACACTTCTCACCTGCCTGAAATGCCCTTCATTATCTTTTCAGGTTGCAAGGGCTCTGGAACAGCCCTTGCAGTACTCACATAAAGGTGAGTGTAACACTTTACTGTAGTCCTGTGCTTTTCTACTTTTTTGTGCTTACAAGGATTAGCATACGTGTATGTGAAAATATAAAATCAAGAGTAGAAGCCAGGCACGGTGGCTCATACCTGTAATCCCAGCACTTTGGGAGGCTGAGGCAGGTGGATCACAAGGTCAGGAGTTCAAGGCTAGGCTGGCCAAGATGGTAAAACTGCATCTCTACTAAAAGTACAAACAATTAGATGAGTGTGGTGGTGGATGCCTGTAATCTCAGCTACTCGGTAGGCTGAGGCAGAGAATTGCTTGAGCCAGGGAGGCAGAGGTTGCAGTGAGCTGGGTTTGCACCACTGCACTCCAGCCTGGGAGACAGAGTGAGGCTCCATCTCAAAGAAAAAAAGAGTAGAGATAGGCATCTGTAACTAGTTTTCTGTTGCTGCCTATTAACACATTATAACAAGTTAGTGGTTTGAAACCACAGAAATCAGGAATGAAGTGATTGGGTTCTCTGATCAGGGTCTTAGGAGGCTGAAATCCAGTTATGCGTTGCCTGTGCTTTCATCTAGAGCTCAGGCTACTCTTCCAAGTTCACTACAGATGTATTGGCAGAATTCATCTTCTTGTCGGTGGAGGACTGAGATCCCTTTTTCTGTGCTGGCTCTCAGCCAGGAGACACCCTGATTCCAGACGCCACCTGCATTCTTTCTCACTTGGCCTTTCCCACCATACAACCAACAACAGCTCACGGAATTCTTCTCAAGCTTCCATCCTCTCTGACTTTGTCTTCTCCTACCCACTAGAGAAAGCTCTGGCACTTATGGAGTGATGTGATGAGATCTGGCCCAGTCAGGAAAGCTCAGCCTTTGTATTAGTATGTTCTTGCAATGCTATAATTAACCACCCGAGACTGGGTAATTTATAAAGAAAAGAGGTTTAATTGGGTCATGGTTCTGTGGACTGTACAGGCTTCTGCTTCTGGGGAGGCCTCAGGAAACTTACAATCATGGCAGAAGCAGGAGAGAGAGAGAGAAGGGGGAAGTGCTACACACTTTTAAACAACCAGAACTCGTGGAAACTATCACGAGACACCACTTGGGGCGTGGTGCTAAGCCATTAGAAACCACCCCATGATCCAATAACCTCCTGCCAGGCCCCACCTCTAACATGCAGGATCACAATTCAACATGAGATTTGGGTGGGGACACAGAGCCAAACCATATCACTCTTTCAAGTCATATAATTGCCATGTAACAACATGATTACAGGAATGATGTCTCACCACCTTAACAGGTCCCAGAGAGAAGGGTACAGCTTTTTGGAGACCATTTTAGAAATTCTGGTTATCACAGTTCAACTTCTCGTCCCCAGACATTCACGTTTCTCCCAGATGCAAAATACATTCATCCTCTCACCTAAGGTTCCCGAGTTTCATGTCATTAATGCATTAGTTCAAAGCGAAAAATGTCATGTAGATCTTATCTGATCAAAAGTTTAAAATCTCATCTAAATCTTCTATACCAAGTGTGAACGAGGCTTCTGAGGGTGTCCATTAAGTACAGATCCTTTTCTTTTTTTTTTGAGGGAGTCTCTCTCTGTTGCCCATGCTGGAGTGCAGCAGCACAACCTTGGCTCACTGCAACCTCCACCTCCTGGGTTCAAGCAATTCTCTTGCTTTAGCCTCCCGAGAAGCTCGGATTACAGGCATGTCCACCACACCCAGCTAATTCTTTTGTATTTTTAGTAGACATGGGGTTTTGCCCTGTTGGCCAGGATGGTCTCGAACTCCTGACCTCAGGGGATCCATCTGCCTTGGCCTCCCAAAGTGCTAGGATTATAGGCATAGGCCACTGCACCCAGCCCAAGTACAGATCCTTGACATAATTCCCTTACCTCTGCTGAGCTGTGAAATTGAACAAAGCTTATCTGCCCTCAACGTGCAATGGTGGGACAGTCATAGAATAACAATGCTAGTGATTCTTGTTCAAAAAGAGGGAAAGTGGAAGGAACAAAGTCACTGACCCAAAACCATTTTGAAATGGGGCTGAGCAAAATCCAGCAGGAATTTCTTGATTAGGATCCACAGCCTGGAACTAACCCTCTGTGTGTGACATGGGGCTTTGCCTCTGGGCTCTGCATTTCTTTCTGTCCTTTATTCAAATCATTTTATTTTCCTTCTCCTTGAACTCCTTTGGTTCTTCACCTTTCTCTTTATGGCAGCATCCTCCCCTTAATCCTTGGTGCATCCTCCCTAGCAGAATTGGTCAGATATTGCCCATGTCATGGTCCTGACCATCTCCATGTGGGGCTGTCCTCGTGACCCCCTGCTCCTTTGGGACCCTGTTCACTGACCTGACCTCTCTCAGTCATGATTGCTTTCAGCTGATCTGGCTGGCTTAGAAGAAAACCTAGGACTGTAGAGTCCCAGAACCAATCTCTGCCCTTCAAGAGAGGAAGAAAGTAACAGGGATCTTCATCAAGAAATGACCTACATGAGGGCCTGGACTCTCCAGCAGTTACAGCAGTTACAGCAGAGGAAAGTTTCTGAAGCAGAATGGAGGGGCTGAGATCCCAGGCTGGGAAAGCAGGATTGTGTCAAGCACTATTTAATCCTTATGTGCTCCCTGCCCCGATCTACCAGCCAGCAAATGACAACTGACCGCGTATAAATACTAGGACTACAGAACCGTGATAAAGGGTTTGTCCAAGGAAAGGCCCTTTCACTATTTTTGCTTTCACGGTGGAAATTGCTATTTTTGATCCAAAGTTTTCTGAAATGCAGCAGTGAGCTCCTGGAGGGTGAGTTAGGTGCTTTGGACAGGGAGGCTGAGGCCAAGGCTTGTGTGGTCGATTTGCTGCCACCATGTGGTGAGGCAGCCTGGGAGCGTCTTAGTCTTTCTTGGCTTCACTTTCCTTGTCAGTAAGGTAGGGGCTTATTGTTCCTCTCTGAGGTCCCTTCCTGCTGTGTTTTCTCTGAGTCTCTGAGGAATGGAGATGGTTTTTAACACTGCCCATGACCTGCAGCTCAGACCTGCCTCTGTGTGTCTCCTGCAGGAGCCTGAGCTGAGTCCACACCCTGGAAGCCCAGAACTGAGGGAACAGATGGAAGAAAGAAAGTCAGCAGGTTTAGGGGATGAGAATAACCACAAAGGACAAGCCATTGGTAAATGAAAACCAAAGAAGGGGACAATAAGGACAAATTGGGTCAGAGGCTTCAGGGGAAATGGGAAATGCCCATCATCATCCAGACCCTCAGGGAGCAGTGGGAACTGAGCAGTGGGGACTGAGAGAGAATCTTACTCTCTTGGCTCAGAGCTGGTTTATAGTGAGGGGCAGCAGCAACTTCAAGAGGGGGAGGATGCGACCATGAGTCCCCGCCCCAGACCCAGGAGCCTTGACCTTGGGGCTGCCGTAGCAGTGGATGCTCTTCAGGTCAGTGTGGGTTAGAGGGAATAACCAGGCTGGGAGAAGGTTTGGAGACATCCATTCTTACATTAAACAGGTCTGCCCTAGGTCACGTGCCAGAGTAAGTGTCCCTTGCTTGTATATGAAGCAGTGATACTAATAATCTTCTTCTGTCCTTACAGTTGAGGAAGGTTTCTCATAAATATTTATTGGGTATTTAATTTTCTTTATATTGTGCTAAGCACTTGGGATTCAGATATTTAATGTCCCTCCAAAAGAACTCAAGCCAGTGAGGGGGAGAACACAAACAGATCATTTCAAAAAATATGGTAGTTCTACCAAACTGAGGTGTTGTGGCAGCCCAGAGGATGGGAGGGTATGTCAAAGGACATTGCTCCTAATGACAGGGGGAACCATAAGAGAAAATTTTTAGGACAGACCAGTCTTCCTCTAAGCTTCCACAGGGGAGGATCCTGGGGCATGGATGGTGTAAAGCAGGCGCCTCTCCAGGGAAGGGTATTTGCAGCATCCTGAGAGAAAGAGCATCCTTACAAGACATTTGGGACAGAAATGTAGGTGAGGGGATTGGAAGTTTGCAATCGCTTTTATTCAATCATTGATGAACACTGCTGAGAGGTCCCTCTGTGCTGGGCCCTTAGCTAAGAACCATGAACACAGAGATGAGTAAAATAGGATCTCAACTCTCATAGAATTCTCAGTCTAGTGACTGGTGAGTCATGAGAATTGTAGTGATGGTGGGTTCATTGGAACCAGTGGCCCATGCCACATGAGATGACCTCAGTGGATGGCCTGGTTCCCCTTCTGGTTGTCTCCAACAGCTGGATGACCTGTCCTGGGCCAGTGACCCTGGACTTCAGCCATATTTCAGCATCTCAAGGTACAGTATGCCAACACCTCAGCTCCATGTTGAGTCAAAGCAGTTAACACAGCCAAGGTATTCAGAGGACACTAATGATAACAGTAGCTACTGACTATTTCCTGGCCAGCTGGGGAAATAAAGAAGTAAGTTTAATAAGTCTTCTAAATTTGTCCTTGCCATTGTGATAAATAACTTTATCTTGACAATTAATTATATTATGGCAAATTAATTATAACTTGCCATAATGATAAATAACTTTATCCTGAGTAGAGCAGCGACACAAGCCCTTTAGGACACATGCCTGAGGCAATGACAGTCTAACTTTGAAACAGTGGAAGACCTAGTTTCAAATTCAAGTTTGCTTTGAGTAGAAATTAACTTTACCTCTTTTTGCATGGCAATGGGGCCAATCTTCCTTAAGCTGCTCCTTAAAAGAAAAGGAATCATACTGCTAAGAATTCAGACTTCAGCAGACATGGGTAAGTAAGGAAGTCTTATAAATCTATTCTAGCCTCCTAGCAAGAAACCAGAAATTTAGCAAGTTCATTGATGTTCAGGACAGTTGTGTTCACTAGATCAGAGGCACTGAGACATGAAGAACAGACCCCCTAGTAAAAGGGAAATAATTCCTTCCTGTCTTAGGACACCACTGCCAACTTCAGGGAAGTGGGAAAACAGCTGCTCACTCTACAGTATGGGTTGCCTTTGTGTCTGGAATGTGTCTGACGTCCTGATCCCTGTGCCTATTTCAGGGAGCATTGGGAGGAGCCCGAATCACTGATGGAATTGAACAGTGCGTGGAGACGGTTCAGCAGGACAAGGGTAAGTGCGGGGGCATGGCCAGGTCAGACAATGAGCAGCGCTGATGACAACAAACAAAGATAAAATCAAAAGTTTGTGCTTTGACTTCAAAAACTCAAACCAATAACTAATTTGCTCTTATAAGTAATAACAAGTATTTTTCTATTTACATGAGGATTTAATCTCAAAACAGAAATCATAAAAATATTAAGTCCAGGGCATAAAACCTAAACCATAGCTTATATTTATTCTTTCTAAATAGAGCTAACAGTAAAATCTTCTTCATGAAACATAAATTGTGATTATAAAGAGGCAAAAGTCTTAGTGAGAATCATTGGTATTCCATAGAAGAGTGAATTAAACACAGCAAAGGGAAGACCCAGGTCTCATACTTCTCTTGCATATTCCAAAGTTCCAGGGAAATTCCAGGTGATAGAGGTTATTTCCCATACTGTTAAAGCAAGGTTGCAGACACTTCTGAATTTTGGTCCCAGTACTCTGGAAGGGCACACCTCTGTCCTGGAAAATAATACAGGAAGGAATACTCTTCCCGTGACTCATTCTGGTCATTCTTCCAGCATCACAAAAACCAAAAAGTAGAAATATGGCCAAATACATGATTAGCTATCCCTCTTGTTCAGGTTTCTTAGCTGATTCTTATGGATAATAGCATTACCTTAAGGATTATGATGAAGATATGATGTCCAAATATGTGGACAGTTTTGAGCAAAATGCCTGGTATGAATTGGTCAATGAATAATTACTGAATAATTATATGAATATTTACTGAATATGGATCCTATGAATAATTACTGAATAATTGTTGTGATTGCTTTTATTGGCAGTGCTCAAAATTCATCCCTGTGTGACCTCAAGTAAGCCACATAACTTTGTGATCCTGCAGTTTCATCATATTTAACAGGAAAAAACTTGACAGATTTTCATTCTGCCACAGAATGTCAGGTCTCCCAGACACCAGAAAATACATTGACTTAAAAAGCCTTTGATACATCTCAAAGCAGTATCCCTACGCAGTATAGTTGGAAGATGGTGGGCGCTGTAGAGAGGGATGCTTTCAAATGGGATTGATCCAGTCCTCCTTCCTTCACTTCCACATGAATGCTGGGCAGCCCAGGGTCACACCCACTGCACCCTCAACTCGGGCAAGTCCAACAGCCAAACTGAGGAGACCTGGGCTACAGAACAGTCTCTCAAGTTCCAGGCTCACAAAACCTAGGTGGGAATGAATGCCGAGAAAGTGAGGAGGTGGTTCAGGGGATCTCTCTCCCCTACTCATTCCTCTCACGTCAAACTCACCTTCTACTGCACAGCAACACTGAGGATCACCAAATACCAACTACTAACACCAAGACCATGACCTTGATGTTGCCATGTTCTGTTAGTGGAAAGCAACCACACATCAGTTGTGTTAGTCCAACTCAGAAAAATACTTATCAAGCAATATTCCATAAGAACTGCTCATGGCCCTGTTCTTTTCAATATATGGGAAAACTAAAGGAAAACAACAAAATAGTATCAGGTTTGCAAGACTTCCCAAGATCGATGGTCACACGTGTTTTCAGGAGCTCCCTATGTAAATGATTTTGATCACTTGATACCTTGAAAAGAGCTCTTATGGGCCCAGAATGACATCCATAAGTGACAAGTATGAAATGTAGTGTTCAGTCACATTAAAAAACAAATCATCCCACATAGAGGAAGAGCTTTGGATGTAGGAATGTCAAACTGGTCTTAAATGTAATGAAAAGCCAAGATGGTGCCCCAGTAAGAAAAAAGAAATCAACATAACAATGGGATGCCCCAAGAAGAATACTGAGACAGGAAAGAAAACATTTTTAAAAAATTAATTATTCATTCACTTTCTGGTGGATACAGAAAAAACTGCAGAAGACCCACAGGATATCATGGCAGTCTAAAAGTTTGATATCTTACACCGTGGAAAAGCCTTAAATTCTATTTTAACGTGAGAGAAGGTGGAGTGACTGACTTCATGACTACCATTTAGAAAATATAACCTGTTGGGAAACTATTTCTGCCTTGATGATTTTGTACACACAAGAAATGAACAATGAGGAAGATGCTTAGATGTATTGGGAAAGAGATGGGTCTGTGGCATTGTCACAAGGGTACAAGGGTACACATATACTGAGAGTGAATGCTGAAGGGAAGGCCCCCATCGGTGGTGACCTCTCGTGTGACCAGGGCGCCTGTGTTTCAGCAAAGCCTGGGCAATTGGAACGCAGGGCTCCTAAGATTCCATGACACCCCCACCTTCTAATTCTGTTATTGCAACTGCAGACCGTTACCTGGCATGCTGGCTGCCACCTCCCTCACTCTTGTCAGAGTCTGAGCTACAGGCAGTGCCTTCAGCTCTGAGCTCAGGCGTCTCAAACCTTGTTTTTGCGATTAAGGACTCTCAAGTGCTGTGGGGAGTGATCACGTTTTTCTCAACAGTAAGCTAAGAATTTTACTGACATCCCTCAGTCCTGATTAAACCTATTTGATTTCACCAGTTTTTAACCCATCATGTGTTTGGGTTTCTTCTCCCCAGTCCCTGGCTCCACCTCTTCTGCCACAAACATCAGCATGGTGGTGTCTGCCAGCCCTTCATCCAGTGTGAGAAGACAGAGATGAACACTGGAGAAATCAACAAGAAATTGCGCCCCCAGCCGGCAGAGAACAAACAGCAGTTCAGAAACATAAAGAGAAATTTCTTGTAACTCAAGTGGCCTAATTCCTGGCCAACCAGCAGAAGAAATACCGTAAGTTCGATAGGCTCACCATCACAAAAGTGAGGAATGATGTCCTGTCTTCTCTCTGAGAAACTAAATGCTCTCTCCATCAAAAATAATTTCATCTTTCCCGTGCTTCTAGGAAAATAGAAATGGGTATTTTAACATTTTGTTAGAAATGGAAGACAGAGGCAGAAAGTATTTAGCAACTTTTCCATGTTTGCAGTCAGGTGGCGGTGGGATTAGAGTTAAAAATCCCAGTTCTTGATTTCTGACACAGGCACAGCACCACCTGTTTTCTCAGCAAGAGGCTAAATCATGTTACTAGAATCCTCTCTGTACCATAAAAGATTCTGCAGACAAGTAGCATCTAGTCTGTTGGTCTAAATATGTGGGACTCATGAACTTCCATTCAGTTCAAGTCTCTGTTGAGGCCCAATAGGCAAAGCTCTGTTCTGGAGACCCTGGAGGAAACATGGTGTTAGTACACAGTACCCGCACTGAGGAGCTTAAAGAGAACTCTGCTCCTAATAGAACCTGTGGTATCTATGAGTGACAGCATCAAGAGCAGGGAGTACCCTGGTGAGAGGGAAGTCCTGCTTCCTAGGGCACTGGCTCTTGTTCCTAAAAAGGAAGAAAGACGGCACCCAAGACTTTGTGGAGGTAGCATGTGTAGAGCAGGGACCCTGGGCCAGTGTCCTGGGCTCCACCCAAGTTGCTTGTCTTCTCTGTTCCTCTGCTTCTTCATCTGTCCATAGGGTACTATAATAATACCTACCTCTGCAAATTGCTGCAATGAATTACATGACCTATTTCTTGTAAACCTCCTGGAACAGTTGTTGGCACAGAGTAAACACTATTAGTTCTTCATTCTACTGTTTCTAACTTAACAGAAACTTGATTAGTATTTCGGCATATTTCCTTCATGGCCTTATGGTCTTATGCCTCATATTTTATGCAGTTTATCCAGATAGTATTTTTAAAATCTTTGACATAGTTGTGCTTGAAATTCTCAGTAAAAGGGAAACTGTCAGTCTCATTGTCCTAGGGGCCTTACCAACTCTACGGAAAATCACTTCATGGCCCAGTGCAGTGTTTACAGGAGAGGCTGCAAGCCTTGGGAAAATGGCCCAGGATTCAGAGTCAGACCTCAGGGGTTGTGAATTCGGACTCCACTTCGTTGTGATTGAATCATCTTGTCAACTTAGTTGGTGTGCCCTTGAGTTTCTCTTTCTTCATCTCTAAATTTTGGAGGATTAGATGCCAGAAAGTTGGGAGACCAAAGAGTAAAAATATGGAAATCCCTGCCTAGAGCCTGGTACTGGGGACAGTTTTGTCCTTGGGATGGACCTGTCTCCTGCCCTGTAGGCAATGACCACAGCAGCATGTCTAGCCTTCCACTGAGGCAGGCGCGTCTGTCTTTTCTCAGAGTATGAAGAATTCAAAGACCTCATAAAATCTATGCTGAGGGATGAGCTGCAATTCAAGGACGAGAAGCTTGCAGAGCAGCTTGGGCAAGCTGAGGAGCTCAGGTGAGGCGGCCCCGTGGGGGCAGGCAGGTGGGCAGGTATGTGAATCTCTGAAGTACAGCAGCTCAGCCGGGAGAAATAAGAGCTAAGCTGGGCCAGGGGAAGGGCAGGAATTGCCATGGCAGGCTCACGACACCCAAATATTTATCAAACAGAGAACAAGGATAATAATAAGTTATGAGTTGCAGTTGTTTCTCAGAACCTTGTTTTCTCTTTTTCAAACAAGTAACTGTTGAGGTGAAACTTGCATAATGCAAAATTAACCAAAGGAGTGGAAACCACCCAGCAGCATTCAGTATACTCAAAATGGTGTGCCATCATCACCCCACTTACCCTTAGTCAGAATCACCTCCTGACGGACTGCGGCTTCTCATTCTTTCACTCAATCAGTGTTGCCTTCTCGACCCTGTCATTCTTTTCTTCTTTCGTCTTTTCAATTTGCCCCATCTGCACCTAGCCTCATTTCTGTACCTGGCTTTGTATCTAGTCACCACAAAATACCTTATGTGTATTTTCACATGGAAATGTCGATGGCCAAAGTGAGGAATTGAAAGGATGTCTTTTTGAAACTGATTTAGAAAGACCTACTTTTGTTTACAGAAGAGAAATATGAATGCAACATTGTCGAGGATATTTCAGTTGCACTCTCTGATATAGAGGAAGCCTGTAAAAAAAATTCTTTTTGTCTTGGCCACAGGCATTTCCCCAAACATGTGCTGACCTTCTGCTTGGAGGTCTCCTTGAGGACATTGTCTCAGAGATCTCTGTTGCAATATTAGAACTGATCACTCATCCCTTTCCATTATTAAATTTTCTCTACTGTCTCACCTTAGGCAATATAAAGTCCTAGTTCACTCTCAGGCACGAGAGCTGGCCTGGTTAAGGAAGAGATTACAGGAAGGGAGAGATGCCTCCCGCTCATTGAATCAGCATCTCCAGGCCCTCCTCACTCCGGATGAGCCTGACAACTCCCAGGGGCAGGATATCTGAGAGCAGCTGGCTGAGGGCTGCAGGCTGACAGAGAACCTCATCCACAAACTCAGCCCAGGTAAGGTGGCCACAGGCCCTGATGACACAAAACCCCAGGCTTATGAGAGACTCCAGACCTCCATACCTCCACAATGACAGTTGTATTGGTGGTGTTTTTTTCCACTAAACATATGTGGCCATGACATGACCAGGACTTCCTGGGTAACAACAGAGATGGGAAACCCATGGGATTGGTGGTCACAGTATTGTAAATGTCCCTCCTTCCTTGATGGAAGGTGGTCTTTGGAACAGGAGGCAGCATCTCTCCAGTTTTAAAGGACAAGAAGGAGGCTGTGACAGGAGGGCGCTTGTTAGAGTGAAAAGAGCTCTGGACTAAGCATGGAGGTTCCCAGGCTCTATCTTCAGCAACGTCCTTCGTAACTGTCGGTGAGTGATTGATTTATCCTTCCTGGGTTTCTCTCTCTCCATCTGCAAAGGCCGGCAAATTGTCTCTTGCAAGTGTCTTTAGCATTCAAATGTGGGAACACTTAACGACTGCTTTTCAAAATGAGATGAAGCTCCTTGCCGTGTGGTGTTGGAGAAGGCACTTGATGTGGGGGCATTTGGTGGTAGGAGTGCTTCAGACTGGAGTACTCTCCATGGAGAGAATGTCCCTGAATAACACAGCAGAAGCCACTTGGTGGGCCTGTGAAGTCCCCTGATGGACAGAGGACTGTGGGACAAGTTTGTCCTCTCCTAAGAGAAAGAATTAGTTTCGAAATGTGAACTGTGACAGGACACCAAGCCTGTGCCTGGGAATCAGATCTGTGGCAGGATGGCGGAGACAGCTGCCAAAGTCCAGAGAGAGGCTGGACAAGTCTCCAGGGATATGGGGACCAAAAGATGTTTTCAATATTTGGCCACATCTTGATGGTGGCCCTCCAGATCAGAAATGCATTGCCTGATGGATTAGGAAACTGTGCCAGGGCATTTTGTTAAAGATAAAACATGAGAGCTTTCAGTTGAATGGTGACCCATGCCTAGATGTTCATGTGTCTGCACACATTGGGCTGACTATGCTTGCAGAATGTGAAGTGAGAAATATCTGAATGAACATTCCTGTATTTACAGAAAATGATGAAGATGTGGATGACGATGTTTACGTTGAGGAGGCTGAGAAAGTGCGGGAATCACGTGCCCCCAGGTAACACTGAATAATCAGGAGCAATAATGGGTGGTAACATATGAAAAAGATCTAGGAGGCACACTCTCTCTGGCGTCTACATTGGGCCAAAAGCCTGCATTCCCCTGGCCACAATATGTTAAATTCAACCCAGCTTAGACACAGGGTGTGGCAGCTGTTATGGTTCTCTGTGTGTGCTGAGTGTCATGTCTGTACCATACAGGGATAGCTGAGTCTCCATCCTCCTCAGCTCCTATCTGCCCAGTGCAATGAACACCAGCTGCTGTCTTCCTCTTTGGCTCCCATAGCAGCCATGCTCTGTTGCAGAGAGTGGAGGAGTGCCTGTTCCCTCTTAAAGGGAACCTCCTGTTTGCTTTCTGGGACCACTCTCTTATGCTTCCTGTCAAAACTAGCTAGGACTCCCTGAGGTCCAATCCCTCTCTGTTTAATCTTCTGTTATGTCTGTGTCACCTGGCTCATCAGGGAGGTGCGAAGCCTGAAGAGAAGGAATTGATGAAATGATCATACAGATATGTATATTGCATATATCTATGCAATATACATATTGCATCAATATCCCATGATATTGCCGGCTCAATGAGGACAGAGTCCTCTCTCTATTATGATTTGGATTTGAAGGGAAGATGCCATGGGTCCTAAACATCGCAGCATGACCAGCGTGTGCTGCCCACGACCTGCAGTGCCATGGTCAGGTGGAAGTCATTTTACTTCAGTAGAGGACAGTGTTCTCTTCTGACCTTTTCCTCAGTGGCTAGATCTGTATCTCTCTCTCTCTTCTCCCATCTGCCCTCCGTTCCCTGCCCCGCTTTGTTTTTTCTCTCTGTTCCCACCCTGCTGGCCCCTTCCACCTGTTTTCTTTTCTTCAGCTTTCATCGTTCACCCCCCTCTGCCCACCCATATGCCCCAGGCTAAGTCCCCTGCACATTCCTGGGGAGGGGCGTAGATGTGTATGGTTTTAGGCAGTGCCCTCTAGATGTGTCCATGATGGGGAAACATGGCTCAGCTGCCAGTATAATGCTTTAAAAGAGTGGCCACTTTTGAAGGCCTTTTACATCTAGGATCCTCTATGACTTAAAATATATGGGCCACATTGGAATTCCTTGTTCCCCAGGACCTTGCAGTGGATGCCTTCTTTCACTGAGCATTCACAGGGTGCCTATTAGGTGCCAGGCCCTGCTCTGGGCTAGGGGCTCCATTGTGAGCAATCCTCAGTTCATTGCCACATGGAGCCCACCTCTGCAGGCATCAAGAGGGTGGGGCCGTCAACCACATCTACCAGTGCTAAGCATCAAGGACAATGAAGGCTGAGAATAGCCTGCTGGATTTGGCTATATGGTAGGTAAGGACTTGTTTGATTCTGGGGAAAGCAATTTCAGCAATGGGGAGGAGAAAGCAGCCTTGTTGCAGGGAGCTGAGGATGCTTAGTAGTGAGGAGATGAGGAGAACGGTGAGCTAGCATTTATGAAGCAACCTTTGCTTCCTATGTGATAATTACACTTTTCCCAACTTTCAGATTTGTGTTTCTTCCCTTGCCAGAAGTTAGTCTCTTTACAGACTGGACTTGCAACTTTCCGGAGTCATTGTCTTTGCTTGCATTCCTACCAGAATCCCTAGTGACTCTGCGGATCATGTTTAATGATAATGTTGACACTAAGTCATTGTGAGGGTAAAATATGAATCTGGTAACAGAAACGTTTTTCTCGGTGGAGAGAGGTGGGGCCGGGAACCAGGACTACTGATGCTTCTCTCTGCCCCCACTGTCTAACTTTACAGGCAGCTCAAATCACTCAGAATCCAGTTTGCGGCCAGTGCAGACTTGCCTCTCCCTCCCAGTCTTCTTTCTTGGTGGTGACTGGGAGAGATTTAGGAGATTAGGGAGGGCCAAGAAACAAAGCATGAATTATCACGGTTGCTGCACAGGTGTGGTCCTCTCAGTCTCTCTGCCTGAATTCCCAACACATCTCTCACCAGGTTGCTGGATGGTACAATAGGGTCATTGTAAGGTGGGTGGGTGCAGTGAGTCAATGAAGTCTTCCTGAGGTGCAGGGGGGCAGGGAGGGATCCTCTCCCCTATAGCCGGAGCTGGGTCACAAATTGGTGGTGGAATGCCCAGCTTCAGGGTCCATTTGCACGGCTGTATATTTCAATTATACACTTGGTTCTTTTTTTATATATATATACTTTTGTTCTTGTTTTATGCATTTGATCTATTGATTTATTTGACCATTTTAAACACACTCATGCTAACATCCTTCCAGATTGCTCTCCCTCTTGTTACTCAGTGTGAAGTCTCTAGTCTGTTGTATGTACTTGTCATCCCTCGTGTGCCTGTGAGCCTATTCTAAGTGTATTTATCTCCTGTGGACATCCTCCAAATGTCTGGAGGCATCTCCACGAGGTGGTTTTGCATTTGTCTAGGGTTTTATGGCGCTTACAACTCTGGGGTAGTTTTTGTTTTATTTCTTTAATAGCATGTGTTTGAACCCCATGCCTTCTGGGAACACAGGTGCAGTGCTCTGATTTCTCTCAGATGACTTTGCCTCGCTCCAGGGCTCATTCTGTGTCTTGAGAGGTGGTGGACTGAGCTTTCCAGTCTCCATCAGTGACAGGGCAGCTCTTTAGCAGCTCTCTCTTTTCACTAAGAGTTCAGTTCTAGTTCTCCACCATGGCCTGGGCCACGTGGCCTCCGCTCTGGGGCACCGTGACAGCTATCAGTTCCCTTTGTGCTTCCGGCACCTGAATAATTCTCTTTCTGCCTTTTAATTGACCAAGTATTTTAACTTTTTGAGGGGAAGGGGAAGATTCTATGTTATCCAGCATTATTTGCGGTAGGAAAGGGGCTTTCTATATCTGCTGCATACTAAATTTTGGCAGAAGTCCTACCACCATGGCCCAAATCTCCATCAAAAGAGATAGATATTTGCTTGATTTTTTTCTTCTTGTTTTTCTTCATTAAAAAAATGTACATTGGATTTAGCTATGATTTCTTGGATATGACACCAAAGCCACAGGAAATGTAAGAAAAAAACATATAAATTGGACTTCATCACAACGAAAAACTTTTGTGCATCAAAGGACACTATGAATAGAGTGAAAAGGCGACCCACAGAATGGTAGAAAATATTTGCAAATCACATATCTAATAAGGGCTTAATACCCAGAATATAAAAAGAACTCCTACAACTCAACAAAAACCAAACAACCCAATACAAAATGGGCAAAAGAATCAAATAGACATTTTTCCAAAGAAGATATACAAATGGCCAATAAGCACATTGAAAAGATGCTTAACATCACCAATCTTTAGGAAAATGTGAAAGGAAACCAAAATGAGATACTATTTCACATTCATTAGGATGGCTATTATTTTAAAAAGAAGAAAATAGCAAGTGTTGGTGAGTATGTGGAGACTTTGGAAACCTTGTAAGCATTGCTGGTGGGAATATAAAGTGGTGCTGCCACTGTGGAAAGATGTATGGTGGTTCCTCAAAAACTAAAAATAGAATTACCATATGATCCAGCAATTCTATTTCTGGGTTGTATTCCCGGAGACTTAAATCATTATTTATACACCTGCATTCATTGTAGCACTATGCACAATAACAAAAGGTGGAAGCAACCCAAGTGTCCATCAATAGATGAATGGATAAACAAAATGTGGCACACACACACACATACACACAAATATACACACAATGGACTATTATTCAGCCCTGAAATGGAAGGAAATTTTGACATATGCAACAACATAAATGAATCTTGAAGACATTATGCTAAGTGAAATAAGTCAGACACAAAAAGACAAATGTTGTATAATTCCACTGACAGGAGGTACCTAGAGTAGTCAGATGAATAGAGACAGAAAGTAGAATGATGGTGACCAGGAGGTAGGTGAGGGGAGAGAGGGAAGTTATTGTTTAATGGATGCAGACTTTCAGTTTGGGAAGATGGAAACGTTATGGAGGTATTGGTGGTGATGTTTATACAATGTGAATATACTTAATGCTACTAAAATGTACACTTAAAAAATGGTAACAGTGTTAAATTTTTATGTTCTGTATATTTAACCATAATAAAAAAATTTAAAATTTTCAATAACTCAAGAAAATACACACACAAAAAAAGTCTACCTGAATTAGTGTTGTCACTTTACTCTGTGTTCCCCTTGGTGGCAGGAGTAGCCATGCGGTAGAAGAATACCAATCTCAGCTTTCTGCAGTGTGCTGGATATTCTGTTTGCTCCTCCAGCTCCACTTTTGGTGCTTCTCTGCCCAGCTCAGACTTCCAGTAGGGTGGACCAACAGGAGGCACTTGCAGGCGATCAGAAGGTGGGAAGAGAGAGAAATCAATATTTATTCCCCGGGGTCCCTCCTGCCAGGCTGTGGTTTGACAGTGGCTGTATTTCTACATCTAAGGCCACAGCATCCGTGAGTGGCCCCTCTTCCTGGGCTATATGGCTCTTGAATTCCAATAATTTCTCCCTTGCCAGTCAGGCTGAGAGGTGGGAACAGCATCCTAATTTTGCTAGTCCTGGTGCTTTGCCATCTCTTGTTATTTATCTTATCTCTTACATCTTCATAAATAGTGCATTCCTTAAATTCTCTTCAGTGACCCGTTTGAGTGTGCATGTGTTTCCTGTGGGAACCCAGACTGATATACATGGTATGTCCCACATCTGGTATAGCATTCTCTTATCGCTTATTCATGTATCATATATTTTTTTCATTCAACAATTTTTTTTTGCTACTATATGCTGGGTACCACATTAAGTCCTAGCAATACAAAGATGCCTTTAATTAGGTCTCTGTTCTTGAGCTCAAAGTCAAGTTAGAAAAGACAGACAAGTAAGAACACTGTAAGTAGAGTGGCAAGTGCTATGATAGAGGCAAGAATGGAGTGCTCTGGAGCATAGAATAAGAGCATTAAAATCAGCTTTGGATAGGGGTCTTAGGAAAGGCCTTCTTGGGGAGATGATACTTACACTGCTCTACAGGGCAAGTAGAAACAGGTGGAAAGGCGGCCAAGGCCTTTCAGGGCAGCAAGAAGAGCGTGTGTCAAAGCAAAGAGGCACATCACTGTGACATCAGTTCTAGCCTTGGTTGGCAAGGTGGGCAGGGAGCAGACCACAAAGGCTCTTGAGTGCTCCAGGGAATCCTGTATATTCAGAAGGTCCAATGCCTGGTTTTACACATGGGAGCGATACCAGAACATTTGCCTTTAAAAACTCTCTTTGATCACACGGTGGAGAAAGGGATGGAAGAGGTCCAACTGGACAGGGAGAAGCTTAAGAGAGTTTATTGCAAAATGGTAGAGGTCCTCTTTTCTAAAGGGTAGGGACCTGTAGTTGGTTTGGCTAACTTAAAAAAATTGGTGAAAATGGATATTTATAAAAAGGATATTTAAAATATTTGCTTTAACTTAAAACATGTATATTTATCAAAATTTTGCTATATTATCTTTCTTGCATAAATCACACTCACAGTGGATTTTAGTACAATTGTAGCTACCTCTCAGATGTGTCCCTTAATTCATTAGTGGCACAAGAAGGAAAAAATCAGTAGTCATTAAGTCTCCATATTATTCCTTTAGCAGGTGCACCCTGTATTTTTTTTTAAAAAGTGTCACTATCCCCAAAAAACAGTGAGCTAGGGAAGAGATGGAAAAATATCAGGCACCCTACTGGTCTATTTGCTACTTTACCAAGAAATCGGGCCGGGCACGGTGGCTCATGCCTGTAATTCCAGAACTTTGGGAGGCCAAGAAGGGCGGATCACGAGGTCAAGAGTTCGAGACCAGCCTGGGCAACAAGGTGAAACCCCGTCTCTATTAAGAATACAAAAATTAGTCGGGCATGGTGGCGCATGCCTGTAATCCCAGCTACTCGGGAGGCTGAGGCAGGAGAAATGCTTGAATCCGGGAGGCAGAGGTTGCAGTGACCTGAGATTATACCACTGCACTCCAGCCTGGGTGACAGAGCGAGACTCCATCTCGGAAAAAAAAAAAAAAAAAAAAAAAGAAAGAAATCACTGGCCATGGCTTTAAGACACCAGGCTAAAGGGAACTAACCAGAAAGCCTTTGCTTGCTTGGGCCCTTAGGTTTTGATAAGTAAGATCTAATTGGTACCAAGCTTCTAACTCAAGATTCAGATCAACAAACCCCTATGGAGTACTTCCTATAAGCAAAGTGAGTGGTAGAGAGAGACACTAGCAGGAAGGGTTGGTTTGGGGAGGAGATAATGAGCCCAGTGAGGGCATTTTGTATTGGTCTTGTTGGTAATGCCCAGTGGGCATTCACAATTTGAGTTTGGAGAGAAGATCTAGCTTGAGAAGTAGAGAGAGAGAGAGAAAGAGAGAGATGAGGGCCGGGGAATGTGCCCACATTAGGGAGATGGGGTGGTGTGACGGTTAATATTAGGTGTCAACTTGATTGGATTGAAGGATGCCGAGATAGCTGGTAAAGTATTGTTTCTGGATGTGACCATGAGGGTGTTGCCAGAGGACATTCACATTTGAGTCAGTAGACTGGGAGAGGAAGACCCACCCTCAGTGTTGGTTGGCATCATCCAATCGGCTGCCAGCGTGGCTAGAACAAAGCAGGCCGAAGAAGCTGGCTTGCTGAGTCTTCTGGCTTTCATCTTTCTCCATGCTGGATGCTTCCTTCCATTCCTCCTGCCTTTGGGCATCAGACTTTTTTCTCTCATGACTCATATCCAACCAAATCCCCAAGCCCATTTGATGCTCCACCCAAATATCCCTTGAATCCATCCCCAACCACCCACTGTCCAGGCCACCACCTCCTCTGATCTGGATACTGCGGCAGTTTCCTGATGTTCGTATTCTTTTCGCTTTGCCCCCCCGGCACAGTGTCTGGAACATTATAGAGACTCAAATATGCATTGCATGATGCAATCGTCAGGAAGGATGAACAAAGCCTGCTGGGCCAGTGACTAGTAGGGGAGAAGTTTCAGTAGAATGCTGAGGGCAAGTGTTAGAACTCAAGGGGTTCAGGATTGAGTGGTAATAAAGGAAATAGAAGCCTTTGGTGTAGACACATACAAAAAAGCAATAATTCTGACCAAAGGGAAATATCTAAGGCAGCAACTCGAGGGTGTGGAAGTGTTGAGGAGTCTTTTGTTTCACTTTTTTGGTAGCAGAGAGCAGATAATCCTTTAAGGAAGAGTATAAATTTAAGACGATTAAAAATGTAAAGGAATATAACATTCATACACGAATTGTTAGGGAATCAGTGGGAATGTATTTTAAGAATTACAACTGTGTGTTAGCTATCTATTATTGTGTAACAAATTACCACAAACTTAATTACTCAACACAATTTCACTGTCTCACAGTTTCTGTGGGTCAAGGGTCTTAGCATAGCACTAGGAGCTGGTATCTTTTTAAAATTTCTTGGCTCTGTTTCTCCAACATTGGCTCCACTCTCAGATCCCTTCCCTGTTGTCTTGAGATGGCTATTGGCCTGTCTAAGGCTACAAACTCTCAGGTTAGAATCCACCGAGAAGGAGGAATAAGCAATTGCCTTTATCCCAGAATTTTCAGCAAAGGTACTGAGATTCCCTTTATTTTGAACAGCTTAGATCACGTTGACCACCCTAGGCCAATCACTGTGTCCAAAGGAATGCGGGGCACTCATTAGCTTCGGCACAGGTGTGTCCTTGAATCTTGGAACTGGGGAAGAACCCTACCTAAACTAAGAACACCAAGAGATGGGGAGTGCAGAGCAGGGCTTGATTGAGGAAGAAGGGGAGATGGATGCTGCAAAAACAAGGAATAGGCACACACAAGGAACACATCTCAAATACAACATGGTTGGTTTATTTATTTATTTATTTATTTATTTGAGACAGAGTCTCATTGCGATGCCCAGGCTGGAGTGCAATGGCATGATCTTGGCTCACTGCAACCTCTGATTCCTGGGTTCAAGCGATTCTCCTGCCTCAGCCTCCCAAGTAGCTGGGATTACAGACATGCGCCACCACGTGTGACTCATTTTTGTATTTTTAGTAGAGACAGGGTTTCACCATATTGGCTAGGCTGGTTTCAAACTCCTGACTTCAAGTGATCCTCCCACCTCGGCCTCCCAAAGTGCTGGGATTACAGATGTGAGCCACCGCGCCTGGCCAAATATAATGTGTTTTAAACCAGACTCTATATTTTGCTCCTAAAGCTTAACCCCCTTGCTTCATTCCTGATTTCAGTGAATTGTATCATCATCCAACCAATTGTCCATGCTGGGAAGCTGGGAATAATCCTAGGCTTCTCTTTCTCACCACTACATTCAGATAATCATCATCTCTTGGGTTTTACCTCTTACATACTCTTCCCCTCCCTTCCCGCTTCATTGCCTTATTTCAGATTCTTAACTGACCCATTTTACCATCTCTCCATTCTCTCTCTCTTAAAAAAAAATGTTGACTTGTGGCCGTAGAACGATGAATGTCCAAGGCCTATGGATAATTCTAATAGCCCACACACTTGGGCACCAACCCAACAGTGGGATCATGTGTTCACTAAGAGTGTATTTGTGATCGGTCCCAAACCTGTTTATATTCTTTTTTTTCTTTCTTTTTTTTTGAGACGGAGCTTGCTCTGTTGCTAGGCTGGAGTGCAGTGGTGTGATCTGAGCTCACCGCAACCTCCACCTCCCGCGTTCAAGTGATTCTCCTGCTTCAGCCTCCCAAGTAGCCGGGATTACAGGCGCCCGCCACCACACCCGGCTAATTTTTGTATTTTTAGTAGAGACAGGGTTTCACCAAGTTGGCCAGGATGGTCTCGATCTCTTGACCTCGTGATCTGCCTGCCTCAGCCTCCCAAAGTGCTTGGATTACAGGCGTGAGCTACCGCGCCTGGCCCGTTTTTCTTGTAAGGTATAATTTAATTAAATATCCCATAAACCAATAAAATATGTATGTGAAGAGATAGTTTTTATCTTTATGAAAGTCAAATTGAATTCTTTTCAAAGACTGGATGATTCAAATGTACTGAAGATAATTGCAGTTGCTACAGGTATAGCTGAGACAACTGTAAACGGCTGAGGCAGTGGCTCACCCTAAGGTGCTGGCCTTCATTTTGGAATGTCAGAGCCAAAAATGACCTCAGATATGGTCTAATCCATCTCACTGAATTTATGAAGGAATAAACCATAATCTAGAGAGATTTTTGCTAATTAGTTAAAACTCACATAAATGGATAAGGAATCAGAGGTTTTCTGGATACACATCACTTTTTCGCTGTGCTTCTTAGGAATAATTGCACATTGCGGAAACCTGCCCCTCTTTCTCTCTCTCTCCTCTAATCTGTCATCTTTAACCCTGGATCAGTCTTCTTACCTTCTTTCTAGGCTCTCTTTCCCTGCTGCTTTATCAGAGGGCTTAGAAAATTAAAACTAGTGTTAACACTAGCTTAAGCCAAACATGAAGACCTTGGCAACACGAGCCTCCTTTCTATTCCACAAACATCCTAGATCCTTCTTATCTTTGGAGGACCTCTGCCCTTCCCATTTCTTCTCTTGAAATGCCCTCTTCTTCTTTTCAAATGTTTGCTCTTTCTAGTTCTTCATATCTCAGCACAAATGTCATGTCCTCAGAATAGTGCCCTCTTAGTCCCCATGAATCTGTAACATAATTGTAATCTGTCCTTCCTAGGATTTATCATACTCTGATAGTCCTTTGTTTATTTAGTCATTGTTCTCTCCCCCAACGAGAAGTTATACTCAGTGAAGGCATGACCTTGTCTGTCTTGCTGGTTGTATTCTCAGGATCTATGACAGTGCCAACGGGTAGCAGTGAGTAAACAATAACAATAAGTGACAACTCTCCATCAGTCAATAATTTAGAGATGAATCTGGTTGTACTATTAGTCATGATTATGTGTACACCCAAGATGCATTTTTTCTTATTTACTATGCAGCTTCTATCAATCTAATTTATATTCCTCCCACTTTCCACCCTCCCATGCACAAATTCACCAACTCTCTAGTTCATGTTTTAAAAAAGTGACATTGCTTTATTACTATTGGCAGGTGGGGCCTGCATGAGGTGGTTAGTGTGCTCAGGGGATGGGTGGGCTGTGGAGATGATGACAGAAAGGCTGGAAGGAAAGGGGGTGGGTTTGAAGGCCAGGGCCAAGGGGTCCTCAGGTCCGCTTCTGGGAAGGGACAGCCTTGAGGAAGGAGTCATGGCAAGCCATAGCTAGGCCACCAATCAGATTAAGAAATTCTGAGAAATCTAGCTGACCATCACTGTTGGTGTCCAGTTTCTTCATCATGCGGTCAAGGACACCAGGGTCCTTCTGGTTCTGCAGAGAAAATAATAATTACACCTTTATATCGCATCTTCTAATGTGCTTTCAAATATGCTGCCACATTTTATTCTCACAGGAGTATAAGGTACAGGATAGGGATTATTAATATTCCCATTTGCCAGATGCAGAAACAGACTAAAAGAGGTGAAGTGACCTGCCTAAGGGGCAGACCTGGGCCTTGAACCAAAGGTTTTCCCACTCCTAGTCCAGGGCTCTTTCTATGATATTAGGGGCTATTCAGTTTTGTAAAGCCAGTGGAACACTTCTTTCAAGTGTTGCATGCAACTCCAATAGATAAACTATATAAAAGTACAGCGGGTTCAGGTGGAAAAAGGCCACAGGCCCTGCCTAATCAGTCTCATCCTCCACTTGCCCAAGCTGCCAACACAGATACAGACTTAGAGCCACTGGTTACAAATGGCTATTTACATTTACATTTACATTAACTAATTTAGAAAGTCAGTCTGTTAGTCACACTAGCCACATTTCAAGCACTCAGCAGACACATGTGGCTGGTGGCTACCATGTTGGATAGAGCAGATATAGAATGTATTTCCACCACTGCAGAAAGTTCTACTGGACAGGGCTGCCATAGAACCTCTGGGGTAGAATAATGAAATTTGAAAATAATTCCATTACGTCATATACCATTTCATATATCTCTCTTCCTAAATGGAAAAACTCCTGGCTTAGAGTGAGTTAAAATGAAGCAAGAGTGTGGGGTGTCAGTTGCTGCTCCTTCATTCCTGGCCATTCTGCCAGGGTCTTGTTTCATGTTGTGGGTAGTTTGGGGAAGTGGGGGAGACAGGGACCAGTACCTTTGTGAAGGCAGCTAGTTCTGTATTCATGAAGCTTAGGAACTCTGTCTTGGAGAGAGTGTAGTTATAACCATCCTTTCCAGCATACTTCTGGAAGACAGCAATCAGGGACTCGATGCACCGCTCAGTCTCTGTAGGGCTGGAGATTTTTGCCTTTGGAGAAAAAAAATTGCAGGGCTCAGACAAGGGAAGATGTCAAGGCTGGATACTGGAGAAAACTCCAGGGACTCTTATTTCAGGTCAAAGCAGTTTCCTAAAAGACTGAGTCATTTTTTCAAGGGGCTGAGGGGTTCAAGACAACCACAAAAAGTCACACTCTGTGACCTTCCGTCCTACCCCTCGCCACATGTTTATTCCAGGTGAAATATATGGAAGGTAAATGTGGAGCATTGCTGGCACGTTTAAAAGCAGTAGACTGCCTAGATGAGAGTGACGGTGACAAGGTTTACTCATATTTTTAAAATGTGTGGATAAATACATGTGTAACTCTATATCCACAAATCCATATGCACACCAAACATTGTCTATAGGTTAATAATTTCTTATTTTCCAAGAGTGTATGGAGGCTTTTGTGATTAATGAAATGTCAGTTCTTTTTAAAGCAATACCGAATTCCTGGGACTCACACATTTCCTTAGAGAAAACTAAAAGCATAGCTATCATTGTGTATGCAGTGGGAGATAGAACTTTTTAGATGTTTGAAAATGGCTTTCATATTTAAGAGTTAGGAACCATTAATCTTAGATGTGAGGAAACGGACAGGAGAAGGGAATGGATATGGCAGAGCCAGCCCTGGAATCTGGGCCTCCCAGTCCCTTTCTGCAGTCCTTAGCCTTGCAGGCTTCCACTTCCTGGTGGGAAATAGTGACAGAGAAGGTGGAGCTTCTCTGGAGGTCACTCCAAACCAGGAAGCTCTCAGGTTGCTGCTTACACAGCATCTACAATGTAAGAGATTTAAATCCTGTACTGGGCTCTTTCCTCACAGCAGAATTTTTCAAGGAAATTCTATAGGGCCCAGTCATCCGGTTCCCCAAGGGGACTTAGGGTCCCAAAAGTGAGGAGCTGTTGGCCTCCCTCTGGTGGGTAGAAGCCGCAATTACAGACTTTCTGGGAAACCGGCCTGGCCACACCCTTCCTCTGAGACTTTACCTACTAGCGTTAACAATGATTTATGTTTGGATGGTGACATTTGCAACTTAGCATTTAGCCTTTCGTTTGTTCTTAGGATGGACTTCCTGGAGGCCAGAGCTAGAGGCTTTCTCACTCCGTAATTAACACGTGCTAAGAACTGATCTGAGCCCTTAGCTACACAGCTGCAGATTGATTCCTCCTTCCTGTACAGCCTTTATGCTGCAGAGATCCTAGCTGAGTCTTGCCTCCCATTGCATCTTACAGCGTTAGAACCCCTGAACCCTAAGAGAGGTGGACTTTTTCCCAAGAATCACATTGTTGGAGGATGATTGTTTTTGTTTTGCTCTAAATTGAACTTTTCATTAAGAAAAGTGTTGGTAGGTTCAGGGGCCTTTAGGGGAGAAACAAAATACCACAGCCTAGAAACAGATGTGTTTGTTCTGTTACAACATGCCCTTCATATCAGGCCTAAAATCTCCCTGTCTTACTAAGGTATCAGATGACAGGAAGGAGACTGGCTGGGAGGCCACACCAGGCTGAGGAGCATGGGCTTTGTCACCTTTCTCTGGAACTACAGATTCTCCCCCTGCCCCTTTTCCTTCCAGAATGCAGACAGTTTTGCTTTTCCAGTTTCACAGTGCCTTTCTGCTTCACATTTTTCTCTCCTTAACATCAGTCTTGGTGTAATTTAGAGATTATTTTCTTTTGAAAACTGTTGCTGTTGCTATCAGCCACAAGGAGAAAATTAAAACCTCTTTGCATTTCCTCCCAGAGGTAATTCTCCAAAGTGAAAGAAAGAGACACAATTATCAAATTACTAAAATGGAACGGCATAATTTGTAGAGCTCCAGGGCACTTTGGAGATGGGTCCTGAGGACGCCCAGAAACCGGAAAGCTCTGCCCAGGGTGGCGCAGTGGCTGAAGGAGAGGAGAACCGGCGCTCTCCACACCTCATGGCACTCTTGGAGTCTTACTTGGTGGGGATGGCGATAGCAAGGAGCAAACATTATGATAAACGGATACTGTGAAATAATTTTTAAAAATGCATGCTAAGCGCTCAACATTTGAGGAAAGAAAAAAATACGATGAAAAAGACGTAGCAATTTTAAAAACCTCAACTATTGTCTTCTCATTCTTAACCAACACCCTCCGGAGCTTTCTGTCCCTGCTGTAGCAGGACTGCAACCCCAGACAGTATGGAAGGGAATGGGCGTGGCTCTGTTCCAATACTTCATTTATGGACGCTGAAGTTTGATTTCCACATAATTTTCACATGTCAGAAAGTATTTTTCTTCTTTTGATTTCTTTCAATCATTTACAAATGTAAACTTTATTCTTAGCTTGTGGGCAGAACAGAAAACCCGACTTGGCCCGCGGGCCAGTTTGCTGACTCTCCACTAAGGAGAGGTAAAGAAAGAGATTTTGGAGGTGGAATTATGGAAAATATGAGTTCAACTGGGAGATGAAAGGAGATAAGAAGAGAAAAATAAGTTACGGAGTGAGTGCCTAAATAGATGGTGGGGTAAAAGGAAGAGGAAGGAGGAGAGGGCTCAGCTGGGACCGGGTTCCTCCCACATTCTTGGCCGCGGCGCTGCGGGCGGCGACGGGCTAAAGTTTCAGTCCCGTTGGGTCTTGGCCGTCTGCCGGGTGCTTACTGAAACTTTGATTTTCCCTGGGGCTAGACGACCAAGTTCTAAAATGTCCCTTTTCTGGTGTACAGAAATAACTAGTGACCCCTCGCAGCTTTCCAGCCCCCTGCCTTAAACTTGCTCCTAGGCGTCTCTGGGCTCCCGGGAGACCGCGGGCGAGGGGCTGGAGGCAGTGACCCACGACGGGTCCCCCCCCCGCGCGGTGAGCGGCCAGCACTTCCTCTTCCCCAGCCCTGGGCCTTGTCGTGACTGGGAAGGCTAAAGAACCTCCGCTGCTACCCTAGGCGGCCACCCCAAGGATGATTTTAGGGCTTCATCCTTCCATCCCTTCTTCCCCAGTTCCCTCCCACGAGGCTGATTTTTCCTGCTGTTTCCTGCCACGTCCACACATAAGTCAAAGATAAAGTCTGCTGGGAAGTATGTGGGTTTTTTTTCTTTTCTTTTTCTTTTCATGTAAGAAGAAGAAGAAGAAAAGTGAGGCTTACCATGTTGGAGCTGAGCGAGGCGCGGGAGGCTGTGGCTGGGAGCGGCGCTGAGAGCTCTGTGCGCGCGGCGTGCGGGTCTGGAGCCTCTCCTCAACCCACGCCCTTCCCGGCCCAGCCTTGCCCAAGCCTTACTCAGACAGCTTCCGCGCCTGCCCCGCCCCTCCCCGCCTCCCGGGCTGGGCCTGGGACCGCGGCCGGCGCTAACCACAGAACTGAGCTTTAAGACTCAAATAAACCCACCGTCCTCTCCAGCGATTTAAGCAGTCTCACTCTCCCTCCTTTCCCTCTTTTCCCTCCTCTTTCCCCCCGGCCCCCTCCACCCCGTCCTGTGATTCCTGAAGATTTTTGACTTTTTAGAATTATAAGTTTTGCACAGTAGTCTTCGGGAAGTCTGTCCATGTCCGTGGGTCTTTCCCATGTATGAGCTCATTCTGGGCATTTAGGTTAGATAGGCAAAAAAGGTCTCTTTTGGAAACAGCAGTGGGCCGGGCGCGGTGGCTCAGGCCTGTAATCCCAGCACTTTGGGAGGCCGAGGCGGGTAGATCACATGAGGTCAGGAGTTTGAGATCAGCCTGACTAACATGGTGAAACCCCTGTCTCTACTAAAAATACAAAATTAGCCTGGCGTGGTGGCACACGCCTGTAATACCAACTACTTGGGAGGCTGAGGCAGAAATATCGATTGAACCCGGGAGGTGGAGTTTGCAGCGAGCTGAGATCGCGCCGTTGCACTCCAGCCGCCTGGGCAACAAGAGCGGAACAATGTCTCAAAAAACAAACAAAAACAGGCCGGGCGCAGCGGCTCACTCCTGTAATCCCAGCACTTTGGGAGGCCGAGGCGGGTGGATCACGAGGTCAGGAGATCGGGACCATCCTGGCTAACGCGGCAAAACCCCGTCTCTACTAAAAATACAAAAAATTAGCCGGACGTGGTGGCGGGCGCCTGTAGTTCCAGCTACTCGGGAGGCTGAGGCAGGAGAATGGCGTGAACCCCGGAGGCAGAGCTTGCAGTGAGCCGAGATCGCGCCACTGCACTCTAGCCTGGGCGACAGAGCAAGACTCCATCTCAAAAACAAACAAACAAAAAACAAAACCAAGAGTGTTAGTTAGGACAGAGTGCGGGTCAGAATTGTAGACAAGTTCCTAGGAGTTGGGGCTCTCTATTGCTCCACAGGGAAGATATTTAACAGTAAACAGTGGTGAGTATTGCCAAATCAATTGCCACGGGATTACTGGGGATTATTGTCAAGGGACAATTGCCACCCCTCTCTCTCAAACTTTTCTGTAAACTGAGGACAGCCACAAAGACAAAATCCGAAAACCAAACTACTGCACTTAAAAATTGATCCGTGCTAGTAAGGCATTTATCTGTGTGCAGTTTGCAATGAAATTAGGAGTTGTATTAAGAATCAGAAGACTTGGGTTCCAGTCTTGTGTCTGTTACTTCATTGCAATACTTTTGACCAGACTTGTCACTCCTTTGAGCTTCCACTTCCTTATTTGTAATAGGTCTTGAGATAGGCCTTTCCTGTTTCATAAGATTGTTAGGACTGTCAAGTAAAGTGAGGGCTTAGAAAGGTCTCCAAAAACTGCAGAGTAGACGCAAATGAAAGATAATGGGCTATAGGCATTGTGTGAACTGCTTCCCTGCACCTGCTCTCACAGGTGCCCTGAGCACGTGAGACAAATCTCCATCTCAGTTCTCAGCTACTCCAGACCCACATTTTCAGTTACTTGTTTATGAATCCACTTGAGAGTCCCACCTGCACTTCAGACTCAATAATTCAGGAATAACTAGTTTTCCCCAAACCTGTTTCTGTCTTCTCTGCTAAGGGTACTATCACTCTACCATTTTCCCTGCTTGAAAGCATTGGAGCCACTGAGTCTAAATGCCTTTTTGACTCACAGTTCTTATCAAGTGCCAGGTAATAGACTTCAAACCTTTGGTGGTGGGGGGTGTTACATGAACGGCTGCTGGGGTTCCTTAATACCTTAAAGTTACATGTAAATTTTTTGCATAAGAGAAATTTTTCTGGCGAAGAGTCCACATCTTTCATCTGATTCTCAGAAAAATTTATGATCCCAACATATTAAGGAATCATTTGTCTAAATTACTCCATAACTCAATCATGAGGCCTTACACACCACAGTTCTTTTCTTTTTTTTCTTTTTTGAGACGTTGTTTCACTCTTGTTGCCTAGGCGGCTGGAGTGCAACGGGGTGATCTCAGCTCACTGCAACCTCCGCCTCCCGGGTTAAAGCGATTCTCCTGCCTCAGCCTCCTGAGTAGCTGGAATTACAGGTGTGCGCCACCACACCCTGCTAATTTTTTGTGTATTTTTAGTAGAGACGGGGTTTCACCATGTTGGTTATGCTGGTCTGGAACTCCTGACCTCGTGATCTGCCCTCCTCAGCCTCCCAAAGTGCTGGGATTACAGGTGAGAGCCACTGCGCCCGGCCACTATAGTTCTTTTTAAGAGAAAATGCCTCACTTAGAACCTGTGCTCAAGGGGCAGCCCAGGTGGCCAAGTTTTGCATGATTTGACACACTGTGACCCTGTTAGAGTGGACTGGGTTGAAGTTAGTCTGGACACCAGCACTGCCAATCTATAGGATGGCTGGTAGTGGATGTTTCATGACATAACATGGAAAGATGAACTAGGGCCAAAAAGCTTCTTGTTTTTGGGAAACTGAAATTAGAAGCACATAGAAAATTAGGCATTTAGAAGAGCTGAAGCTGAACATTTGCATAGACAGAACCATGAAGTCATGGCAAATAAAACTTATGGAGAAGACATCATGAGTAAGTGGAAGCTATGAAATTTGGAAGAAATAGACAGAGGGGAATGTAAGCCAATTGCTAACTGTAAATTAAAGAAAAGGCTACTTGGGTGTTCGCTGAATTGTGAAAATGGTGAACCACTGGGAGTGAAGAGCCTGCAGTCTGACTTCATTAGCGTTTTTGTTCTTCCTAAACCTAGTTGTTAGTTTTTCTTACTTTCTCTATGACATTTATTCTTTCAATAACTCTTCAGCCCCATGAAGTAGCTTGAATGAAACCAAAGGAAAAAGCTAAACCAAATAAGTATGACTTGTTCAGAGCCAGGTTGGGGGATCAGCCCCACCCAGTTAGGGCTGCCTGCTTGACAGCTGCTCCCCAGGGTCACGCTGAAAGGGGTTCATTTCTAGGTTATCAGTCAAAGGAGGGAGAGTTCAGGAAAGGTAGCAGGCAAGGTAGATTTGTCAAAGCAGGCAAACAATGAATCAAACTGAAGGGCTGGAGCCAGCAAGGAGCTGAGGATGAGTGAGAGCTGGTAAACTGACAGCAAGAGACAAAAATAATATACAGATGGGTAAAAGGGCTTATCAGGAAATAAATGTAGGAACTTCCATGGCTCAAGGTAATTCTTATGTGCAGTCTGATCTCTGTGTAGCATTGGGTTGATTCTGAAATGGACACAGTACAGTGACAAATGCAATAACAGGGGTGTGACCAAGACACAATGACAAATGCCAGGAAAGAAATGAGAGGTTAACTCTGGGAGAGGAGGGAAAGTATCCTGGAAAAGTGCTGCTTGAGGTGGGTATTGAAATATAAATAAGAATTCACCAGGTGGATGAACATGGTAGTGAAAAAAGGTGAACTCAGGCAAGATAGCACAGTATTTACAGCCACAGGCTCTGCCACAAGACTGGGGTTCAAATCCCAGTGTCACAACGTATTAGCTATATGAAATCTAGCAAGTTATTTGTTGGCTCTGTGTCTCAGTTTCCTCATCTGTAAAGTGGAGAGAATAGTAGTTGTTGTGAGGATTAAGAGTTAATTCATGTTTAATGCTTAGGACTTACAGCAGTGTCTTCAGAGGAAGTTTTACATAGTGGCTTGTGCAGAATTAAGGTTCGGGATGAAACATTGTTCGTGTTCTCAGTACTTGCAGGTGGTTCAGTAGAACCAGACTTAGGGTATGGGGTGATGGTAAATGTGAGGCAGAAGCTGTGGGATGTGAGATGGGAGAGACAAGGGTCAGCTCATTAGGAGATATACTTGGAAGTTTGGATTGTAACCTTAGGGTTATGTATCAAGGAACATTGAAGATTTTTAAGCAGGACAGTGACGTGATCCCCTTCACTTTTGGAACTGTAGAAAACATGTTCTAGAAAGAAGAAAGACTAGAGGCAAAGAATATTAGAATATTGTTGCAATAACCAGGGTGAGATGGCCATGGAGATGGGGAGAGGGAATTACCAAATACTGAGAAGGCAAAACCAACCTAACTTCACCACTGTTCAGCTGTGGAGCATTAGAGGAAGGAGGCATCAAGCGTGAATCCTAGGACTCTAGCTTGATAGCCCTGTGGTACCAGTACCATCCCCAAGATAGAGAACATAAACTGAATAACATTTTCGGGGGCTTAAGGGAAGATGATGGTTCGATTCGATATTGATCAAATTGAGTCTGAGGTAAGTGGGACAATTTGATGCTGGAGGAATTAAGCATGTCCAGTATCTATCTTATGTTCTCTCATAGCTCCTTGTATCATAATCCCATCATACTCTACTGTCATTTTATGTTTACTTAATCATCTTCCTCACTGGATTCCAAGATGCTTGAGGGCAGAGATGGTGCACTGTTCACTCCAGTATTTCCAACATTCACTCATTCATTCAGCAGATATATAAGAAGAATCTTCATGTGTGCAGAGCTATCTAAGCATGGAGGCTGTAGTGGTTAACAAGACAGATGAAGTCTCTGTTCAGATGCTGCTCGACCAGCTCAACTTAGGTGAATAAACAATATTTATAGAGCAAGTGGAGGAAGATGATCCAACATAGAAGAAAGAAGAGAGATGATCAGGGAAGCAGGAGGAGGCTTCTCTGGTGTCATCAAAGCTCATGAAGAGAGACTTCCAAGATACAGGGAGTGGTCAACAAGGTGAAAGACTTCAGCGAGGCAGAGTATGGTGGAGGCTGAGATGTGTCCACCTGATTGGCAATCATATCCTTGGATACCTTTGCCAGAGCAGTTTTAGTGTGGTGGTAGGAAGAAACACAGATGGCAGTGGACTGAGGAAGAGAGATGAAGAGTAGAGATGGGGTTATGGATTACTCATTTGATCAAATTGAATATGAAGAAAAGGAGAAAGTGGCAGCCAGAGGGGATCTAGGATTAAGGGTATATTTAAAAATATACAGTTTTACAAGCTGTGGAGAAGGAGTTATCAGAATGAGAAGTCAAAGATTCCAGGTTGAAAGAATGTGAACAATGAAACAAGACCCCAGAGGAGCCGTGGGTGACTGGAATTACTTCAGAGAGGTGGAGAAGGAGAAGAGTGGGAGGGAGGCTGTAGATAGCTTGTAGGTTTGGGCTGTACAGGGTTATCCTTTCCCATGGCCTTTTTGATGCTATGAGGCAGGAAGTAAGGCATCTGTGAGCATAGGCATTGGGTAGGGGGCACAGAGGGCATAGGCATTGGGTAGGGGACTTGAGGAGGTCCTGTGGTCTCAGAGGAAATGGAAAGAGGAGCTGAACCAGAATGGCTGAGTGGTGTGAAAGTTTAGGGACCTATCATTTTGTGGTGACTTCAATCCACATGGTTGTGTGATTGTGTGGCTGTATGGCTTCTTCCAGGTGTGCTTCGAAGTTTAGTCATCAGATCCAAGAGAACGGGCTGTGGAATGAATTTAGGGTTAGGTGTGTGTGTATGGGTGTAAACAAAGGATAAAGGGGTGAAGGAGTTGAGGGCATGGGTGAGAAAGGAATTCACTTGATTGGCACTGCATGCTGGACAAAGAAGGAAGGAGCAAGGACACAGAAGGTGGATGGTGGGAAGGCTCCACAAAATCAAGGAGCAAGGTAAGTGGAAAAGAGGGATGGAGAGAGCTGGCATGTAAGAAGTTATTGGTATAGTCTAATTTTTCAGTGAGTTTAACATGTTGTAGGCAGAGCCTTTATAAATGATGACAAAATCTAAGCATGATGAGTGCTAAACTGATTCCAGTTTAAGTGGAGTGGACATGAAGGAGGTTAACAAGCTGTGAGGGGCTGGGTGCGCTGGCTCATGCCTGTAATCCCTGCACTTTGGGAGGCCGAGGTGGACAGATCGCTTGAGCCCAGTAGTTCAAGACCAGTCTGGGCAACGTGGCGAGACCTCTTCTCTACAAAAATTAAAAAAATTAGTCAGATGTGGTGGAGTGTGCCTGCAGTCCCAGCTCCTCAGGAGGCTGAGGTGGGAGGATTACTTGAGCAGTGGAGGTCGAGGCTGCAGAGAGCTTTGATTGTGCCACTGTACCCGGGCAACAGAGGGAAACCCTGTCTGGAAAAACAAAACAAAATAAAAACTTATGACTTAATATTAAATAACTTGTTGCTTCAAGAATTGTTTGGCTCTTTGTATTGTTTTTCTTTTTCTGGACAGAGGGGGAATCTCAAGATATTTCCAAGGGTATTATATGCATATTCACTTATATATTCATTTTTTTTTTGAGACGGAGTCTCGCTCTGTTGCCCAGGCTGGAGTATATATTCATTTTTATTCAACAAGTATTTGTTAAGTACCACATCCTGGTCTGAAGATATGAAGATTTCAAAAAGTCATGATTCTTGCCTTTAAGGATTCCCAGATCTAATTTGATGAACAAAACAGGGATGGGATGGGATCCTTCCAGAAACTGCTTGAGCCCTCTGCACCAGGAGGTGTGCACCTGGTCTCTAGGGTGAGCCTATTTCTATTTAGGTCCTGGGATAGAAGGTTTACCCCTTGGAGAACGGTAAGGGGAGATACTTAGGTTTCTCTTACAACCTACAGCTGCTGCCTGGAGCACTGAGGCCACATTTGTAAGATTAAGAAATAACCCCAGAGTCCCTGAGGCCACACTAGCGTAAATGGAAATGCTGGACAAGGAATCTAAAGGCCTGAGTTTGAGTTCCAGTTTTCTCCCCTAGTAGATAAGCTGTTTTCTAATGGCCTCAGTTTTCTCAGGTGTAAGACGGGGAGAATTAAGGAAATAATGAATATAAAAGGGCTCTTTCAATGGTATAGTGTTATACAAATGTTAATTACTACTCGCAGTATTGCCGTGTGGATTAAAAGAAAGGGTGCCTTGTAAATTGCACTTTGCAAATGTGGAGGGTCATTATTGTTATCCCTTCAAGCGCCTCTCACTTCCTGTTGCCTCTGCTCTAATTCCTGGCCCTCAGCTCTCTCAGGTGTTCTGTGGGATGGCATCTTGGAGCAGCCGAGTCCCTGTGATTGCTGATGGGAGTTAACTGTTTGCTTTCTGCCATTGTCAGCACACATTTACATTTCTCTTCATTTTCTTCTAGACATCTTTCATGCTGATGGTTGGAAGTCATTAAAGTATTCCCTTATAGTTTTTTTAGGTCTTCACTGTAGTTAGGGAGACCTGAGAAATTTTCTCTTTCACAATGACCCACAGCAAATTGTCACATATATGCTAAATTTCTACTCTGAGGAAGCCACACCATGTCAGATCCATGTTCAATCCATTGTGATCTGAATGTGTCATCAAAATATTCTCAGTGGATCTGTATTGCTTAATTTTTTTGTCCAAATTCTTCATCTTGGAATTCAAACTCCTTCGTGGCCTAATTCCAGCTATTTTTTCATTATTTCCTTTCATTCACTGTGAACTCTAGTGAAGTGGAACTTTTCACTGTTTCCTGTAGGCAGGGTTGATTTTTTTAGCCGGTTCTCACTAGTAAGAACTGGTGCCACACGCTGGTTGTTAAAATATTGAAATTCTTCTCTATCACTTGCTAAATAGCCTCTTGCTTAAACCCCTGAGTGCCACCCACCTGAAGCTCCAGCCACTCCAGTCCCTCTCCTGGTCCACCCAATTCCCATAACCAGGTAACATAAGGGTTAATGCATGGCTTGACAGAGGGTCTCTAGGACTTTCTTCAGCCTTGCAGACTGGTAACTGTTCTAATTGGCCAGTGCTGGGTCACATTTTGAATATCTTCCAGCCTTTAGGAATCTCACAGTTTCCCATATATTGGTTTTTGTTCTTGTGATTCCTTCCTTCCATCTGGAATGTTCTCCCCATCTTCTTATATCCAAATTCTAGCTCTATGAAGACTCAACTCAAAAAGCATCTTCTCGTGGGGCTTTCAGTCATCTCTTCCAACTAAAAACATCTGTCTCTTCATTGATATCCTTCATTGATACATAGCACTGTATCTGTACTTTTCTTTTGATGTGTAATACAGTGAATCTTGAATTATAGCCTTTTTTTTTTTTTCTGTTAGGCTGTCAGCTCATTAACGACAGGCTCCAGCATCTCCATCCTACCTTTTGTTAGTGGCACCACCCACCTTCTAGAGGGCATTTAACGACCTTCTTCTTATTCATACTTTGGGTGTAGGGCAAGGACATGATGGGTTAGTACCAGGCATGAGGACTTTCATGTGACAAATGAAGAATTCAAAGGTTCTTGTGGTCTTTTTAGATGGTTTATCATTTTTGTGCGATAAGACTTCCTCTAGTTTCACCTTTCCCTGGCTCCCATACCTCACCTCCTGCTCTTGGAAGGCCTGAGGATGGGCAGGTTAGCTCAGCAATGTTAAGAATGTTAGGAAGAAACTGGGTAAGTTAAGGAGATTTTGGATGAAAGGGATAGAAACTTGACTCAAATAGGGTTCAGTATTCATAAAATTATTATTTATTTTCTCCATAAAAGTAGGTCCCAGGACAGAGCAGTCTCCAGGGCTGATTGATTCAGCATCTTAGTGATGTCATCAGGGACAAGGCTCTTCAGTCTTTTTATCCCGTGATCCACATTTCCCTTGTAATCATAGGATGGCCACCAGAAGCAGGTGGCACATAAGGAGCATGTATTTCCTTGTTCAAGTGGGAGAAACTTCTTTTTCTCAAAAACCCTGAGCAAGCTTCTCTTGAGTCTCACTGCCCAAAACTGTTCAGTCCTGCCTAGCCCTGAACCAATTGTTGGCCAAAGGGATGAAATTACCTTAATTAGCTAAGATGAATTGTTTGGGGTGGGAGCTTGGTAGATTGTATTTTCCCCAAATGGGCAAAACAATATCTGCCTCCCACACGCTCTTACAAAGTGACCTTCACACTCTTTCTATCAAAAGGTAGGTTCTATATTTTTCCCCCTTGAACCTAGGTAGGCTTGTGACTGTTTCAGAAATAATGCTACATGATTTCTCAGACTTGATGTTAAAAGGTGAGATGATGTCTCCCTGGTTCTCCCTTGGGACACTCACTCATGGAAGCCATCCACCATGCTGTGAGGAAGCTCAAGTAGAAGAGAATCAAGAGCCAGCACCAAAGTGACAGCCACATGAGTGAGCTATCTTGGAAGTGGATCCTCCAGCCTCAGGGGAGCTAGTCCAGCTGATGCCATGTGATGCCAGGTATAGCATTTTTAATCTTTTATACCATATTTTTACTGTACCTTTCTATGTTTAGATACACAAATACCTACCATTGTGTTATAATTGCCTACAGTATTCAGTACAGTCACATGCTGCACAGCTTTGGAGCCTAGGAGCCACAGACTATACTATATAGCCTGGGCGTGTAGTAGGCTATACTATTTAGGTTTCTATGATGTTTCCACAATGACAAAATTTCTCAGAAAGTGTCTCTGTTGTTAAAAGACTGTTGTTTTGTTTGAGTATGTACACAGTATGGAGTCACACTGTATACACTCATCTGCCACTTGCTTTGTTTTCACTTAGTGATCTGTATACCAGTGCATATCTTTCTACTTTCTTCTTCTTCCTTTTTTTTTTTTTGAGACGGAGTATCGCTCTGGAGTATCGCGCTGGAGTGTAGTGGCATGATCTCAGCTCACTGCAACCTCCACTTCCCGGGTTCAAGCGATTCTCCTGCCTCAGACTGCTGAGTAGCTTGGACTACAGGCGTGTGTCACCACGCCCAGCTTATTTTCTTTGTATTTTTAATAGAGACAGAGTTTCACCACGTTGGCCAGGATGGTCTCGATCTCCTGGCCTTGTGATCCGTCCGCCTCAGCCTCCCAAAGTGCTGGGATTACAGGCGGGAGCCACTGTGCTCAGCCTCTACCTTCTTAACGACTACATAGTATTCTATAATACAGGTGGAATATCAAATATCTAATAGTAGGTTTTTTTTTTTTTTGAGGTGGGGTCTCACTCTCTCACCTAGGCTGGAGTGCAGTGGCACGATCTCGGGTCACTGCAACCTCTGCCTCCTAGGCTCAAGTGATCCTCCCATCTCAGCCTACGAGTAGCTGAGACCATAGGTGTGTGCCACAATACCTGGCTAATTTTTTGTATTTTTAGTAGAGACAGGGTTTCCCCATGTTGTCCAGGCTGGTCTCAAATTCCTGAGCTCAAGTGATCCGCCCGCCTCAGCCTCTTAAAGTGCTGGGATTACAGGTGTGAGCCACTGCACCCAGCCAAATAGTGGGTTCTTGATGAAAGACAATTAGATGGCATCATTTTTTCCCTAATCAATGATCCAGAAATCCTGTGTATGTCTGGGCATATCTGAGGAAAAACCCCTGAAAGTAGGCAGAATCAATGGTGTCCAGATTATGAACATTGAAAATGTTGACAGCTATCGCGAAATTGCCCCTCAAGGGTTAGTAATTTTTGATAGGGAAAGCCAGTTACCTCCCAAGTTTGTGAGTCAGCAAGAGACACAAAACATCAAAGCCAGGGCATTGAATGTTGTGGCAAGAGGCGGTTCTGGAGCTGTTGGCTTTGGAGGGGTCTCTGTTCTGGGGCTGGCTCCTTGTGCCTCATTTCCCAGCTGAGCCCATGGAACTCTCTCGCTCCAATCCGAGTCTCTGGGGCCTGGTAAAATTCCCCTCTGTGTTTAGTCACCTCTTGATTGGGAGCCAAAGCAGAAAACCAGTCAGCCCCACGAGCAGGAATTACCTGTTTCTCATCAACTCCACTTGCCAGAACGGTCTGTGACTTTCCAGTTACTTTTCAGGGCCTCTCCTTGTGTTTTGGTGGGTGTGTCTAGAGGAAGAGAGGAAAGCAAATGCCCTTCTAGAGCAAGTTGCCTTTTAAACGGCAAACTTGAAACAAATAAAGCAGGTTGAAGATCACAGTGTGTGCTGCTGGGCCTGTGGGGGCGCTGGGCAGCAGAAAGGCACACTCTGCCTGCAGCCTCGGGATCTGGTCGCCTGTGTGGGAGTAGGGAGGAGTCCTGACGTACCCTCTCTAAGACTGGCTGCTCTGCACCTCCCTCCAAGCCAGGCTGGCCAGTAAAGAAATCTAGCTGTGGACAGGAAACGAGTGGTTTTTGTGATCTGAGCAGAAAGGGCGTTTTAGGCCTGGAGCAGAGTGGAGGCCCTGAGCCACGGCCCAGGAAGTGACTCACCCACCCTGATGTCTGAGTTGCTGCTTCCTTTATCTTGCAGGAGGGCGTGGCGGTGGGTCCCTGGGCTGTGCCTGTGACTGGAGTGGCTAGAGGCTGCTGGCTCCTGGGTCTCAGTCAGGGTCCAGCCCCGGTCTCAGTCCTGCTACCTCAGCAGCCAGAACTCTGATTTAGAGATATGAACACCGCCTGTTACAGATATTTGGGGGAGATAGAAATGCCAGAAAACCCAGTCCCAGGAGCTGCTAGAGGGAAATACTGTTGTGGTGCCTCATTCCCTCCACCCACCTTCATTGCCCCACAATGCCCGAGGGTGGCAGTTCTGGTGACTTCACCAGCTGGTGGCAGGGGGAGGGAGGAGCTGGCTGGAGTTGCCATGGAGCGGCAGAGCCTGGTGGGCAGGGTGGGGCAGTGCCTCACAAAGGCCACCGAATTCTTAATCTCTTTCAGGTTTACTCAACTAATAAGTAACTTGTAGAGTTACAGGAATCATGTGAGGCCTTAACCCTCAGAATACCAGGAAAAATAATCACCTTTTACCATTTAGGTCCAATGGACGCTTTTAATTATCTATCTGTATCTGTCTATTTATCTATCATCTATCTTTTGATTCATCTTGTAAATAACTTGTAGAAGTAAGAATAGTAAAAAAAAAAACAAAAAAAAAACTGTATTAGAAATAATAGGCTGGGTGTGGTGGCTCACGCCTGTAATCCCAGAAATTTGGGATGCTGAAGTGGGTATATCACTTGAGGTCAGGAGTTCAAGACCAGCCTGGCCAACATGGTGAAATCCCAGCTCTACTAAAAATACAAAAATTAGGTAGGCATGGTGGTACACGTCTGTAATCCCAGCTACTCAGGAGGCAGAGGCAGGAGAATCGCTTGAACTTAGAAGGTGGAGGTTGCAGTGTGCTGAGGTCACGCCACTGCATTCCAGCCTGGAAGACAGAGCAAGACTCCATCTCAAAAAAAAAAAAAAAAAAAAAAAAACCAAAGAAAGAAAATAAAAAAAGAAATAATAAGAATTTAGATATAGCAAACCCAAATTTTTACTCCATATTTTCCTAGATTTGAAGCTACACACATATTTGCTTATTTTGTGTGTGTGTGTGTGTGTGTGTGTATTTTGATGCAGTTAACTGCTCATCAACTGTCATGCATGAACCTGGCACATATCCATTTTGTAAATAGCTGACTCCAGATTTCAAATACACCTGTAATAGGTTCTAGTTCAGCATTGCTTCTGTTTCTTCTTGCATCTGCGTTGTTCAAATGCAATACTTTAAAAAACTTTGATGGCTTATAATTTTGTTAAAGAGATGATGACCACCTTCTTTGTTCCATAATTGCGAAATATTTCATTTGTGGATTTACAAATATTAATTAAAATGGCCGATCCAGTGAATGCTTTTATGTCTGTGTTATCTATTTTTTTCTAATCACCCTGTTACACACACCTGTCTTTAGCATTAGTCCACTTATAAACTGTTATCAAGCAAATTTTAGTGCATAAACATTATAAGAGATGAAGAATAATATCATACCTTTTTAGCCAAATGGGATGATTCAGGTTCTTGCAAAATATTCTGTGATGCAGTTCTTCCTGTTGCACAACTAAACATGAGAACAGATTTTGGTTTTTACTGTTATGTGAGATCATGAAGCCTCAGCAACACGTTGTAATATAAGGAAAAATAAAGTGCTGCAGTAAACGGAAAACAATAACAACAACAGCGGTAAAACAAAGTCTCGCTCCCGTGGACATTACAATATGCACATGTACTTGTGTACATGTTGCAAAAATGTAGAAAATGTAGATAGAAAAAAAAAATAAAGCACCGACAATTTTATTATGCAGGTTAATTTTCCAGCTACGTTCTTCCTGACTTGCATTCTATGTGCATATAAACATTCAGATTTTACTCTAAAGTGGGATAAGACTTGATTATTTTAACATAACTATTTGTTATAAATACCTTTTTATGTCATTAAATATTCTTCTGTCTTGTCATTTTTAATGGTTTCATGGTGTAATTGGAATCTATTTTATCAGAGTGTTAAATTGACCAAGAGCATCCCGTACCTCACTGTGCAAGTGTCAACATTAAAAAATATCATGCTTGTTTAGGGTAGTGGTTGTCAAACTTTAGTGTGCACAAGTCTCACCTTGGGAGCTTGTTAACAGTTCAGGTCCCTGGACACCACACTCAGAGACTCTGATTCAGGAGGTCAAGAGTCTGCATGTTAATAATTCTCACTAACCAACAGGGGATTATGAGGGAGGTGGTCACCAGAGCCCATGGTGAGGCTCTTTGGTATGACTGATAGAATAGTACTTTATAGGGTCACAACTCCCTGCTCCACTTCATGGGGGCTTTGGGAGTTAGAGCCCCCTCAGGGTAAGGTGGTTTTAGCTACACTAGGCCTTTAGAGAATGGATCAGAGGGTTGAGCTTCAGTTGGTATAGGGGACTACTGGAGTCAGAGCTGGGGAAAATACCACACCAGATCAAAGAGGCAGAAATGTGTTTGGAACAAGGAGATCAAACTGAGGGCCAACAGACAGGAGGAACTGGAATAGGATGAAAGCAGGGAGGAAGGTCCCAGCCATATCTGTCAATTAGTATCAGCAGTGCTGTTGAGTGCTTGATCCATGGGCAGGTCAGTTTTGGCTTAAAGGTGTCAAGTCAAAGGGGGATGAGAGTTTGCAAAAGCCCATGCTATATATCACCCATGTGTGATCCAGAGATTCTCTGGCTCTCAAGAGTAAATAAATTAATGTGAATCATCCCCACACTAAATCCATGCCAATAGAAGTTCCAAGTCCTTCTGGGTGATCTCAGTGGGTCCCCAGGGTTCACATTCTCACGGCTGTCTCCTTCCAGTGAGGTCTATCTGCCTGCTTGACATGGGTAATTAAGCCTCTTCTCTTAGATTCCCACCAAAAAAAAACCATGCAAATATGTATGTATGTGTGTGTGTTAAAGACTTGGGAGTCTTGGGCAGGGTCACATCACACCTCACACAGCCTTCCACCACCTGTGGACTCCTCCTTATTTTTTTTCCTCCCCTGTCCAGCAACCCAGATTCCTCTCTTCCCATGACTAGCAGTTTATCAGTCATCTTTCACTGCTTGTGTGAGTCCTCTGGGTGTCACCCTCCACCCTGAACTCATGTCAAGACATTTTTCTGGGCAGTCCTACTCTGTAAGAAGAGACAGTTTGTTATTATAGTAACATTTCCTCCTTTCTTAAGCACACGCCTGAGCCTGTGCCTGTGGCAGGGGAGGGGTGGGGAGGGGCATTCATTCTTGGCTCGTGGGTTCCCGCTCAGCAAAGGCTGGAGTTGGTAGCCCATTCTCAGTCTACAATCTTGGTCGCTAGCAAATGAACTGCCAACTGTCGGCTCTGCACAACTCCATTAATGGAAGGTCAAATTATTTTTACAGCTTTTTTGAGATGGGGGTCTCGCTTTGTTTCTCAGCCTGAAGTGCAGCGGCACGATAATGGCTCACTGCAAACTTGACCTCCTGGACTCAAGCGATTCCACCACTTCCTGAGTAGCTGAGACTACAGGTGTGCACCACCATGCCTGGCTAATTTATTATTATTATTATTTGTAGAGATGAGATCTTACTATGTTGCCCAAGCTGGTCTTGAATTCCTGGGCTCAAGTGATTCTCCCACTTCAGCCTCTCAAAGTGTTGGGATTACAAGTGTGAGGCACCACGCCCAGCCTATTCTTACAGTTTCTCTCTTGGTCTTTCTGTTTTTTTTTTCAGCAGGATGGCTGGCAGGACTCCTCTGGGTAGCGATTTTTGAAATAGTTGCTCACCAAAGCTAGCTATAATATAGAATCATTGATGCTGAAATAAACATGTAGCAGACACTGCACTCCTATCCAGATTTCACAGATGAAAGCCATATTCTAATACCCATTTATTCATATGTTTTACCATTTCTGAAATCCAGGCGTGTCTTAAAATTGAAGTGTTCATTTAACGTAATAGTCACCCCCTGCCCTCAACTGCTTCTTTTTAATTGATGATGCCTCTTACAATTTTACAATCTAACAATGCAGTAGGAACACCACCCTGTATCCCCAAAGGAACTGAGTTCGGGGATTGTGCAGCATTCTTTGCCTTAAAATCTAAGTTACAGATGAACATGAGAATGACAGAATCTCCTGTCTATTTGAAATTCCAAGAAGCGGCTAGGTGTGGTGGCTCATGTCTGTAATCCCAACACTTTAGGAGGCCAAGGCAAGAGGATCGCCTGAGCCTAGGAACTCAAGACCAGCCTGGCCAACGCAGTGAGATCCTGCCTCAATTAAAAAAAAAATAAAGAAATTCCAAGACCTTGTGTTTTCCCCTCACCATCAGTCCAGGCCAGGGCGGTGAAGTGAGGTTTCTTCTCCACTCCCTGTTGCCTAATGCGGGGTCTACATGAGACATTGCAGTCAGTCACCACCAGGTGGCGCACAAGCCATGAAAAAGAAGTTCTGAGGGCCGCACATCTTCAACACCGGGTTCTTTCCGGATGGCTACTAATGAGGAATTGAGTGGCTACTTACATGGCAGGTGAGCTGGCTGGGCCTGGTGAAGACAGATTTCGTGGAGCATCTGGGAAAAGGTTTGCATAGCACGGACAGGGACAGAAGTTAGGATACATTAGCTAGAGTAACGATATCTACGGAACGAATGCTTGCAACTCTCCTGCAATACAGGAGAGAACAAGATCGCACCTGAAGTGATCTTGTGTTTTAGAAACTCCTGGCCAGGGGTGGTGGTGGGTGACAGTGGTCCCAGCTACTCGGGAGGCTGAGGTGTGAGAATTCCTTGAGCCCTGGTGGAGGCTGCAGTGAGCCTAGAGAGCACCACTACTCTCCAGCCTGGGCGACAGAGCAAGACCCTGTTTCAAAAACCAAACTAAACCAACCCCAAACCCCCAGAAACTCCTTCAACGAGTTGAGGTTTAATGTCATTCCCTCAGCTTCTACAGAAGATTATTGCAATGACGGACATAGAATAGATTCTTATTCTTGGGTTCTGTTCAATGCAGGTTGATATATTTTACTCCGTTGTCACACATGTAACTTGGAGGAGACTTAAAAAGTCTGAAGCTGGGCTTGTCCTCAGATGGAGGCATGAGAGGGCTGGGTGAGGGGGGAATAAAGCTGCCATCCAGTGTGGTTTCAAGTCTCAGGGCGACTCGGGTGTTTTTCTCCTCAGGATTCAGCATGTTCCTCACTGCTCCGTCTCTCGGCAGATGGCCTTGTTTGCTCTACCACAGGGAAGACAGCTGTTAGGCGCCGACTCCTCCAGCTCTTCCCTGCCCCTGCGCAGCACATTTATCCAACCTTGTCCGCACCTTCGCCATCTGCACTCCCTCTCCCACTGCAGAGGGGACCTGCTCCTCCCCGGGGCCTTGGACCCCACGCCCTCCCACCTAGCTCCTCATTCTTCATTCGTCAATGATCCTCTTGGTTTCCTGCATCTTCCGCTTTCTGCTCTGTATTGCATTCTTCTCACCAAATAGCCCTAAGCCAGCCCGCCAGCCTTCCCCCTACCCTGACTCTGTTTAGCTGTGTGGGGTCTCCCGCTTCTTTTCCAGCCAAGCTTCTGCAAAGAGTGAGCCTCCAGATTTGGAAATATTTCCTTCATTAAATACTAAATTCTCACAGCTGGACTTGGATATGTTTCTGGCCTTTTAATTGTTCCACTGACTTTTCCTCTCGTTCCTATTACCACCGGTATCACAGTATGTTAATGACTTTAGCTTAGGATACTTTTAATATACAATAGGATGAGCCCTTTTATTGACACCTTTCCCCAAATTGTCCCGACTACTCTTGCCTATGTAGTCTTCCTGATAAATTTTAGAATCATTTTTATACAGTTCCAAACACTTCATTTCTATACAGTTCCTGTTCAAGGTATAGACCAATAAGGGGATAACTGATATCCTTATGATGGTGAATTCTCCCATCAAAGAAGAAGGTGGCTCTGTGAACAGAACAAGGAAACATAAATCAGGTTTCCTTTATGTTCTTCAAACCAGTTTTATATCAGAGGCACATTTCACATTAATTACTCCTAAGGGCATATTATATTGTTGTTGTTACTATTGTGATAAGCAGAATCTTTCCCTGATATTAGTTATTAGGTTTTTATGGATATATAAGAAAGTTACTTTTCTGAGGGAAGTTTGTTCTATAACTACCTGTTACTAAACTTTGTGGATCTCATACCTTTTCAGTCAATTCTCTTAGATGCCCTAGGTAGAAATACTGGTGTCTTAAACAATGACCATTTTGCCTCTTCCTTTCTAATTTGTGTACCTAATTTATTTCTTTTCTGTTCTTTCAGCATTAGTGAAAAATCCTGTGGATACGGAGCATATCCTTGTTCTTATATTACATCCTCAGACAGGCTTTCTCTTATCCCCTTTTCCAGTCTGAATTTTGTTCTCCTTGTTTTTCTGTTTTATAGTGCCCACTCTTTTCCTGCATAACTCTTATAGTTTATAATCTTAATGGCAATCCTCACTAGTCTGTGAGCTGCAAAGCTGTTTCTTTCATCATTGTGTATCCTGTGCCCTGCCATTGTCTGCCACATGGTAGGTGCTGCATAAATATTTGTGGAATGAAGGAAATTTCTTAATTTTAAAATTAGTGCTATGTTTTACCATTGTTGATTTTAGGTAGAGTTCTCTTTTCATAATTTTATTTATTTATTTTTGAGACAGGGTCTCACTCTGTTGCCCAGGCTAGAGTGCAGTGGTGCGACCATGGCTCACTGCAGCCTCGACCTTCCCAGGCTCAGGTAATCTTCCCACCTCAGCCTCCTGAGTAGCTAGAACCACAGGTTCGTGCCAGCATGCCCAGCTAAATTTTGTACTTTTTGTAGAGACAGATTTCCACCATGTTGCCCAGGTTGTTCTCAAACTCCTGGGCTCAAGCCATCTGCTTGCTTTGGCCTCGCAAAGTGTTAGGATTAGAGGTGTGAGCTGCCACACCTGGTGCTTTCATAATTTTAAATTAAAACATATAACGTGTTTTTAAAATTCCATGTCTCCATAGAGATAATTGCACAGGCTTTCTCCTCTGCTAAGTTCAGAATGAGTTGCATGAATGGGTTTCTTTTAGAGAACTGGGGTTTTCTGAAATGAACCATATGTGGTAGCATGGAGTGTTTGCTCATGGAATCCAAGTGAAAAGAAAAACTGCTCTTGGGTATTTTGTTCAGGGGTTTTCATCTATCTTTATATGTAGGACTGATCTATAGTTTTGGGGAGCTTTGGAATTTTGATGTTAGGGCTGTGCTACCTTTGGAAAAAACTGTAAATCTTTCTTGACATTTGTATTCTTTGATGTGGTTTAAATAGTGTAGGAATGATTTGTTCCGTGGATGTTTGAAAACATTCACCTGTGAAACTGTCTTGCTTAAAGGGTAAGAGGGTAGTTATTTGACAATTTTTTAAAATTGGTTATGATTATACTTCTTTTGAATTAATTTTTCTAAAAAAATCATCCATTTCCCCCCAGACTTTTTCTTTCCTTGTGTTTGTTCTATCTTTCTAAGAATAATTTTTACAAGTCTATTCTTCTGTACCTATAGCTAAATGTTTTTGGTATCTATGTGTCTATCTGTAGATATATAGACATCTATCTATGTATCTATCTATGTATCTATGTATCTATCTATCTATCTGTCTATCTATCATCTATATCTACCTACTTATCTATCTAACTAGCTAGTCTTTTCCTCTTTGTTAATTATTTCAATTGTTTATTAAATGTCTTGAGTTCTTTGGCTTGTTCATCGATTCCATGGCTATTCTGTGTTTTAGTCCATTGCCTTAACGACTTGGCCACAATATCTTGTTTTCTAGTTCTTGAATTTCTACTTAAAAAAAATCTTCTTTTTCCTGCTTTTCTTTTAAACAAATTTTATTGAAGTATAATTGGCATATTAAAAACACACATATTTAATGTGTACATCTTGATGAGTTTGGACATATGCATACACCGTGATTACCATCACCACAACCACACTGAACATATCCATCACCTCCAAAAATTTCCTTGCTTTCTTTTGTGTTTTATTTTTGGTAAGAACACTTAACATGAGAAATGTTCTTTTAATGTATTTTAAAGTGTACAATACCATATTGTTCACTATAAGTACTATATTTTACCTAGATCTGTAGAACTTACTTATCTTGCATAACAGAGACTTCATACACATTGAAAATAATTCCTCATTTTTTCCTCTTCCCAGCCCCTGGCAACCGTCATTCTATTCTCTGCCTCTGTGAGTTTGATTATTTTAGATACTTCAGATAGGTGGAATCACACAGTATTTGTAATGTTCTCTAGCTGTATCCATGTTGTTGCAAATGGCAGGATTTCCTTCTTTTCTTATTTATTTATATAGAGACAGGGTCTTCCTATGTTGCCCAGGCTGGTCTCAGATTCTTGGCCTCAAGTGATCCTCCTGCCTCAGCCTCCCAAATTGCTGGGATTACAGGTGTGAGCCACTGAGCCCAGCCAGATTTCCTTCTTTCCAAAAGCTAACTAATACTCCATTTTCCTGCTTTTCTTAGGTCTGTTTTGTGTCTTAGTTTTCTAACTTATTGAATTGAATACTTAGTTTATTCCTTATTTACTCCCTCTTGTTTAGTAAATAAAGTGTTTAAGGCTGCAGCTCTAGACTTTAATATTTAGTGACTTTTAATTGTTATTTAAAAAATGCAGTCTTTTTTGCAGTTTTGCTTTCTTTTTAAACTTGAGTTATTTAGGAGTGTTTTAAAAATTTCAAGTATTTTTGATATATTCATCTATTATTAATTTCTAGTTTTATTGCATTATTATCAAACATGTTACTTGCATTATGTATGCTTTTGGAATTAAAAAAATTGTTGTTGTTTGTTTTTGAGATGAAGTCTTGCTCCACTACTTAGGCTGGCATTCAGTGGTGTGATCTTGGCTAATTTTTGTATTTTTAATAGGGACGGGGTTTTACTATGTTGGCCAGGCTGGTCTCAAACTCCTGGCCTCAAGTGATCTGCCCACCTCAGCCTCCCAAAGTGCTGGGATTACAGGCGTGTGCCACCATGCCCGGCATGCTTTTTGGAATTTATTGAAGTTTTAATTGTGTCATGATCAGTTTTTAGAATCTTTCATGCTACTTAAAAATATGTGTGTTTTCTAAAGTGAATAGAGTTCATATATATTACATAAAAATATTTAAAAAGATATTAGCTAACATATATTTAGAGTTATCTTTCTGTATGGTAGGCATTGTATGAAGCATTTAATGCATTATCTCAGTAGGTAATATTATTTTTATCACTTCCATTTACAGATGAGGAAACTAGTATTTAAAATGATTTCGTGCCCAGCCTCATAAAAGGAGTGTCATGGAGCCACAAATCCAAGCTGGGTTGGTTTGCCCACAAAGCCCATGTTCTTCATGACAATTTTAAACAAATTTTCTATGAACTTATTTTATGTTCCTGCTAAAGATGGAGACATATGTCCCCTCTTCTATTGTTTTTCTGTGAGTCTCTCCTTGTATTTCTAGCTTGGTTTTCTTTTCATTTGGATCCCAGATTGTTGGGCATGTTTGACACATTACTGTCCCCCTAACTGTAAACTCCATGGTGGGAAGGCTTTGTCCTGTTTGTAGCTTATCCTCAACACCTAGGATAGTGCCTGACACATAATAGTTGCTCAATAAATAGCTGTAGAATGATTGAATGACAGTTTTAAGTTTTATCTTTCTGGTGGATTGTACTGTTTGATAATAAGAATGGATTCACTTATTGCTTTTATGTTGAATTCTATTGGTTAGATCTTAATATTGCAACCTCTGCTGTATTTGTTTGCTTGCATTTGTGCAATCTATTTTGTCCCTCCTTTGACTTTTAACTGGAGAGATTTTGTTTTAGAGGTATCTTTCACAGAAGCACAAACCAGGACTTGTTTTTGCTTTTTGTGGGCTCCAATAGGTAAATGTGAATATGAATATTATTGAATGGACGGATAAAAATATGTGTTTTATGAGTGAAAGATAAGCCTCATTCTAGAGGCCATGACAATGATGCTTTATCTCAGTTTTCAATCTGAGACTAGAAGAAGACCAAGGGGAAATTAATGCTTAGTAACTATTTCTTGTACTTTTTATAAGGTTTATAATTTGGCTTTACAATTTGAAATGTCTTTCAGAAGAGCCTAGAGAGAGTTATAGTTTATTGATATTAAAATCACAGGTTACTGAAGGATATTACACAACATTTAATTTTTCTTTTCACCATAAGCCATTCCTAAAAACTGTTAGAGTCCCAGAAACCAAAAGTTGAAGAATTGGACCTGTGATAGATAGAGTCTGAGGTTTATGGAGGAAGAAAAAGCCAAGAATGCCTAAGACAATCAGCTCAGCCAACTGGGGAGGTGAAAATTTTTTGTAGCATCTGGATATCACTTTAGAACTCATCCTCAGAGGATCTAGTGTGCTTGTTAGATTTCCAAATATGATAGACATCATCCTGCTGGTCGTGAGCATAATCTTCCTATGTTCCTTCCTCATCCTGGTATACATAGTCTTCTTCTGGATCCCAAATTAGGTAGCAGCAATAACTTGCCCATTCTTGTGATTCTTACACATCTCCAAACCTGTATAATTGAGCCTATTTTCTGTATTTGTTGTTTCAGATGGATCATGAAGACAATAGCATAACCAGTTACCTTTCTTCTTGGGAAAAAAGTATACCTCACAAGTTATTGGCCCAATTTTTCTGGTGGATGCTAATTCCTAAGGATCTAAATCTCTAAGCTCAGCTTCCTCCTGCTTGGGGAAATACTTTTGATCTTTTTCTCTCCACAGCTGCTCTTTTGTTTCATGGTCAAATTCTCTCACAGATATGCCTTTTCCAGAGTTTCTCTCATTTTTGCCCCTAAGATGACCCTCATCCTTTTTAGAAGGTGGTTTTTGCTCTCTAACCTCTTGTCTTTCATCATACCTTGGTTCTGGTCTCATGTCTGTTACCTGGTGTCTTCCATAATTCCTAGAGTCTGGCCTCAGATCTCTCTTGGTTTCTTTCATCATGCCTGGGTTCTGGTCTCATGTCTCTCACTTGATATCTCCTATCATTCCTGGACTCGAGGCTCAGATCTCCCACTTGTCTTCTCTCAACATCTCTTAGTGCAAAGATCTGGTCTCTATGTTGGAATCCTTCATATTCTCTTGTAGTTGTTCTCTGCTCTCTAATTTGGTGTCCTCCATCATTCCTGAGTCCAGGGCTCAGGTCTCTCACTTGTTTTCTCCCATCATTCCTTTGGTGCTGGGATTTGAGATCTCACTTGGCACCCCTGATTTTCTGTTGGAGCTGGTATTTGATTTTGAATGTGGTGTTCCCCGTCATTATCGAGTTCTAGGCTCAGGTCTGTCATATGGCATCTCCTATCAATCTCAGGTTCAGGACTCAGGTCTCTCACTTGGCTTCTTCTATCATCCCTTGGTGTGGAGATCTAGTCTCTATGTTGGAATTTTTCATTTTACCTTGGAGCTGGTCTCTGTTCTCTAACCCGACTTCTCCCATCATACCTGGGATTTGGTTTCTGCTCTTTAATTTGGTGTTCCGCATAATTGCTGGGATCAGGATTCGGGTCTCTCACTTGGCTTCTCTCATCACCCCTTGGTGTGAGCTTCTGGACCCTATGTTGGGATCTCTCATATTGTCTTGCAGCTGGTCTCTGCTCCCTAACAGGACTTTTGTCATCACTTCTGGGTTCTGGTCTCATGTCTCTCAGTTGGTATCTCACATCGTTCCTGGTATTAGGACTTAGGTCTCTCATTTGGCATCTCTCCCTTTCCCTTGTTGAGGGGATCTGGTCTGTATGCTGGAATCCTCGATATTCTCCTTCAGCTGGTCTCTGTCCCCTAACTTGGTGTCTGTTTCCATCATTCCTGGGCTCAGGTCTCTCATCTGACTTATCCATCATTCCTTGGTGCTGGGGTTCTCTCTCTCACTTGGTGTCTCTGATTTTGTGTTAGACCTTGTTTCTGTTGAACCTAGCATTTCCCATCATTATTGAGTTCTTGGCCCAGGTCTCTCACATGACATCTCCCATGGTTCTCAGGTTCAGGGCTTAGGTCTCCCTCTTGTCTTCTCTCATCACCCTTTTGTGTGGAGATCTTGTCTCTATGGTGGAACCTTTCATATTGCCTTGGAGCTGATCTCTGCTCTCTAACTTGACTTCTCTCATCACATCTTGGATCTGGTCTCTGCTTTCTACCTTGACTCCTCCTATCATACCTGGGTTCTGGTCTCTCCTCCCTAATTTGATGTTCCCCATTATTTCTGGGCTCAGGGCTCAGGTCTCTCACTTGTCTTCTTTCATCCCTTGATCTGGAGATCTGGTCTCTATGTTGGAATCTTTCATATGGCCTTGGAACTGGTCTCTGCTCTCTAACTTGACTTTTCTCATTATCCCTTGATTCTAGGCTTTCATCAGTCACTTGATGTCTCTCACTTTCAGTTAGAGCTAATCTCTGTTGGCTAAAATAAAATCTCCCTTCATTCCTGGGTTGAGGGCTCAGGTCTCTCACCGGATATTTCTCATCATCTCTAGATGCTTGTTGTTCATGTCTTGCTTGGTGTCTCCCTTTATTCCTGGTCTGTGGGCTCAGGTCTCTCACTTAATGTCTCTCATCATCCCTTGATGTTGAGCTTCCATCTCTTGCTTGGTGCGTCCCTTCATTCCTCGGTTGTGGGCTCAGGTCTCTCGCTGGATATCTCCCATCATCTCTTGATGTTGGGCTTTCATCTCTTGTTGGTGTCTCTCATCTTCTGTTGGAGCTGATCTCCGATCTCTAACTTGGTGTCACCCATCATTCCTGGGTTGCGGGCTCATGTCTCTTACCTCTTACTGGATATCTCCCATTATCTCTTGGTGCTGGGCTTTTATCTCTTACTTGGTGTCTTTCATCTTCTGTTGGAGCTGATCTCTGATCCCCAACTTGGCATCTCCCATCACTTCTGGTCTGTGGGCCCAGGTCTCTCACTGGATATCTCCCATCATCTCTTGATGTTGGGCTTTCATCTCTCACTTTGTGTCTCTTATTTTTTGTTAGAGCTGATCTCTGATCCCTAACTTGGTATCTCCTATCATTCCTGGGTTTTGGGCTCAAGTCTCTCACTGGACATCTCCTGTTATCTCTGGATGCCAGGCTTCCATCTCTCCCTTGGCATCTCACATCATTCATGGTTTGTAGGCTCAGGTCACTCACTGGATAACTCTCATCATCCCTTGATGCTGGGTTTTCATATCTCACTTGGTGTCTCTCACTTTCTGTTGGAGCTGATGTCTGTTTTCTAACTTGGTGTCTCCCATCATTCCCAGGTTGTGGGCTCAGGTCTCTCACTTGATGTCTTCCATCATCCCTTGGCATTGGGGCCCGGTTACTATCTTGGAGTCTGTCATGTTGTCTTGGAACTGATCTCTGCTCCCTAAATTGACATGTCCCATCATTTCTGGGTTCTGGGCTCATATCTCTGACTTGTTGTCTCCCATCATTTCTGGGTTCTGGTGTCTGCTTCCTAACTTGATGTCTCTCATACTTCCTGGGCTGTGGGCTCAGGTCTCTCACTTGGCATTTCTCATTATTCTTTGTCCCTAGGGACTGAATCTTTATCTTGTGTTTCCCATTTTCCTGTAGCATTGGTGTCTGATCACTGACTCCCAGTCTTTCATCTTCTCTTGGAGATAGTCTCTGCTCTCTAATTTGCTGTCTTCCACTATTTTGAGTATATGAGCTCAGTTCTCTCACTAGATGTCTCTCTTCATCCATTGGTGCTGAGGTCTGAGCACTCATCTGTTGTCTCTCACTCTTGTTGACCTGACTGATCTTGTGGTTCTGGCCTGTGGTCTTGTACTGGATGTTTTCCATAATTGCTTGGAGCTGGATCCTGGTTTCTCACTTGTTTGCTGCCAACATCCTGAGATACAAGAATCTTGTCTTCTCTCACTTGATGCCTCCCAGTATCCCTTGGTGTTGGGTTCTGGATTCTTACTTGGTGATGCTCATCAACTCTTGGTTCTAAGATCTGCTCTCTACCAGATTGTCTTAGATAACCTTGGAGTTCTAGCCTCCTGTCTCTCACTTGAACACTTCTGTAATCACTTTGTGTTGACAAATGACCTCTCTCTTGGTATCTTACAGAGTCCTGGGATTCTAGGCTTTGGTCCCTCACTTGTCATTGCCCATCACTATTTGCTTTGGGATTTGGTTTCTCACTTGGTGTCTCTGTACATCCTGGGAATCTTGCCTCTGATCTCTCACTTGAAGACTGCCATCATTCCGTAGTGGTGGGACCTGGTTTTTTACTTGATTTCTTCTCACATCACAGATCTTAGAATTTAGGTCTCTCACTTGGTGTTGCCCCAAATCCTGAGGTTTAGGGCTTATGTCTCTTATTTGAAGTCTGTCAGCATTCTGGGGTTCTACACTCTGGTCTCTCACTTGATGCCTTCTGTCATGCCTTAGTATCGGGACCAAGTCTCTCCTTTGGAGCCTTTCACTATCCTGGGTTTCAGGGCCCAGGTGTTTTGCCTTACATTGTGGAACATCCTGCAACTCTTGCCTATGGTCTCTTACTCGATGACTTCCCTCAGGTCCCAGTGCTGTAATCTTCTCTCTGACTTGGTGTCTTCCAACATTCTGAGATTCTAAGGTCTGATTTCTCATTCCATGAGTCGCATTATCCCTTAGGGTTGGGATCTGGTTTCTTATGTGGTGTCTTTGAACGTCCTGGGATGCTGGGTTCTAGTCTCTCATTTGATGCCTTCTGTCATGCCTTGATGTTGGCATCTGGTCTCTCATTTGGTGTCTCCCAGCATCCTGGTATCTTAGGCTCAGGTTTCTCCCTTGGCCCCCCCATCATTGCTTGGTATTTGGGCTTGGCCTGTCACCTGGTGTCTTCCAATATTTTGTGGTTCAGGGCTCAAGTCTCTCACTTGGTGTCTTCTAATATGCTGTGATTCTTGGTTATGAGCTTTAACTCCATGACTCTCATCATCACTGGGTGTTGGGATTTGGTCTCTCACTTTATGTCTCCAAATATCCTGGGACTCTCGGCTCTGATCTGTCTGCTGACGTTTTTTCTTTGTCTGGTTGCCTGCCTTTGAGTCCTTTTGCTTGTCGTCCTTGCATTTCGGATCTTCTCTCCATTTCCTTTAATTCAGGACAGAGAAGAGCTTTTATGCATGCATGATAGGCTTTTGTCACTGTAAGCACCAGCAAAATGAATTCACTGAAATCAACTGTTTTGTGACCATCTTGATCCAGCTGTTGGAGGATTTTTCTATTGTCTCAGAATTAGTTGTTTTCTATGAGAAAAAAATCAAGAAAGTAGTTTATTAATCATTTGTTATTTTTTTCCTTCTCTTATGTTTTGTTACCAAGAAAATTCCTTAGGGGACATTTAAGAGGTCTGTTTTCTAGTTCTATTTATAGCTATTTCACTGCATATTATTTTCTATGGCAGTATTATGTATATTTTTATATTTTGAGATCACAGTAACTGAAATGTATATTCCTAGTATTAATAAAATATAGCATTATTTTATTACATATTTATTAACCACTAACACACCCTGTTTTCCCCCAACTCTCAATGATGACTCTGCTTTATAATGAAATCCAAGTCACCAAACTGGAACTCTCTCATTTATCCAAGCAAAGGAACAAACTTTCTTTAATGTGTACTCTTTCCTGAGACAGTAGAGGAAGTTTTTCTCTTTCTATCCAAAGCAAATCCATCTGTTTGTGCCCTCGAGTTCATGCCCTTTACTTTATAAAAGACTGAGTTACTTCTGATAATTTCTCTTTCTCTTGACTTTTTGATGCTTTAGTCTCTACTGGATCATTCCAGACAGAGAAACAGTATGCTTTATTAGCTATCATACTTTAAAAAATTTCCTGTGGTCTGGGCACAGTGGTTCATGCCTGTAATCCTAGCACTTTGGGAGGCTGTGGAGGCAGGTGGATCACCTGAGGTCAGGAGTTCAAGACCAGCCTGGCCAACATGGTGAAACCTCATATCTCCTAAAAATTAAAAAATTAGCCAGGCGTGGTGGCAGGTGCCTGTAATCCCAGCTACTCAGCAGGCTGATGCAGGAGAATCTCTTGAACCCGGGAGGCAGAAGTTGCAGTGAACGGAGATCATGCCACTACACTCCAGCCTGGGTGACAGAGCAAGACTCCATCTCAAAAAAAAAAAAAAAAAAAAAGTCCTGTGCACCACATTCTCACATCTCACATCTCTTTCTTTCTACCAGCCAATATCTCTTCTCACCATTTATTGCCAAGCTTCTTGAAAGAGTTATCTGTAAATGTCTCCGCTTCCTTACTCTTCATTCTCCCTTAATATGTGTCATTTTGGCATCCATATTCACCACCACACCAAGTGGTTTCCTTGGTACCAAATACAGTGGACACAATCTTTTCTTTACTGGACCTCAGTTGACACAACTGACTAATCCTTCCTTTCGAAACATTTTCTTATCTTGTATTTCATGACATCCCACTCTCCTGGTTTTCATTCTATATCTTTGGCCCCATGTTTTCATTTTCTATCCTCGTTTCACCTTTTCTACTTAGCCTCTAAATGTTGGAGTTACTCAGGATTTAGTATAGGACACTCTTCCTATCCTATGTTTTTACATTCTCATCTATTCCCGTAGCTTCATACCATCAATTAGCTGATGATAATCAGATTTTTGTCTTTGTGCAAGCCAGATCTCTCTTCTGAGTTCCAGACATGTATGTCTAACTGCTTTGGTGACATCTTTTCTGTGATATATCACAGGTAGAAGAAATTCAACATGTCCAACTCTTGATTTTCTTCTTATGTCTATTTCTCATCAAGTCCACTCCATCTCAGTAAATGGCACCACCGTCCTTCCAGTTTCTCAAGCCAGAAGCATGGTAGCTGTATTTGATTCTTTCCTCTCATTTACCCCTACAGTCCAGTCCATAATAAAGCCTTTTGTTTCTATCTCCAAAATGTACTGTCAATCCATCCACTTCTTTCCTTCTCCATTGTTTGGACTTCCTCAATCCAAGCTACCATCATCTTTTGCCAATACTGTTGCAGTAGCCCTTTTTTTTTTTTTTTTTTTGAGTCAGGGTCTTACTCTGTCACCCAGACTGGAGTGCAGTGGCATGATCATAGCTCACTATAGCCTCAAACTCCTGGGCTCAAGCGATCCTTCTGCCCCAACTTCCCAAGTAGCTGGAATTACAGGTGCAAGCCACCATGCCTGGCTCTGCAGTAGTGTGTAGTGTTCTAAGTGGTTTCTTTGCTTCTTCTTTTGCCCATCCAAACAGCAAGTGAATTTAAAAATTTGCCCATCCAAACACCAAGTGAATTTAAAAATTTGTGATTTAGATTTAATTATTCCTCTGCTCAGAACTCTTTAATGCCTTCCTATTACATATATAAATTACTTAACATGGTTGAAAAAGCTCCGCATGATTTAGTCCCTGCCTGGCTCTCCACTTTCATCTCCTGCCATTCTTTCTGCCCAGCCACACCGAACTTCCAGTTCCTTGAGCACAAAAGCTATTTCCTTACTCAAGGACTTTATTAGTACTCCTTTTTTTTTTTTTCCTGGAACACTTCCTATTCTTCATCTAGTCAACTCCTACACGTCCTTCAAGTCTTGACTTAAATGTAATTTCCTTAAAGAATCTCCTCTGACTTCCTAGCAGAACATAACTCTTATTATTGGTTTTGTTTGTTTTTTTTGTTTTTATTTTTTTCAGATGGAGTCTCGCTCTGTTGCCCAGGCTGCAATGCAGTGACGTGATCTTGCTCACTGCAACCTCCATCTCCCGGGTTCAAGTGATTCTCCTACGTTGGCCTCCAGAGTAACTGGGACTATAGGTACGTGTCACCACTCCTGGCTGGTTTTTTTTTTTTTTTTTTTTGAGATGGAGTCTCGCTCTGTCACCCAGGCTGGAGTGCAGTGGCATGATCTCGGCTCACTGCAAGCTCCGCCTCCTGGGTTCATGCCATTCTCCTGCCTCAGCCTCCCGAGTAGCTGGGACTACAGGCGTCCACCACCATGCCTCGCTAAGATTTTTGTATTTTTAGTAGAGATGGGGTTTCACCATGTTGGCCAGGCTGGTCTCCAAATCCTGACCTCAAGTGATCCACCCGCTTTGGCCTCCCAAAGTGCTAGGATTACAGGCATGAGCCACCATGCCTGGCCATATTGTTTTTAACTATATATTGTTATGTTTACTTGGTTTATTGTCTATAAGTTTTTTGAAGGCAGGAACCATGTCTATTTTGCTGGCTACTCTTCCCAGAGCCTACAAAGTTACCTGGAACATATGTGATGCTAAGTAAATATCAGTTGCATAAATGAATTAATAGATATATGACAGGAATGATCCCAGGCTAGAGAAACAAATAAAAGCACAAAAGGACATGGTCTCTGCCTTCATAGACAAGTAAACAGGTAATTATAACACACTGTAATAAGTGCCACAGGGGTGAAATGGGAGCCTATATGACAAATAGCTAAATAGGGTCACTTTGGCTGCATGTAGGTAATAGATGGTGGATAGTATTGATAGGGAGGGACAAGAATAGAGGGGAAGAGACCAATTAGGAGGTTATTGCAACAATTCAAGTCAGAGATACTGGTGGCCTAGAACACTTCAGGGGCAGTGGTTGAGGAGAGAAGTGGCCAGGTCTGAGAGATATTTATTTAGAAGTCAGAATCAGGAGGGCTTGGTGATGAGATTAGATGTGAGAAGTAAAATAGATGGAGGTGTCAAGGCTAGCACCCAAGTTATTGACTTGGACAAATGAATGGCTAGTGCTGCTGTATTTGTTTGAATATAGGATGTAAAAGGAAGATGAGGTTTGTACAGGTTGAATTTGAAATGCTTGTGCCATATCTGATGGAGATGCTCCATGGGTCTGAAGCTCAGGAAAGTGATCTGGTTGATAAGTTGACTGAAAGTTTCAGCATACAGAGAGTGGTTTCAGCATACAGTGGTTGAGGCAAGCAGAGTCTATGAAATCCCCAGGAGACATGCATAAAGTGAGAAGAGAATTCCAGAGCATATCAACCCTTAAGTGATGAGCAGAGGAAGAGGAACTTGAAATGACTCTGAGAGGAAACAGCTGGAGACATAAGAGGAAACCTAGGAGAGGGTAGTGTCACTGGAGCCAAGAAGACAGTTCCAAGTAACACAGTAAATGTGCAAGGAGTGAGCCCCTGTCCTTCTTACCTCCAAGGCCATTCCAAACTCTTGTCTGAGAAGTGTCTTGAGTTTTGTCTTGTTCAGCCTCTGCCAGTCTCCATCACTCTGCGTGCTTGTGGAAAATGTCGATGATACTGATGCTGCTCCTCAGAAGATAGGGAAGCATCTTGTTTTGCCAACTGGAGTGCACCTGGAATGCACCAAGGAATACCCAACTTGTTTAATTTTTCTGAATCTCTATCATCCCTTCTTTCTTCATCTCTTGGAGGTAAATTACAGTGTAAAGATCCGGCTTATTTGATTGTTTATCTGACTCCTTTAGAGATTTTTCTTTGAGGGCCAGGACCATGTCTTATCTATTTTTTATTTATCCTAGTGCCTCAAATATAGTAGAAGTTCAATAAATGCCTGATGAATGGGTGCAGAAACAAATGAGTGAACCCTGATTTGAGTGATATGTTGGAATAGGTCTGTGGTTCCCAAACTTTGCTGTACTATAGAGTCACCAGGAGGAGCTTTAAAGAAATAAAGACTCCAGGCCCCACCTCCAGAGAGAGTGGCTCAATAGCTCTGGGGTAGAGTCCTAGACTCTGCATTTAAAAAGCTCCCCACTGATTCCTTTGCAGCCGCAAGAACTACTGGCCACCTGACCTCTGAGATCCTTTGCAGCTAGAAAGTTTTGCAATGGCAATAATAATGAATTAACTGACTTAGCAAGCATTTCTTAATTTCCTTTGTGCCAATGCTGTGTTGTGTTCTGGGAATGGGAGATGAATAAGAAATAGCTCCTTTCCTCAAGGAATTCAAAGCTTGGAGGAGGAGATGCAGTTATCTCAGTACAGTCTGATAATTTACACGTAGCGGTGGCTGGGGACTAAGACAGGAGCTCTTCTTAGATGATGCCATTCTTGAAGATTATAGAGCAGTACTTTTAAAACATGGGCAAAGTCCACTAGGGTATTGCTCCTGTCATTCTAATTACAACTTGTCAGTGTTAGAACTTTCATAGAATTTTCCAGAAAGCCAAAGCTATATCTGCGCAGTCTAATTGTCTATGTAAGAATACTAAGGAAGGAAAACATTTACAAAAACAGAAATATAATTTTTTTAAAGAACTTACTTAAATTGCCAAGAGAAATGGAGGACTCAGGCCTGAGAGCTCATGGAATAATGGGCTTGGGGATCCTGGTGCTTATATAGGGGTTTTAATTACACCCTTTAACCTGACATCTTTTGCAGACAACACCCTTGGTGTATAATGGACTGAATCATTGCCAACCAAACCCCATTCCACCTGTTTCTCCTCTAAGCGGGGCTTTTAAACTCAGCATTTCCTTGAATGCCACCCCTATTTTGCATTTGTTCTGTGTCTGCAGCCTGGCTCCTGAGGGACAGCTACTTCTCACATCCCTGTGGGGCCATAGTGCCACCAGGATGTCTTGACAGTGTGCTGAAGTACTCTCAAGAAAAACCTTGTGAACCAATAGTGGCCTCATCTCCTGCAAGTAAAATGAGTTCTTAACCTGAGCCATTTTAGTCATGAACAAGATCTCTTTCACTGTCTGTAATTGCACATTTTATTTGGATATGTTGAGGCTGAAGTGCCCAGTTGCATTAGATGCTTGCTATACTGTGATGTAAAACACAAACATGAGTCTGTCTTAATCCCCACCTGGCCTATTCCTTCGGCGGGTGGTTCTGTGCCTCACGACCCATCTCCCTGTGTCTATCTGCTGTCAAAGCATAAGTTGTTTGCCCTGTGTGAGAGACAACAACTTTTCGTATTTGATGGTGATAGCAGCAAAATGTTGGACACAGGAGAGGATCTGTGGGCTGCAGAGTTGGCGGTCTGTTGAAACGTCACTGCTTGAAAGTTAAAAACCATTTTCAATTTCACCAGCTTATAAATAGTTTCTTTGTTTCTGAAGAAATTATGTATGGGTGGATGTACTCTAACATAATCCTTTATGATACTAAAAATAATTCCCACTCACCTTTTAAAAATTTATCAATTTTTATTTTAAGTTCTGGGGTACATGTGCAGGATGTGCAGGTTTGTTACATAGGTAAACGTGTGCCATGGTGGTTGGCTGCACAGATCAACCCATCACCGAGATATTAAGCCCAGCACCCATTGGCTACTCTTCCTGATGCTCTCCCTCCCACAGCTCCCCCTCCACCCACGTTTACTGCAGACATTCTGTAGGATTCTCTTAGAGATAGCCGGTTCTATCATCTTGTTAATGGCTATGAGGTGAGCAGTACTGGAGAAATCTTTAATAGCCTGTGGATATGACAAAGAGTTTGAAGAGCTATAAAATCAGATAAGTGAATACAGGCAAATGTATTTCCTGAGGAGCATGGTAGCTCTTTTTTTTTTGCTGCTCACCCTGATTTTGAGAATAGCTCCACAAGGAGACACCTTTCCTGTGTGGGGGGATACTGGGGCCATAGGCTACTGCTATTTCCCAAAGCAAAACAAGCCTGGATCCTAAATCTTTTTTACATCTAATTTGGTTTGTTTGTTTTTAAGTCTCCCACATGACTTCTAAAATTGTATGTAATAAAGACACTTTGAGCTTTTCCTGATGTCTGTAATAAAAATATAAAATGTCTTCTCTTCAGTTTCTCTCCTGAACATCCCCATGGCCCTGGGGAGTTTATTTTTCTAGAATGTCTAAAGTGTATTATTTATTCAAAACAAAACAAAACAAAACAAAATAGTTTCTATGAGGAAATATTCTAGATACTTGACTCAATAATATTTCATTATTTTTGAATTTGTGTAGGAAACTCTTTCTTGCCCGTATTCAGACAGCCCAAGGCATGGGTGACTACTGAAGGAGGAGGAGGCAGGTCTTTCTCCCTGTGTGTCTAAAGGGCAGGAGCCTGATGAACTGGCTCCGTGTGGTCATTAGTTGCCGTTAGAGTGATTAATAAGAGTAACAGAGATAATTATAATTCTTGCTTTGAAAAGCCTTGCTTTTGAGAGGAATTATCCTTGTGCAAATGTCTCCCCACCCTCTTGGTAAATCGTCTTTGGCAGCCAGACCTGTAGCTTCTGGGTTTGCCTGTGGTCTCCGGGCTGCTGTTGCTGACACACCTGGTCTGCTGCCCGTCTCTCCTGAGTTTGGCTCATCTGATTCCTGGGCCTTCTTGCTTTTCTCCACTCTTTCTCATTTTCTGATGGTCTCTCTCTGTTCTCTTTTCCGTCTTCCTTTTGTCTTCCCCCCTTTCAACATTTCAATCTCTTTCTGTTTCTCATTGTCCCTTTCTTTGTGTGCCTTTTCTTACCTCTGTCTCTTCTACCTCTCTATTCCCACCCCATTTGTTTCAGACCTGAAGTCTCCATTCAGTTTGATCTTCCCTTTCGTTCTTTTACCTAAAAATTTATTAGTTTCTATCAGGGAAAATAAAAGACAAGTAGATTGAAAATGAATGCATCCAGTTCTTGCTATGAGAAGGGAAAGAGACGCTTACTGTGTGTCCACACCAGGCGATAGCCTGCCATAGTCACACAATGGGGAGGCCTGCTTGGTGCCAGGGCCCATGCTTACCACCCACACTGCCTGTACAAACAGGACATTTTCTGACCCAGAGTCCATGTGCAATGGTGACAGAATGACTTCTGTGGTGACACTCTTCTGATGACGTGGTCTTTGCCCCTCAGCGTCAAGGTTTGTCTTGACACTGCCTGGGAGGAGTTTCCTGGAAAGTGTCCACAGCCATGATTACAGATAAGAGGAGACTGCCAGAGTCATTTGAAGGCATCAAGTTGTCTGTAGGAGAAGCTTGGTGATTGGAGGAGTTGCTGCTGGGGTGGCTATCCTGAGTGCACATTTGGACTTTGCCTGCTCTGTGACCTCAGGCATCTTACCAAATCCCTCTGAGCCTCAGCAGTGGGATCTAGTGGTCACCATTTCTTGGATGTGTCATAAGGATACGGTGTGGCTCAGGGAAGCACTGGATTATAATGTGTTTTAAGCTCATTCTGAAGAAAAGCACCGTGCAAATCCCAGTTATTATGTTTATTATGAGGTTCAGCATGATTAAATGCAAAGAATTTGTTCCATCTGAATGAGGCTTTTAAAAATACACTGGGGCCAGTAATTACAGAAATGTAGGCTCCCCTAAACATGTTCCCAATTAGGAAGGGATGTAACTGAATGAACTGGGGCATGGCGGGGGACTCTCAGATCCTTGACATGTTCTTGGTCAGCTCAGTCAAGCTTTTCTTGATCAGAAAATGGAAAAAAGCAGAAAATTCTCATCCCTTGTGTCTTTCTTAGAAGAAGATAATAAACCCAGTGGCCAAAGAATGTTAACATTTAACTGATTTTCCTTATGTATCAGGACCTTTTTCTGAAACTATGATTGTTAAGGATTTTAAGTAAGACCCAAATCAGTATGGGGTATGATTTTCTTGTTTGTGATTAAAACATATGGAAGTAATTATAGATCTCAAAGTAATTTTTATTTATACACAAATAATACATACGTTCCTGATCCTTGAAAAAATTGAAACATTACTTGATGACATCTAAGACTTCTTTGACTACTACTGTCTCTCCTGATTCCCTTTTACTTTTCTCAGAGGCAATGACCATTATCAGTTTGGTGTTTTTCTTTCTGAGCTTTTCCGTCTTTAGAAGTAGAGAAAACCAAGGTGGACATGGTACGCAAGTCTCCACATGGTTTTCTTCTGTGGTTTAGCCTCATCTCCTGGGCCAGATCATATGCTTCTTGAGACCAGAAACCACATGAACTCCTTGATCTGATTCCACACCACTCCCAGGCCTGGAATAGAATCATGGAGAAGTGAGGGGAATGGTGAGGAACAGTTAACTAAACGCTTGTTTGAGAAAAATTATTGTCCTGCAGTTTACTCAAATAGAGCTAGTAACTCGGCTGGGCAAGTTTCAGATTCTGTGTTTCAAAACCACCTCAACCCACCCAGTGGAAACCAGAATATTCTCATGGCTTTACAAAAACGCCTGAGCTTTAAGCTTGATCTAAAGGGCTCAGCAAAGAAGCATTGCTCCTGAGAGGCTTCCTGTCTGCCTCAAGCTCCCTGTCTCAGCCTCCAGGTAGCCTCATCCTCATGCTCCACTTGCCCAGACATGGACCTCAAAGAAACTCCTGTCCACCTTCTTGGGGGTCCCTTCAGGGGTAGTTGTGTGTCATCAGCCACCCTCAGAGTTGGCTCTGAAACATTCCCCGGTTTCTCCTTCAGTGGTTTGTGGAGGTCAGGAAGAAATGCATGTGATATTTTCTGAAGGTTCTGGACAATCCTAATGTTGTCATGAAGCCTGCTGGCCCCTTTAGGCAACATACACACCCAGACATATATCGATAGTGATGGAAGAATTCCATCTTTTCTTCAAATTCTCTTCTCTATTTTTACTTTCTTTCCTTAAAATGGTGCCTAGGATGGGTCCTTGTGGAAAGGACAGTGCTGGGGTTGCAACTCCTATCTCAGTGCTTTGACAAGCCCTCAAGAAATAAGGTTTATGGCTGTTTTTAGGAGACTCCATCACAGGCCCTCCTCACCATCCAGGCTTCTCTCCTGTTTGCCCATATCTGGAATAGGACTGACTGTACTCCTGGCTCTCTGAGCACCACACCCTCTCGCCTGCCTCCATGCCTTTGTTAATGCTGGTCCTTTCGGCCTGAGAGGAACCAGGCCCATCCCTGCTGGCCAAGCTCCATCTTCTCCTGGGAGCCTTCCCTGGTGACTTGGTTGGGTCCACACTTCGCTGACCTCCTCTTTTCCCACTGTCACCATCATTGCTTATGACATTCCTACCATACTATCCTCCTTGTTGTTCCTTGAATGTGCTAGGCATGCCCATCTCCAGGCCTTAGTACGTGCCGTTTCCTCTGTGAAGTGCTCTTTTCTGAAGTGCATGGTTTCCTTTCTCACCTTCTGCAGGTCTCTGTTCGGGTGTCATCTGACCTTCCTCTCTTAAACAGCAACACTCCCACTTCCCCTGACTCCCTCCCTACCCTCCTACTCTGCTTTTTACTCTCCCTAACATTTATCCCACATGAGTTAGTATACAATTGTTTGTCTATCTGTTTATTTTCTATTTTCCCCATTAGAATGTAGAAACATGAGGGCGGGAACTTGGTCTGCTTTGTTCACCGCTTTATTCCCAACACCTAGAAATTGCTTACCAGGTGGTAGTCATGTAGTAAATATTTGTTGAAAAACAAATCAACAACTCTAACTACCATATTTTGCCCCCCTGAAAAAAAAGTTTCTACACTGATTATGGGTGCCATGCCCAGCCAGGCCTGCACTGAGGCATTTGGCAGGAGTTGGATGATGAAGCTTTATACATGCCCTGAGTTGTGTGCTCTCCAGTTGTTTCATGAGCAGGTCTTGTCTTAATTATATTGTGAGCTACTTGGGGGTAGAAATCAAATTTTGTTCTTCTTCTTAACTACTTAACACTTGAAATGCGTCTGGGTTCCATTAGTGATTATTTGTTTATTGTTCCAAAAAAGAACTAAAGGTTGCCAATGGGGGAGTCACAGTGTGTGGTCATTAACTGCTTATTGACTGATTGATTAGTGATGGCAAATCCTGATGAGGTAGATTGACTCTAAGGACAGAGTGGATGTGGCTGTTGGAAGATGCATTTGGGTCCTTATGTAAAATTCTGGGTTCTCCTTGCAGGGTGTGATATCTCTGACTGGTGTCTGAATGTCCGTGGCTCTTTCTTCCACCTTCCTAACCTAGATTCTGACAAATATATTCCTGGCATTAAGAGTGGTTGTAAAACTAGAAACATATATCACTGTATATAAACCAAAGTATGTCTTTATCCACTACTTATAGTCTTTCAGAGAGACTTAATTTTCCCTTTTTAGTGTTATTCATTTACAGCCTCTTCATATAGATTTGAAGCAGCTTATCATATACAGTAAAGTGGTTAAATAAAAAAGGTAGAAAATAAGAACTAGGAAAAAGGAAAATTCAAATTTGTCAACCATGAGGGTCAACACAATTGCTGTTATTACTCTTCATTCTTGGCTCAGGGATTTCTGACAGCAATTCCCAAAGGAAAACACCATCAGTTTTATGGCCTTCACAATCAGAAAGTAAGATAACTATGTACGCTTTTTGTGGCAAAAGAGAGCATTTCTCAGGACTGAATTCTAAAAAGAATATCTCATGGGGACTTTATAAAGGTGAGTACTGCATGATAAAATGGATAAAGTTCTCAACAGCATTTTGACAGCCAAAGAAGTGGTAAGTTTCACATATGTATTTCTTATAGTTTTGGCAAAAATTGAGCACATGAATGAGGAGGTTTTATTCAGTGGGCATAAAAAAATTAAGGATCTGACTTCAATATGTAACTCGGTGAAAGCTATTATGAATTGTCTATTTTGTTAATCACCATATACCCTGTATACATAGTTTAATAGGTGGTCAATTGTTAAGTTAATAGATGAATAAAGTGTCTCTCATATTTGGTACTATTCCAGCTTCAATGTTAAATAGTAAACAGATACATATTAAGCATCTACTAATTCCAGGTGGTTTGCTGGGCACTTTCATATGTATTGTTCCACTTATTCTCTTTAAACACATTTTCTTATTGAAGAATATTCAGATCATAAGTGTACAGCAATGAATTATTACAAAGTAAACACTTCCATGTAACCACTGCCCAAATCAAGAAATAGAACATTAATCAGGACTCTGAAAGTCCCCATGTTCTTCCCCTTCCCTCCTCCCTAGTGGTACCATTATCCTGACTTCTAATGCCATAGATTAGGGTTTTCTTTTGGTTGTTGGTTTTGAACTTTATGTAAATGCAGCCACTCAGTATGAAGGCTTTTGTGTCTGGCTTAATTTTGTCAACATTATGCTTGTGAAGTTCTTCTATGTTGTGGCATACGGCTTTAATTCTTTCAGTCTCATTGCTGTATAATAGTGCATTGTATGAATATAGCACAATTTGTTGTTGTCCATTTTCAGTTAATAGATCTTTGGATTGTCTTCTCCTTTGGGGTGTAACAAACCGTGCTGCAATGAATACTTTTCAACATGTCTTTTGGTGCATTTCTGTTGGGTTATCTGCCTGGGCTGGAGTTACTTAGTTATGGAGTTTGCATATGTTTAGCTTTAGAGATATTGCCCTACAGTTCTCCTAAATGATTATTGTATCAATTTATTTCTCTACTACTAGTGTGAGAGTTCTAATTGCTCTACATCTTTGCACACACTTGACATTATTGCTTGTAAATTTCAGACATTTGATAGGTATGAGTGGTTCTCAACATGATTTAATTTGCAATTATCTGATATCTGATGAGGTTGAGCCAGTATCTTTTTATTGGCTTTAAAAATATCTCATTTTGTGTCTTTTCCTTTTTTTTTTTTAAGAAAAGAGATTGCCTTTTACTCATTGACTTATAGGCATACTTTGTATCTTCTGCATACTAGCTCTTTCTTTTTAATTCTTCACAATAACTGTGAGTTATAATAACATTTTATACAGGCAGATACTGAGGTCACAGAAGTTAAGTAATTTACTCAAGGACACTTGGGGTATTAGGGTATAAGAATTATCCCTTCTCTTCAGTGGCTTGTAATCTACTTGTTTGGGGAAATACTGCTGAGAACAATTAGTGAGTAATATTAGGTAATAAATATTAAAGTATTAATCTGGATGGTGCAGGCTATGAATGATATAACAGTTAAAAGATCAGTGTGAGCTTTCTAGTGGAGGTCAGATTTAGTCTAGGACTTGAAGGATAGGTATAACTGAGGAAGTAGAGAGGAAATTAAAAAAACATTTCAGCGAGGGTGACCACAAGAGCAGAGGCATGGAGCTGGAAGTAATACTACTACTAACAAGTTGCCTTTGAATAGCTCTTTGCAGAACTTTTTGTCTTAAGACCACCTCTCTTATGCAGGGACATGAGTGCAGGGACCATGACTGTTCCATTCACTCAGGCATGTCCAGTGTACACCATGGTGCCTGGCACATGACCAATGCTTAACAAATATGTTCAAATAAAATGAATGAATGAGTGAATTCAATCCCAACAATGTACCTGTAAACCTAATAGGATAGAATTTAAATGATTAAGGTGAGGGTTGAAAGTTAAAAGACAATTAGATGACCAATCTATGGCTTCTGAAAGATTTCTACAGAAACTAGTGGTAAATTGTAATTAGAGAGATAGATTATAGAGAGTCTGATCAGTTTAAACTTGATGTAGCATGTAGGAAAGCATAAAGTGTCACTGAGAGGTCTTGAACAGAGGGAGGTGAAAAGGTGCAAACAGTGTTTTGCAAAATTCATGAGTGATTGAATGGGGACTGGACAGGAATGGGGGGACAGCTAAGAAGAGGCTGTTGCAATGATATAGGCACTCACTTATGTATTCAACAAACATTTATTGAAACCATAGAATACATCTGGCGCGGCCGGGTGTGGTGGCTCATGCCTGTAATCCCAGCACTTTTGGAGGCTGAGGCGGGTGGATCACGAGGTCAAGAGATCAAGACCATCCTGGCTAACATGGTGAAACCCCGTCTCTACTAAAAATACAAAAAATTAGCTGGGCATGGTGGCAGGCACCTGTAATCCCAGCTACTTGGGAGGCTGAGGCAGGAGAATCGCTTGAACCTGGCAGGCGGAGGTTGTAGTGAGCTGAGATCGTGCCATTGCACTCCAGCCTGGGGAAAAAGAGCGAAACTCCCACTTCCAAAAAAAAAAAAAAAAAATCTGGCGCTAAACTTCATGCTACTGAAGAATAGCAAGATGCGTAAGTTGTGAGCCTTGCCATCAAGGAGTTTATAGTCTAAAAGGAGAGCTTAGACAAGCACACAAATAATTATAACTCAATACAGAATGATTTTTTAAAATAGCGCAAATAAAGACTATGGAGTTCAGAGGAGGATAAGATCTCCTCTGGCCAGGGCATCAGGAAAGGTTCAAGTAGTACTCTAGAGCTGCGTCCTGCCTGCCTCTGCCTCCCTGCTCCCCTGCCTCCTCTCTATCACATTATCTTCCATTATTACCTGGAATTGTCTGGTTTATTTATTATTGTTTGTCTCTCCCTTCCTTCAGTAGAATACAAGCTCCAAGATGACGAGCTAACTTGTTTTGGACACTGCTGTATCCCTAATGCTTCACCTAATATCTGGCACTAACATGGATTTTTTTTTTAAAGAAAATTTGGAATGAATGAATAAAGTGTCATTGGCATCAGATCCCATAAGACAAACGGGATTGGTCATTCAGGAAAAGTTGCAGGGAAAGATATCATTTTAGGTGAAGGGTACATGAAGTCCTACAGGGAATGGAGAATGAAAGATGGATCTAGAATATAGACTTAAGAAAAACTATAGAGGAAGCGGCTAACTATGGCGACTGCCACTGAGCAGTGGGTTCTGGTGGAGATGGTACAGGCGCTTTACGAGGCTCCTGCTTACCATTTTATTTTGGAAGGGATTCTGATACTCTGGATAATCAGACTTCTTTTCTCTAAGACTTACAAATTACAAGAACGATCTGATCTTAACAGTCAAGGAAAAAGAAGAACTAATTGAAGAGTGGCAACCAGAACCTCTTGTTCCTCCTGTCCCAAAAGACCATCCTGCTCTCAACTACAACATCGTTTCAGGACGGAGTCTTGCTCTGTCACCAGGCTGGAGTGCAATGGTGCGATCTCGGCTCACTGCAACCTCCACCTCCCGGGTTCAAGCCATTCTCCTGCCTCAGCCTCCTGAGTAGCCGGGACTACAGGCACAAGCCACCATGCCCACCTAATTTTTGTATTTTCAGTAGAGATGGAGTTTCACTATGTTGGCCAGAATGATCTCGATCTCCTTTTTTTTAATTAAAAAGTAAACTTTAATGTCGAAAATGCAAACTTGGGGAGGGCAGAAAGATCACACACAAGGCTGTCACTTCACACTTGGAAGGTTGCACAGCAGCCGGGCAGAGACGCTCCTCACTTCCCAGATGGTGAGGGGGCCGGGCAGAGGAGCTCCTCACTTCCCAGACGGTGCAGGGGCTGGGCAGAGGTGCTCCTCCCTTACAAACGGTGAGGGGGCCGGGCAGAGGTGCTCCTCACTTTCCAGACAGCGCCGCGGCTGGGCAGAAGCACTCCTCACTTCCCAGATGGGATGGTGGCCAGGCAGAGGCACTCCTCATTTCCCAGATGTTGAGGAGGCAGGGCAGAGGCACTCCTCACTTCGCAGACAGGACGGCGGCGAGGCAGAGGCGCTCCTCATTTCCCAGACGGTGAGGAGGCCGGGCAGAGGCACTCGTCTCTTCGCAGATGGGATGGCAGCGGGGCAGAGGCGCTCCTCATTTCCCAGATGGTGAGGAGGCCAGGCAGAGGCACTCGTCGCTTTGCAGACAGGACGGCAGCGAGGCAGAGGCGCTCCTTACTTCCCAGACAGGGTGGTGGCTGGGCAGAGGCGCTCCTCACTTCCCATACCGTGAGGCGGCCAGGCAGAGGTGCTCGTCACTTCCCAGATGGGGTGGAGGCTGGGCAGAGGTGGTGCTCCTCCTCAATTCCCAGATGGTGGGTGGCTGGGCAGAGGCGCTCCTCACTTCCCAGACAGGGCAGTGGCCAGGCAGAGGCACTCCTCACTTCCCAGAGTGTAAGGGGGCCGGGCAGAGGCTCTCCTAACTTCCCAGACAGGGTGGCGGCCTGGCAGAGGCACTCCTCACTGCCCAGATGGGGCAGGGCCCAGGCAGAGGTGCTCCTCACTTCCCAGACTGTGAGGCAGCCAGGCAGAGGCGCTCGTCACTTCCCAGACAGGGCGGGGGCTGGGCCGAGGCACTCCTCACTTCCCAGATGGTGGGGTGGCTGGGCAGAGGCGCTCCTCACTTCCCAGACGGTGGAGCAGCCGGGCAGAGGCGCTTCTCACTTCCCAGATGGTGCAGGCAGAGATGCTTCTCAGGTCTCAATCTCTTGACCTCCTGATCCACCTGCCTGGGCCTCCCGAAGTGCTGGATTACAGGTGTGAGCTACCACACCTGCCCTGCCGTCTCTTCTTTCTCCTCCTAAGCAGCTCTCTTAGTCTCCTGAATTTTGATGTTCTACTTAACACCCTCATGTTCTTACACATGTTGCCCTGCTGGAGGCGTCCTTCTCTTTGGGAAGCCTGACTCACCAACAGGGCCTCAGGAGATAGACATGGAAACTTAGCCGGTGGGGGCCCCTCGTCTCTATCCCACTTCAGTTGCAGGGGAGGGGTCGGTTGCAGCTGCAGCGGTGGCTCCGACAGTTTTCTTTTGTGGGAACTGTGGCTGGCAGCTCTGGATGGAGAAGACCTACTTGATCCAAGAGCTGCAGGATCCTTGGGCTGCATGTCCTCCCCCACCATCAGCAAGCCTGGAGAGCTGGGCAGGTGGTCTTTACCCAGCACCTTCAAGGCCGCCTTCTCTGGCCACAGGGAGCAGCCCGGAACTGGGGCAGGGAGCACTGTTGGAAGTGGGTCAGGCTTCCCAAAAGAAAGGATGCCTCCAGCAGGGCTGTGTGAACTGGCGACTTCATGGTCCTTGGAGTAGAAACTCACTGCATGCACCTGGGCCTTGTCAGTCTGGTTCTTTTCTATCAAGCTCTTGAGGTGGACATTTCCCTCCAAGGGCCTGGGATTGTACCAGGAGGAAGTGAGGTTTCCCTGAGTCTCCAGGAGACTAGAGGTGGAGGCTGCTTCCCCATTGCTACAGGGGCCCCTTTTATTGTCCTCCTGCCCCTGGGTCTCTACCTGGTCTTTCACCTCCGTTGCTTCTTTGGGCTCTTCTGCCCTCACCTCCATCTTCGGGAGCCTGGCTGGGATCACCTGCTCATCTAATGAAGGAAGTTGAAGGTTAAACTTGCCTCTCAGATGAGGGATCCTCACGGGGCTGAGGTGTCCAAACATCATGGAGTTGCAAGCAGACAGCATGGGTTTCTTCCTTGAAGGGGGGCTCCAGACCACAGGAGGCAGGACCCTCTGTGGGGTGCCCGTGTTCTGAGGGATAAGACACAGCCTCATAGGGGCGCCATCCCACCTGACTGGAAAAGAAGGCCCAAGATGTCGCTGACGGTTGAAGAGGAGTGGGAAACGGCCCACGATTCCCCGGGCAGGCACAGGTGCAGGAGCCGCTGGGTGAGCCCGGCCAGCTGGGAAGGCCTCACGGACAAGACAAGCAGGTTGCCGATGGCATGGCCAGGACCTGCGGCGGAACCAGGAACAAAATACGCTTAGTGAGTTGCCCATTTTGAGCGAGTTGTGCACAGACGAAACTAAGGGTCAGAAGCAGAGAGGATACTCCTAAGTCACCCACTTCTCTGTGGCCGGGTGCACACTGGGCATCTGGGAGTTTATGACATCACCATGGGGCTGGTGACAGAGCCAGGGTTGTGGAGGAGTGCTTAGGAGCCCAGCGAGGGTGCCTACAAGAGGGGTAAAAGGGCAAAGGGTGAGACCCTTCCACCGGTCCAGCTGGACTCTAGCCTCAGGGACGTCCTGCTCCTGGGGGCAGGTGTGTGGCCCTGGATGGGCCCCCCTGTGGGGCTGTTGGGGGTGCGGGGCTGATCTGCCAGAGCCCTTCCGCCTGGCGCCCGGCCCAGGTGCTGGCTGGCACCCAGTGGCCCTGTCTTGGCCGGCCCTGTCTCCCGGGTTACAGGGCCAGAACCTGGAAGCAGAGCGCAGGACCAGCCAGATCCCGCTAGGCTCCCCCGGGTCCTCTCCAGTGCCTCTGTGCCGCCTGGAGCCAGGCCCGCCTTCTCCATGGCTGCTGTGGCCTCAAGGGCCACCAGCCCCGCTCCGCAGGTTTCCAAAGAGAGGACGCGGTGCCCTGACCTGACTGGATGCGCCTCTTACCACATGCCTCCCTGGCAGGCAGTGTCTCCACTTTTTACAAATTTGCCTGAGACCATTCCTCAGGTCATTCAGGTGGTCATGGCCCAGCCAGGCTTTGAACCTGGGCTGTGTGATTCCACAGCTGGCGCTCTGGCCTGTGTGCCTCATGATCATGGATACAGCATCTATTCTTATTTTTTCCTGTAGTCCTGGGGTACTTAGCACCATGGCATATCTGTAATAAGCACATGCACACCTTGAAGGAGTTCTTCACTTCAGCATACAAGTTGACCATGGCATGCTCTGGGCTCCAGTCCTCTACAAAGATGTAGGGCAGGAACTACCAGTTGTCAGCACAGCACCATCCCACATTACTCTTCTAATGGAGCCTTTCACCCCAGATGTTCTTTCTTGTTTGATGGGAAGGATCCAAGTATGTAAAGATTATGTTCTAGATCAGCTTTGGTCTGTCCTAAAAGAAATTTGCCAGTGGATTATTCCATATGGATAAAAGTCAGTTTCTCTGGTCTTCCTGGAATGTGTCTAGAAAGCAAATACATTATTTACAAGTTCATAGTAGATCAATGTATTGGATTAAAATATGACAAACATAATTTGGTCATTGTGAGCATGCCAGCTCGGTCAACTATTCACCACACATGATGCCCTAAATATAACTCTAGGTTTTCTTATGCCCAAGAGAGGGACATACTTTTGGGTGTCTGGACTAGGAAAACATGTATGAAAAACCATTTGACCACTCTACATCTTGTTATTGGAGAATTGAAACCATCTATATTCAAAGATATTATTAAAAGGCAAGAAGTTAAAAAAAAAGAAAAACTATTGAGATAACAAAGTGGATTAGATATGAAGAATAAGACAAGGTAAATGATGATTCCAAAGTTTGTGCCTTTGAAGCATGATAGAATGAAGATTGAGAGAATGACAGTAGGAAGGAAATTGAGAAGACAAGCCAGTTTGTCTGGAAGTGGTTGACAATAGAAGGCGTCATATCTGTGAGCATTTGTAGAGACTGGATTGAAGTGCACAGTCAGGTTTGAACAAGGTGAATTGAGACTCATCAGTGTGAAAGAGATAATAGTAAGTTGGACCAAGCATGGGTTCTCACGAGGAGAAAGTTCATAAAAAGAAGAGTCCTTGGAAAGGGGGCACAGTCTTGGGCACTGGATGAGAGGAATTAACTAGGGAGATGGGGAAAGACCACTGAAGGGAGTATTTCATGAAAGACAGTCATCAATGCCCGATGTCCAAAACTGTGGAAGCTGGAGGTCTTTAGGCTTGTTGGATGGAGGGCAACATCACCTTCAAAGGAATACTTCTTGAAGGATGATGGCAAAAACATATATATATATATATATATATATATTCAGCAAACTTTTCTTCTTTCTGCCCACCATTCTATTAGTGCTGATTGCTGGAATGCTAAGAGAGTGTTTAAAAATTGTTGCTATTAAGTTTTTAATTTTTTCAGTTAAGAAAATAAAATATGCTTAGTACAGAAAATTTTGATTTCTTTTTCTATTTTAGTAGAGATTAGGTCTCACTATGTTGTCCAGGCTTGTCTCAAACTCCTGAGCTCAAGTGATCCTCCTGCCTTGGCTTCCCAAAGTGCTGGGATTACAGGCATGAGCCACTGCCCATTTATTTAATGCCGTCAGCAAACCATATAGGTAAACGTTTCTGCTTTTTGGCTGTTCTTGTTCCTCTGTGAGTTGTGCATCCTTTTCTATGACTGCCAGCACCACTGCCACTGGAGCTGTTTTGTCATTCACATTTTCTTCAATTCTAGTGAGGATTTCGAATGTTTATTGGCCATCTGTATAGCTTCTTTTGTGAATTTATTAATAATGAAGTTTTTCATTTTTATGGACTCAGATACTTATTGCCACATTGCTTGCCAAAAGGGATGACGAGTTTATGCTCTAGTATGTATATATTTATTTATACTAAAATTATCTATAATTATATATAAATAAAAATTATATATAATTTTATAAACTAAAAATTATGTATATTTTATAAACTAAAAATTAGTGTATAATTTTATAAACTGAAAATTATGTATATAATTTTATAAACTAAAAGTTATGTATATAATTTTATAAACTAAAAGTTATGTATATAATTTTATAAACTAAAAATTATGTATATAATTTTATAAACTAAAAATTATGTATATAATTTTATAAACTAAAAATTATGTATATAATTTTTTCCTTTAGTAAGTCTATGCTCTAGTGTAGTACATATGTATGTTTGTGTATGTGTATGTATATTAGAGCATGGACAAACTAAAAGAAATATATATATTTTTCTTTTTTATGAATTGTCTCATGTTTCTTGCTCATTTAAAGTAATATTTTTTTCAGATAGGGATATAATTCATATTTGAGTGTAGAATGAAAAGAGCTGAAAATATTGGAGGGGGAGGTTATATACTTGGATTTTAGGCTCTGGAAAATGTGAAGGTTGAAGTGGAAGAATACTGAACCTCGAAGGCAGAATGCAATGGGAGATGGAGTATTGGACTGCTTTTTGGCTTCAGGAAACATTGTATGATAACAATTTTATTCCTTTCCTGGGTCATGACTAAGCTTGAAGAGCATCATACTTTAATTATAGTCTTTTGAAAAAACACAAATAACTAAGATTGTTTTCGTTTTTGATCAGTGTCTCCAAGGCAAGACGGAGAATGAGGGGAAAAAAATGACCCAACAAAAGAAATTGATCATCAGGTTGTTTAATTATCAATTTTAATTTAATACCCTCATCAAACCATATAGGTAAACACTTAGTAGACTCACTGGATGGTTGGTTACAAGAGCTTCTTATAAAATCAAACATACTTTAGATTTGTGTTTTCTCTCATAATTATTCTTGATTGTTTATTTGAGCCAAAAGCTATGAAAAGTTTGTGTAAGGAGTGGGATTTAATAAAAATTTGTTGGATGAGTAATTGAAAGAATGAATCCATGGCGATAGATTCAGCTGCACCTGAACATGAGCAGAGTCATAAATTTACTTTAATCAAGTGCTAGAAAATCATAATTAAGTTATGGCATTGTCTAAAATTATTTTGAAGGATAAAATTTTAGGATGAACTTGAAATACTTCTAGGAAATGTCATGAAGCAGAGTAATCTATATATATGAATTAATATTTTATGATTATGAGATATTATTGCAGAGTCTTATAATTTCCTACTGCTCTATTTTAAATTCAATGAATCAGTTGGAAAAACTGGCACCTGCTAAAGATATGGAAGGAATTTTTCCATTTTTAATGACAGGTACATTGAGATAAACTGTCTCATGACAAAGCCCATTTTGGCATTTGGAAGTAGCATTGTTTGGTAGGAGTTTTACTGACTGTATTTGTTTGCTCAGATGTTTCTTTAGTGGTGTCCCCCACTGCTGAATATTTTATTATTTGTTTTTGTAGAAATTTAGGAAGAGAATTTAAAAGATTGTTAATCTGCATCTGAATGTGTACACGTGAGTATTGAGGGTGATTGGGAGAGAAATTGGGGGCATGTTGAGATGATAATGATTCATTGCTTTGTGGTGCTTGCCTCCCTTTGTAGTACCAGCCTCTCTCTCTGAGGGTGACCTTGCTTATCTTCCAAGGCCTGGGGAGCTGGTGTTTCCTGTGCACCAGCAGGACTCTCATCAAGTGGAAGTCCCCTGGTATATGGTTGTGATGCTTGGCTGTAGTTGAAAAAGACAGAACAATCTGAGATCTCACTGGTGAGGGATACACTGCAAAGCTCTGGGCCTGATGCCTGGGCTATCTGAACTTGCTTTTGATGCTCCTCTTGGGTTACATTTGTTTGCTGCAGTATCTTCTCCTGTAGGTACTGGTATAGTGGACTGGAATAGACTGCACCCCTCTCCACAGAACAGGGCTCTTGGTCTCTCTGCATCTGCTTTTCAAGACTTGACCAGGGGACTGAAGAATTGTGCTCTTTCTTGGCTGGACTTTTTTGGTCACCACCTTCTCCTGCCAGCTCTTGGGGACTTTCATCTTCCTCCTCTGATGTTACAGGTTCCTTTGTTTCAAGTTGTATCTTGAGGGAGGCTGAATTGTCCTCATCTAGACTTTCTAACAGAGTATTCTGGGCCTCTGTTGCTCTTCCTTTCTCTTCTTTGCTACTTGGGCCTTGGACCTTTAATTCATTTCTGCTATCTCCCTTTCCAGGGAGCTGCATTAGGGAAAGCTGGTCAGTGAAGTCTTCATCCAGGGCACCTGTGATCTCTATTTCCAGGGACTTTCTATTTTCATCTCCTGCTGTGGATTCCTGTGCTTCTGGGTGTCCATTGGGCTCCACAGCTGCACCTGGGCCTTTGGTCCCTGGGCCTTGATTCTTGTGTTCTCCTCTGGCAGGCTGTTCCTGGTCCTCTGTGAGCTGTACATCCTCTCCTCTGACTGCTGGTACCACTGCCTCCAGAGCTCTGTTTTTCTCACCAGGTGTTCCCTGCCTCTGGGTATCTGGGTTATTATTGTGACCTCCTTGCACAGACTCTCCATGTTGGTCCCCTTGACTCTGGGAGTCCCCTTGCACAGGCAGTTCACCTGTCTCTGAGCTGCTATTGCCTTCCTCTGAAGCCAGGCTGTTGGGAGTTTCAGAAGACCCCTCATCACTCTGTGTGAATGGTGACTCAGGGTCCTCCCCCTGGTAACCATCCTCCTCCTCAACTGGTTGGTCATGAGTCTTGGTGACCCTAGTATTTTCTCCTACAGACTGCTTCTCAAGTGGTGCTAAATCTTGTGTTCTTTCTCTTGCCCCCAGTGTCCTTTCTGCTGCAGGTGCGTTTTTGCTGTTCACAAATGCTTCTGCTGTGCCTTCTTTGGTGTGTTCTGCCTCTTCTCCTGAGACTGCTGTTCCTTCAAGTTCAGGGTGAGTCTGATCTCCTCCTTCTGAGCTTAGATATTGTGTCTCAGAACCTTTTTCAGCATCTTTTGATTTTGATAATCCTTGGAGTTCCTGATACTTCCCATCCTGTGTTTGGGTTTCCAGGACTAGTGGCCGAGTTTTTCTGTCACGTTCTTTCTGCCCTGCTGTTCCATGGGCCTCAGGACCTCTCCTCTCTTTCCTTTCATCTCTCATGTCAGATGTTTCTGAACCATTTCTGCTACCATATTGGACTGGCAGGTCCTTTGTTTCACATTCTTTTTCTTGGGTCTCAGATGTTCTGCCATAATCCTCAGGTTCACCCAAATTCTTTGTTTTAGCTGGTGTCTGGTCAGCATCCTTTCCTGGTTCTTGAGTGTCAAACATTCTACAGACATCCTTGGAATCAGTTGATTTCTGTGTCTGAGATGGTGACCTGGCAGCAGCTTGTTCTGGCAGGTCAGCATGCTGTGAACTGGGCTCATCTTCTCTTTGTAGGGGTGGTTCTTGTATATTAGAGTGTTTTTCCTTTTCTGTTCTAACTTCCTGATCTTCACATGGTCTTTGTGTTGCTTCTTTTGGTGGTGAACTTTGGGTTGCCAAGTTTCCTTCCTGTTCTCCAAACTGGTCTCTTATCTTGGAAACACTTTGCTCTCTGGCTGGTTCATCTCCTTCCTGGGAGATCTCCTTATCTTGTCCCTTCCTCTCTGTGGGACTGCTGGTCTTTTTTGATCCTGCCATTGGCTTATTTGTCTTAAGTTGGCCTTCATTGTCTTCTGTTGTTTGTATATCTTGAGCCACTTCCTGACTTTGTTCATCTCCTTCCAGGTGTTTGTTCTTAGGATCATTGTGTTCAGATGCTTCTCCTGGAAAGTTGTGAGTCTTGGCTTCTCTCCATGGGTCCACTCTGTTATTTCCAACTGCTCCACTTTCTTCAGGGATGAGCTGAGATGATGATGCCATTCCTGAAGGAAGCATCCTCTTTTCTTGAGTTGGTGAAGTTCCCACTGTCCACTGACCATCTCCGGTGGTTGCCTGAACATCCACATCATCTAGCTTCTCCTTCTCTGGTTTAGTCACCTGTCTTAGTTCAGAACTTAGTAATGATTTTATGTCAAGATAACAGAGGTTCAACAAGTTGAAGATTGCAAGAACAAATTCATCAAAACTGATGATGCCATTACTGTCAATATTCAGAAGATTTGAATTTTTTTCCACAGCATGAAGGACACAGGGCTGCATGAAAACACAGTGAGAAATCAGCTTATTTATATGTGGTCCAGTGTCCTAAGTGTCTCCCAAGAATCCTATTTTTCTGACCTCATTCCTCAGTAACTGGTTAACTTTCCCAGAACAGCAAGAACTTATTGGTTCTGCAAGCCATTTTTCATCAGAGAGCTATGCCTGAGAAAGAGCATTTACAACACTTGTGAGTTGCATTTTGATGCATAATGGTTTATGACTCCTTTCAGAAGTCAGCTTTGCAGAAGCAATAATCCCAGTGACGAAAACCTCTTTTTCTCTAAGTAATTGCACAGAGTATGGAACTGAGACTGAAAATAGTTGTTCAAGAGACAGTGAGTGCTGAGAACTGTTAGCTAGGTGTAAAATGGATGGGGATCACATATGCTCATCTTGCTTGGATTATAAAGAAAGGGTGAGTTGGAAAGAATTTACACAGCTCTGTGAGAAGCTCACCTGAAAAAAGTCCCCAAACTCGCCCTGGATGAGTTGTTTCAGCTCTCTGCCAGTCAGTGTTGCCCCGTTACTGTCCTCACTGGCATATTTGTGGAATGTCTCAATTACACAGAGGACATTTCTCAGGAGCTGAGGCATCTTTACAAACTCAGGAGAGGCTGTGAGAAAGAATAAACAAAGCTCATTTTCCAGGATGGGTCCTTCAGGGAGGAGATACCAAGATTATCCTTTTTGTTCCTCCCCCATCTCCACTGCAACCCCTGCTCTATTCTGTATCTTAAAATATTATATCTGAACTCCAGGGGTGATTTAGTATTGTACCAGACATTGTGGTGAAATCAGACCCAGCATAGGTAAGTATTAGAAGAGACAATTCACCCCACTCTTCAGTAAACAGCAACATTCATGTGCTCAGAGAAAGCTTCATTGCAAAAGGAAGGTGATAAGAGAACTCAAGCATAAGGATTGAAATGCATAAATGAAGCCAATAGAGTTGGACCCATTCTTCCAGCCTCATCCAAGAGTGTCTATCTGCTCTCCTCTCCCTTTGGCTCAGTCTAGCCTCCTGCGGTTAGGAGGGTATAACCTTTAAAGTTAGCAAAGCTTCTAGTGGAAAGATAAGTCACACCAAGAAAATTAACCCCTATGTTTGCAGGTGGTAACAACATGCTTTAACCAAGAAGACATGATTCCATGTCCCGACCCCTTATTCATTCATTTCCCATCCTTTAAATGCTTCTACATTTTCATTGCAATAGAGATCTGATCCTGTGCCTTGTTGAATAATATTCATGCCTATGACTTCTAAACAATTTATGTTTTTTTTAAAAAGAAAATGATCAAAGAAGTTCCATAATCAAGGAATGCATTTGGGTGGTTGGCGCTCCCAGTTTATTATTATTAATAGGGGTTGACATAGACTTAAAGTGTGTTTCCTTTGAAATCCTCTTGCAATCTCACATATAAGCAAAACAGCAACTGAAATCCCAAGTATGCTCAAGCAGATGGACTTACCTAGTTCACAAGCGAGAGCAGGTAGAACGTGGGGCAGCGGGCTGTGAGCTGACAGCAGGAGCTGGAACCTTTTATTGAGGTCCTAATTGCACAGTTAAGAAGGAGACACCCTCTGGGTCTAATGACCTGACATCACCACCAAATCCAGTCTCCCCTGCTCTGTTGTCAGTTGTCTTAATTTTATTTCCTTCTTTAGGCAGTTTCAATTAAATCTTAGCTTCAGATGCATCAAAAGAAAGGGGAGGGGGTTTCTTGATTCATTTACTGACTTTTGCAGATTATAGTTTTGAAGGCTCTTCAAGGTAGTGTTGGCTTCCCTCCCCCATTTTTTAACCTAAGGACATAATTACATTTCTGTCTGACAAATCATAGTGCTGGCAGGGACCTCATAAGTCATCTGATTCCTCTGTCTGCCCACAAGATGGCCCGTATTTGACCCAAACCTGAGAGATGGGTGTCAATCATGTGTTTAAAAATAAAGGCCCCCATTTAGCCATGTGACAAAAGTGGAGATACCAGTTGATTCAGATGTTTCAATGCTTTGCTCTCCTTGCCCAGAGGCAGAGTTAGAAAAAAAAAAAAATTCTTGCTTGGTGTGCAAAGCCTTGCTTACCTATGTTGTGCTATTTTAAAAACGTGATTGATATTTGCTTTCTAAAGACATTTTTACTATACAAGGAGCTTGAAACCAATAATCTATATTACTGTGTTCTCCCTGTAAAGGGGAAAGGGAGATGTTGAAATCATCAAGCTGAGAACAGAAGTGAGTCTGAGATGCTGAACTGGCAAACATTTTAATTGTCTCCTAGATCTGGGTCCTTCTTAGTAGAGAATATTTAATAAAATAAGAATTAGATTCAATGGTTTTCTTAGATATTTTTAAAAAATAGAGTATGTTTTAAAACACTCCTTGTCAAAGGATGGAAGAAATAGACAGATCAATGCAAACAAATATAAAAGACACAGACCAAGTTAAAGATGGGGTGGGAATGGGGGTAATTATATGAGAAAGCTGAAGCTAAGGGATGCATTGCTATTGAGCAAAAACCTTATTCTGAATTTCCTGATTATCGAGGAACATACAAGGGAACTAAATTTTGGGGAAAAACATTCATACTGATACTTTACACCTACAAACAATTTCTCAGCATCCTCCCAAAGGGAGAAGACTTCTGGGAATTGGAATTGGCATGTGAAGGTCATCTTAGTTCTGATTAGTTAATATCCCCAGAGTACCAGCTATTTCTCAACACTATGCCAGGAACTGGAGTGTTTAGAGTTGAGTAAGTTATATCTTCCTGCTCTGGAGCTCATGGGCCAGTCTCATGAAGAACTGGGTATATTCAAGGCTGGATTGGAAAGAAACACTTATGGGAGACATAATAACTGTCTTCAAATACTTGAAGGATTTTTATGGGTGTGGAAGAGAAAAGAATTAATGTTTATTGAAAACTTATGACATGTCAGGAGCTTTACATGGGCTATCTTAATCCTCACAGCCCTTTTAGGTAGTTATTATCCTCTTTTAACAGATAAGGAAGTTAAGGCTGTTAAGCAATTTGCCTACAGATATGTACCTTTACTAGGTAATGGCAGAGTCAGGATTCAGAAATGAAAGGTTTCAAGAAAGTATGTCTCTGGGCCAGGCGTGGTGGCTCACGCCTGTAATCCCAGCACTTTGCGAGGCTGAGGCGGGTGGATCACCTTAGGTCAGGAGTTCTAGATCAGCCTGGCTAACACGGTGAAACCCCATCTCTACTAAAAATACAAAAATTAGCTGGGCATGGTGTCACATACCTGTAATCCCAGCTACTCGGGAGGCTGAGGCAGGAGAATTGCTTGAACCCGGGAGGCAGAGGTTGCAGTGAGCCGAGATCATGCCACTGCACTCCAGCCTGGGTGACAGAGCAAGACTCTGTCTCAAAAAAAAAAAAAAAAAGAAAGTATGTCTCTGAAGTCATAGTGTTTTCATTACCTTGAGTTTCTTATTTGTGTAATGCCCGGTAATACAGCTGGAATCAATGCTTAAAACTTTCTAAAAAGCAGACTCCAGCTCTTAAGAACTTTCTAAGGAGCAGAGTTGTCTGACAATGACTTGGGCCACTACTAGAGCAATGAACTGTTCCTATACAGGCTGAATCATGATCTGTTGGCTAGGTTTTGGGAGAAGTCTTGCCATGGGAAGACGTAAGAGAGGAGTGGCTTACAGTGAATGGTACAGAACTCTTTCAACTTTAAATGTCTATAGTTTTATGTTATTGTTTCTATTTAGAAAGTTAGAGTTGGATCTTGCCTTGTCTCTAAACAGTGGCTCTGTAACTCTTTTATAGGCATTCCTGCTTTTTTAGTGCTTACTCAAGACCATTTAATTAATATCCATACTCTGGGTGGGTGGTGACTAAGAGGGATGGCCACAGGAGGAAAGAGATTGCTCTCTGTCCAGTGCTAAAAAAAAGTATTTGGATTGCTGTACAAAAAGCCACAAACAAATCAACCATTACCAAAGAGAAGATCTTGTTTGCCCTTTCTTCTCCTTCAAAACAAATCCCTCTAACAGCCCTGTCTAATTTTATATGGGGATAGTATAGAAAGGAAGAGGCAAGGTGGAGTTGGAGGCTGAGGGAGAAGAACACAACGAAAATATATTGATTAATATAGAACTATCTTTAAGAGCCAATTACTCTTCAAAGGCCACAACTGAAATCTTGAGTGAGGACTTTAGATAAAACCTATGATGGCTACTTTGAAAAGAAATGGCTAATAAAACAATTTTTAATGATTGTAATACTGGAAAATTTGGCAAGCAAAAAAGGGCTTCAGCTTATATTTATATTTTCAGTATCTTTTTTACTTACAGAAGTAACAGGAGTTTGTTCAAGATGATGATGGACTAAAAAAATGTATATTCTAAAGTCCCTAAACTTCTAAAAGGATCAATATACAAAAAGAAAAAAATAAACTGGAATTATAAACAGAAATAAAGGAGAACCATAACTGAGTAAGAGATTTCAATAAATTTATGGAAAATGGAAAGTGGATGGTAGAATGTTCATGACTGAAATAATTGGAGAAAGGCCTCAGCCCAGAATGTATTATGAGGGCATGGCAGAGGTGAAGGCAAATCTGAACCTAGAAAAGCACTGCACTCAGAATTAGCAGGTATGATGGAAGTATGAATGAGAAGTGGGGCTGTAAACAGGCACAGTAGTTGAAGGTTTGTATAAGGGACTCTCTCTCCGTGGTCATTCCCATCTCTCTCCTCCACTTTACAGTATGGAACATAGACATATGGGCATCTACTTTCTAATCTCGCCAGCAAAATTCCACATGACTGTTTCCTAAAGAAATTGGACAAACTTCTTACAAATACTAAATGTAAGTTCCTTGAGGGCAGGACTCTGTGTGCTTTATTTTCCACTTTATCTTCAGAAGTTAGGAGAGTACCTGGACTGTAGTAGGTGCTCTGTCAGTATTTGTTGACCAACTAATAGACTGTCTGAAAGACATCTAGTATTAATATTGTTGCTACAGGAAAACCTGCTTTATGATAGCATTTAGAGGTAGGGGAAATTTGTAGCCTGATAGCCATTTACTTGCAAATTGAAAGACCTTTTCCCCAAACCTGCCACAAAATTCCTACTTAGTGTAAAAATGGCCCTATTTATGCAAATCAGGAAAAACCAGATCTTTTTATTGATATAAATGGGCAACTAAGACTATTTAAACATATGAATAAGTCAACAGCTGGAAAGAGAAAGAACAATATTGCACTTAAAAAAACTGACCCTAGAGGAAATAGAAATAATTCAGATAACAGAAGAAAAGTTAAAAATTCTAATTAATATTTTTAATTTTTTGAGGAGCTTCCATACTGTTTTCCATAATGATGGTACCACTTTACATATTTACCAATGTGTACGAGGGTTCCCTTTTCTTCACTGCCTTGCCAAAACTTGTTGTCTTTTGTCTTTTTGATACTAGCCATTTAAAAAGGTGTGAGGTGATATCTTATTGTGGTTTTAATTTGCATTTACCTGATGATTGGTGATGCTGAGCATTTTTCAAATAACATGTTAGCTATTTGTATATCTTCTTTTGAGAGATGTCTATTCAGGTCCTTTGCCCATTTTTAAATTGGATTGTTTACTTGCTATTATTTGAGTTCCTTATATATTTTGTATATTAACCCCTAGCATTCTACTTCTGGCTATGTATCCTAAGGAAATGTAATCAGTATGTCAAAGAGATATCTGCATTCTCATGTTCACTGCAGCACAGTATTCACAATAGCCAAGATATGGACACAACCTAAGTGTCCATCAATGGATGAATAGATAAAGAAAATGTGATATATATATGTGATATATATATACACACACACACACACACACACAATAGAATACTATTCAGCCTTTAAAAGAAAGGAAATGCTATCATTTATGACAACATTGATGAACTTAAAGGACATTATGCTAAGTGAAATAAGCCACGCACAGAAAGATAAATACTGCATATCTCATAGGTTGAACTGATAGATGCAGAGAGTAAAATGGTGGTGACCAGGGACTGCGTGGAAAGGGCAAATGAGGAGATGTTGGCCAAAAGATACAAAATTTCTGTTAGACAGGAGAATTATGTCTGGAGATCTATTTTACAGTATGATGACTATAGTTAATAATAATGTATTGTATACTTGAACATTGCATACAGAGTAGATTTTAAATGAGATAAGCATGTGAGGTGATGGGTGTGTTAATTAGCTTGATGTAATCATTTCACAATCTATACATGTATCAAAACATCACATTGTACATCATAAATATATGAAACTTTTCTTATTATTTTCATTTAAATAGGTCTTTTCTTCTTTGTAAAACATTTGTACAAATTTATGGGGTACATGTGAAATTTTGTTACATGTATATAACAAAATTCATATAGTGGTCAAGTTAGGGTATTTAGGGTGTCCATCCTCCAAGTACAATACTTTTTTGTGCAACTTTGGTTTATCAATTTAAAAATAAATAAAAACAATTCTAATTAATGTATTCCAAAGAGTTTAAATGAGACAAGACCAAAAGGCAAAAGAGGCAACTGGAGAACAAAAAAGTATTTTTAGATTCAAAATAACTTCTAAAATAAAAAAAAACAAAGTTGACAAAATCTTTTGCAATGGTGTTATCCAATAGAACTTTATATATTTGCACTGTCCAGTATGGTAGCCACTAGCTATATATGGCTACTAAGCACTTGAAATGGGACTAGTGTGACTGAGGAACCAAATTTTTAATATTAGTTAATATTTATTAATTAAAATTTAAATGTAAGCAGCCACATGTGGCTAGTGACTACCTTATTGGACAATATAGTTTAGAATGTACAACAAAAAGAGAAAGAAATGTAAGAGGTGGGAGAAAAGAAGAAACATATATAATCAACTTAAGAGATCCCACTTTCAAGTAATAAGAAACTTGGAAAGATAAAATGGGAAAAAAGGAAATACATTTATCAAAGAATTGGTGAATATTTCTTAGAGACTTCCACAAAGTGTTCACTAGATTTATCCTTGGACATTTTAGAACACCAAGAATGAGGAAAAGAATGGTCAATTATCTTGCTCAAGGCTATAAATTTATTAAGTGGTAAACCCAGTTTTTGCTCTCAGGCAGTCTTACTTCTATGCCTATATGCTCAATATCACAATATAGATATTTATTGGTTACCTAGTGTATTAGTCCGTTTTCATACTGCTATGAAGAAATACCCAAGACTGGGTAATTTATGAAAAAAAAAAAAAAAGAGATTTAATGGACTCACAGTTCCACATGGCTAGGGAGACCTCACAATCATGGCGGAAGGCAAAGGAGGAGCAAAGGCACATTTTACATGGAGGCAGGTAAGAGCACATGTGCAAGGCAGCTGCCCTTTATAAAACCATCAGATCTCATGAGACTTATTCACTATCACAAGAACAGCATATGAAAACCCACCCCCATGATTCAATTGCTTCTCACCAGGTCCCTCCCACTATACATGGGGATTATGGGAGCTACAATTCAAGATGAGATTTGGGTGGGGACACAGCCAACCCATATCATCAAATATTAGCATCTGTCCATGGAAAAAATATGGCATATTTGCTTGTATTAGAAATGTAAAAATGTAAATGATACTGTCAAAAGTTGAGGGAAAAAGCAAAATAAGTATATTATTTAGAATTAGATAAGTAACAAAATTGAAAAATAAAAACATCAAACCTTGAGATAAAGAGAAGCGAGGTAGTGTACAAGTGATTTAAATCCTTGCCTGCCATACTGGAGATATCACTTAAAATTGGTAATTTTTACTCTCAGAGGTTGCTGCCAGAAGAATAAACATAAAACATTTAAAGAGAACTTTTCCTCTGGGGAATGGGACTGGGGTTGAAGAAATGTGGAGCAGGACACTTATTTATTTATTCATTTTTATGGTAAGCTTTTCTATACTATTTGATATGTTATCATTTATATTCTGAATTAGTTTAATATAATAATTTTTTGATTTTATGAATACCTATTACAGAATATACAGAGGAGAAATTAACATTTATCAACTATCCTTACTTAATAAGCATTTTATGTGTGCAAACCTTATCTTCCCAACTGCATTTTAAATACCTGGAGGTAGAGACTGAATTATAGATTATTTGTGGTAATTAGCTTTTCTAGAAGAAATATAATAAAAAAAACCACTTGAGTTAGAATTAGACAATCTTGTTTCAAAACCCACCTCTACCACTTATCATCCATATATCACCAGTGTTTACATTTTGTGTATATATTTTTTCTCATTTTCTCTCAAATTGCTATTACAAAACTGAAATCATTCTGTTCATACCATTTTGTAATTTTCTTTGTTTTATAAGATGAACAGATTTTTAGTACATTAAGTATCTTTCTACATGTTTTGATATGTACATAGCAGTTCATTCTATGAATATACTACAGAATATGTAACCATCCTTTTTTTGATATCTTGTTTCCAGTTTTTCACTATTATGAGTCATGGTATGATGAATATCTTGTAGTTAAATCTTTGTGCACACTGTAATCAAACTTTTAAAGAGCCATAGTCTCCTCCAAATTATCCCTTCTTAAAAGGCCCTTTTTAACAAGCACAGTTTTGAAAATGAAATGGCTGATGTTTATTATAGCTACCATATCATTTTGTGTGTAAGTAGAAAAAATGTTTTCAAGAGTTGTGCAAGCACTTAATAGCGTATTGAGGCCCTTGTATAATCAACATGCACAGTGTATTTATGTCCATATTGCAGGAATTCTTTCAATGCCTGTTAGATGACCAAGAAATAACTGTTGAATGAACAAATGAGGAAGTCCATATGGATCTACCTCTGAACTTCAGTAATTATCTAATCTTACACAAGTTTCTAACTATTCTGAGTTTGATTTCCTTATTCAGAAATGGGGAAGGGGGATAACATTGTCCAGAATTCCAGAATTGTAATGTTAATTACATGAAGTAACATCTGTAAAGACATTTAGCAAAAATGTTTGGTTTGTAGTGCATTCCGCTGAATTAACAACCATGGGAAGGCTGGGACTATGTCTACCTTGATCACAGTTATATCACCAGCCCGGTGCCTGAAACATATGAAGTGCTCAGTAAATATTTGTTTAGTGAAAAAAGTTTGAGAGAAGTGTACTAAAATGAAAGATACCAGAATTAAAAGAACTAGACTTATTCCTATTTCTAGTTCTATAAATTTGAGTCTTTACTTCTGTAGATGTAGTATCCTCATGAAAACTGAAGTGGATGGGCTAGATAATAGTAATCTCATTTATTGACTACTTACCTTATATTTTGCATACATTATTTCTACTCTTCATAATCCTGATAATTATGGATTATTATAAGGAAATTGCAGCTTAAAGATATTATGTAAACTGACTGGGTTTTCATGACTCCAACAACTGAATTCTTCCTGTTATACTGTTACCTCCCTGTTAATAACCAGAATCCTCGCTTAGTCAGCCCAGGCTGCTATAACAAAGTACCAAAGACTGGATGGCTTACAAATAACAGAAATTTATTTCTCACAGTTCTGGCAACTGGAAATCTGAGATCAGGGTGCCAGCATGGTTAAATTCTGGTTCGTAGATGTCCACCTATGAACCTGGTATGCTTCCTGGTTCATAGATGACCATCTTCTCCCTGTACCCTCACATGGTGGAAGAGCTCTCTGGGATCCTTATTATGACTGCATAAATTCTATTCGTGAGGGCTCCACACTCATAACTTAATCACCCCCAAAGGCCACAGCTCCTAATACTTTCACACTGGGGGTTAGGGATGAGTTTTGAAGGGATACAAGCATTCAGTTAATAACAAGTCCCCTCCAAGCTCTAAAAGCTCATGAATCTGTTTTACTCTACACTGGTTACAAATATATTTACTGGGCCAATCAGTATTTTAAATGTCTGGAAAAAATGGCAGGGAAAAATATTGGTCTAACCATCTTGTAAAGAAGTATTATTTTGTTATATGTTACCCTGGAACTTATCATTACTTGGAATCCCCTCCATCTCTGTAATAATAAGATTATAATGCCAATCTGTCTGTTAGATTTCTTGTTTTGGTCACTTATTGCTTTTCTCATTTCATTTAATTGTTTCACTGTATTTTCTTGAAGTTCACCAAGCCTCCTTAAAAATTATTTTGAATTCTTTGTCAGGTAGTTCATACATCTCCATTTCTTTAGGATCAGTGACTGGTGCTTTATTTTCTCCCTTTGGTGATGTCATGTTTCCTTGAATGTTCTTGATCCTTGTGTCTATGTGGTGGTCTATGCATTTGAAGAAGTGAGTACTATTCCAGTCTTTGGAGACTGGCTTTGTCTGGGAAAGCCTTTCACTGTCAGCTCTCCAGAGATGCTGAGCAGACCATCTAGTGACTGGAATAATACCTTTAGTTTTCACAATTGTTTTCCACTGCCTCCTCTCCTTAAAGCTCTCCCATTTGCTGATTCTCAATACATTGCACTTTCTGTCTCTTTGGAACCCATAGTCCACACATTTATCTTTCAGTCTCTGACTGTATTCACTTTTTTTTCCATGCTTAGATTCTGTAATGGTCAATTTTATATGTCAATTTGGCTGGGCCACAGTGCCCAGATATGTGGTCAAACATTATTCTGGATGTTTCTGTGGGGGTGTTTTTGGATGATATTAACATTTAAATATCTGGACTTTGAATAATGAGGATTGCCTCCATAATGTGGGTAGGCCTTATATAGTCAGTTTAAGGCTTGAATAGAAAAAACAATAAAAGACTAACATACTTGTTAGTAGGAGGAAATTTTGCGACCAGATGACTATTGGGCTTGAACTGCAGTATTGGCTCTTCCCTCGGTCTTAAGTTTGCCAGCCCACCCTGCAGATTTTGGACTTGCCAGCCTTTTTTATTGGGTAAACAAATTCCTTAAAATAAATGTACACACTATTTATATGAAAGCGATTCTGTTTCTCTAGAGAACACTGACTGATACAGATTTCATGGTCCATTACTTCAACAAACCCATTTCTTGCTGGTATCCTCAGTTCCCTCTCCCTGTTTATCTTTCAGTCACACCTGCCAGGAAAAAATCTCAGCCCTGGTTGGGTCTCACTCTGTTTTTTGCATCTGTGCTACTGAGCATGGCTGGAGAAAAGTCCCACAGCTGAATACGTTGGTGCCATGACAAATTCATAATTTCTAACTTCAAATGGAAACTCACTTTTTGGTGATTATAGAGCTTCTATGGTTAGTTTTCTGTGTTCTACAACAGTTATTTTAAACCATCTCTACTCTCTTTAATTATTTGACCCCTTCCTTTCCCTTCTCACTCTTAAAACGTGGTCTTGTCTCTTTATTTTATAAAGAAAATAAAAATCATACCATGGAATACTACTCAGCCATAAGTAAGAATGAAATAATGTCTTTTGCAGCAACTTGGATGGAACTGGAGGACATTATTCTGGGTGAGTTAACTCAGGAATTGAAAACCAAATGCCGCATGTTCCCACTCATGAGTGGGAGCTAATCTATGGGTACACAAAAGCATACAGAGTAGTATAATGGACACTGAAAACTCAGAAGCAGGGAGGAAGTAAGGAGGGTGAGGAATGAAAAACTACCTACTTGGTATAACATATACTACTCAGGTGGCTGGTGCATTAACATTCTAGACTTTAGCACTATGTAATTCATCCCTGTAACAAAAAACCACTTGTATCCCTAAAGCTATTGACATAAAAAATTAACAAAGAAAAGAAAAATCAACAAGTCAAAATTCCTAAACTTTCATGGAATCACAAACTTGCTGGCATTTATTTGCATTCATGTTTTCTTTCTGTTACATAGAAAAGTGTTCATCTAAGCATAATCTGTCTCCCTGGATGTTATCTTCTCCTGCCTTCTTGGGAAACTTGCTATGTTGATCATTCCCTCACTTTTCTATACTTCAGTCTTTCTTTATTGGTTCTTTCCTGTTAACATTTACACATACTCAAGTCTTGCTCATTTTGCTAAATCCTGCCTTGTGCACACAACCCCACTTGACATTTCTGCTCCCCTTCATAGTTACTATTCTTTTTTTTTTTTGAGATGGAGTCTCTTTCTGTCACCCAGGCTGGAGTGCAGTGGCATGGTCTTGGCTCACTGCAACCTCTGCCTCCTGGGTTCAAGTGATGCTCCTGCCTCAGCCTCCCAAGTAGCTGGGATTACAGGCACCTGCTCCCATGCCCAGGTAATTTTTTTTGGTATTTTTAGTAAAGATGGGGTTTTACCACGTTGGCCAGGCTGGTCTCAAACTGCTGACATTCTTCTTAGCAGGAGGACATTATTGTTGTCAGGTAGCATCCTTATTGTCAGGTGATCTGCCCGCCTCGGCCTCCCAAAGTGTGGAGATTACAGGCATGAGCCATCATTCCCGGCCATAGTTAGTATTCTTGAAAAATTTATCTTTTTATGTTTCTACTTATTTTCCTTATATTCCTCAACCCATTCCATTGACCGTCACTGACCACCATGTTACCAAATCATCAGGTGCTTTTCAGCACTTATCTTACTGGGCTTCTCAGAAATACTTGACGATAATTACCTCCTCTTTCTTGCAGCATGTTCTTTCCTAGCTTTTGTGACACCATACATACCTGGTTTTCGATCTACCTCTCTGACTGCTTCTTTCGATTCTCCTTTTTAGTTAGTTTTTTTTTTTTAACTTTTGCCATTTTAAAAAATGTTGCTGTTCCTCAGGGTCTGTCCTAGACTAGTTCTCCATCTTTTTTTTTTTCTGATACGGAGTTTCTTTCTGTCGCCCAGGCTGAAGTGCAGTGGTGTGATCTCGGCTCACTGCAACCTCCGCCTCCTGAGTTCAAGTGATTCTCCTGCCTCAGCCTCCTCAGTAGCCAGGACTACAGGCACACGCCACCAGGCCCGGCTAATTGTTTTTGTATTTTTTGTAGAGACGGGGTTTCACCATGTTGGCCAGGCTGGTCTCGGTCCCCTGACCTCAGGTAATCTGCCCACCTTGGCCTCCCAAAGTGCTAGGATTACAGGCATGAGCCACTGCACCCGGCCAGTTTTCCATCTTCTTCTTCCCGTATGTCCTGAAGAATAATCTCATCTACTCTATGGCTTTGATTACTATTGATATGTTGATATTTTCCATTTACATATAAAATCTGAACCTATCACCTGAACTCCAGACCCATGAAACCAATTGCCAAAAAGATATCAGTTTTTGAAGCCTCAAAGGCACCTCCAACTCAGTGTAGGTAAAACTGAATTTGTCATCTCCTCTCACTACAGTGAGCCTCCTTTGTGCTTTCATCTCAGTGATGACACCACTATCCACTCAGTTTCCCCAACTATAAATCTAATATCATCTTTTATCTCCTTCTCTCCATCATCTCTTCAATATATTACCAACTTCTACTGATTTTAATTCTCGAATATATTCATTGCTCTCTTTCCCCACCCCCACTATCCTAGCTGGGCCATCATTGTCTCTTATGGAACTACTGTAATAGCCTTCTAATGTTTTCCTTGTTTCCGTTGTGACCCTCTCCAACCCATTCTCCACACTGCAGCCTGAGTGATCCTCATAAACTGTCAATCTGGTTAATCACTTCGCTGCTTAAAATGACAATGATTTTTTGTTGCCCTCAAGATAAACTTAATATGGTTTGCAAGGCCCTCATAAACCTTGCTAACTTCATGTTTTCCATGTATCTCTTGGTATTCTAGGTTCTAGTCAGATTTAATGCTTACTTCCTTGAACCCAATGTGCTTTCTCTTGCCTCCGGACTTAATTTCACTCTTTCTTTTCCTGTTCACCAGGGTAACTTCCTCCCTATCCTCAGGTTTCAGCTTTAACACCAGTTACCTTAGGGAAGCCTTTGTTGACCCCGCTAAACTGAGTTAGATATTTCTGTTGTTATTAACTCTGAGCTTCTCTGACCATTGCATTCGTAGCAAGATGGTGTGAAATTCATCTCACTAGCCTACTTCTACCCATCTCCTCTTTACATATGGTCAGGGATGAAACCTGGGGATTGACTTGGTCATGGTCCACATGTTAAAGCTAATGTGGCCAGGTGCAGTGGCTCATGCCTGTAATCCCAACACTTTGGGAGGCCGAGGTGGGCATATCACTTGAGGCCAGGAGTTCGAGACCAGCCTGGCTAACATGGCAAAATCTGTCTCTACTAAAAATACAAAAATTAGCCAGGTGTAATCCCAGCTACTCGGGAAGCTGAGGCACAAGAATCTGTTGAACCCGGGAGGCGGAGTTTGCAGTGAGCTGAGATCATGCCACTGCACTCCAGCCTGGGTGACAAAGCGAGACCCTGTAAAAGAAAAAAAAAAAGCAAATGTGAAGACATTTTGTAAGGTGCTCCAGGGAAAAAGGGAGGCAAGTGTACTCTTAGCATAAGACCAAGGTTATTATTTCATAAGAAATAGGGTCAAAGTAATGTTAATAGGAGGAATAAAATTGACATATATATACCAGAAAAGGAGGCTTTCATAAGGAAAATAATCCTCATAGTAATGAATTGCATTTGAACTCAAGTGCATGAGAAAACCAGCCACAACCTGGAGTTAAAATCTCACTTCTGTTTCTCACTTCACCCACACCCCAACAATACATGGGACAAGAACTCATCTTTCCCTCCACCTATGCCTGCATTCTCATCCCACTAAGGGGCACTGACAGATGCTAAGACCAGTGCTCACTGTAATTCCCAGGTAGAACTTAAATAGATGGAGAAGAAATAATGCCTCAGTAATGCCCAAGGTTGAGGAATTTTCAAGATACAAGAAAGGACTTAGGGATTCAATATTCAGAAGGGAGGGCTGCATATTTCACAGATAGGCAATAGAGGCCCTCAACAGAAAAGAGCTATAAAGGATATATTAGTTCACTCATTTAATATGTATCTATTGAGTGTCTGCATTGTGCATCTAATTCTCATGAGTCCTTGAGTCATATTTTAGCATGAAGTTAGGAAAGCTTCAGCCAGGCATGGTGGCTCACGCCTGTAATCCCAGCACATTGGGAGGCTGAGGCAGGCGGATCACCTGAGGTCAGGTGTTTCAGACCAGCCTGATCAATATGACGAAACCCCATCTCTACTAAAAATACAAAAATTAGCTGGGCCTGGTGGGCTCCTGTAATCTCAGCTACTCGAGAGGCTGAGACAGGAGAATCGCTTGAACCTGGGAGGCGGAGGTTGCAGTGAACGCAGACCATGCCGTTGCATTCCAGCCTGGGCAGCAAGAACAAAACTCCAACTAGTAACACCAACTGTTTCCCAAAAACTTATTGAAATAAAAAAAAGTATAAAGCCAACTAAGGCAAAATATTGTAACCAATTAATGAGTAGTGAAGATAATAGATGTTTGTCTTAGAATCTCAATGAAGAGAGAGATCATTGTGTGTCAGAGTGATTAGGGAAAGATTTTAGGGAGGAGGTGGGACTCAGCCTAGGTCTTATAAACTGCATAGAAATTGTCCAGATAGCCAGGAAGGAGAGAAGCACTTCAAATAGATAAAAGTATGCCAATATGTCCTTGAAGTAAAGACAATCATAAGGCATCATAATGACAACAAATAGACTAGTCTGGTTTGAGCACATTCTTGGCTGCAGAAGTTATCATGGGAGCCAGGGTTTAAAAGGTGAATTGACACTAAATAGTGGAGGGCCTTAAATTCCAAACTGAAAATCTTGGATTTTATCTTGCAGAAATTGCCACACAATTTTTTTTAAAAGAAGAGTGGTGACAAATCAGATTTTTAAAATCTTTTGTTATTTGAATTCCTGTCATGGATGTTTTAAGGGTTCAGAAAATGATAACCTGCTCAAAAATCTATCTTTTGGGTTAGTTTCAGATCATGGCATGTGACTGTCAGCTCTTTACTAACAAGGGAAAAGTGCTTATTACATATTGCATAGATTATAATATTTGACAGAGTATACTTGCTGAAAAAACTTATAATTACCATGACAATGCAAATATTAGCAATGTGCAATTAGTGCAGAAGATGGAGCAGAGGTGGGTGCTTACAGTACTTAAGTACTGACTACTGAATTTTAGTTTGAGTGGGACCCAATTCTAGAACTCAGTTTAGTTTTCTCTTCAGAAAAGAAAGAGAATAATTAAATGTATATGTCAAGTTCATAAATAGAGGGACAATGATCTTTGGTAGTACCAGGGTCAAAGAAAATGGGGTAGGTTTAGGGTATTTTCCCTCAGTGAATAAATGTGGGATGATAGGAGGGGGCTCTGGGAAGGGGTTTGGGAGACAAATGGAGGGAAGTTCAAAGGTGATTGGGCAGGAAGGGAAGATCTTTGAAGCCGGAACTAGGCTCTGATAATCACTTTCATCAGTCATTTATTTTTTCCTTTTTTTGTGTGTGTTAGCTAAAGGTAGAAGTTGATGTTAGGCATTATTTGAGTTTCTTTGAGAGTTTCTATTGAACAAGCTGAATGCTGGTATTAAAATAATTTTATTTTCAGTCCTGAGAATAACCTTGGTGATAGCTATTCCAGCCTCATAGTTTTAAATACAAAATAATGAAGGCCCAGAAACCTTAAGTGGCTTGGACAAGGACATACAGATAGTAAAGTGAAGAAACAAGCCACTGTATGTATACTGCCTGGAACAATGCCTGGCACATAGCAGGAGCTCAATAAATACTTATTGAGTGAATAAATGAATAAACCCAAGGCTTTTGATTCCTTGTAGCATTCTTTCTACTCTACCATATAAATTATGGCAGATTTAATGGGAAAACGATTTATATTTGAGCAACCAGAACCTGCTTGCACAATGTCAAAGGATAATGATCATCATGATACAGATAGGCTTACCTAGCAACATAATGCCATCTTACTGATACATATTGTATTAGTTTGCTAGGGCTGTCATAGCAAGGTACCATAGACTAGGTGGCTTGAACAACAGAAATTTATTTTCTCACAATTCTGGGATCTAGAAGTCCAAGATCAAGGTGTTGCCTGAGCTGGTTTCTTGAGAGGGCCATGAGGGAAGGACCTGTTCTAGGATTATATCCTTAGCTTGTCGATGGCCATCTTCTCCCTGTATCTTAACATCATCTTCTCTCTGTCCATGTTTGTGTCCAAATTTCATCTTCTTATAAGGACATCAGTCATATTGGATTAGGGCCCAAACTAATAACCTCATTTTAATTTAATTACCTCTATAAATACCATATCTTCAAATATGATTACATTCTGAGGTACTGAGGGTTAAGACTTCAACACGTGAACCTCTGTGGGGGTTGGGAGGTCACAACACATAGAGACCAGCTTTTCTATCACTGCATATTAAACTCTTGATTGCGTTCCCCAGCAGCAGCCTAAGTGATGCTAATAGAGTTCCCAGTTTATAATTAAGTAGGCAATTGCCCAACAGCCTCCAGGTTCTGCAAATGCATGTGTATCATTCAGGTGGAGCAGGAGGCTTGGCCTGCATGTTCTCCTGCCAGCATGCTAAAATAACAGCTAGAGGGCACGGGCTGGCTGACACATTTTTTTTTAAACTACATGTTATTATAACTGTGATGAAACAATACTTTCTTCTTTGGAAATTGGCTTTACCTTCTTGTAAAGTGCTACAAGTCCCCAGGGCTTTGCTTATTTTTACCATAATTATCATTGTTAAACTGTAGCTTAGCTGATGAAGTGTATATTTCAGTGGTATCCTGAGGTTGGGCATTTATAAGGAGGCTCTTGAATGAGTACCCATAGAGGGTCCTGAGGAAAGTCAGTGAAGCTCTTCCAGAATTTCTTTGAAGGTGCTTAAGTAAGAAAAAGAGTATACTTTAGGGGAAAAATAGTTTTGCAGTTAGAAATCATTTGAAAGAGATGAAATTCCAAGACAATGTCAGGGGATTCCCAGGTTATGTCTTTGGTGGGCATCTGCCATTTGTTAAAGTGAGAGAGAGAGAAGCTGTGCTTCTTGAAGAAAATGCCATCTTACTCTATCAGAATGATACTCAGGAGCCATAAGCCTAGCTTGTCTCCACCACTGATCAAAATGTTGAGTGACTATAACTTTAGGGCATCTTCTCATCATGATCTTAGAAATGACATTGTTTTGATCAGGGCCTTCTTGGGCTTATTTCTAGTTAGTAAACTATGAATACTAAAAATAAGAATCCAGCAGGCAGCACAGGCGTGTTTGTTATTATCTAATAAATTATTATCTAACAAGATAATAATTTGATACTTCAGCCTGATTACTATTAAGTACCTTCTGACTCAGTCACCTCATGGATTATGTTGCTTAAATTAACAGGACATCTACAGTTTTTATAGTGCTGATCTGAAGTTTCAGGCCATTTTCTATCATTGGCTCATCAGACATCAGAGACTAAGAAGCTGCTGCATTCTCTAAAGGAAATATTAACAAATATTGGGAGCACCAGTATTTGTCATGACCAGTGAGTCGCTGCAAGAAATGGCATAGAAAGCTGTGGGGTCAAGAACAAAAACACTCTGGAAGGCAATCTCAGTGTGGGGATGGAAATAGAGTTCAGCCTAACTGCAAAAAAAAAAAAAAAAAAAAAAAAAAAAAAGGTTGGGGAAAAACAAAGAATTCTCTCCCCTCTTTTTTCGTATTTGGACATAGATAAGTAACAAAATGCCCTTATGTGATTGGGAACTTGTGTTAGTTTCCAGACAATGAGATCTTGTTATGATTGACGCAGAGTTAAAACAGACAAAAGTAGTTACTTGCCAAACATTTATTATTAATTTTTCACAGTCCAATTATTTCAACAAGAATATATCTAAGGTATTATCAATAGGCCTCAAATGATTGTGGGCAAATGGGTCTTGTCAAAGGGCCTCTAGAAATTTGCCCCTATGTTCACACATTTTTCCCTTTTACACCCCCAACATGCTCTATGTGATCTCTTATTGGCCCTAGAGTAAGACAGATGTTTATGGGATTCTGAGCAGCTTCCTTCTAACAAGCTAAAATTAACAAAGGTTCATAATATTCTGAAACTCATCAAAACTTGGGGAAGTAGAATGAACACTATAGACTACAACAGACACAGTTTTAAAATTTGAACTCTGAAGTTGAGAAACACCTCATTATTTCTTCATGAGATTATGTGTTTAAGTGGAGTTGAGTTTAAAAAAAATCTAATTTAAATTCTAAATCTTCAAAGCTAAACCTATTCTTAACAGATATTTCTTCCAGTAATGGGCTGATTTTACAGGAAGTTTTTATGCAGAGGTCACTCCCCCTGCACTATTCAAGGGTTATAAAAATTTAGTTACCTGGAATTTGTGCTAACTATGCCACAAAAGATGAAATGCTGTTTGGAGGCAATGATCAATTTAGGTTCAAGAAGAAATAGCAACTTGAACATTAAAAGTATCTGCACTTTCCACAAGATGGGTCAGTCATTAAACAAACCGACCCATTGTTTAGAATCTCAAATCATCCTATTACTCTTGTTACTTCTGAAAGCAATAAATGAACATGTTCCTCAAACAAAATTTCTTAAACAAATTAAATGATTTATATTTTTTTTAAATGCACACCACATCTGCATCAAAGAGCAAAAGAAAGACATCTTGCAGTAAAGAACTACTTGAGGAAGAATAAAAAGCAGAAGTACAAAGTGCGTAAAATGAGCGTAGTTTAAGATTTTGGAAGAAAAGACATTCTAATATCAGAGAGTTTTCCCACAACCAGAAACATCTGAGTTATCACTTGGTACCCAGTGTTTCTCATTTTCCCGTGCTCGAAGCTTTGGCAGGTGTCAAGATATTGGCAACATCACTTAAGGGCGGTATTGAGATCTCTGCTCTTGGATGTACTCATAGAGAGGGCTGGAGCGCACTGGGACACTGGCAAACTGATGAGTGCCGGGCTCCAGAAGCCGCCCATGGCCCTTCCCTTCTTGGGATTTTATCTCCCCGACTTGGCGGTGCCTCTGTTCCTCCTTCTGCTGGCGGCGGATGTGTTCTTCCCGTAATTTCCTTTCCCGTTCCTGGCGACGTTTCTGCTCCTCTTCTTGCCATAGTTCTTGTTCCTCACGACGACTCTTCTCCTGCGTGGCAAACTGCTCCTCCGCCCGGTACTGCCGGTCTCGCTCCTGCCGCAGCCTCTGCTCTTGTTCCTCAAGTTGGAGCTGCTCTTCTTCCCAGCGATACTTTCCGTCACGCTGTTGGGGGCGCAGCTGCTGTTCTTCCCTCTCCTGGCGTAGCTGTTCCTCCTCGCGGAATTTTCTGTCAGACTCTTGGCTGCGCAGCTGCTGTTCCTCCCTCTCCTGGCGGAGCTGTTCCTCCTCGCGGAATTTTCTGTCGCGCTCCTGGCGGCGCAGCTGCTGTTCTTCCCTTTCCGGACGGAGCTGCTCTTCCTCTAGGATTTTTCTGTAGCGTTCTTGGCGGCGCAGCTGCTCTTGCTCCGTTTCTTGGCGCAGCTGTTCCTCCTCACGGAATTTTCTCTCCAGTTCCTGGCGGCGCAGCTGCTGTTCCTCCTGGAGGAATTTTCTCTCTCGTTCCTGACGGCGGAGCTGCTGTTCCTCTTCGCGGAATTTTCTGTCACGCTCTTGGCGGCGCAGCTGCTGTTCCTCCCCTTCCTGGAGCAGCTGTTCCTCTTCACGGAATTTTCTGTCGCGGTCGTGACGCAGCTGTTGTTCGCGCTCCTGGCGGCGCAGCTGCGGTTCCTCCTCGAGGAATTTTCTGTCACGCTCTTGGCGGTGCAGCTGCTGTTCTTCCCTTTCCTGGAGCAGCTGTTCGTCTTCGCGGAATTTTCTGTCGCGCTCCTGGCGCAGCTGTTGTTGGCCCTCCTGGCGGCGCAGCTGCTGTTCGTCCTCCATGAATTTTCTCTCTTGTTCCTGGCGGCGCACTTTCTGTTCCTCTAAACGGAATTTTCTGTCACGCTCTTGGCGGCTCAGCTGCTGTTCCTCCCTCTCCTGGCGCAGCTGTTCCTCCTCGCGGAATTTTCTGTCACGGTCCTGACGCCGCTGTTGCCCGCGCTCCTGGCGGCGCAGCTGCTGTTCCTCCTGGAGGAATTTTCTCTGCCGTTGCTGGCGGTGCAGCTGCTGTTCCTCCTCGAGGAATTTTCTCTCTGGTTCCTGACTGCGCAGTTCCTGTTCGCGGAATTTTCTGTCACGCTCTTGGCGGCGCAGCTGTTGTTCCTCCTCCAGGAATTTTCTGTCACGCTCTTGGCGGTGCAGCTGCTGTTCTTCCCTTTCCTGGAGCAGCTGTTCCTCTTCGCGGAATTTTCTGTGACGCTCCTGGCGCAGCTGCTGTTCCTCCTCCAGGAATTTTCTCTCTCGTTCCTGGCGGCGCACCTGCTGTTCCTCTTCACGGAATTTTCTGTCACGCTCTTGGCGGCTCAGCTGCTGTTCCTCCTCGCGGAATTTTCTGTCGCGGTCCTGACGCAGCTGTTGCTCGCGCTCCTGGCAGCGCAGCTGCTGTTCCTCCTTAAGGAATTTTCTCTCCCGTTCCTGGCGGCGCAGCCGCTGTTCCTCCTCGAGGAATTTTCTCCCTTGTTCCTGATGGCGCAGTTCCTCTTCGCGGAATTTTCTGTCACGCTCTTGGCGGCGCAGCGGCTGTTCCTCCCTTTCCTGGAGCAGCTGTTCCTCCTCGCGGAATTTTCTGTCTGTCTCTTGACGGCGTCTCTTCTCTTCTCTTTCCTCTCTCAGCAACTGCTTTTCCTCTTGGGACTTCCTGTCGCGCCTTTTGGCTTCCTTTTGCTCTTCTCGCTCCAGCTGTTCTTCCTCTGGGAAATGCCTGTCGCGCTGCTGCCAGCGCCTCCTCTCTTGCTCACGATCTCGCTCTTGCTGTTCACCCAGCAGGTGCTGCAGATCTTGCTGGGATTGTCTGTCGCGCAGCTGGGAATCTTCCAACTGCCGGAACTGTTCATTCTCTCTGCCTTTGCAGTAAACCTTGTTATCACGAACTGCATTTTCTTTTTCTGGTTCCCACTGCCATTTCAGATCACTGCGCTGATCCTCATCCCGGTATCGCTGCTTCCTTTTCTGGCGCTGAAGCTCTTCCTCCTCCCGATACTGCCTCTCCCGCTCCTGGCGCCTTTTCTCCTGTTCCTCTCTCAGCAGCTGCTCTTCCTCCTGCTGCAGCTCCTCTTCCTCGCGGTATTGCCTCTCCAGCTCCTGGCGCCTTCTCTTCTCCGGTTCCTCTCTCAGCAGCTGCTCTTCCTCCTGCTGCACCTCCTCTTCCTCCCGATATTGCCTCTCCAGCTCCTGGCGCCTTCTCTTCTCCCGTTCCTCTCTCAGCAGCTGCTCTTCCTCCTGCTGCAGCTCCTCTTCCTCCCGACATTGCCTCTCCCGCTCCTGGCGCCTTCTCTTCTCCGGTTCCTCTCTCAGCAGCTGCTCTTCCTCCTGCTGCAGCTCCTCTTCCTTCCGATATTGCCTCTCCAGCTCCTGGCGCCTTCTCGTCTCCCGTTCCTCTCCCAGCAGCTGCTCTTCCTCCTGCTGCAGCTCCTCTTCCTCCCGATATTGCCTCTCCCGCTCCTGGAGTCTTCTTTTCTCCCGTTCCTCTCTCAGCAGCTGCTCTTCTTCCTGCTGCAGCTCGTCTTTTTTGCGGTACTGCCTCTCCCACTCCTGGCGCCTTCTCTTCTCCCGTTCCTCTCTCAGCAGCTGCTCTTCCTCCTGCTGCAACTCCTCTTCCTCGCGGTATTTTTTCTCCCGCTCCTGGCGCCTTCTCTTCTCCGGTTCCTCTCCCAGCAGCTGCTCTTCCTTCTGCTGCAGCTTCTTATCCTTCCGATATTGCCTTTCCCGCTCCTGGCGTCTTCTTTTCTCCCGTTCCTCTCTCAGCAGCTGCTCTTCCTCCTGCTGCAGCTGCTCTTCCTCGCGGTATTGTCTCTCCTGTTCTTGGCGCCTTCTCTTCTCGCGCTCCTCTCTCTGTAGCTCCTCCTCCTCCTCCTGCAGCAGCTGCTGTTCCTTCCTCAGCTGCTCTTGTAGGGCTGGCTTGGCGTACAGCGTGTGGCGGCGTCTCTTCCTTTCTTCTTCTAGTTGCCACCTCCATTTTTGGTCGCGGCGCTGCTCCTGGCTTCGCCTCCTCTCCTGATCCTCCTGGAGGCCGTCCTCCTCCTCCTGGAGCTGTTGGGCACGCTCCCGCCGCTGGAGCTGCTCCTCTTCCTCCAGGAACTGCAGCTCTTTCTCCCTCTCGCGTCGCTGGCGGCGCCGCTGCTCCTTCTCCTCCTCCTCCGGGAGAAACCGTTGTTCCCGCTGCTGGCGCTCCTCGGCCCTCAGCTGCCTCTCCCGCTGCTCCCGCAATGGGGGCCTGGCCGACAGCCTCTGACGGCCCCTCTCGCTCTTTTCCTCCGCCTGCCACTGCCATGTGAAGTCCCGGCGCTGCTCCTCTTCCTGCTGCTGCCGGTGAGCCCGTTCCTCCTCCTGCCATTGCAGCTCACTCTCCCGGCGCCGCCTCTTTTCCTCCTGCTCTTGGCGGCGCCTCTGCCCTTCCTGCTTGCGGGGCCTCGAGTAGACTTTGCTTTGCCGTGCGTCGGCCTCGCTTTCTAGCTGCCACTGCCACTTCGGGATGCGGCTCTTAATCCGCTCCCGGGCCTGTTCCTGCTCCTCCTCAGCTAGCTCCTGCTCGCGCCTCTCTTCCTCATGCTCGCGCTTCAGCCGCTGCTCGAGCCTCTCTTCCTCCTCCTCGCGCTTCAGCCGCTGCTCGCGCCTTTCCTGCTGCTCGCGCCTTAGTTGCTGCTGGCGCCTCTCCTCCTGCTCCTCGCTCTTCAGCAGCTGCTGGCGCCTCTCTTCCTCCGGCTCCTCGCGCTTCAGCCGCTGCTCGCGCCTCTCCTCCTGCTCGAGTCTCTCCACCTCCTCGCGCTTCAGTCGCTGCTCGAGCCTCTCTTCCTGCTCGCGCTTCAGCCGCTGCTGGCGCCTCTCCTCCTCGCGCTTCAGCAGCTGATCGCGCCTCTCCTCCTGCTCGCGCTTCAGCCGCTGCTCTCGCCTCTCCTGCTCGAGCCTCTTCTCCTCCTCGCGCTTCAGCAGCTGCTCGCGCCTCTCCTCCTGCTCGCGTCTTAGTTGTTGCTCGCTCCTCAACCGCTGCTGGAGCCTCTCTTCCTCCTCCTGGCGCTTCAGCCGCTGCTCGCGCCTCTCCTCTTGCTCCCGCCTTAGTTGCTGCTCGCGCCTCTCCTGCTGCTCGCGCCTCTCCTCCTCCTCGAGCTTCAGCCAACGTTCGCGCCTCTCCTCCTCCTGGTCGCGCTTCAGCTGCTGCTTGCGCCTCTCCTGCTCGTGCCTCTCCGTCTCCTCCTCGCGCTTCAGCCAATCGCGCCTCTCCTCCTGCTCGCGCTTCAGCCGCTGCTCGCGCCTCTCCTGCTCGTGCTTCTGCTCGTGCCTCTCCTCCTCCTGCTCGCGCCTCAGCTGCTGCTCGCGCCTCAGCTGCTGCTCGCGCCTCAGCTGCTGCTCGCGCCTCAGCTGCTGCTCGCGCCTCAGCTGCTGCTCGCGCCTCAGCTGCTGCTCGCGCCTCAGCTGCTGCTCGCGCCTCAGCTGCTGCTCGCGCCTCAGCTGCTGCTCGCGCCTCTCCTCCTCCTGCTCGCGCCTCAGCTGCTGCTCGCGCCTCTCCTCCTCCTGCTCGCGCCTCAGCTGCTGCTCGCGCCTCTCCTCCTGCTCGCGCCTCAGCTGCTGCTCGCGCCTCTCCTCCTGCTGCTCGCGCCTCTCCTGCTGCTCGCGCCTCTCCTCCTGCTGCTCGCGCCTCTCCTCCTCCTGCTTGCGCCTTAGTTGCTGCTCGCGCCTCAGCCTTTGCTGCTGCTGCTCTTCCTCCTGGCGCTCCCTCCTCAGCTCTTGCCGCTCCAGCTTCCGTAGCTGCTCTTCTTCCTCCTGGAGCTCTCTTTGCCGCTGCGGCTCCTCTTCCTGCAACTTCTCTTCTTCCTTCCGGAGCACTGTCTCGCGCTTCCTCCACTCTTTCTCTTCTTCCTCCTGGAACACTCTGTCTTGCCGCTCTCGCCTTTGCTGCTGTTTCTCCTCGCGGCCCTTCCTCCTCAGCTCCAGCAGCTCCCGCCTTCGCAGTTGCTCTTCGTCTGGAAACTCCTCAGTTTCGTGACCTTTGCAACTCTGCAGCTGCTCTTCCTCTGCACGGCGCTCTTCCCGTTCTTGCCATTCTTGCCTTTGCCGCCACAGCTCCTCGTCGCGGCGCTGCCTGTCGCGCTGTTCAAGTCGCTCTTGTTTCTCACTTTGCTCCTCTCCCTCAGCTAGCTCCCTCTCCTGTTCCTGCCTCTTCTGCCTGCGTCGTTGCCCAGGTTCTTCTTCCAGTTGTCTGTCCCGGGGCTCGAATCTCCTTTGGTCTTCTTCTTGCCTGCGATCTTGTAACAGGCTCTCCTTTCCGTCACACCGGGCTCGCTTCTCCTCATCCAGTCCCGTGGCCTGGCCGAGAGCATAGTAACAAGCTTGAGCCACTTTGAAAATAAATAGGAGGAATTCGTTGAAATCGACACGCCCATTACTGTCAAGATCCAGAAGTTCCAGGATCAGATCTACCGTCTTAGGGTCATGTGGTCTCTATAAAAATGGTGAAAACAAAAATTTTACAATGCACTATTTACAGGTGGTAAAATTATATTCACACATGATATATTTTATGCTATGCTGACATTCAAGAGACATTCAGAGCAATTAGAAAAATGTCCAGTGTGTATCAAGTTTTGTCCCCATGTAAAATGTGAACCCTCACTTTAAAGCATATATTCGTTTGAAATTTTTACATCTCGTAATTTAGTGCTGATCAAACCTAAGGAAGCAGGAAGAGAGACACAAAGTAGAATAGCAGGTAAGCCTACGCACCTTAGAGGCAGAGCCTGAGGTGAAGATTCAAAACAGCATCGTGAACTTGTGTGTAAAATTAACAAAGCTACTCAACATCAAGAAAGAATAACACAAGTTCGCTTTAATTGAGAAAGAATGAACTCATCCTTGAGAGAGATACAATAGAAATTTATGAGGATTTGCAGTAGCCATTTCTGTCTGAAGCAGCCAGTATTCTTGATTTGGTTTCTATTCCATATTAGAAAACAGAACAAAACATTTACGGGTAGCACCATTTTAATAGAGATCAGGCTGATCTCAGTTTTGAAATTTGGAAACAAATTTAAGTTCCTCCAAGTCTAGTGTGATTTGACATCTTTTGTGGTAATGTCCCATGAAGAGCTCATTCACATGGCCATGCCATCAAGTACATGAAATACTTTATTATTCAGACTACAATGTCAAGTAAGTACCTTTTGACTCAGAAATGAATGGGGGATGTAGTGTAGACCTGTTGTGGTGTAAAATGAATATAAAACCACCATTCCTTGCTCTGGTCTCCTCTGAGAATAAATCTCATAGCCTCAAGTCAATAGATCTCATTTTCTTGTTAGTTCTTACCCGAAGCACAGCTCCAAATTCCCTTTCAAGGAGGTTCTTCAGGTCTTTCTTAGTTAATGCTGCTCCATCACAATCATGAGAGACATACTGATTGAAAATTTCAGTGATGTCACAGATGCTTCTCAGAAGTGGAGACATTTTTTTTTCTTTCCTTCAAGTTCAAGTAAACCTAGAACAATAAAATAAGATCCAGAATCAAAATCCCGTTTCTGCTTTTGGGAAGGCTTCATTCACACTATTTCAGGCAGATCCCTAAATAATTTGAATTTATAGCGGTAATTTCAACCTGGACTTTCAGAGCACTTTAATATTTGAATATTGTATCAGAAAGAGAAAGAGCGATCCTGAGAAATTCCAAGCCAGGGAATCATCTTCAGACTATCCTGTTGTCAGCTTTTGATTGTCCACCCAATGTGGATTATCTATGCCCTTTTCTTCTGTCTTTCTTCCAGCTCTCCACCGTATTTCAGAGTAGAAAATTAAGAGAAGAGTGCAGAAATTAAAATTTTATATATGTCTACACACCTTCCTTTAAAGTTGAGCGAAGAGGACAGGTAAAAGCCAAAAGGTGAAGGAAGACTTGAGAGTATCTTAAAGTGGATAGAGGCCATGTCAGCAAAACAGTTGGTAGAAAATAGAACAATGAAAAGGGAATATGAATGATTCCTCAACATTACAGTCCATAAAGGATTTAGGAACTCTTATAGAATATAATTTGTAAGTCAGCAATTCTAAGATTAAATAGTACTTCTTCCTAGTCAAAAGATGGCATTGTAACATTCAGATACACAAATGCAGAAAACAGAGACTGTATATTACCTGCCTCAACTCAGATATAGTAAGATATTCGGATATTGAAGTATTGAAAGCTTCTGAGAGGTCCTTTCTAAACCAAACGGAATCCAGAAAACTGTGAATGATATTGGTTTTGTTAAACCCAAATGCATCATTGGAATCTTGGCTTTTTATAAAACATTAGCCAGCAGTAGATCAATGTTATAAGAATACATGGAATGGCTTTGCTGGTGGGATAAGTGTAGTCGTTCATCTAGCTGACTTCTTTATGTACTTCTCAACTCCAGTACCTTAAATGCTGTGACTGTATGAAGATGGCCCATATTAGGTAGAACCAATGTAAAAGAGAACAGAAGGCTGGCAAACTTTTGAGATAGCAGTTTTTAGGAAGATGAACCCTATCAGAGCCACACATGATCATCCTTGATGTGCAGAAGTATAGAGTTCAGAGCCCAAGGAGAAGGGTCATGCTTCAGTTCAAGTGATGGCTCCAACCATAAGAAGATGGGATAGAGTTAGTGATAGTTTATTTATCCCTGCAAAATACTGATACCTTCTGGCACATGGAACCTCCCCCCATATCCCAACATCTGAAATAGCTATAAAAATGGAGAATCATAAAGAAGACCACGATCCCACAGAATGGGACTTACCCACTTCACCAGAGGAAGAAGTCGACAGTGCTTGCTGACACCACAGGCAAGTGTACTGGGTAACTGGGAGCTGGGCCTTTTATAGGGGTTTTAATTGTGCCCTGGAAAGCAACTTGGGAAGGAGACACCCACTCTGTGGGATGGCCTGATTCATTCCTAACCAAGCCCAGCTCCACCTCTGTCTCCACAAATGGCTTGTTTATCTCACTATTTGCTCACGTAGCTATTTGGCACGAGGTTCACAGACCTTGCCTCCTGACAGTCAGGGTACCAGCCCCACCTAACATGGGAGGGTAGAATATTTGGCAGAATCTCCAATTTTCTTAAATTGTTAAAAGTAAATTAAATAATAAAACAAAGGTATTAAATGTTCACAATCTTAATTGATTATTACTTCATTACAAAGGAGTAAACTCTAAGCCATTTGCTTTATAAAAGATACAATCTCTAGTTTGGGATTAAGCAGAAACTTTGAAATAAAGTGATGAAAACCAATTAATTTCTCCATGGGATGTGACAGTCCATGGTGAGCTGCTCATAAGCCCTGCCAGAAGCAGTTGCTTCAATTCTAGGGCAATGAGAGAGCTGTAAAGAATTGGTTAGTTTCTTCTCTAAAAATGCAGGTGGGAAAAATTTTTACATTTGTCTCCCGGGTCTTATGATGGTTTTCCTACAGATTGGGGACTGCCTCCTCAGTAAAGTTTGGAAGGGTACCTTGGAAATATATTTTTATTAAACCGTTCATAAGAAAACTTGAAATCTGTGAAATTTCATTCTTAGAGACATTAAACCTAAATGAAGTTTGTTCATTAGTTTTCTCATTAGCATATTGATGCCCCTGGGGAAAAAGAGCTGGTGTAATGTATTATTGTAGATATAATCATCCTGCTCAGCCTAAGTTACTAATGATTATGACACCTAAACACTTGAGTCTGCTTCTCCTGGAAGTACATTGAGGTAATTGGTCATTCTAGCCCATTATATCCATCAGGGCTTTCTCAATCTGGTTGATCATTTGCAAATTTCAGTGCTGTTTTATTGTAAGGAATTGGATTTTATCCATGGTTGTCAGTGACTTCCTTCCTTACATTTCAGACTATATGAAACTTTGGTTCATAATTTATGAAGACTATTAAATGATTCAATGGCTTCTCTGCACTTTTGTCTCCTCCTTTGTCCAACAGAGGCAAGTGTTGGTTTTCTGAATTTTGAGGCAACTGAACGTCCTTCAATGGCATGAGTGAAAATTTGGAATCTAAATCTTGATGGCTATTTCTTTATGTGCAGATTGGTCTAAATGATAATGGAGTTGAACTCTATTTGCCCCCTCACTTGCTGCCATCCTAGATGTGGGGTACAGAGGAAGGTAGAAGTGACAGGGAATGGGAAGACAATTATAAGCAATGCTAATTTCTGCCTCTTAAGGACTTCAACACTGAAGTCTACAATTTAGTGGTTTTCCTAGGACTGTCAGAACTGTCACTATTTCTTGGGCTCAGTTAACAAACTTGATGTGGCAATTCCTTGGTGAAGGGTGAAGACTTCTCATTTTTCCCCTTCTTTTTAGGGTTTTATGCAGCTCTCTTACTCTTTGGATTCTGAGATAGGACCATCATAAGCACTGACCACACTGCAATCATGTGATCATGGAAGCTCACTCTCTCACAGAGGGCACTAGCCTTTTGTATGAGTGTTCTTCAAGGAATAACCTGGGCAAGGACTGCCTTATGTCTGCTTTTGTTTGTATCCTCCTGTGTGTGATCTATTGGGAAACCTCAGTTCAGGTGATGGGATGCATTTACATGACTCCATTACTTTCCTATAGTGAATAAACCCTAAAGGGAACTGGAAATTTTTAGGTTCCATGAAAATAAAGGGAAAAGTAGCATTAACCATTCTAAAATTATAGTTAGAATGGCAATTCCCCCCATCACCATGCTTTTGAACAGCCTTGAAAAAATACCCCAAATTGCATTTATTATAACAGAAAAACCCTTTCTCCTCTCTGAATGAAGCTAGATCTTAAATTCAGTGATGGTTCTCCTACCCACTTTTATTTAAAGTCAGTTCAGTATAAGGGAAAATATTTAAAAACCTGCATAAACCTAAGAGAATTGGCCTCCCTTCCTGCTCTTGGTCCATCATCAGAAAGATTGTAAAGTAGATTCATATGCTAAATCCAAAATCAAGTTTGAAATTCTCCTGGTGAAGTAGCTTCATTGCTACATAATGTTCTTTTATTTTACACACTGTCATTATTTGAGAATATCATTTTAAAAGGAGTCTGTGACATAAGGTTTGGACAGGGAAATAGTTTCCATAGCTTTCTAGTGTTTCAAAATGTTGGTAAATGCTAAAGAATGTAGAAAATTATATCAAATCCTAACAAATTGGTTCAGTCTATTTTTAGTTAAGACCAACTGGGAATTCTTGTAATGTAGTAGTGTTCCTTTACTGTGGACCATTAAAAAATAAAAATATTATTATAATCTGAAATAGCTCCATTAAAAAAGCTCCAATATCACTGTTTTTTAAGACTGGAGACTGAGACACTGAAAGGTCAGAGAATACTACTGACTGGCCCAGGAATGACCCAGGTGCCCCTGCTCCATTTCTACAAGAATGCCCTTCTTTATCAGTCCAGAGCATAGCTATAGTATTATCCTGGCACTAGACGTTGAGACTTGAGTTCTTTATTACAGAAGAATTGAAAAAAGAAAATAAAATTTATATCACTTAGATGCTTTAATATTATATCAATATGAAGGCTTGTCACTTTTGAAATCTTTAGGGGTGGGGCTTTGCTGGATTAACAAACAAACACATAAAGGACTAAGAGTATTAGATTTTCCTGGTCTTTATCTCATTCAAGGGCCCATTTCCTATTTCTTCCTGTTAGAACCCAGGAAAAGAAGAGAATAGATTTGACATCCTGTGGCATTTACCTGGCCCAGGCCCTGACTCAGCTCAACTGGATAACTTCCAGAATGAAAATTTAGAGAAAGCAGAGAAGGTTCTATTGTCATCTTTAGCCTAATGGACTTCTCCAGAACCCAACGTGAACTACGATGTTGACACTCTGGGAAAATGTTCAAAGTAGGTTGATTCTACATGGCTTTGAAAAAATGTAAGGTACTTCAAACACCTCACCATCAAAGACTTCTTAAAAAAATTATGTGTTAAATCTTTCAAGTTTTCCTATTGTTTATTTTTATTCATTGACCCACCTCCTGGACCTCACTTCTGTCAGTCTAAAACCTAATTTCTTTTAGGCCCCAGAGAAGTTCCATCTCCTCTCCAAAACCTTCTTTGACCTTTACATGCAATGATCTTTCAATTAAAATTTTTCCCTCACAGCATACATAGTCAGCATCATACCATCTAGTACTAGTTAATGTGTAATTTTCATATTCTTCTCTAGTTTAATGGGAGCTTGTTTTGTCTTCTCAATTAGGTTTTAAGTTCCTTGAAGGTGGTGCTATATCTTTTATTTCTACTACATGTTTTAAAAAATGCTTGCTGATATATAATTTTATTGCATTGTGGCAGTTTAAATGGCCAACAGGCCAGAATGAGATGAATCACTTGTTCTGGGATGGACTATCTGTTTGCGTGATGGCTTGGGATGAAGGTACTCACCTTGATAAGAGTCAGCCCTTCTGGGGCCTCTTTCTAGTTTCACCACTTACAGGACAGATGACAGAGGAGGCAGTACTCCACCTCCCTCTGCCTTCCCTGATGCCCATTGCTTCATCCCACTGTTAAATGAGGAACTGTAAGATACAAATCTCTTCCTCAGAGGGGAGCTGTGATAATTGTGGCTTGTACAGCATTTTGTGATTCTTAGATATAAAAGAGCTAATTATTATGATCATTAATAATCCTTAATTTTTATCTTCTTTAAGGTAAATTACCTTTACTTTAATTACACCCCCACCCTGGTGGTAATTATACCTCTGAGAGTCAGCAGATGCTTTCATCTTACATCATGCCATGCAGGGTGACTGGGCATGGGTGCCAGGGAGGGCATTTCTACCATCTGCCTGGTCCTGCTCTCACCCAGAGTAGCAGAGGGCTTCTGGCTGTCTTTGTTGTTAAACTGGTTATAGATTTCAAGTGATTTGTATTCTTTGTTCTATAACAGTGTCTTTATCCTAACCAGCAGCTCCTCAGTTTCACGGAGACACACTAAATGGTACAAATGAATTTTTATCATTTGTCTAATACTGTGAATTAAGGAAGCAGGTATCTTTCACTGGGCCATAGAGGCTTTATGGTGTCTATTATAAAGAGGTTTTCAACTGCAATATGAAAGAAGGGCCATAGCTCCTCAAGTGTAGAGGTGCTGTGTGACATTCCAGATTTTTCTTGGACTTAGATGTGGTTCTAATAGAATTGTAAGTTACTCTTTGGGATAAGAGGATTTGTGTGAAGAACTGAAAAAAAATGTTTTTGAAGAGATTTTACTTCTGACAAAAAGGCATACCATAAAAAGGTTGGAACTGAGGCTTCACACATAATACATACTTTGGGTGTGGGAATAAAGGCCATGGCCTCCCAAATATGGAAAAGAGCACAGGCAGGCCTGTCCCAATCTAGCTTGAAATGTTTTCTTCAGGTCCAGGCATCCTATAACTGCTTCATGTCATGATATAATTATTCAGTCCTAATCTTGGGTGTTTCAGCACCATGAATCCTACTCTGTCCCTGAAGTAAGGATGGCAGTGGAACAAGGCAGTAGGGTGGATGGCAGTGTTGAGTCTCCCTCCTTCTGATCCTTCCTCTCAGAGTGGTGCATGCTTCTCTGGAGCTCTGCCTTCCCCATCTCCCTTAGCATCTTTCTTTCAGTTTCTTTCCTTTCCTTATTTCCTCTTCTCTTCTCTTTTTAAATTTCTCTTTTCCCATCCCACTCTCAAAACCATTTAATCTCAGGTAGGGAAATAGGACAGGGATGAAGAGACCTCAAGGGGAACCAGTCAAGGTCTGTGTCCCTTTCCCTCAAGTGAGGATCTGATTGAGTTCATAGTAGTATTGGTAAAGAAGCAGAAAATAGGCTGTGTCCTTCTTGGTTCTTCTCTCAGTGAGTCTGTCTTGGTCCATAAGCATTTACTGAGCCCTCTGTTCTACTGTAGGCATTGTTCATGGTAGCAGGAGGCACCCCACCCTACCTCCCAATGATTTGAAGTGGGATATGTTATGGTAAGAAAGGTTTAATTCCAAAAATAAGACTGTATATTGGTATTTCCTTGTACATGCTATAATATTTTGTAAGAATTAGACAAACAAACAAACCTAACAACAGTGGTTACCTGTAGGGAGAGGGGTGGGGAAGTGCCTTTTTACTGTATACTTTCTTATACTTTTTAATATTTAAACCATGTGAATATGTTACCTATTACAAATTAAATACATAGAATCATTTAAAATAAAAGTTTGATTCCAAGAGAAAGGAGATGAAATAAAGAGAAGACAATAATGTATTTTATTTACTCAGCTTATATTGTACCTGGCAGGATACTCGGCACTTAATACATTTTTAATAAAATTTTTTAAGTGTGATAAAGTTAAATGACCCTTAAAAAACCTTAACAGTCACTAAAGTGGTTGTACAATAAGTGTTAGTCTTTTGGCTATTTTGTCAGATGTATGATTAGAACTTTACAGATTTTTTCTGAGGCTCTTGCTTATCTGCAGATAAAGAGTGCTGTGGGTACTTCTTCTCTGGGTGTCTAAACCCAGCCTGGCTCTGGGCTCTCGGTGGGCTCACTGTTAGCTCTGGGCAGAGGGTGAACCACTAATAGCTCATCTACAACCAGCTCTTTGAGAGTATTTCCTAAATTAGAAAAAACATGCTTTTGGCAGCACAAATTTGATCTTTGAAGTGAACCACATCCTATAGATATGACAAATGGGGAATAATTACAACTTCTCAAAGTCAAAATTCAGTTATTCTAATATAAATGTAATCCATACTTTCAGGGCCAACATTTCAAAATTAGTCTTTAAAGTCTCTTTTGTTGTGTTTTTCAAGGTGCAAAACTCTTTGAAAGTCTCTGAATACAAGCCCTAGATACTGAGTTCATCATTCTAGATAGTTTATCCTCATCTGTTCCATGAATGTTCACACTGCCTTGCTACTTAGCTAATTAAAAACTTTCATTAAGAACCTGATAAATGGAAGGTGAAAGAGTATAGAGCATTGGAAAAGACCCATTCAAGGCATTCAGAAGGTATGATGTAGTTGTGACTTTCAGTTATAATCCGCAAGTGCTCTACAAGGAGAAAGAGACTACTCCTTGGTGAAGTGGTGTAGGAAGTCTTCAAGGAGGAGATGGGAGTTGTTCTGGATAGGGTGAGTGGATTTCAGGCAGGCCAAGTGAAACGGAGGCATTCCAGGCAGTGTGAGGAAAGATGGGGAGTAGGAATGGGCAAAGCATATTTTGAGAAAAAGATAGTTGAACCATCAGACTATAGTGGAGACTTTATCACTCTTTCGCAAAGGGCCATGTTGCCTTGATCCTTTCAAGGGTTGACCTTGCAGAAGAGAAAGTTGATTTCAACCATCCATCCATTCAGGAAGAAAGAAATTGAATATAGTAAGATGCAGGTTCCATGAAAGCAGGTTCCACGAAAGCAGGTTCCACTTCTGTTTTGTTTGTTGTTGTGTTCCCAGTGGCAGAGAACAGGCCCTCAGCAAATATTTGTTAATTGAAAGAGCGAATGAATTGCATTTATTTATCATATACAAGACTATATGCAAATGCCATGACTAGAAAGTAGCCCTGTAAGAGTTCAGAAGAAGTCAGTTTTTGATAGCAGGATTGGGAAGAAGAGATGGAGTAGAAAAGGAACACTTGAGAGAAGTAGCAATAAGCCATAAGATGGAGAGAGGGTACAATTTTATTTTTAAAAATCTTTCTGAAAGTACTGAATGATTGGCTAGATTGTTGGGGCAAAACAGGTGGGAGTGAGGATGAGGAAGGCAAGAGCAGTCTATTAATATTTGGTAGGATATTGATATTAAAATTAATATCCTACTTCTTCCTACACTGGCCTGATCAGTGCGGTTTTTTAGAGATTAAAAATAGAGGTTGGAGAAATGATTTTTGCCGTGGGATTGATTTCATATCTGTATCTTAAAAGCAATTCCAAGAGTATCATCTGAGCCAGCCTGAACTTCCTCTGCTACTATTATTCAAATAAGGATTTGAATAAGCAGAATTTGCTTCAGTGAGGAAACTGCCTGGGGCATCAGCCTAGGAGAGGGTAAGTGAACTGGTTTTGCCCACATGTATTCAATGGCTTATGAAAGAAAACTCATCTTTTCTTCTTCTTCTTTTTTTTTTAAACATGTGTTTAAAAATGTTATTAAACTAATTCAATTTGTGAGGGAAACTGTGAGACATTACAACTGGTTTGAAGGAGAATTCAAAGTGCAGACATGTATACAGGCCATCAGGAATGAGGAAATGGGCTGGGTACAGTTGCTCATGCCTGTAATCTCAGCACTCCTGGGAGACCCAGGCGGGTGGATCACTTGAGGTCAGGAGTTCGAGATTAGCCTGGCCAAGGTGGTGAAACCCCGTCTCTACTAAAAATACAAAAATTAGCCAGGTGTGGTAGCGCATGCCTGTAGTCCCAGCTACGCTGAGGCAGGATAATTGCTTGAACCCAGGAGACGGAGGTTGCAGTGAGCCGAGATCATGCCACTGCACTCCAGCGTGGGTGACAGAGCGAGACTCCATCTCAGAAAAAAAAAAAAAAAAAAGGAATGAGAAAGCGAATTTGCTAAATTGATGCACAATCAATCAATAGCCAGGGCCTGTCATCCACAGTCACTCCACCAGACACACACATGCATTCCTATGGTTTGTCCACAACTTCCAGAGCTGAAGAGTAGCTCAAGGACGTCAAAGGGCAGAGGCCACAGGGAATGGCTGAGCCACAACTGAGCAGCACTTCTTCACTCCCCATTTCCATGGCTATCACCATTTTTCTCTGACAAATCATAGACAAATTCTAAAGACTGAGTAAATCTATAAAAGTGAATAATCACAGAAGTGCAATGTCTGATCAATGATTCCAAAAGTGTTCCTGGGCACTCAGTCTCACTAAGTATACATTCTGAAATCAAATTCTATTTCTTTACAAAAAGTGTAGGCAATCAGTGTTCTTAAATGAGGCAAATGGTTATTATGAGGTAGAAAACATTCTCCAATGTGGATAACGATGTAGATACCAGATAAATGCTACAGTTGTGTTCACACTAACAACAAATTATAGATGATGTGGCTCAGAGTCAGTCGATGAGTGAAAATCCAGAGATATTCTGAGGTCACAAAAAGAATTTTAATGTTAACTAATAAGGATAATTATTTCTTAGTGCTCACCAGAAACATGGCTTTCCCACTCAGATTGCAGACCAGCCAGAACTACCATCTCACTTTGTCAGTTGCCATTGCATGTTGACATCAACACTGAGGAGAGTGATGCAGATGATCGATATAAATATATATATAATACATATGTATGTACACATGAAGCATATACTTATATGCATACATAGTTTACATTTTTCCAGCTGGGGTTTCAGAAAAACTAGAACAAAAGAGAAATCATGTTCCATTTTGTCTTGGAAAAGTATACATCTCACATATACAGATATGCATATATCTACATACATATACATGTAATGCCTATATGCATATGAACATACTGAGATATATATATGTATATGTATCTATATGTGTATATATATATATGCATATACATTCACTTTATCACATACTCCATCAGCTTGGTTTTTGAGATGGTAATTCAAGTTCGATTTTTGTTCCGGGCTTTGTTTTCGTCTCTACTAAGTTTCTCTCAACTGTCAAGCCACATTTCATCAACACTTTAGAGTGGGGCAAGCCAACACAGGATGGAAAGGCAAACCTTAGGAAGCTAAAATTACTGTGCAGTCTGGGATTTGGGAGTTGTTGATTTCCTTTCCCTTTCCCCCAGCAGTGTGGACCATGAGAGTGGGCTGGGGGCGGCCCTCCCTCTCACTCATAGGGGAGCAAACCAAACAGCTCAGGCTGGAAGTCCTGCAGGGAATTCAGCACCGGGGTGGCCTTTCTCCTCAAGTCTCAGTTCAAGGTTCTGTCTAGAATGAAGACCACTTGCATCCCAGTTGCCAGGGTTGCCTCCACCTCATTGAGAGCATCTTCAAACAAGGCACCTCTCCATAGGAGGACAGGGAGAGAACCTGTTGGCACAAGCTGGGAGGATGTTGGGGTCTGGCTTGCTGTGCTGTACTTCGGGGTCATCTCCCTGCATAATGTGAGAAAACAGGCTGAAGAACTCCTTGTGTCAGCTCACCTTCATCTCCAATGAGGCAGACCCTGAGCTGGTGGCCATGGCAAAGGGAATGCTGTGTTTCTGCAGGTGGACGATGAGATTCTCAGCCCCTGGCATGAGCACAGCTGTAGGGAACACTTCCTTTAACTTCGTTTGGCTTTCTTCCACCAGTTCCTCCTTGGACATCAGGAGCTGCAAGATGTCTATTATAATCTGTGCTGCCTCTAATGCCTACTTACCCATTACCAGGGACTTTACAACCCAGCTGTATTTCTTTTCATAGAAATCACATATTTCTTGAAACAGCACTGAATATAGCCATTCAGTATCCAGAAGAAGGCCATCCATGTCAAAGATGAGGTGGGTGATGGGCTGCGGTGGGGGGTGGGGGTGCTCCCATGGTGCTGCCTTCTCCGTCTGGGTGGGGGTGAGGAGCAAAGAGACCTCATCTTTCTTTCTTTCTTTTTTTTTTTTTCTTTGAGACAGAGTCTTGCTCTGTCACCCAGGCTGGAGTGCAGTGGCATGATCTCGGTTCACTGCAACCTCCGCCTCCCAGGTTCAAGCGATTCTTCTGCCTCAGCCTCCTGAGTAGCCGGGACTGCAGGTGTGTGCCACCACACCAGGCTAACTTTTTGTGTTTTTAGTAGAGATGGGGTTTCACCGTGTTAACTGGGTTGGAGACCTCACCTTTCTAATCCAAGCATCTGATATATTTCATCCTGATCTTCTGCACTGAGCATTATATGATCAATTCAGTCTAATCAAATTTAATGGACATTGGTTCAGGTTCTGAGAACTCAAATATGGCCAAATATACCTCTGCCTTGCATCTCCAGTTTAGTGAGGGAAGTTTTGGCCTATGAGACGTGGTGATGGGGACTCTATTTTTTGTTGTGATCATTATTATCTTCATCAATCACTATAAGCCAGAAACAAAAGTAACTATTGTCTCTGTTATTTAATTCTTACACCAATCCTGTATAGTAAGCATGAATAGTCTCATTTTGTAGATGGAGAAACTGAGTCTTTGTGATGCTAAGTAACTTACCTAAGGCCAATTAAGTCGGCAAGTTGCAGAGCTGGAATTTGAATCCAGATCTGTCAGCCTCTAAAACCCACACTCTACCATTATTCAATACTACTACTTTAATTCCTTGTTGCCTGCATGGAGATAATAATAATTTGCTATGGAAAGTACCAGTTAGAAGATATTGTCTTTACCACCCCCACTGTAGTTTGGTGAGTGCTTTTGCCCCTTCTGATGTGGTTAGAACAAACCTATGCTCTACAGTGGCGTGGCTTCTGCAGCAGGTGCTACTTTCGTGAAGGAGGTCCCCCCAGCCACAGGGAACGGAGGTTCATGATCTTTAGGAGGCTGGCAGGATTTTATCTCTAATGAAACATGGTGATGATTAGATCAAGACAACTTGACTGCAGCAATATTTTTCCTCTGACAACTTTGTGTGAAGAAATCAGACACAGCCAAGACCAGTTTGTGCAGCTGATGGCACCGGAGCAGAGGGTGTCCTCTTATCAGATACCAGCACAGTGACTGCTGACTGTCATGTGTGGACCTCGCAGACTTCTAGCTACAGCTTAATTATAATTATTAAGTTTTTACAGGACACTGATTGTATTTCAAAGGGTTTTACGAACCTCTTTTTATTAGTTGTTCCCTATCCAGCCCAGTCTGACAGAAGGGCTACTTCCTCTGCTTTCAGGTGTGGAAATGGGGCCACTCTGAGGTTAAGTTGCCTGTCAGAGGTCACCTAGCGGCTGAGCTTTGGTTCTAACTTGCTGGATTGGACAGATCAGATCTGCTCCTTTAGGCCAATCAATTAGTTGATATAGGAGCCATGGAGATTTAGAGCTAATGAAATGGTACCTTACAGATATGGAAGGTAGTAGATTTTGTGGTTTGAAATTTGTGTTTTGTCTTCCAATATGAATTTTGTTTTTGCTGTCAAGAATTCAGTGAATCAAAAGTAGATGGGTTCTGTCATTCCTCTCTCTCTTCTTGGTTCTCCCTTTTTTACATACCCTCTTTTCCTCTACTTTCCAAAAGAAGGAATTGGTCCTGAACAAGTGATTCCAAGTTCCCTTCTCCAGAATTAGAGAAGGGCACAGGTGGTGGGTGGTTCTGGTAATACTCATTAGAGGCCATTGGAGGAGCTCAAGGTAACTCTATTTTGCTTGGATGTGGTATCATAATAACGTCTTATACTTCATAGGTTTCTGGTTAAGACACTAGTTTCATGGGATCTTCCTAGGTATTCAGGTACTTCAGGCTCTAGTTTTATCTAAATTTGGGAACTCGGGATTAAGCAAATTGAAACAAGTTATTTATTTATTTATTTGTTTATTGTGCATGTATAGGGTGTATGTGGTGAGTTTCCAAAGGGGGTCTATAGATAAAGCATTTCTGAAACTCGTGGACCACTGACTGTCTCTCCCCTCCCCATCCCCGACCTATCTTCTGATAGTGACATTCTGTAGAACACCCTGAGAAAATGCAACTGAGCATGCCTTTTTCAGACAGGCAGCATGCAGTACACTTCCTTGTTTCTGTGGCTCCTTCCTGGGCTTCGTTCTGTTCCTTGGAGTCATAGAACAGGAGAAAATGCTGTCTCCAAAATTCTCATAGGAAGCACAGGTGAAATATTTTCCTTACTGCATAAACTATTTAGATATGAATTTGTAAGCAAACCCAGAAAATAAACTAGATGTCTTCTGAACTGAACTTTTCTTTTTGGCCCTGTCCTATTACACCAACTGTGACGTAATAAGTGAGTTTTGACTATAGGGTATGTGTTAGGACATATGTTACCATGGAGACCTTAGGAGCATATATCAAGTGATATATATTGTACTATATTATGGACAATGTCTTGAAATCATTTTTATCAATAATTCAAAATAACAAGAATGGTCTTTGTGTACTTTTTTTGTACAAGATGGCATCAGGATGTAAAAATTTGTTTTTCAGCAATTGTTAATTTTTAAATATATTCTAGCTGGCCATGTGGTAAATTGAGAGCCCAGGGGTCTTGGATATAGGTCTGGCTGAGAAATTGCTATTCTCTGTGACCTTACATGAGTCACTTAAACCCTTTGGGCCCCAGATGTCTGTCTATAAAATTACAATAATGACTCTGGCTTCCTCTCTGGGGTGGAGAGTGGGGTGTGCTAGAAGGAATGAGATCATAAACTGATAGAGGGCTGAACTAAGGTACTTTTGAATTTATAGGAAAAAAGCAAGAGGAGAAATGTTAAGTTTCTTCATGTTCTTTTTCTTTCTCTAGTCTCTAAATGCAGAATCCTGGGAACAGATCCATGAAGAGAGAGGTGAGGTCAAGAAGAGATTCCTATGTGTGTAATTGGTAGAGCCTTTTTACTTTCACAAGTCTTCATGTGGAACATTTCCTTCCTTGAAACCACTGTGAATGCTGTGAATTTTGTGTTCTCTTTCCATTGTCTGTCAATTGATAATCAGTTTCTGTGACTCTGAGGTATTCGGTCTGATTATTTTACATTTTTTGCATTAAATCTTTTTCCTACTAAGTGTTAGGATTTGGGATAATGTCTCTTCATTAAACTTTAGTAAATACCCACTTGCTGAAATTCAGAAATATTGCTGGAGATTTGTTTTTCCATTGGCCTTTTCTTACCATGTGCCCAGGAACTCCAGGACTGGCACCTTAGGATATTCTTTATCTCAGACCATCAGGATCTGACATCTCAGCAGCTTTGTGCTGTCAGGAAGACAAGCCATTTAGTTTTCTACTGTGCTTGGCTAACACAATGCCCATTTTCAGAGCATAAGATGGAGGCAGAGATTGGAAGGACTTGCCTGAGGCCACAGGGTGACCCATAAGCACAAGAGAGAAAGAGGGATGTGAGTGAGAGATTCTTCCCACCTGACCTCACTCCCAGACCCCACGCCTTTTGTCAATTCCTTCCCATGGACCTACCTGCTTGGAAATCAGTTTCCAAGGTTGTTTTGTTACCTTCTCCCAACCATTGTTAATCTTTGATGTAATTCATTTATCTAAAGCACCATTTACCCCATTATCTCCTTGTAGTTCTCACTTAGTTGCCAAGAGTTTCCCACTTCTCTTCCTACTTAAGTACTAATACGAGTTTCAGTAGGTGCAACTCTTTTACCTACCCCAATTTCTCTGGGCTCTGGTCCCTGTGTCAGAGGCTTGGGATAATATCTCATAAGAACAAGTGTAGAGTGGTTGCTCAGCCATAAAAAATGATGAGTTCATGTCCTTTGTAGGGACATGGATGAAATTGGAAATCATCATTCTCAGTAAACTATCGCAAGGACAAAAAACCAAACACCGCATGTTCTCACTCATAGATGGGAATTGAACAATGAGAACACATGGACACAGAAAGGGGAACATCACACTCTGGGGACTGTTGTGGGGTGGGGGGAGGGGGAGGGATAGCATTAGGAGGTATACCTAATGCTAAATGACGAGTAATGGGTGCAGAACACCAGCATGGCACATGTATACATATGTAACTAACCTGCACATTGTGCACATGTACCCTAAAACTTAAATATAATAATAATAAAAGAAAAAAAAGAAAAAAAAGGAAAAAAAATGATGTAAGGAAAACTATAATTTATTGAATGCCTTCCATTTGTCATGCTATACACAAGATACAAAAATAACATAATAAACCTATGAGTGTAGTATTCATATTTTGTAGATGAAGACACTGAGGCATAGAAAGGCCAAATGATCTGCTGAAAGTTACATGATAATGAAGGGGTGAGCTGTTATTTGACCCATGCTCTTTTTCACTATGCCGTGCTGTTTTGGGTTTTACTAAAAACTGTTTGGTGGCTACACCTCTTATTTGCATAATTATAATTTCTTACACTTGTGTAGTGATTTATGGATTTAGAACATTTTCAAAAATTTTATTTTATTTTATGTTTGCAACACTGTATGAAGTAGGCACCACAGATAATGATATTCCAACTCTTTTAAATGAGCCCTCCATTCTACTGACGCTCATGAAGTTTAGTGATTTATACAGTGTCCCTCATGTGGTGACAAATTTGTACCATATTCTCTATTATCAAATCATTCTTCCTTAATTATTTTCATTTATGTCATTCTTCTGATAAAAAAGCTTACAGTGACCTTCTATTGCTAAATGTACAATTGTCAGTCAGTTGTAAACTTTCCTTAACAGCTGGCCATCCTCAGCCATTACTCAATCACTCATTTGTTCAACAAGCCTTAATTAAGCACTTGTAATGTGCAAAGAATCAGATATATAAAGAGGAATAATATGTGATCCTAACCTTTTGGGAGATTACAGTGTGGTCAGGGAGTCATCCAGGTCAAGGCATTATTTTAACCCAGGATAATAAAGGCTATGATAGAGGGCATTATGGGAGCTCACTGAAGGGACACTTCACCCATATATTGGGCTTAAGGAAGGTAGCTTAGAGAAGGTGGTGCTTGTGACAAATCCTGTTGGACAAGTTGGGTATATGGTGTGAGGTAGAATGGGATGAGAGCTGAAGTTGGGAGAACTAAGGAGGGGAGATCATGAAGGACTTTATGAGCAAAGGTAAAGAAGGTAGATTTTATCCCACAGGCTATGGAGAACAATTATAGGATATTAGGCAGGAGATGATGACATAATCAGATTTGCATTTTAGAAAGGTCTTTGTAGCAGTAGCATTGAGAATGGGTTGATGGAGGGCAAGGTAGGGTACAGTGAAGTCACTTAGGAATCCTTTGTAGTAAAATAGGTGAGAAATGGAGGGTTGAACTAAGATATTTGCAGTTGGGCTGAGAAAAAAGCATTTGAATTGGAAATCTTTAAGAAATAGAAACCCACAGGGATTGCTGACATATTGGATATAGAAGGTAACGAAGAGGAAATAATTGGGAAGTCTGGGGTTTTGGCTCGAGCAGCTGGGAAGACAGTAGGATTGTATACAGGTAGAAGGATATAGAAGGAGGTGTTCAATTTTGTGCATATTGAGTTTAAGATGCTTGTGAGACACTTTGGTAAAGGGATCCAGGAGGTAGTAGGATATCTAGATCTGAAACTAAGGAGAGAAATCTGGGCTGGAGATATAGATTTGGAAGCCATTAGGAGGAATGTGATAAGAAGATGAGATTGACCAGAGGAAGTGTGTAGGTCAGTGGTTCTCACCTTTAGCTGTGTGTTAGAACCACCTGGGGAACTTCTAAAAATCCAGATTTCCAAGGTCACACCACCGACCTATAAAATTAGAATTTCTAGGAATAGAACCCAAGCACCAGTGTTTCAGAACTCTCCAGATGATAAAGTGGCAGTGAGAGTTGAGAAGCACTCGATTGAAAGGAGCAGGAAATGCCTCATTAAAGGTGACTAAATGAGGGAGAAGCATAAGACATTTCCAGAGGGATAGGAGAGCCTAGAGAGAAGGTAGCATTACTGACACTAAGGGTGTGAGAAGTCAAGAAGAAAGCAATGAGCAGTGCTCTTCTAATCAATCTTCAGTTACTCCTTAACATGGCTCTTTCCTGTAGCCACCTATTCTGTTTGCTTTTTCCTGCCTTTAACTTGGTAGATGCTCATCTGTGTCTCTGCTCAAACTACTCCTGATGCTTAGGATTCCTGCCCTTCTTGAGGATGTCAATCCACATTTAGCCCATACTTAAGGTTTGGCTCAAAATCTCCTCCTCTAAGAAATATCTGATCAATTTTACCCAATTCTAATTACTCTCCTTTAGATACTCCCTTATGCATTTAGTTCTATGTAAAAAATGGCCCAGCTGTGAGACAGTGCCAAGAGTCCTGGACTTAGACTCTGAAGATTTGAGTTCAAGTCCTGGTTCTGCTACATGTTAATAAGCTGGAACATCTTGAGGAAGTCACTAAAGTGCATTAGTTTCTGTATCTATAAGATGTTCATAGCAATAACAACTTTTAAGGATTGATATGAGTTTTGAGAATGTAAAAAGCTACATATGTGGGAGAATGACATCAGCAAGATGGAAGAATAAGAGCTTCCAGCACTCATCTTCTCACAGACACCCATTGAACAATCATCCACACATGAAGATAACTTCTTAAAAGCTAAGGAATCCAAATTAGAGATTATAACACTTGGATGCAGTGCAGAAATAAGAAAAGACACATTGGAGAGGGTAGAAGGGACAGTTTCACATTAATCATGTCATCCCTTACCCAAGCCTGTGCAGCACTGTATGGAGAGATACCCTTCGTATGAGGGAAGGAGAATGAAAGGAGGAATTGACTTTGCCATGGACCTCAGTACCAGGGCAACCTCCATGGGCCCAAGGAGAAGTTTAGCCCCTGCAGACATAAACTCCAGGCTGGCTCTTGCAAACCCAAGCTCCAGGCCTGCCCAGTGCCAGGTCACTGCTTATGGAACCAGGCTCCAGACATGCTCCTTTATACCCAGGCACCAGATGCACCCCAGTGCTAGGCCAGCCCTCATGGTCCCAGACTCTCGGCTAAGCACCTACAGACTCAGGTTCCAGGCTGGTCCCCAGGAACCCAGGCTTCAGTCCTATCCCTGTGGACTCAGGTCAAAGACCTATGCCGGCACCAAGTCAGACGCAAAGGATCCAGGTTCCAGGCTGGCTTCTGCAAACATAGGTGCCAGACTTGCCCATGTGTATCCAAACTCTAGTCATGCCCTAGTGGATGCAGGCACCAGGACCCACATGCCCACTGACCCACACACCAGCGTAGCCCACCAGAGGACTCCAGCATTAAGCCTACCCAAGGACCCTGCCAGCTGGGTCACCCCAAATTTCTAGATGGGCTGACTGATGAAGAGCTTTCTCTGCAAAATCCAGTCTGCAAAGACTGAAAAAGGTGCCTAATTCTTCAAATGTGTGGACATTGACGCAAAGTCCACAGAGATCATGAATAATTGGGGAAACATGACACAACAACAGGAACAAAATAAGGCACTAACAAATAATCCCAAAGAAATGGAAATCTATTAACTGCCAGACAGTTCATAGATTTAAAAATAACCATGAGAATTAAAAAATGATTATCTTAAGCTCAGTGAGCTACAAAAGAACACAGATGGACAACTAAATGAAATTAGAAAAGTAACACATTAACAAAGTGAAAATTTTAGCAAAGAGATAGAAACCATGTATAAGACCCAAACAGAAATTCTGGAGCTAAGGAACACAATGATTGAGCTAAAAAATTCAATAGGAAATTTCAAAAGTAGAGTCAATCAAGCAGAAGAATTAGCAAGCCTGAAGACAAGTTATTTGAAATTACATAATCAGAGGAACAAAAAGAAAAATTAATAAAAAATGGTGAAGAAATCCTGTGCAACTTATAGGACACTATCAAGTGAGGCAATTTATCCATCATAGGATTCCCAGAAGGAGCAGATAAAGAGAATGGGAGAAGAAAGCCTATTTAAAGAAATAACAACAAGCCAGGCACAGTGGCTGATGCCTGTAATCCCAGCATTTTGGGAGGCCAAGGTAGGGGGATTGCCTGAGCTCAGGAGTTTGAGACCAGCCTGGGAAATGTGGTGAAACCCAGTCTCTATCAAACATACAAAAAATTAGCTGGGTGTGGTGGCATGGACCTGTAGTCCCAGCTACTTGGGAGGCTGAGGTGGGAAGATCACTTCAGCCTGAGAGGTGGAGGCTGCAGTGAGCCAGGATCACAGCACTGTACTCCAACCTGGGTGACAGAGTGAGACCTCATCTCAAAAAAAAAAAAAAAAAAAAGAAATAACAACAGAAAACTTCCCAAATCTGGGTAGGGAAATGACTATTCACATATATGAAGCCCAAACAACTCCAAACAGATTAAACATAAACAGATCTTCACTAAAACACATTGTAATAAAATCCTCAAAAGTTAGGCAAATAGACTTTTGAAAGCAGCAAGAGAAAGCAACTTACAAAGGAACTTCCTTAAGACTATCAGTACATTTCTCAGCAGAAATCTTATTGACCATGAGAGAATATGATGATATATTCAATGTGAAGAAAGAAAAAAAATTACTAACCAAGAATATCATGCCCAAAAAAAGCTGTCCTTCAGAAAGGAAGAAGCAGAAAATACTTTCTCAGACAAACAAATTTGAGGAACTTTATTACCACTAGACTTACCTTACAAAAAAGTTTAAGGGAGTTCTTCAAGTTGAAATTAAAGGACACTAACTAACAATAGGAAAACATATGAAAGTGTAAAACTTATTATAAAGGTAAGAATATAGTGAAATTCAGAATACTTTAATACAGTATTGGTGGTGCATAAATCACTTTTAACTCTAGTATAAAAAGTAAAAGACAAAAGTATTAAAAATAACTACAATAATTTTTAATGGATACACAATATGAAAAATGTGTTAATTGTGATATCAATAACATACAATTTTGAGGGAAAAGAAGTTAAAGTGTTGTTGTGTATGGTCAAAGTTGCTGTTGTAACTTAAAATAGAATGTTATGACTATAAGATATTTTATGTAAGCTTCATGATAATTACAGAAAACATACAGTAGATACACAAATGGTAAAAATAAAGGAATCAAGCATACTACTATAAAACACTATCAAATCACAAAAGAAGACAAGAAGAGAGAAGGGAGAAATAAGATAACTACAAAACAGACAGAAAACAATGAACAAGTGGCAAGAGTAAGTCATTACCTGTCAACACTTACTTTAAATTCTCCAATTAATATATGTAGACTGGCTGAAAGAATTTTTTTTTTTAAAACAAGATCCAACTATATGCTGCCTACCAGAAACTCATTTTAGTTTTAAGGATATGCATACGGTGAAAGCAAAGGGATGAAAAAAGCTATTTCATGCAAATTGTAGCCAGAAGAGAACAGAAGTGACTATACTTATATCAGATAAAATAGAATTTCAGTCAAAAATTGTCACAAGAAACAAAGGTCATTATATAATAATAAATGGGTCAATTAATAAAGAGGATATAATAATTTATATATATCCAATATCAGAGAGAGAGAGAGAGTGAGCAAATATTAACATAACTGAAGGGAGAAATAGATAACAATACAATCAAAGGAGGAAACCTCAATCCCCCACTTTCAACAATGGGAAGATCATCCAGACAGAAAATCAGTAAGAAAACAGTGGACTTAAACAGCGCAATGGAGCAAAATGGACCTAACAAACATCATATAAAACATTCATCTAACAGCAGCAAATGGAGCATTCTCCAATAAAGCTCATATGTCAGGCCACAAAACAAGTCTAACAAATTTAAGAAGACTAAAATAATATCAAGTATCTTTTCAGGCCACGGTGGAATGAAACCAGAAATCAATAACAGGGCAAAAACTGAAAAATTCACAAATATGTGAAAATTAAACAGCATACTCCTAAACAATTAATGGGTCAAATAAGAAATCAAAGAGAAAATTTTTAAAATCTTTAGACAAATGACAAATAAAAACACAACATACCAAAACTTATTGCATACAGCAAAAGCTATTCTAAGAGGGAAGTTTATAGTGATACACTTCTTCATTAACAATAAAGAAAGATCTCAAAAAACTTCACTTTGCACCTCAAAGAAGTGGGAAAAGAAGAAAATGTTAGAAAAAAGAAGGAAAAAACAAAGACCAGAGCAGAAATAAATAAACTCAAGACTAGAAAAATAGTAGAAAAGATTAGCAAAAACAAGAGATGGTTTTTTTTTGAAAAGATAAACAAAACTGACAAACCTTTAGCTAGGCTAAGAAAAAAAGAGAGAAGACTCAGATAAATAAAATTGAAAATGAAAGAGGAGACATTACAACTGGTGCCACAGAAATACATAGGATTAGAAGAGACTACTATGAACAATTATAAGCTAGCAAATTAGACACCTTGAAGAAATGGATACATTTCTGAAAACACACACCAAGAAATAGAAAATCTGAACTGGTCAAGAAGTGAGGAGATTGAATCAGTAATTTAAAAAACCTAGCATAGAGAAAAGCCAAGGACCTGATTGCCTCACTGGTGAATTATAACAAACATTTAAAGAAGAATTAATGCAATCCTTCTCAAACTCTTCCCAAAAATTGAAGGAAAGGGAACACTTCCAACATCTTTTATGAGACCAGTATTATCTTAATACCAAACCGGATAAGGACACTGCAAGAAGAGAAAATTACATGCCAAAATTTCTGATGAACATAGAGGTAAAAATCCTCAAGAAAATACTAAAAACCCAAATTTGCTAACACATTAAAAGGATGATACACCATGATTAAGTGAGATTTTTCTTTGGATGTAAGGATGATTCAATATATGCAAATCAATGAATGTGATACACCAGATTAACAGAGTGAAGGAAAAAAATCACACAATCATCTCAATAGCTGCAGAAAAAGCATTTGAAAAAAATTCAACATCCTTTCATGGTAAAAACTCTCAACAAAACTAGGTATAGAAGAAATGTACCTCAACACAATAAGGACCGTATAAGACAAGCATTCAGCTAATATCATACTTAATGGTGAAAAGTTGAAAGCGTTTTCTCTCTGATCAGGAACAAGACAAATGTGCTTACTCTCGCTACTTCTATTGAACATAGTATTGGGGTCCTATCTAGATACATTAGGCAAGAAAAAGGAAATAAGAGTAATCCAAATTGGAAAGGATGAAGTAAAATTGTCTCTGCAGATGATATAATTTTATGTATAGAAAACCCAAAAGATTCCACCAAAAAAAAAAAAAAAACTGTGAGAACTAATAAATGAATTCAGTAAAGTTGCAGGATACAAAATCAACATACAAAAATCAGTTGCATCTCTGTATACTAACAATGAACTATGGGAAATGAGGAGGTATTTGTCAAAAGGTACAAAGTTTCAGTTATGCAGGATGAATAAGTTCTGAAAATCTAATGTACAGCATGGTTCGAACATAGTTAATAATACTGTATTGTATATTTAAAATTTGCTAAGAGAGTAGGTCTTAAATGTTCTCACTAGAAAAAAGGTAACTACGTGAAGTGATAGATCTATTAATTAGCTTGATGGGTGGTGACCATTTAACAAAATATACATATAACAAAACATCATGTTGTACATGTGATATTCTGTAGAGTCATGTTATTAAATTTTACACCTGTAATTGGTTGTTTGCAAGCATTCCAAAGTGTGTGTGTGTGTGTGTGTTTGTATGTGTGTATTTGTTTGATTTTTCCAATTGGATTATAAACTCCTTGAAGACAGAAATTATATTTTGTTCCTTTTCTGACCCTGTTTAGCTTAGTGGTCCCTTGTGATTCTTAGGTAGCCACATAACATTGGCTGGCTCATGCTGGTTAACCAAGTGCTGCATCCCTGATGATGTTGCTCCTAGGTGACGGGACCTCTGGACCTTTGAGCAGAACCAAGGGTCAGATGACAGCCTGCAGAGGCATGAGATGTCACTTGAGTCAGTATCAACTCGTCCAGATCTGTAGGCTTCAAACACATAAGGGAAAATCCTAGGTGCAGGAAATGGAAAAGGTTTGAGGCAAAACCACCTGATGACTTTTCCCCTTGCTTTGAGGAAAATCTGAAGCTCTTAAGCCAACCAGACCCTGAACAATTAGTGGGCCTGCAGAGTTACTTTTCTTACCTCATGTCCTGTGACTACACCCTCACTCCCTTTATATTCACTTGCCTCTTTGCTGTTCTCTGAACACATCTGGCATGCTACTGCCTTGGGGCCTTTGCAGCTGCTCTCCCTTCTCCCTGGAATGTTCTGCCAGATATTCCTTTGGTTCTTTCTCTTACCTTCTTCAGATCTTTGCTCCAATGTTACTTTCTCAGAAGACCTTCACTGGCCATCTTAAAGTTGTGACCCTCAACAGTCCTTATTTTCCTTCATTGCTTTATTATTTTTTCTGTAGCATTTATCATTATCTGACATAATATGTATTTTACTTATTTATTTCCTTCTATCTCTTCATTAGGATGTAAACTCTATATGGACCATGTTTTTTGTCTCTTTTTAAAAATTGTTGTATCCCTGGTGCCATGGTTCTTGGAACATAGTAGGCACTCAATATTTATTGAATGAATAACTTAACAAATAAATGCTGAATAAAGTATACGTATCAATGGCCAGGATATTTCAAGCTGGTAAAGACCCAGTAGGTTGTCGAGGAGTCTGACTCCTTTCCTTATACTAGTTTCCTGTTGGTTTCTTTATAGAGTTTTATTTCATCAAATTGTGGTGAAAAGTCTTCTTAATTTCCATGGAGAGATGGCTCTTCAGCTTTCTGGCTTTTTTTTTCCTCTCAAAGGAAACAAACTATAAAGAAGAGGAGTGTTTAGTAGTTCACTGAATCTTATTTCAAGCTGCTGAATGTGACTCCTAGTCTTCTGGAAATTCCTATCTTTCTTGGGAGCAAATTTTATAAAAATAGAGGACCCTTTCTTTGAACTTCAAAGACAAATGAAGGGAGAAGAATTAGACCATTTTAGCTTGTAAATGTGGGGAAATAACTCTTTGAAGAGGTTGGCAGCATTGGAAGTATAGATGTTTCCCAAAAGAGCTTGGCTGAATTTTTTCAGAGCAAGCATATGGGCAGTGGCTGCATAGACCATTGGACCTACTAGGACAGCATCCGTGGTGTGATTTACAAGCCCCTCAGTGCTCTGCTCAGACACGTGGAGGGATTAGGTATCAAGTGTGACTGCTTCTATTTCTCAACTACTCACCACAAACTCATCTGGCTATACCATAAGTGGGAGTAAGATACATAGTGAAAATATCCCATAGCTTTATTATTTTAAAACTACGTTCTGGCAGAAGCTGGCAGACCATTTGGCAATGATGTCAAGGCAGAGATTTCCTGGTTATGTGGGAGGTTGCACTAGATGACCCCTTTAAATCATTGAATCATGGAGTTGGATCATCTAGTTTAACTTAGAAATCATCTAACTCATGTGCACAACGTGCAGTTTTGTTACATATGTATACATGCTGGTGTGCTGCACCCATTAACTCGTCATTTACATTAGGTATATCTGCTAATGCTATCCTCCCCTATTCCCCCACCTCATGACGGGCCCCGGTGTGTGATGTTCCCCTTCCTGTGTCCAAGTGTTCTCATTGTTCAGTTCCCACCTATGAGTGAGAATATGTGGTGTTTGGTTTTTTGTCCTTGCGATAGTTTGCTGAGAATGATAGTTTCCAGCTTCATCCATATCCCTACAAAGGACATGAACTCATCCTTTTTTATGGCTGCATAGTATTCCATGGTGTATATATGCCACATTTTCTTAATCCAGTCTATCATTGATGGACATTTGGGTTGGTTCCAAGTCTTTGCTATTGTGAATAGTGCCACAATAAACATACGTGTGCATGTGTCTTTATAGCAGCATGATTTATAATCCTTTGGGTATACACCCAGTAATGGGATGGCTGGGTCAAATGGTATTTCTAGTTCTAGATCCTTGAGGAATCGCCACACTGTCTTCCACAATGGTTGAACTAGTTTACAGTCCCACCAACAGTGTAAAAGTGTTTCTATTTCTCCACATCCTCTCCAGCACCTGTTGTTTCCTGACTTTTTAATGATCCCCATTCTAACTGGCATGAGATGGTATCTCATTGTGGTTTTGATTTGCATTTCTCTGATGGCCAGTGATGATGAGCATTTTTTTCATGTGTCTGTTGGCTGCATAAATGTCTTCTTTTGAGAAGTGTCTGTTCATATCCTTCACCCACTTTTTGATGGGGTTGTTTGTTTTTTTCTTGCAAATTTGTTTGAGTTCTTTGTAGATTCTGGATATTAGCTCTTTGTCAGATGAATAGATTGCAAAAATTTTCTCCCATTCTGTAGGTTGCCTATTCACTCTGATGGTAGTTTCTTTTGCTGTGCAGAAGCTCTTTAGTTTAATTAGATCCCGTTTGTCAATTTTGGCTTTTGTTGCCGTTGCTTTTGGTGTTTTAGACATGAAGTCCTTGCCCATGCCTATGTCCTGAATGGCATTGCAATTATAGTTTGCTGTCTTCCTATTATGATTAGAATCAATGAAAGCCCCAGCCAAATCTCTCATACCTATTGTTGTTAAAGCTGATGACCATTTTTCCTCCTCACTCATATTTGCTTCTCTAAAGCCTATTCATTCTCAAAGGCTCAGGTCAAATTCTTCTTCCAGCAAGCGTCCCACTAGTATTCCCCAACCAGATGTAATTTTCTCTTTACCTGTGCTCCCCTGGCCCTTGTGCTTGATTATAAGCCTAGCACAGTATTCTTTGAATTAAATGTGTGATTTAAATATACTACATCTCTTAGTGGGCTGTGAACTCTGAGGGCAGGGATGGCATGATTCATGTTTGTGCATCATGTCTTATGTGTGGCTGTTCTATCAAAGACTTGGCTTGATTTAGTTACATACAAGACTCTACTCCACGGATTGCAGGACCCATCATGTAGGCTCTTTTCATTGGTTTGGGAGGCAAAGAAGGGATTTAGAAACATAGACTCCTGAAGTCAGACATGGATTTGAATGATTTTTCTCTCCACTTAGAAGATATTTGACTTTGGGTAAGTTATTAATCTCTGTAAGCCTCAGCTTTCTCATCTGTTAAATGGACATGATAAGAAGCACCTAACTTACTAGAGTTCATGAGAGGATTATATGGAATAAGGATATACCTGGCACTCAGTATTGTGCCTGCCACACACTTCGGTGCTCAGGGAAAGCTAGTAGTGGTTATTTTTTTTACTCCTATTTATAAATAATTGTTTTATTCTTTTGGATTAATCACATGGAATTGTGATTGTCTTCCTGCTCATAGATTGTGAGTCCTTGATAGAAGACATCCGGCATCTGTACCCCTAGTGCCCAGCACAGTGTCCAGAAAATTGTTGTCATCAGCGTTTGTTGAATGAATGCATGAATCTAAGGCTTTTGAACTGCAGCCCGAAGGTACATATGTAAGATGTTGCTGTTATTAGCAGGCATTGCGTTGCTGAGCCTTAAAAATGAATAAGACCAATGCTTTCCTTGGCTTTAGGGAGATTATGATCCAGTATGAAAGGCACACTGCAAGTTACTTTTTAAGAGATTGTATTTTAACACTAGTACTCAGTAAGTGCTCAATTCAAGTTAGGCTCCTACTGCCTTAGTAAGTCTTGTAATAAGTTAGCTAATAAAAATGGTGCAAATTCATTTTCTGCTTGGTTCTCAAAGAAAACAGGAGACATGTAGGTGCTAGCCTACATGTTAGGTAGTTTTGATTTGCATTTTTCTAGGAGTTCTATGGTTTCAGTCTTACATTTAAGTCTATTATCCATTTCAAGTTAATTTTTGTGAGTGGTGTGAGAGAGGGGTTTTGATATTTGTTTAATTGTTGCTTTTAGTGCATTATGAACTTTAAAATAAGCAGAATGAATTAGAATTCCACAATAGAGGATTGAGAATAATAGGAACAGAAAGGTGGAGTGGAAAAGTTGATGACTAAGGTAGGAGTAGGGAATGACTTTATGGAGATGAAGTATGAAGTGAGATTTTAAGGACAAGGACAATATTAATCTGTCTATTTAAATTCTTATCACTTATTAAAATCCTGGACAGATGCCTTCTCTACAATGAAGACACTTGTTTTGCCCCACCTCAAGTGATCTGCCCCTTTTTTGAACCTCCATGGCATTTTCTTTCTTAGGGTCTTACCATCGTCTGTTACAGCCCTGGGTGTACATGAAGTGATCAGCAAATATTGTTACATTGAATCATTGTTACATTGCATAGCTAAGCACCTGCCTCTATCCCTGCCTAATTGCAAGCTCTTTCAGGGCATGAGTTGTGTCTTCACAGTTCTCTAGTGCCTACAACACACCAGGTTCCATGCCAGGCACCCCACAAATCCTTACAGGCAATTGATAAAGAAGATATCATTGAAAATTTAAAGTCAGGAAACCAAGGCTGAAGTCACACAGGATGTTAAGTAGGTGGGCCAAGATTGGAATCTATTTCTACTGGACTCAAAACCTCTGCTAGTAACTTCGTAGCACACTACATCTGTTTGCACAGTTAGGGAATCTAGTAAAATGCTCAATAGCTATTTGGGATTGAATTTACTGAATGAACTGAATGTGTCTCATTCAGTGGCAAGCAAAACTAGAGCAAAGCCCTACAATAATTGGGCTTGGGGTAGTGATATAAAAAACCAAAAAGACAAACAAAAACAGTTGCCAGGGACACCCAATCAGGCAGCCACCAGCACGTGTCCCTTTTCACACAAATTAACTGTTTCAGCAGAAACTGGTGACCAGACTATACAACAAAAGTATTACTTGTTCACTGGGCAGAGAGTGCCAAATTGTGACCTGTTGTTTTTGCAACAGTATTTGTCACTTTGCTTAGATATCTATCTCTTAAGGAGGGAATGTCTTAAGGAATCCATTGACCAGCAGGCGGCACTAGAACTGCATGGAATAGTTTCCTCCAGTTTGCATCCAGGGTGTTTTCAGCCTCTGGAATATTTACTTAACCAGGCTAGCTGATTGATCTAGACATTTAGTTATGAAATCATAGCATTACAGTCTTGAAAGAGACATTATAGATTGCATTGTTTCAGCTCTTCATTTTAAGGATGAGAAAACTGGAGCACAGTCTGGTGACACACATGACCCAAGATTGGATGTGGTATTGGTAACAGTGCCAGAACTAGAATTCAAGTTTCCTTACTCCCAGTCCAGGGCTCTGTCTCTCTCTTTGAATGATGCTACTTAAAAAATCTTTTAAATTGTATCTTAAATTTAATTTTTCCTCCTTCACTGAAGTATAATTGATAAACAAAATTATATAAATTTAAGGTGTACAACCTGATGACTTGATATACATATGTATTGTGAAATGATTGTCATTATCAAGTTAATTAAAGCATAGTTACCTTTTTTAGAATTGGACACTGTCACTTGCAGCAACACGGATGGAACTGGAGATCACTATGTTAAGTGAAATAAGCCAGGCATATCGCATATTCTCTTATTTGTGGGATATAAAAATCAAAACGATTGAACACATCTCCATGTGTATAAGAGTATAAGGATGGTGACTAGAGGCTGAGAAGGGTAGTGGGGGGGGTTGGGGGGAGGTGGAGATGGTTAATGGGTACAAAGATATTTTAAAGAATGAATAATACCTAGTATTTTATAATACATCCAAATGACTATAGTCAAAATAATTTGATTGTACATTTAAAAATAACTAAAAGAGTATAATTAAATGGTTTGTAACACAAAGAATAAATGCCTGAGGGGATGGATACCCTATTTTCCATGATGTGATTATTAAGTGTTGCATGTCTGTACTCAAGTATTTAATGTACCGCATAAATATATATGCCTACTACGTACCCATAAATATTAGAAATAAAAATTGTTAAAAGTTATCTTTTTCTTTTGTGGTGGGAACATTTCAGATTTATTCTCTTAGCAAATTTCTTTTTTTATCAGAATATCAGCACATTTCGAGTACACAATACAGTATTGCTAAGTACAGTTGCTATGTTCTACATTTAGATCTCCAGAACTTATTAATCTTAGAACTGAAAGTTTGTATTCTTTGACCAATATCTCTCTATTTCTCCACTCCCCAGCCCCCAGCAGCCACCATTCTACTCTCTGTTTCTATGAGTCTGACTTTTTCAGATTTTACATATAAGTGAGTCATACAGTATTCGTCTTTCTCTAACTGACTTATTTCCCTTAGCATAATACCCTCAAGCTTCATCCATGTTGCTGCAAATGGCAAGATATCCTTTTTTATGGCCAATTACAGAACACACACACACACACTCTCTCTCTCTCACATACACACATACTCTCTCTCTCTCACACACACACCCCCCACAATTTTTTTTTTATCCATTCATGCATTGACTTACACTTAGATTGTTTCCATTTCTTGGCTATTGTGAATAGGGCTGCAATGAACATGAGAGGGCAGACATCTCTTGGGAGATACTGATTTCATTTCCTTGAGATATACACCCAGAAATGGTATTGCTGCAGTATGGTAGTTCTATTTTTAATTTTTGAGGAAATTCCATACTGTTTTACATAATGGCTTTACTAGTTTACATTCCCACCAACAGTGTACAAGGATTCCTTTTTGTCCATATCCTCCCCAACACTTGTTATCTCCTGTTTCTTTGACAGTAGCCATCCTAACAGGTGCTAGCTCATTGTAGTTTTGATTTGCATTCTTCTAGAAGTTCTATGGTTTCAGTCTTACATTTAAGTTTATTATCTGGTTCAAGTTAATTTTTGTGAGTGGTGTGACAGAGGGGTTTTGGTATTTGTTTAATCATTGCTTTTAGTGCCTTTTCCTCTTAGGAATGCAAGTTACTTTTTAAGATATTGTATTTTTTTTCTTTTTCTTTTTCTTTTCTTTTTTTTTTTAGTATTTATTGATCATTCTTGGGTGTTTCTCACAGAGGGGGATTTGGCAGGGTCATAGGACAATAGTGGAGGGAAGGTCAGCAGATAAACAAGTGAACAAGGGTCTCTGGTTTTCCTAGGCAGAGGACCCTGTGGCCTTCCGCAGTGTTTGTGTCCTTGGGTACTTGAGATTAGGGAGGGGTGATGACTCTTAACAAGCATGCTGCCTTCAAGCATCTGTTTAACAAAGCACATCTTGCACCGCCCTTAATCCATTTAACCCTGAGTGGACACAGCACATGTTTCAGAGAGCAGGGGGTTGGGGGTAAGGTTGTAGATTAACAGCATCCCAAGGCAGAAGAATTTCTCTTAGTACAGAACAAAATGGAGTCTCCTATGTCTACTTCTTTCTACACAGACACAGCAACAATCTGATCTCTCTATCTTTTCCCCACATTTCCCCCTTTTCTATTTGACAAAACTGCCATCGTCATCATGGCCCGTTCTCAATGAGCTGTTGGGTACACCTCCCAGACAGGGTGGTGGCTGGGCAGAGGGGCTCCTCACTTCCCAGAAGGGGCAGCCGGGCAGAGGCGCCCCCCACCTCCCTCCTGGACGGGGCGGCTGGCCGGGTGGGGGCTTCCCCCCACCTCCCTCCAGGACGGGGTGCTGGCCAGGCGGGGGCTGCCCCCCACCTCCCTCCCGGACGGGGCGGCTGGCCAGGTGGGGGCTGCCCCCAACCTCCCGGACGGGGCGGCTGCCGGGCGGAGATGCTCCTCACTTCCCAGACGGGGTGGCTGCTGGGCAGAGGGGCTCCTCACTTCCCAGACGGGGCGGCCAGACAGAGACATTCCTCACCTCCCAGATGGGGTCACGGCAGGGCAGAGGCGCTCCTCACATCCCAGACGGGGCAGCAGGGCAGAGGTGCTCCCCACATCTCAGACGATGGGTGGCTGGGCAGAGACGCTCCTCACTTCCTAGATGGGATGGCGGCTGGGAAGAGGCGCTCCTTACTTCCCAGACTGGGCAGCTGGGCAGAGGGGCTCCTTACATCCCAGATGATGGGCAGCCAGGTAGAGACGCTCCTCACTTCCCAGATGGGGTGGCGGCCGGGCAGAGGCTGCAATCTCGGCACTTTGGGAGGCCAAGGCAGGCGGCTGGGAGGTGGGGGTTGTAGCGAGCCGAGATCACGCCACTGCACTCCAGCCTGGGCAACATTGAGCACTGAGTGAACGAGACTCTGTCTGCAATCCTGGCACCTTGGGAGGCCAAGGCTGGCGGATCACTCGTGGTTAGGAGCTGGAGACCAGCCCGGCCAACACAGCGAAACCCCGTCTCCACCAAAAAAATACGAAAACCAGTCAGGCGTGGTGGCGCGCGCCTGCCATCCCAGGCACTTGGCAGGCTGAGGCAGGAGAATCAGGCAGGGAGGTTGCAGTGAGCCGAGATGGTGGCAGTACAGTCCAGCTTCGGCTGGGCATCAGAGGGAGACCGTGGAGAGAGAGGGAGAGGGAGACTGTGGAGAGAGAGGGAGAGGGAGACCGTGGGGAGACGAGGGAGACGGAGAGGAGAGGGAGAGGGAGAGGGAGAGGGAGAGGGAGAGGGAGAGGGAGAGCGAGAGCAAGAGCCAGATATTGTATTTTAACAGCAGGTACTCAGTAAATGCTCAATTCAAGTTAGGCTCCTACTGCCTTAGTAAGTCTCGTAATAAGTTACCTAATAAAAATGGTGTAAATTCGTTTTCGGCTTGGTTCTCAAAGAAATCAGGAGACATGTCAGCTTCTTAATGACCTTATAGCTTTTTTTAAGGAACAATGAAATACATAACAGGAACAACGGAAGAACACTTGTATATGCTGACATCAGCAAGCAAAATGCATACAGTTCAGCCAGTGATTCACACTGATGAAAATCAACAGTAGAAAGAAGGGTTTGTCATTGAGGGATGATTAGAGAAGATAAGTTTTAAATTGGCCTTTCAAGGAGTTGATGGTTAGGAATTGTTGGGTTTGAACTCCAAGGGAGAAGAAGAAGTAAGGAAGTGTCTAAGGAGTGAGAAAATAGAATGGTCACAACCTGGGATCCTACAATTCAGGGAGGGCATTGGTGGTGCTGAGGGGAACCTAGCTACCATTTAGGGGTGTTTAGGGGCTTGTTGGTATGCAGTGCACAGGAAATCTGAGAGAGAAAAATGTTGGGTACTGTGTTTTGGGAGAAAGTGAGGTGAATGAAAGCAACATTACCCGTAGGATATGACAATGGGCATAGAATGGTGGTGCCGGGCATGGAGGAAAAGAGTCATGATGTGATGGAGAGAGTCTGTTCAGTTGAATTTGATTTGGCAAGCATCCACCAAATATTTACCTGAAATATTCTAGGTGATACAATGAATAAGGCATGAACCTTTTCTTGAAGAAACGTGTATTAGTTTTGTGTTGCTGTAAAGGAGTGCCTGAGACTGGGTAATTCATTTTAAAAAAGAGGCTTATTTGGCTCATGGTTCTGCAGGCTGTACAAGCAGCATGGTGCCAGCATCTACTCTCTTTCTGGTGAGACCCTCAGGAAGCTTACAATCATGGCAGAAGGCAAAGGGAGAACAGGTGCACCACATAGCAAGAGAGAGAGCAAGAGAAAGAGGAGGAGGTGCCAGTCTCCTTTAAACAACAGCTCTCACATGAAGTAACAGAATGAGAACTCATTCATTACCTGGGAGGGCACCAAGCCATTTATGAAGGATATGCTCCTGTGACCCAAACACCTCCCACTAGGCTTCACCTCCAACATTGGGGATCACATTTCAGCATGAAATTTGGAGGGGACAGACATCCAAATCATACCATTTTACCCCTAGCCCACCAAATCTTGTGTTCTTCTCACATTGAAAAATATAATCTTCTCTTCCCAACAGCCCCAGAAAGTCTTAACTCATTCCAATATCAAGTCCAAAGTCCAAAGTCTCTCATGAGACTCAAGACAAGTTCGTTTCACCTATGAGCTTGTAAGATACAAAACAAGTTATTTACTTCCAAGATATAATGGTGGCATAGGCATTGGGTAAACATTCCCACTCCTTGGCTGGGTGTGGTGGCTCATGTCTGTAATCCCAGCACTTTGGGAGGCCAAGACAGGCGGATCACAAGGTCAGGAGTTTGAGACCAGCCTGGCCAACATGATGAAACTCTGTCTCTACTAAAGATATAAAAAATTAGTTGGATGTGGTAGCGCTTGCCTTTAATCCCAGCAATTCAGGAGGCTGAGGCAGGAGAATTGCTTGAACCCAGGAGGTGGAGGTTGCAGTGAGCCAAGATCATGCCACCGCACTCCAGCCTGGGTGACAGGGTGAGACTCCATCTCAAAATAAACAAATAAACAAATAAATAAATAAATAAATAAATAAATAGATAAATAAAAATTCCCACTCCAAAAGGGAGAAATTGGCCCAAAAAAGGGGCAATAGGTCCCACAAAAGTCTGAAACCCAGTAGGGCAGGCATTAAACCCTAAAACTTCAAAATAATCCTTAACTCCATGCCCTACATCCAGGGCACACTGATGCAAAGGGTAGGCTCCCAAGGCCTGGGGCAGCTCTGCACCTGTGGCTTTGCAGAGTGCAGCCCCTGTGACTGCTCTTGTGGGTTAGAATTGAGTGCCTGTGGCTTTTCCAGGCTCAGAATGGAAGCTTCTGGTGGCTCCACCACTTTCAGGTCTGGAGGACAGTGGCCCCATTTCCCACAGCTCCACTAGGCAGTGCCCCAGTGCAGACTCTATGTTGGGGATCTCCAGCCCAATATTTCTCCTTGGATATTCTCTAGTAGAGTGTCTCTGTGGGGACTCTGCACCTCTGGCAAGCTTCTGCCTGGGCACTTGGGCTTTCCCATACATCCTCTGAAATCTAGGTGGAAGCTGCCAAGCCTCCTTAATGCTTGCATTCTGTGCACCTGCAGGCTTAACACCATGTGGACACCTCCAAGACTTATGGCTTGCACTCTCGGGAGCAGGGCCCAAGCTGTACCTGGGGCCCTTAGAGCCCCAGTTGGAGCCAGAGCAGCCTGAACGCAGGGAGCAGTGTCCTGAGGCTTCATGGCACAGCAGTGTCCTGGGCCTGGCCTTTGAAACCATTCTTTCCTCCTAGGCCTCTGGGCCTGTGATGGGAGGAGCTGTCCTGAAGACTTCTCAGATGCCTTTGGGACTTTTTTTCTCATGGTGTTGACTATTAGCAATTTATTTCCATTTAGGCATTCAAATCTGTTTAGCAAGTGGTTGCTCTGCAGCCTGCTCGGATTCCTCTCCTGAAAAGCCTCTTTCCTTCTGTACTACAGGGCCAGCTAGCAAATTTTCTGATTTTTTATGCTCTGATTTCCTTTTAATTACAAGTTCCTACTTTAAGTCACTTCTTTGCTCCCATATCTGATCATAGCCTGTTAGAAGCAGCCACACCATATCTTGAATGCTTTGCTGCTTAGAAATTTCTTCTACCAGATACCCTATGTCATCACTCTTAAGTTCATGCTTCCTTAGATCCCTAGCAGCCAAGCTCTTTGTAACAGTGTAACAAGGGTGACCTTTGCTCCAGTTCCCAAAAAGTTTCTCATTTCCATCTGAGACCTCATCAGCCTGGGCTTCACTGTTCATATTTCAATCAGTATTTTGGTCACAACCACTTAGCAAGTCTTGGAGAAGTTCCAAACTTTCCCTTATCTTCCTGTCTTTTTCTGAGACCTCCAAATTCTTCCAGTATCTGCCCATTACCCAGTTCCAAAGCTGTTTCCACATCTTCAGGTATCTTTATAGCAACACCCTACTCTCAGTACCAATTTTCTGTATTAGTACATTTTGCATTGTTATAAGAAATAATAAAAGACTGGGTAATTTATAAAGAAAGGAGGTTTATTTTGGATCATAGCTCTTCAGATTGTACAAGAAGTGTGATGCCAGCATCTACTTCTGGTGAAAGCATTAGGAAGCTTTTAGTCATGGTGGAAAGTGAAGGGCAAACAGGCATGTCACATGGCAGGAGAGAGAGCAAAAGAGAGAAGGAAGAGGTCCCAGGCTCTTTTAAACAACCAGATCTCACATGACCTCATGGAGTGAGAACTCACTCATTACCACAAGGACATCACCAAGACATTCATGAAGAATCTGCCCCTATGACCCAAATACCGCCCACTAGGCCCCACCTCCAACATTGGGGATCACACTTTAATGTGAGATTTGGAAGAGACACATACCCAAATCATATCAAAATGTATTTGTTAAGCTTCTATTAAAATAATGTAGGAGAAGAAAAGATAATGCATACCAAGTAAATGAACAAGGAGAGATCAGATTATAAATCACTTTTGTATATATCATCTGTATTTATCTCTAAGAAACTTTAGAATTTTTAAACTTTGGAATTTTTTCTTCAGCTTTTATTTTTAGCTTTAGAGGGTACATGTGTAAGTTTGTTACATAGACATATTGCGTGACAGTGAGGTTTGGGGTATGAATCCCATCATCCAGGTGTTGAGCTTAGTACCCAATAGGAAGTTTTTCAATGTACACTCATTTCCCTCCTTCCCCACTCTAGTGGTCCCCAGTGTATATTGTTCCCATCTTTATGTCCATGTGTACTCAGTGTTTAGCTCCCACTTATAAGTGAGAACATGTGGTATTTTGTTTTCTGTTTCTGCATTAATTTGCTTAGAATAATGGCCTGTAGCTGCATCCATATTGCTGCAAAGGACATGATTTTGTTCGTTTTTTATGGCTGTGTAGTATTCCATGGTGTATATGTACTATATTTTCTTTATCCAATCCACCATTGATAGGAATCTAGGTTGATTCCATGTCTTTGCTATTGTGAATAATGCTGCAATAAACATATAAGTGCATGTGTCTTTTTGGTAGAAGTCTTTATTTTCTTTTGGGTATGTACCCAGTAATGGGATATAGCTCTGTTTTAAGTTCTTTGAGAAATCTTCAAACTGCTTACCATGGTGGTTGAATTAATTTATATTCCAACAACAGTGTATAAGTATTCTCTTTTCTCCACAGCCTTGCCAGCATCAGTTATTTGTTGACTTTTTAATAATAGCCATTCTGACTGGTGTGAGATTGTATCTTATTGTGGTTTTGATTTGCATTTCTCTGATGATTAATGATGAGCATTTTTTCATGTTTGTTGGCTGGCTGCTTGTATGTTTTCTTTTGAAAAGTGTTTCTCAAGTCCTTTGCCCATTTTTTAATAGGGTTATTTGTTTTTCTCTTGTTGATTTAAGTTCCTTATAGATATTGAATATTGGACCTTTGTTGGATTAATAGTTTGCAAACATTTTCTCCCATTTTGTAGGTTTTCCATTTACTCTGTCTGTGGCTTCTTTTGCTGTGCAGAAGCTCTTTAGTTTGATTAGGTTCCACTTGTTAATTTTTGTTTTTTAAACTGGATTTTTAAACCCCATTTTACAGATGCAAAAACTGAGACTTAAAGAGACAATTTTTTTTAAGATCATAAAATTGGTAAGTGGTGAAGGCAGGTTTTAAATATAAGTCTTTTAAAAATTTTAAATCTCAGCTTCATGTATGTAATTGGTCAGTCACTGTGCTCGATGTGAAATATACAACTGTGAATAAGATGCAATTTCTGACTTCTGGGACCTTACTGCTTGGTGGGAAACACATGGGTTTAAAATTTACTTCAATGCAATCTGATAAGCTGTATGCTGATGATAGGTGCAGAAGGTGGTGCCAGTCCCAAGAATGGGTAGGATTTTGGCAGACAAAGATCAGGACAGCGTTTAAGTGGAAGAAATTGTATAAGCAATGACGTGGAGGCTAGGAAGTTGTCCTGTTAAGTTGGAGTCTAGGGGCATTGTTGGAAACTGAGTTGGAAATGTACACTGAAGCCAGATCATGGAGGGCTTCTATGAGCATTCAACCAACACTTATTTATTGGATGTACATCATGACAAGCTATTGTCCGAAATGCAAGAGAACAGCAGCAAACAAGACAAACAAAATCCTTGTTCTTATGGGCCTTACATTCCAGTAGGGAGAAAAAGATAATAAATGAGTAGCATAAAAACAAGGTATCAAACATGAAAAGTGTTAAGAACATTGGCAGCACAAATGAGGAATATATGGTAGAGGCTGATTGGGGTGATACTTTTTTAAAATAAATGCCAGAGAAAGCTTCTGTCACGAGGTGACTTTTTAACTGAGACCTGAATGAAATAAGGATTGAGCCACACCAAGATCGAGAAGAAGACTATTCTGATCAAAAGAAATAGCTGGTTCAAAGGTCTCCCGGTGGGGATCAGCTTGTCCTGCTAGAATCATGGAAAGAAGGCCAGAGTGATTAGAAAACAGTGATGCAGAGGACAATGGTGAAAGATGAGACTTTGCAGGGCCCCATCCTATAGGAAGGTCCTGAGAACAAAGCTGGATTTTATTCTCAATGTGGAGGGAAACTACTGGGAATTTCATGTAGGGAGTGGCACAATGTGGTCTACCTTTTTGAAAGGGATGGGGAGTCCCATCAGGAAGCTGTGTTCTAGGAGAGGTGACCTGGACTGGGATGACAGGAGTAGAGATGAAAAGAATCATGGATTTGGGCTGTTTTGTATTTTGAGATAGAAAAAAAAAAAAAGGATTTAGCATGTAGATGATGCACTGAATGTTGAGCAGCTTCCAGATTTTGAATTCTTTCACCCTGATTCTCCACCTTCTCATTTAGTTTGCTGGAGAGAGTTTAAATTATAGAGAATATTTGTGAAGGAGACTCATCTTACACATGAACACATATGTCATATAAACAGCAGCCAACATATGGGCGTTCCTGTTGATCTTGAGGCCCAGGACAAGCCATGGCCCTTTGCATTTCTCTCTCCCCCAGGATCACAGTCCTAGCTTAGATGCCTTTCTTCTAAGTCCGTCTTAGGACTCTTTCTCAGTCCTTCTAGGTATAGCTACTTACTCCCTTGGTGTCATAACAGTAATTTTTTTGTACTTATGACTTTGTGCCTTGCATAATGGTTGTTTGCTGTATATATTTGTCTTACTGTATTTTTATTTCCTTCAGGAAAGCAGCTGTTGTTATGAGTTATTATATTCTTCCTATGGTAAATACAATCTGATGGCCCTCAGCATCCATTCCTGTCTCCTTCTATATTTCCTAGACTTCTTTGCAGCTAGAGTTCTAGATGTGAATTAAAGTTTTTCAAATTAGGCATATTTGCATGATATTTGGAAGGTGAAAGTGAGTTAGAGACAATCATACCAAGATTTTGGCTATTTTTTTTTTTTGCAGATAAGGTTATAGAGACATGTTGATAGACAATTTTGGCAGCAATGTCAGAGACTTCTGAATCACATGTTTCTGATTTTTGGATTGCAAGTCTGGTGATGTATTGAACTCAATAGTCCCAGGGATTGATTTCTAATTTCTAATAATTCAGCCCTTATTGTTCTAGGCAGTAAAGCCCTTATTGTTTAAAAGACCTAAAAATGTTACTGTTTCATTCCTTGAGCCATAACTAAATGAGGCGTTAATTCAGTCTCTCTTGTTTGTCCCTTTGTTTTATATGCAGTAGATGTCCAATTAATGTCCAGTTGAATTTATTACAAAGCCAGACTTATTTCCTCCATCTGTCCACTTATTCAAAAACAATGGGTACCACTAGACATCACTGGCTGTATTAAGTGCTGAGCAGTACAAGGTTGAGTAAGATATGGTCTTATTCCTAGTTTTCCAGGAGAGAAAATTACCATAGAGTGTGGGCCAAATGATATAACAGAAGTGAGTGTGAACTTAGAGAAAGCAGAGTTTGGAGTGTCCAGAAAGGCTGCTTAGAAGAGGTGATGTTTTAGTTGGGATCCAGAGGATGCCTAGGTTTTTGTCAGGCAGAAAACAGCGGGGAGGTATTCCATGCTGATGGGATGGCATATTCAAAGATATGAATTCATGAAAGATCAAGTGTACCAAGAAAAGGCCAAGTCCTTGGTGTGGCTGGAGCATTGGATGCTCCTGGGAGGGGCCTGTCATGTGAGTAGGCTGGGTAGGTCATCTGATCAGATAGTGAGGCCTATGTGCCACACTGAGGGATGTAAATTTTTTTCTCAAGTCACTGGGGAGCCACTGAGGAGAAGGGCCATTAAGGCAGTGGAGATGGAGACGTGAGAAGAGATTCAAAAGTTATGGGGATGTAGAGTTGGGAAGACTCAATGACAATTTGAATGTGGTGGTGAGGGAGTGGTAAAGGTAAAATATGACTCAGTAGAGGGAGGAGGAGCTGAAAATTATATTTAGATAAGTTTCATTTAGACTCTTTATTATTTGTTTTGTATTGATTCTTATTTTTTTTCAGTGCCCAGGAACTCAGGGAACAAAGACATTTTAGAAGTCAAGAAATAAGGTGTTATTTTTGGAAAATGGCTCAAAAGTGAAAATAGTACAACCCCACAGTGAAGAAAGGAGTCATGACAGTTATTGCTCATCAATTATTTATTAGATATTTTAATACAATTCATAATCTGCACATAGATTTTCTTGAGAAGAGTTTTCAGGTCTTAGGAGCTATGAATCAATAGTCTTGATCCCCTGGAATTTGCAAACATATGACATATACTTTCTCTTTATTTTATATAATCAGAAACTAGAAAGGTATTGAATTGGAATGGGTCCATTCAGCTCTAGTGATAGGCACTAATGGACAGTCCCTCTGGTGTGGAATAAGAGCCTGGCATGGGAGATGTAGTAAACATCAGAGATGCACTCTATGTTCTCGGCTCTTGTAGCAGCCTTGAACTGAGTTTCATTCTAGTCTAGACTATGAGGCTTGAAATTCCTGATGTTTTATCCACAGGAGCCAAAGCTCACCAAATCTAGGGTTCCTTGAGGAGTGGAGATGTAGTATAATCCTTGGATGTAATGTAAATCTTCAGAATATCTTTTCTGTTTCTGAACTTTAGGGAGAAGTGTTCTACCTTTCAATGATTCAACCAGGTCTCATCTACACAGAGGGCAAAGCAGGAAATGATTTAAATACCCAAACTGATCAACATTAAGATATGATTATTTCACCCAATTTACCACCTAGATTTCACTGAATCAGAAAACCCTAGAATTGCTGCTCAAAGAACCAAAAGCCCTTACGTGAATGCTAGTACTCAAAAACATCCTTGCAGGGAGATACAGCAGAGGATAGAGGGAAGAAATACATTCTCAATCTCTTAAATCGAATTAAAGGTGAACTCGACATATAGGTTTCTTTTTTGGCTTTGTGTTGCTTTACCTCTGGTGCTCACATAGCCTAGTATGGGTAGGATTTCTGCTCTTGCACATAGTCATAGGGGGGGTTGGGAACAGTAGCTCCCTTGGCAGGGTGACCACGCTGTTCTCTGGTTTGGGGCCTCCCACTGCTCTGGGTTGGATAGAAGGATGGTTCAGTGTGTCTTTTCTGTGAGCCTTGGCTCTGGTCATCCTCTTTCATGTGGAATTTTTCTCTGTTAGGACAGCTTCTGTGGGTCACTTGGGATTTTTGATTCTGAGATCCTTGATACCTCTCTTTCTCCTCATAGTTTTGTCTATTATGTTGTTGCTGATGGTTTTGATCCTCTTCATGAGTTTGCCTGTCTCATCTCTGATGGTTCTGCTCGTCTTCATGGGTTTGCCTGTCTCGTCTCTGACGGTTCTGCTTGTCTTCATGGGTTTGCCTGTCTCGTCTCTGATGGCTCTGCTCATGTTCATGGGTTTGTCTGTCTCGTCTCTGATGGTTCTGCTCATCTTTATGGGTTCGCCTGTCCTGTGTCCCACATGGACCTTCCTGACTCTCATGGCTGTGTCTATCCCAAGTTTGATGGCCCTGCTCTTCCTCTGCCCAGTGGCTCAGCCCCTCACCATGACTCTGCCTGGTCTGGGCCTGTCTGTGGCCCTGCTCACTACTGCATGATTGCCAGTCTCTCCCTTTGTGACAAAGTGGTCTTTCTTGTTGGATTTGTGCTAAGAGTTTGTGTTGGTGATGTTGGCTATCCTCTTCAGGCTCCCATACCTGGTGGCCGTTCTGCTGTGAGTCCCTAGACTGGAATCCCTGTCCCTGGTTTTGGTACCCTTCCTGTCCTGGAGTCTGTTGACTTAGCCTCCCTGATCTTCCTGATTGTTCAACATAAGAGGCTTTTCTTGTTCCTTCAGTCCCTTGGAAGTACTTATTTTGCCCTTGTATTTCCCCAGTCTGTGATTGAATATAGTGGGAACTCTGGCCTTGTCTGTCTGTCTGACCATAATGATAGCTCTGGCCTTGTCTGTCTGTCTGACCGTAGTGGGAACTCTGGCCTTGTCTGTCTGTCTGACCATAGTGGGAACTCTGGCCTTGTCTGTCCATCTGACTGTAGTGGGAACTCTGGCCTTGTCTGTCTGGCTGACCATAGTGGAAACTCTGGCCTTGTCTGTCTGTCTGACCATAGTGGGAACTTTGGCCTTGTCCGTCTGGCTGACCATAATGATAACTCTGGTCTTGTCTGTCTATCTTACCATAGTGGGAACTCTGGCCTTGTTTGTCTGGCTGACTGTAGTGGGAACTCTGGCCTTGTCTGTCTGTCTGACCATAGTGGGAACTCTGGCCTTGTCTGTCTGTCTGACCATAGTGGGAATTCTGGCCTTGTCTGTCTGGCTGACCATAGTGGGAACTCTGGCCTTGTCTGTCTGTCTGACCGTAGTGAGAACCCTGGCCTTGTCGGTCCATCTGACTGTAGTGGGAACTCTGGCCTTGTCTCTCTGTCTGACCATAGTGAGAACTTTGGTCTTGTCTGTCTGTCTGACCATAGTGAGAACTCTGATCTTGTGTGTCTGGCTGACCATAGTGGGAACTCTGACCTTGTCTGTTTGGTTGACTGTAGTGGGAACCCTGGCCTTGTCTGTTTGTCTGATCATAATGATAACACTGGCCTTTTCTGTCCATTTGACCATAGTGGGAACTCTGACCTTGTCTGTCTGGCTGACTGTAGTGGGAACTCTGGCCTTGTCTGTCCGTCTGACTGTAGTGGGAACTCTGGCCTTGTCTGTCTGTCTGACCATAATGATAACTCTGGTCTTGTCTGTCCGTCTGACCGTAGTGGGAACTCTGGCCTTGTCTGTCTGTCTGACCACAGCCTAATTCCTGACCTAGCCTCTCAGACTGTCCACAATAAGAGCCTGATTTCTGTTGATTTGTCTGGTTAAAGTGAGAGGCTTGTCCAAGTGTTTCAGATTGTTGTGTATGTCTTTCAGACTGACCATAATGAGAATCCTGAATTGGTTTTTCACACCGATTTAAGGCAAAGATATGTCCCTGCCATTTAGCCTGGCCACTGGTAGATTTGTGACTCACTTTTTTACCAGAGCTGGAGTCTTGACTTTGTCTCTCTGACTGATCAAAGCTGAAATCCTTGTCTTGTCTCTCAGACTGATTGTGGTGAGAATCTCTGTCTTGTCTCTCAGGCTGACTGTGGTGGGAATCTCTGTCTTGTTTCTCAGACTGACCATGGTGGGAATCTCTGTCTTGTCTCTCAGGCTGACCATGGTGGGAATCTCCGTCTTGTCTCTCAGGCTGACTGTGGTGGGAGTTCTGCCTTTCTTCCTCGTGCCTCTGTCTGTGTTGTCTGCCTGTGTTTCCTGGGAACTTACAGTCTTGTGCTCCTTCCTGCCCCCTTTCTTGCTGTGAGGTCCTGCCTCCATGTGACTTATTGTCTAGCTTATGATAGCAGGCTTGGACCAACTGGAACACCAACAAGAGGTACTCATGAAAATCAATATGTCCATCTCGGTCTTGATCTAAGAGGTTCAAGATGGTTTCCACAGTCTCTGGGTCATTTGGTCTCTGTTAGGAGATAAAACAAAGAGCAAAATCAGATGCTGTCTTGTGCATACTAAGATGTGTATCAGTGTTCATGCCCCAATCCATTCGGTGCTGCACGGACCTTCCTAGGTTGAAAAACCATTAATCTGAAGTGGTGTGGACTTGGCGCTAGTCTTTGATCAGCTGGTTCTCAGAACCTTGCTGGATCAATGGGAGCATGACCATAGGGAGTAGATACATTTATTTAAAATCATCTCCATTAGTAATTAATTTGATTCATTTCAAAGTTATCCCATTCCATCACAGGCTATATCCTAGTTGTTTAGCCCCTTTTGTTTTTCACTGCACTGTGAGATCCTAGAGGGAGGGGGAGCTGATTTTATTCATGTTTGTATCCCTTGTGCCTAGGGGCATAGAGCAGGTGCTCAGTGACTCTTTATTGGTTGAATGAATGAATACATGAAAAGATGTGTGGATAGCACTAAATGAATACATTAAAAGATGTGTGGATAGCACTAAATATAGAAATCAAAGTATGAATCTTAGGTTTTCTTCTGAGAAATTATTCCCTGTTACCTTGAAGTTATACTCTCTCCTGTTCAAATTCAGATACAAGGAGGTGTGTGTGTGTGTGTGTGTGTGTGTGTGTGTGTGTGTGTGTGTATGCTGGGAGAGAACTACTAAGGAGCTGCCTGAAATTCCTTTTCTTACAGGGCAGAGCAAGCCCAAATAAAACAAAGCATCCAACCCTGGTGCAGGTGTCAGAGTCATTCACACTTGATCTCATGGGGCTGTGTGTCTGTGTATCTTACCTGGAGGATGTCTCCAAACTCAGCCAAGAGCAGTTGTTTCAACTCTTCCTTGCATAGTAAGGCACAGTCCCCATTCCCTTTGGCATATTTGTGGAATACGTCAATCACACTGAGTATGCTATTCAGGAGTTGAGCCATTTTGACAAGTACGGGTGAACCTAAAAGAAGAAACAAGATTTCTCCTGCCGTTAGGATAATGACCACGAGACAGCATTTCCAGAGGGAAAGTGACCCCTCTGGATCTGGGAGAAAGTTTAAGAAGTGAGAGAGCCCCTTCTTAGCTGTACCCCTTCCTTGCCCTGACTCACAGTCGGGGACCAAATCTCATTGCTATAGTGGGAGATGGTGCAAACTTGGTTCCCTTGCTATAAAAAGAGACAATTTCTTAAAAAACAAAAAATGCATTGCAGGTGTTTTACATATCCCATCCTCTACTCCAGACAGGATTCACCTGATTGAAAATCTCATATTAGAACAAAAGGAGGGGAGGCCAGGAAGCCCAATAGAGGCAGGAATAGAAGCCAGCATAGTAGGGCATAATTTTCGACTAACAACTAGCAAACTGGAGGGGGCACTAAATAGATCCCACTGAACAGGTTTCAGTCTTGTAATGAGCCTTTCTTAAGCAAGGAAGAAGGCTGAAAGTCTCTCTTCACGGTCTAAGGAAGCTTTCTGGGAGGCTAAATTCCAGCAAATGCTTCTGGCCTGGATGGTTTTGGGACATGCTTATAAAATGAAATCAATGAATATAAAAGCTGTTACAGATAAAAATAGCAAGTGGGTACATAGCCAAATTAAGGGCACAGATTATAGGAGGTATATATAATCAGTTAGGTCCACATTGGCCATGCTGGGAGACTTGGGTCTTTTGGGATCTAAATCTCAATTACATTTTTTTTCTTGTGGAATGAAAATTCCAGTTAGTGGGTTTATAGGCCTCCAAACTGAAGCCCTATCTGCAGAGCATGTTGAATTGCCAAAAGCATACAAACAGTGATGTCTATAAGAAAATAAGTGACAAATAATGGATCACATGGGACAAGCTGAGTCCCTTGTTGTAATTCAATGCAATGAGACTTGAGCATTGCTGGGCCCATGGTCCAGAGCCTTGGCCCTAAACTATTCGGTCTTTCCTAACTTGCACAAAAAGTAAATGCTCCACTATGGGAGACTAAGCTATTCATCAATTGTTCTAGCCCTCAGTTTTGGGATGCCTAGGACACATTGAAGTGAAGGCATTTGCATTTTACAGACACAGAAGTAGTCCACCCCAGCTATTGTCATATTCTCAGATAGAGCCAGAAAAAGGAAGCAGAAGGTAACCAAAGCTGTTACCCACAGGAATTAAGTCTCAGACCTCCCCAGCCTGGTGCATTATAGGGCTCTTGAGAGCCTTGTAGATACTACCAATGCTCCCCTATGCATGTCTTACCTGCTTGAGGAGGAAGGAGCAGAAGATTCAGGAGTCAGAGAGGATACTGGGGACCTAAAAACTCATCCTATTTATAGGGGTTTTAATTATCCTACCAGGCCATCCCAGGAGACACCCATTCTGTGGCAAAGCCTGAATCACTCTGGTCCCAGCCCAGCTCAGCCCAGCTTGACCTCTCCCTCTGCAAACTGTTTGGTTTATTTACTTCCCCCACTTGCTCATGAACCTGTTTGTCACTACAGTAGGTGACGCTGTTTAAGTCCCAGTCCCATTTAATTAAGAGAATGTGTGTGTATGTGTATGTATTTGTGCTGTGAGGGTCCCAAAAGACAGAGGTGTTGGCTGAGTTCATCCTTAATATATGTCACTTGCCAATACTAATAGAGGGCAACAGTCAGCTCATACTGAAGAATGCTATCTATGTGGTCACTTACAAACATATGTCAAAGTTGGAACTAGAGATTCTATTTATTTGGCCAGAATATAGTTCCTGGAAGAGGTTTCTTTTAGACTAACCTTTTTCTTGTGCTGGTAGATATTTGGCTATTAACCTATTAACTTATTTTGAATTACTATTATTTTTTCATTTAACAGCTCCACAGGCTAGTTGGGAGAAGTAGATACATGGTCAGTTTTGGGGATGAGGGGCTCCAATGGTGCAACTTCTACCACTTAAGCCTTCTAAGACTTACTACTAAAAAGTTTGAATTGAGGGACATCATGGAAGTTTATGATATCTGTGAGAGAGAAATGCTGCTAGAGACCCCAGCTTCTGTTCACTTCCCATCTCCGTGCCCTTGGATGCCAGCACAGTGTCTTGAGCATGGGAAATTCTTAGTGAATATTTTTGGGGTAAAGGAATTATTGGATTATGGAAGCACTGAAGAATTGTATGTAAGGTGCAAAAAGCTGTAGACTCACCTGTATTTCTACGTTTGTCTCACATCTAGATCCCTGTTTGGACTTTTTCCTATGTATCCATCAGCCAATCCATTATTATTAATAACACTAACTATTACTTACTATGTGTTCAGGATTCTACAAGGGAATCACAACAGTGCAGAAAGATTTTAGTTTAGTTGGAATAAAGAAGCTTCACATAGAAAAATATTTTGAACTCCAGGGATAGGACATGCTAAGTGCTGAGTATTAGAAACCTAGGCGCATGTGGAGTCCTCATGGCTGGGCCTGGACGTCCCTTAGGAGGTGAGCTTCATGTTGTTCCTGAAAGGATTCAGGTGGGCAGAGAAGAAAGCAAAGAACTTCTGAGTGGGGAGAAGGGAAGAATCAAAGGTACTAAGGTGAGAGTTTGGATTCGAGTGAGCTGGTAAGTCTGTGTTGAGCAGAGGGATTTAAAAGAGCAGAGGGATTTAAAAGAGTAGACTTAGAAAATTTTGGAACTGAAAGGGAAATCTAGCCTCTTAATTTTACAGATGAGGAAACTGAGGTTCAGCTAGATTGACTGTATTTGCCAAGGGTTTCACGGGCTATGACTAAAGCCAGGCCTGGTTTACTTGTTTCCTCACTCCAGACCGATATGCTTTCTGAGACATTCTCTGAGGCAGATTTGGGGCCTACTTTAGGGTTTATTTTAATGAGAAAGCAGAAGTAGGGTTTTGGCTAGGAAAAGTGACATAATCAAAGCATTATTTAGAGGAAGAATCTAATGGCTCTGTTGTAGTTGGTCAGATGTCTCAGTTTGTCTGGCACTAAGGAGTTTCCCAGGACATGAGACTTTCAGTGGGATAATTCTGGGCAATCTGGACCGAGTTGGTCACCCTAAACTGTGGTGTACAAGATAAATTGGACAGAGGAGTACTGGGCAGTGAGACCAGTTAGGAGTCTATTATATGGCATGGGTGAGAAGTGACAAGGACTTCGACCTGGACGCAGTAGTTCAAAACTATAGGAAGGTAGATGGATAATAGCAGGGATAAAGGGATGAGGTCTGGGGACAGATTAGAAGAGGGGCAGGGAAAGTGGGAACATTAGGTGAGATTCCAAGTCTTTAAGTCTAGATAACTAGTAGAACTATGGTACACTGAAGAAATGTAACTTCTGAAGGGGGACTGCTGGGTCTAAGATCTAGTGCTTCTATTGGCATTTCCCAGGGTCTCTGCCTTTTGTAGTCTTGTTATCATCCCTCCAGCTTGCATCCTTGGCTGTTTGGGGTCTCCCAGCACAAGTCAGGACTTTCTTAAGTCTATTCATAAATTCTGAGGGCTGGGTCACATTAAGGTTCTCCTTATACTTTTGCATCTCTACTTAGTGCTCTTCAGTTATGTCTCTTCTCACCTGTTAGAATAAAAGACCTAGAGAAGATTTGGTTGTCCCCAGAGGCAAATAAGAGGAGTAGGGGTGGGATGGGCAGGGGTTGAAGACAATAGCCATCAGGAAACAGAACAACAATGCTGTGTCCCCTTTCTCTTGGCGTGTTCCATGGCTCTCTAGCAACTGTTTCTTTTGGTTAGACAGGCAGTTCTGTTTGTTTGATGTTGCAGTGAGAGAAAGATTATGTTCTTAAGAGTAGGATCCGCTATGTGTGCATTCATTTAACACTTAATACACTCCGATAGAATAGGCAGAGAACTATGTTGATCAGCCAATCAGTTAATCAATTAGTATTTGTGACCATACAGAGGGCGCCCTTTTGTGGGCACTGAGATAAAATGTAGTCTTTGTCCTTAAAGAACTTTCAATGCCACTGGGATTGAAATAAAACACCTTTGAAGGAATCATGAAATGTGACCTTTGTTTCTTTATCTGTAAAAGGAGAGGGTTGGAGCTTTATTTTGGTGTTGGCATTCTGAGATTCTGTCATGCCAATCTTAAGGTTAACAGTGGCTTTAGAGGTAATATTTAAACATTGCTCTATTCAGATATTCGATAAAGGCCTCAGAATTTGTGCTTCTCAGTCTTTCTCTGTGGAAAATGGAGAAGTCAATTATGGGTATCCTGTTTCTTCATTAACATTTATAAATTTCATGAGGACCTACACTATTTTAAAAAATTATTTTTCAGTGTGTTTTGCAGCTTAAATGCAGTCATGTTGTAGTGTGACCTTTGGTCTCAAAGGCAAGATGTTTTTAAGCTACAATTTATTGAAATCTTATTGTGTGCTAGGCTCTGCATTAAGCATTTTATATATATTATCTCCTTAAAAATAATTTCAATTTTTATTTCATATTCCATGGGTATATGTGAAGGTTTATTACATGGGTATACTGCTTGTCATTGAGCTTTGGGATATGAATAATCCCATTGCCCAGATAGTGAGCATAGCACCCAATAGTTTTTCAATCGTTTCTCCCCTTCTTCCCCCTTCTAGTAGTCCCCAGTGTCTATTGTTGTCATCATTATGTTCCAGAGTACCCAATGTTTAGCTCCCACTTATATGTGAGAATATGTGGTATTTGGTTTTCTGCTCCTGTACTGATTTGCTAGGATAATGGCCTCCAGCTGCATCTTATGCACCTGACAAAGGTCTAATATTCCAAATCTATAAACTTATTATCTTGTTTAATTCCCACAAAAACTCCATGAGGCAGAGAATATTGTCTTCATTTTTCAAACAAAGATACTGGGGCTCAGAAAAGGATAAATAACTTGCTCAAGGTCACACAACTTGCAACTGGCTGAGCTGAGGCTTGAACCCATGTCTTCCTGATTCCAAAGCCCTTGTTTGCAATCCCTATGTTATGTTGCCTCTTTTGGAACAGGACTGGTGATTACTCCCTCCCCAATGAGAGAAATAACTTTCCACATAGACTGAAGTGAGTAAGACCAGGGTAACTTCCTTATGACATACTGTGAAGGAATCTGACCTTGAAATGAGAATCTCCTGACCCTTAACCAGTCAAATATTTATTATTTTCTTATGCTTCTCCAGAACTTAGATGATTTCAACACTAAAGGACTTTGTAATCTATTTGGGGAGATAAGACAGATGCTTCTATTTACAGAAACAAAACCCACGGAGAAAAAAAATACCCTTCTCTCTTTACAATTGACAGCTCTGGGCACTGGTTTGACATGAGACTGAAGAAGTTCCACTTGTTGCACATTCCCTGCAGTTCTTGATCCTACTGTAAGCCTTTGCTGTCCATTTCTCTTAGGATGCAGATGTGCCTAGTGGGTGTGACAGGTACTGTTTTGAGCTAATAGAGTTTTCAGGGAGTCTCCTTGTCATATTTTGGCCAAATCATTAAGGATAATTATCATGAAACTCTCAGACTTCCTTTTTCCTTCTTTTGAGATGTTGGGTTTCTATTGAGATGAATCCTACAGGATCCAGAGGATGGCTATTTTATTATAAGGGAAGACCCCTGTGTAACGCTGGGGCAGGCACTTTTTTCTTGATTAGCCCTTTGGCATTAAGCAGGTGGATAAACTGCAGATGGGGCAAATGAACACCTTCCCCTGGAGAGGAGCACAACTAATTAATAGACATAAAACTCTTTGAGATCTCTTGATATTGAAAGGTAATTTATTATCAACTGCACAAATAAGTTCCCATTTAAAAATCTTTTCTTGTAGGTGAATTACTGCCCTGTTAATTATAGGCCATTTCGCTTTTAATAACATCTGTGGGAGTCAGTGGTTTCTGAAGGTGACGCTGATATCAGCGATATTTTTACTCCGTCAGAAAATGTGTTCTGAGCTGAAGGAAGGAAGCCTAGGTTTCCTGGGGATTGAGTGCACAGGTTTCAGCGTGGAGCTGTGCTCCCCCTCCCCAGCTTGCAGCCCAGCCTTTTCTTCTACTGTAGGCTTTTGTTTTTGGATACAAGAGCCAGCATTGCTCCTCTCCCCAACATCACAGGCCCTATCTTCCCCACGATAAAAGGAACTAGAAAATGTCAGAAATCACTGCTAACACAGCCCATGGAATTTTAGGTAATTCCTAGCACATGGTTAATAAGGCTACAGACCAAATCTGAGATCTTCAAAGTGGCTGACCATGGCAGAATTTGGATCATTCAGGTCAGGTTTCTGAGTTTCTTCTTTTACTTTTTGTTAAAGAGCTTTATTGAGATATAATTCACATACCATGCAATTCACCCATTTAAAGTGTACGATTCAATGTTATCTAGTATTGTTCAGCCATTGCCAAGATCCCCCTGTAAGAAATTCTGTCCCCATTAGCAGTAATCTGCCATTCTGCCCTCTTCCAGCCCCTGGCAGCCACTAATCTGTTTTCTGTCTCTATGGATTTACCTATTCTGGATATTTCATGCAAATGAAATCATATAATATGTGGCCTTTTTTTGGACTAGCTTATTTCACATAACATAATATTTTTAAGGTTCATATATGTTGAAGCAGGTTTTAGCACTTCTTTTCCTTTAAGTCTGAATAATAGTCCATTATAAGAATAGACAATGTGTCACATTTTGCTTATCCATTCATCCATTGGTGGCCATTTGGGCTGTTTCCTCCTTTTGGCTATTTGAATAATGCTGCTGTGAACATTCATGGACAACTTTTTGTGCGGATGTATGTTTTTAGTCCTCTGCAACTAGGCCATGCACCTAGGGGTGGAGTTGGGTCACATGGTAACTCCGTGTTTAACTTTTTGAGGAACTGCCAAACTGTTTTGAGTTTTTTTAAAAGAAATTTCTGGAGCAGGGTGGTTGGTTTAAAAGCCTTGACTTGAGGATACCAACAGGCTAAACCTGCCTGGCCAAGACACAGCTGGGCAGAGGCAAGGGCTGTGGAGTTGAACTGTGGCTCTGAATCTCCCAAAGGTCTTGCACAACCTTATGATCCAGCAGCTGCCAGAAAACCCACAGTAGTAGGCACCTGATAAAGGTTTGTTGACTAAAGGAATGCATATGTCTTGAGGTAAAGTGGGAGTGGAGGAAATGGGGTAGGGAAGATAGGTAAATAGCTTTGTAATCTGTGATGTTCCCATTGTATTTTAGGGATTCTTAGCAATTCCTTTGGGGTGCCATCAGTGTTTTCAGTTCTCTCACTGCCACCCCTCCCCTGGTCAATTCCATCAGGAAGGGAAGAGGTGAATTTAGGGATGATGGTATGTGGAAGCCAATGTTCAGGCATTTGCCTGTTCCCCTTTCAAGAACAGTCAGGTCTCCTGCTGATTTTCTTTGTAGCCCTTCCTGGCCTTTCCTCACCCTGGTGCACCAGAGATCCCTTGAATTGAGACTTGGAAGCCCTGGCTTCTCTCCAGGGCCCTGAATTCACTTTCAAGTGAACTTGGGAAAGACACTTCCACATTGTGACTTTATTTCCCCCCTTATCTATAAAATGAGGAAGAGGTTTGAAGTCACAGCTGGATGAACTGGATGACTTCCGCCTCTGAAAGTCTTTGTCTCCAGAGGTCTCTCGTGCTCTGAGATTCTGTAAAAACTTGTTTCATTTCTCTCTCCCCTCGTCATCTTTATTCCTGCCATCTCTCAGGAGAGGTCCTGGTTACTATTTGCTTGGACTTTTGTGTAAGTATCAATAGATCTTCCTGCCTCTAATCTTCCTTTCTAATTTATTTTCCACACTATTCTCAGAGGAATTCTCTCTTCTCAAGAAGGGTTATCGTGTCCTTTAAGAATAAAGGGTTATAATTTTCCATAAGAATCAAGCCCCAAAACTTTAACATGCTATTCAAGGCCTTCCATGGCAAGCAGATTTTTTTCAGTGATGTATTCTTCTTTCCAACCACACTGGACTTCTTGATGTTCTCTAAGTCAACCCTCCACTTCCTGTTTCTGTTTTTATTCACTTGGCTTCTTCTTCCTGGATCCTACTCTCCCTATCTTCTATCTAAATTCTAGCCATGTAAACACATCTAAATACTTACCTTTTCTATGAAAACACTTCTGAGTCTTCCTAGTCAGACTCTCCTCTTTCTTCCTGCATCCTCTGCAGTCATTTCATGGTGTTTATAATGCTCTATTTTGTATTCTTATAGATGGCTGGGTCTCTGCCTGTCCATCTCACTGGACTTGAGCTCTATTGTTAACAGTGGAGGGTGTCCAGGTTCTTGTCATCTTGAACAAAGAATTGGACAAAATGCACAAACAAAGCAAGGAAGGAACAAAGGGATTTATTGAAAATGAAAGAACACTCCATAGTGTGGAGCGGGCCTGAACATAGGGGCTCAAGGGCCCTGTTACAGATTTTTTGGGAGTTTAATAACCTCTACTTGGGGTACACCCTATGTAAATGAAGAGGATGAAGTAAAGTTACAAAGTCATTTACTTGGTGTATGCACTATGGAGAGAATATTTCCTCTCATAGCTGAAGTGGGAATCGGCCTTATGTTCCCTGCCTCCAGACCACATTTTTCTTCCTCACTATGAAGGAAAGATTTCTCCTCCTTTCTCTCTCTGTCTCCTATAAGCTCTCTTTGTCGTCCTCAAGGTAGGTGTTCTTTAAATGTGAGACTGACTGGCTCTCTCTAGCTCCAATGCCTGTGGTAGACTGAGATTCTAAAACATATAACTAGGCTTTTATTTCTTGTGGCTCTTTAGCACTCTCTGTTGTTGCCTATGTATAATTCTTGCCTCTGAATTAGATGACGAATTCTCTGAGGGAAGAGTCCTTGATTTCTCCTTCTGATTCTCCCATGAGCCCTGCCATAGTGCTGGGACCCCAGTAGGTGACTGAACTGGATGATGTTTCACCTCCACAAGTCCATGCCCCCTGAGCAGTATTCTTTTGGGATTTAGAACTTATTTGCAACTTGTTGGCTCTTGGAAATAAAAAAGAATAATGTGTGAAAATTCTAGAGCCTTACAGAGTATGGGGCAGGAAGATGGTGTTGGTAGATGAACCAGTGGTGGGCTGTGATAATTTCAGGAGGTTTGGGAGATGGCTGCTGGTATCTTGAAGAGTTTACATGCAGAAATAACAGAGGAACTGCTTTAGTTTCTCCAGAAATATCTGGATGCTAAAGTTTCCAGGCCAAACTGAGAGGTGGGACTTGAGGCACAGCCCAAGAGCCCCAGCTGTCACCAGCAGGGAAGCTGAATGTGGTCATGTGTACCGGGAGCAGCAGGCAAGTTGAAAGCAGTGATTGGTCAGAAGCAGATTCATCAGGGCTTCTAAAGATCATCTTGCCCTGCTTCTGACCCAGGTAGGTCAGTGCCCAGTCCATTCTTTGTAGGTGTCAATTCAAAGACTCCCCAGAGGAGCAGATGGCCCACTGTCCCCAAGAAGCTCATGCCTGTGTCTTATTCCCTTAGCTGTCAGGCATAGTAGGATGCCAGATCCAGGCATCTGGCAGGGATGAGAAAGCAGGCAGAGAGAGCAGGGAGAGAAAATCAGGTAATGCCAGGGAGCTTTCATGAGGGATTGAGTAAGGAAAGTAATCCTTCTGAGGTCTTTGCCAGTAAAGCACAGCGAGAGTAGTAGAGGCTACTAGGGGATGGTGTAAGGGCTTTGGTGGAGATTATCTGGGACTGGGGAGGGGTGCTGTCCCCAGTCCTCTGTGGTTTATTGCCTGGTCCCATAAGTGGGGGCAGTTGATGCTTGCATAATACACCTACTTGTCATGTCCACCTAGCAAAATCTTGGTGTAGTCAAGAAACAAGAAGATATGATCGAGGGGTTGGAAATCAAGTAAGAGTTTTCTCCACTGGTTGCCTAGTTCATTGATTCACTTATTCATTTATCTTCCTGACGAATGCTTAGTGAGGAAGATAGAACTGTTAACAGTCAAAAGGATTCTGGGAAGAGCTTATGGCAGAGCTGCAGCCACGTTGGAGTAAGAACAAAATTTCATCATCATCAATTCTTCTCACACAGTGGGACTAGCCCAGACAAGTGCTCTCTCTTCTGCTGCTCTTGCCCCTGATGCTTACACCACAGTGGCTTCACACCCTTCTGCATGCCTGAGCCATGACTTGGCTAAATTACCACACCACTTTGCCATGGGAATTCTGCCTAATCATCCTCCTTTAATCTTCAATCTCTTTATTGTGGTCACAAATGCTCCACATGGCCCCAGTCACCCTGCAGAAAAGAAATCATCAGCTTTCTGCAGCATCAGACTTAGCAGCATCTTCCTGTCCCAAGAGAAGAGGGGATGGGAGGATGGCATGGTTCAGGGCTTAGGGGAGGATAGGGGAGAAAAAGTGGAAGCAAAGGGAGAGGCCCAGGAAGGATTTTGTTGCGACATGTTACCTGGGCTGCACCTGCTGTATGCAAGAGAAGAGGCTGGGAGTCCCCTCTGCAGGGTGTTCATGCCCCATCTCTGTGCCACGAGGAGTTGGGCTGCTGAAGGTGAGTACAGGGAGGTTCCCTGTCATCTCAAACCTCTCAGGCTCCACAGTACTGTTTCAAGTATCCAGAGCTTTCCTGCCTTTGAAAAGCAAAAAGTTGTCTCAGGAGAGACAGTGTGATTTTTGCAAGGTCATGCAGGGTCACACAAGTTAATAGCAAAACTATAGTCAGAATTCAGACTTTCTAACACAAGCATATGACATGTATACTTGTCCCAGGACTCTATGTTCTATGTTTTCCTCTTGTCACATTTATGGATCCAGTCCAAGGCAGAGAGAACATGACTCTGAGGTCAGGCAGATCTGCAAGGGAATAGCAGTTCTTCTCAGGATTGTTGAAGAAATTAAATGAGCTCGAATATGTGAGTGCCTAGCCTAGTACCTGGCATGGGGGGTTATGCATTCAGTGTGTTGCTCTCCTTCCCTTCCAAGGTAGCCTGGCTGTTATCTCCTTTCTGGAAACTCATTGAGCATCAGAGATCTTGACCTCCTTGGGCACACTCCTGAGTTTATTTAGGCCTACATTTATAGGATGTGTCAGGAGCTCAAGTACTTTATGAACAGAGATTAATTGCTCTTATGATTTAATGCATTGGCCACCCACACTGGTGAGATGCTCCCTGAACTATGCTATTTGAGAAACAATGAAGGAACTTTGTGAGGCTAATAAGATTTGTGCTGTTAATTTAAGTCTTGAGGATGTGGACTACAGAGAGTATAACATTTTATAGAATTTGTTTAAAGCTACACTCTCATCTTTGCCATAACCTGGCCTTTCATAATACATTCCCGTGGCCACCTAGCATCATGGGTAAGGCTCTCATCAAATGCTTCTTGGAGAGCAATGCATCTTGCAGAACAGGAGGTGGGAAATTTCCACAAGGGAATGACTATGAATGGGGTGGGAGAAAGACAGGGAAGCAGGGGAAGATCATTTCCATTATTTGTTCAGTGGTGATTTTGGGTGAACATCTCTCTTTAGTCCAGAATGGGCAGGAAAATGATATGAATTGTAATTGTTGGCAAGTGCGAAATAATATATTTAGTGAGGAATGTAGTGTGAAGCACATGAAACTGCACTGTCAGGAAGAGAAGTTGAATCTGGGGTCAGAAGAACTGGTTTCCATTCCTGGTTCTGCAAACTGCCATCAAACTTGAAGGACTCATTCTGAGGCAGAGAATGAATAAATCATTACCTTTGTGAAGCATCAGAATCAGCAGCACTTTCCTGTCCCAGGAGAAGAGGGAAGGGGAGGATGGCACGTTTCAGGGCTTAGGGGAGGATAGGGGAGAAAAAGTGAGAAGGGAGGCTGACAGAAGTGTTGCAGACACTGCAACACTTGCATACTTAACACTGTATACTAAAGTAGATGTTAACCTGCGCTGCAATCTGTATATGCTGATTCAGCTGTAATCCAGTCGCTCACTTGTTACACTCTTACATTTTCACCAGTAAGTAGTCCTTGTGCCTCCTTGTATGGGTGGCCCAGTCTCTGATACTAGATCAGCAGCTTCAGCTTCATGCAGAGTCCTTCCTTTGAAAAACCAGCTTTTGCTTGATTTTATTATAGGATCTTGGTCTCATGTTAGTGTCTCTCTACCTCAGTCTTCCCAGAATGTAGGAATTCTTGCCCATAATATTAGGCCAGTACTTTTGTTCTAGGCTTATCTCAACAGACCTGATATCCACCTTTTCTCTTCCTATTACTCAGTAAGCATCCATCTTTAGATTGTGAACATACAAGACGCTGGCCTTTATAGGGCCTCTTATCTCTGTCACAGCATGGAGTTTTCATGAAAACAAGGGGCTGAGAACTCTGCTGGCACATAGTAGGCACTCAGGACAGGTTAGCTGCTTTCAATATTATTTTTCTGTTCGTAGATGTCTTAGCATGATTATTATTTTTACTGAAACCCACCCAAATTATCCATATGGAACAGTGGGCTCTGACCCAGGAAAGGGGGGCCCAGGAATTACTGTACTGCCTGTTGAGCACGTGCCTTAGTGTGTCCATCTGTCTGCTAACCTCTTGGCTGTGTCTACCGGCACTGTGTTGCCACCTCCTGTGCAGCACTCATCCTCTGTGCTGCTCTCCTGGCTTGCCTGTCCTCCATGCAGAGCTGTGGCCTTCCTAAGGGCTCCATTGATGGTTTATTCATCTTTGTTTGCCCAGCTCACAGCTCAGCTCCTAACGTACAGCATGCTCTGGGAAATGCCTTCGGGTGAATAACTTAAAAAGGAGAACCAAATGATGGATGCCACTGAACTGTGTACAGAAAATGAAACAGAAATACTCTTAGCTAACTTGGCTCTAGAGCCAGACTGCCTGGGTTTGAATGCTGGCTCTGGTGCTTATGAGCTGGATGAGCTTATACAGTGACTGGCACATAGTAAGCCCTCAATGAATGTAAACTATGATTATTTTTTATCATCATCATTATAAAAAGTCTTTAGTGGACTGGCTTCTTAAATACTGAGTGCAGTTTTGGCCTCCAAAACCCATAAGTAAGAAGTAATTTTGAAATATTAGAAAAAGTTAACTAGAAGGTGATGACAAAGAATCTCCTACTTCAAGGCCTCTGTAGTTGCTGTTTCCACAGAAATACTGTTCCCTCAGTCACATGATTTAATTCCTCATTTAATTCAAGTATTTACTCAAGTGTCACCTTATCAGAAAAATTTCTGGCCATCCTGTAAATAGCAAACTTTTCCCACTAATTCTCCATTCTACTACTCTGCTTTATTTTTCTTCTTGGCACTTATTACCGTCACTTGAATTAGTACATATTTGTTCATTTATTATCTCTCTCCCCCACTAGAAAGTAAGCACCTTGTAGCCTCAGTGCCTAGGACAGTGCCTGGCATGGTGGGTAAATGTTTGTTGATAGGATTGAGTGGTAAAAGCAAGTCTCTTCATTTAGAGAGGATGACAGCAGAGAAAAGGTTAAGTGGAAGACTATAAGATCAAGAAAGGCCTGTATTATATGAATATAGTTATAATCACAATTACCTAAAATACTAGAATAAGGAAGTCCCATCTTTTTAAGGCTTGAAAAAGGTAAGATTAAGACAAAGGGAAGGAAGTTTTATTTTACACAACAGGGCATAGTTTAGGGGAATTCCTCGATCCAAGAAGTGGTGCCTTGTGGAAAGTAAGAATCTGTTCATAGATTTCTGGAACATCTGGGTACCTTTCTAGCCATTTAGCCTTGGGGGTTTCGTTAGCTTTCTTGCATTCTGCTCCTGGGGCCTCAGTTAGAGGCAGGCTCTTGTCTGAAGACACATGGGGCTGGTGTCAAATTGGCCATTTTGGATGTTTCTATGAACCAACATAATGAGAGAGAGAAGTGAGAGGGCAAAGAACAGAGGTTGTTAAGAGCAAAGAGGAGGGATGGAGGGTTGGAAAGAGACCGAGTGGAGAATAAGGGATTGGTATTTCCCCTGGGTCTTCACAAGTGGGAGACACAGGGAAGAAACCCTGGCAGAAGTGTTTACATTTGAAAAGTTTAGAGGACTACCATAGACCTTGGGTTAGAAAGGTTCATGCATTCTATGGTTTCTTCATTTAACAAATGTTTATTGATAACCGACTATGTATCAGACACTCTTCTAGAGATGGAGTTTGCAGCAGTGAAATCCTGCCCTCATACAGCTTTTACATTCTAGGCTGGGGATACATACAATAAACAAAGAAGTAACGTGTGTATGTCAGTGCCAAGTGCTATGGTGAGAAAGATACAGGGAAGGGGACAGGAAGTGCTGGATGGTGGGTGGAATGGGGGGCAGGGACAGGTTGTGATTTGTAACTGGGCAGGTGACCAGCGAAGGCCCCTCTGAGAAGGTGACATTTGATAATGGCCTGAAGGAGGCGAAGTTTTCTCTCTGGCTTCAACCAGAGGCCTCCTTGGTCCTGGGCAGCTGGGTTATTTATGTTTAACTGTGTGCTCCTGAGTCTCATTTCCTTCCCTGGCCCAGGCTCTCTAGTTTCCTTTACCCAGTAAATATTAGGCGCTGGGGACACACCATGAACAAGACAGAGAGGCTCCATGACTCTGTGGACCTTTCAGTCCAAAAAAAGGAAATAGGTAAATGGTTATTACCCAACAGTGTGAGGGATGCTGCATTAGGACATTTCCAGCTCAGAGCAGGGCATTGTTCTTACTAGAGGGTGATTAGGAAAGGCTTCCCAGCTGAGATGGAATCTTCAGTTGGAGTTTGTCTTTTCTTCATTTCCAGTCCTTTGTCCTTGTCTTCTGTCCACTCCTTTCTTTGCTGAATATTTCCTCAGATTTCAAGTCCCATCTCACATTTCTTGTTGTGTTAGACATCATGACTGATTTTTCCTTGGCCTCTACTTCCCAGTTTAATGAAGATAATAGCTATTGCCACCCACATACTCATAAGAATGCAGAAGTGTTACAGGGGATTAATGGCATTTTAGGATTAAGGACATGATGGTAGTTTAAAAGCTTTTAGCGCCTCCTAAATTAGGAGATCTACCTGACATTGCTAAGCCTCTCAGATTTCGCTGTGGCAATAGTTCTGTTTCTCCTTAGGCTCACACTAGCTACTGTTTGGAAAATTTGGGCACAATTGTCTTGGGTGTTAAGTCCTTGTCCTTTGGACCCCACCTCTTTCCCTTATAGGACTTTGTGATAAGAGAGCTTAGTAATGTGGCACTTGATGAACTTACAAGGGATGTGACAGGTGTCAGGGAAGCTTGATGATTGTCAGCCACAGCCACAGTGGGAACTGATGCAGACTTCTCAGTAGTTCTCTTGTTCTTGTGTCACAGACCCCACTGATCTGGGTGGGGGGGGCACCAGAGGCCTTAGAAGCAGGACACCTTTCTCTATCTGGGTCTTCATAATCTGTCCTGTCTTCTATTTCTGACTCCATCTCCCCTTCAAAACTCCCCTGCTCTACTTAAAATGATCTCTTTGCCTAGCCTTGGGTGCATTTCCACATCTCCAGTAAGGTGGTAAGTCCTCTGAAGTAGGTTTCATTCTCCCCTCAATCTCTTTAAATCTACCCATCCTTCAATGTCCACTCCCAACAAAACCACTCGAGTTCTTTAATCTCTCTCCAACCTGCACTTGGGGATCACATCTTATCTCATAGAGCTTCTTTGGTTCAGATCAACATCTACCTCCATATAGAGTCGTCAAGCTGGAACAGACCAGCACTGCTTAGCTCTAATCCAGTATTTTTCAAACTGTGTTCCTTGGCACCTGTCAGGGGCTGAGCTGAGCAGACAGGATTCTGCTGTTTATCCCCATTCAACTCACTGCTTTTATCTTTAAAACATCTGAAGCTTTTCCCTGAGGAAAGGATTCTGCAGTCAAAGAGTTTGAAAACTATAATATCAAATTTGATTTGTTTGTAAAATGGAAATAGAGGCCCATGTACACAATGGCACATCGCTAGGCAGTGCTGGAATCAGCACCCCAGGATCCCAAGACCTATGCTTCCTATTAACAGAAAGTATCAGTGGAGTTGTGATGTGCTCTGTTGTACTATCTAGAGTGAATTAGAATCTCTTTGAAATCATAAAATGTCTTATATATCCTCGTTCTTTGGCACAATGCCTTGCTCATAGACGCTTAACAAATATCAGCTGCCACTGCTGATGGTGATGACAAGGGTGACACACATCTAGCAAGCCCCCTGAGAGTACCCTGGGTGGCTTTCTTGGCTTTGGCCCTTCCACTGATGTGCTTATGGCAGTGGCTGGGCCCTCAGTTCAGGCAAGGCACCTCATGGGGATCCTAACTGTGCTTTTAGTTATCTGCAAGGTCAACAGGAACCAACTCTGCCTTTATTCCTCATCCTTTCACCACTGGCCTTAAAGCTGCTTCACCAGGAAACTGGAATACTCCCTAACAAACAAAGTGTCCAAGCTTGTGTCTGGCTCCCTTGCCTGAACTCCTCTTTCTACTCTGTCTACACATGTTTTTAGTTTAGTTTAGTTTAGTTTTTTGAGACAGGGTTTGCTCTCTCCTCCAGGCTGGAGTGCAGTGGCGCCATCACGGCTCACTGAAGCCTCAACCTTCCAAGCTCAAGTGATCCTCCCACTTCAGCCTCCCATGAGTAGCTGGAACTACAGGCATGCTCCACCACACCCAATTAATTTTTGTATTTTTTGTAGACATGGGATTTTGCCATGTTGCTCAGGCTGATCTTGAACTCCTGGGCTCAGGTGACTCTCCCACCTTGGCCTCCCAAAGTAGTGGGATTATAGGCATGTGCTACAATGCCTGGCCTATACATGTTCTTTTATGATCCACCTCCTTCATGAAGCTTTCTGTAATTCCTCAGGCTCCTATTTATCTTCGTGTCTCTATTAATCACACTTTTACCAAATATTTATCGAGCTCTTTAAACTATGCTATGTACTTTACATCCATCCTCTCATTTGATGCTTACAACAAGCTTATGAGATAGATAATATTATCACTCTCATTTTATACATGAGGAAATTAAGGCTAAAAGAGATTAAATTATTTGTCCAAGGTCATAGAGGTAGAAAATAGTAGTGGTGAGATTTATATCCAGGCAGTCAGATCCCAGAACTTATGGGCCTAACAGTTGCAACCATACAGAGCTCCTATTTGGTATGGAGACAGCCACACTTTGTATCATTTACCCACAGATTCCTTCACCCAATATTTCCTAGATACTGACTATATTCAAAAGACCTTAAACAGTTTTAAAAGTTTATGTTAAAATTGCCCCATCTTCCTAGTGTCCCTGTGTGGAAATCTAATCTTGTCAACTTGACTGCAAGCTCCTTGAGGGTAGCTTCTTTATTCCTATCTCTCTTTTACCCTCTGCCCTTTTATCCTGTCCCAGTATGCTGGATGTAGATGCTCACCCAACTGATGGTCTTGATTGGATTATAGCACCTATAGTCTGTGACATGTGCAACAGATTCTCAAATTGGGGGAGAAGTTAGAAGTCTTCTGGTGAACTTCCCTGATTCCAAGTAGCCCCAACTACAGCTACAACTAAACCATTTAAGGCAACACAATAATTTAATTCAGGGGTTGGCAAATGATGGCCCATGGGACCAATCAAGCCTGCTGTTTTTGTAAGGCCCACGAGCTAAGAATGGTTTCACATTTTTCACTGATTGAAAAAAATCAAAAGAAGAATACTACTTTGTGACACTAAAAATTATATGAAATTCAAATCTTAGTGTCTATAAATAAAGTTGTATTGAAACACAGCTTTGCTTATTCATTACATAATATTGTATATGGCTGCTTTCATGGGACAACACCTGCTCAATGTTTCTGGGTGGGCTGAAAATTGCAGTACTGCTATTGTAATTTGACACCATTGGGAGTGCCACTTTATAGTTGTACCATAATGTTTTATTTTACTTTTTAATTACTAGTGCATGCCCATCATGTCAAAACAAAAAAAGAAGACAGAAATGGACTTCAAATGTCACACTTTCAAGGCAGGATTCTTTTGTTTGTAATGAATTAGATGGCAAAGCATTATGTTTATCATGCAATGACACTATAGCTGTGTTAATAGACTATATGTTGAAATGATCAGACTAAGCACTAATCACAATATTTCCAACTCACAGGAAGCAACAGTTAGAAAAATTAGGAAATTTAAAATAAAATATGTCATCATAGCAGAATTTCTTTATTAAAAAAATGAAAATGAGACTGCAACTAAAGTAAGTTTCTGAGTGGCTCATTTGTTAGCCAAACAAGTTAATCAATGGTGCATTAATTAAATCACGTTCAATTGCAGCAGCTGAAGAAATGTGTCTAGAGAAAATAAACTTGCTTAAGACAACCAGCTTTTGGGTGAAGAGTGAGGGAGGACATTGGGCTCAACATCAATAGTCAATTAAAAAATAAGGCACATGATTTTGAGTGATTTTCCTTGGTTCCTGATGAATTTACAGGATGTTTTTGACACTGTTTAGTTGTTTTTTTTAGGAATTAATGCTGAGTTTGAGATGACTAAATAATTAGCTTCCATAAAACGTTCATGTGGAACAATTATGTGCAGAGATGTTTTCAAAGTACAGAAAATACTAATTTCCTGAAGTGAAATCTAAGAAATGTTACAACTGATGCTAACATACATGTGGAGAAGAAAAAGGCTTTTGGAAAATGTTCAAAGCTTGTGAACATGCAGTGTTTAAAGCCTGTGATTGTTCATTGTACTATCCTTCAGCAGGTACTTTGCAGAAAATAGTTGAATCTTTCATATGCATTGAACCAGTGGTGTCAATGGAGAACTTCATTCACTCTTGTGACTTAACTATGGCCAGTTTTGTGATTTTGTTAATCAGATCTAGAAGCTGAATATCCTTACTTGTTGTACAGTGCAGCAGTTTCATAGCTTAGCAGTTGTAAAGTTTTACTGTGATGTTTTGAGCTCAAGGCTAAGATTGGATTTGTTTTTTGTTTTGAATGAGAAGAATCACCCTCATTCACTATTTTTTTTTTCTTAAACTTTCATTTTAAGTTCTGGGGTACATGTGTAGGATGTGCAGGTTTGTGACACAGGTAAACCTGTGCCATGGTGGTTTGCTGCACAGATCAACCCATCACCTAGGTATTAAGCCCAGCATCCATTAGCTATTCTTCTTTATGCTCTCCCTTCCCCCACCCACAAGGCGCCAGTGTGTGTGGTGCTCCCTGCCATGTGTCCATGTGTTCTCATTGTTCAGCTCCCACTTATAAGTGAGAACATGTGATGTTTGGTTTTCTGTTCCTGCATTAGTTTGCTAAGGATAACAGCTTCCAGCCCTATCTATGTCCCTGCAAAGGACATGATGTCATTCCTTTTTCTGGCTGCATAGTATTCCATGGTATATATGCACCACATTTTCTTTATCCAATCTATCATTGATGGGCATTTGGGTTGATTACATGTCTTTGCTATTGTGAATAGTGTCTGATGAACACATGTGTGCAAGTATCTTTATAATAGAATGATTATATTCCTTTGGGTATATACCTAATAATGAGATTGCTGAGTCAAATGGTATTCCTGCCTCTAGATCTTTGAGGAATTGCCACACTGTCTTCCACAATGCTTGAACTAATTTACACTTCCACCAACAGTGTAAAAGTGTTCCTTTTTTTCTGCAACCTCACCAGCATCTGTTGTTTCTGGACTTTTTAATAATCGCCATTCTGACTGGCATGAGATGGTATCTCATTGTGGTTCTGACTTACATTTCTCTAATGATAGTGATGTTGAGTTTTTTTTCATATGTTTCTTGGCTACATTCATTCACTATTTTTGCACACTAAATCGCTTTGGAAGTTAGCTTATGTGGCAGACTTAATAGTATTTCTTAATAAATTCAATCTAAAATTGCAAGGCAGAACAGTGCTTAAATGTGAAACTTATACAGTGGTAAAGTTATTTCAAAGACAACTAACATTGGTTGAGTAACAAGCAATGTTAGAGTGTTTTATATATTTCTTGTGCTGTCAAAAGTTAAAATAAAAAGTGGGGCCGGGCACGGTGGCTCACACCTGTAATCCCAGCACTTTGGGAGGCTGAGGTGGGTGGATCTTGAAGTCAAGAGATCAAGACCATCCTGGCCAACATGGTGAAACCCCATCTCTAGTAAAAATACAAAAATTAGCTGGGTCTGGTAGCGCGTGCCTGTAGTCTCAGCTACTTGGGAGGCTGAGGCAGAAGAGTCGCTTGAACCTGGGAGGTGGAGGTTGCAGTGAGCCGAGATTGTGCCACTGCACTCCAGCCTGGTGATAGAGTGAGACTCCATCTCAAAAATTAAATTAAATTAAATTAAAAAACAATAAAAAAATTAACAATAAAAAGTAGAATTTTTAAGGCTAGGCGTGGTGGCTCACACCTGTAATCCCAGCACTTTGGGAGGCCGAGGTGGGTGGATCACAAGGTCAGGAGATCGAGACCATCCTGGCTAACATGGTGAAACCCCGTCTCTACTAAAAAACAAAACAAAACAAAAAAAAGTGAAATTTTTATTCCACAGAAATTTTAGCTAATATATTTTTTGAGCTCAAATTATAGTTCCAGCAGTGTTTCTTGGACATCAATGCAAATGCAAAGCAAATTTCCATATTTCAAAATTCATTGCATTGTAATTAAAGAGCTTTCCCCCAACCTTCAATTGGAAGTGATTTGTCTTTAGTGTAATGACATGTTGTAAGGCAAATATCAAGTGATGAATCTTGTAGAGTTCTAGAAAGACCTTCAAAGTGATAAATATGCTCAAGTAAAATCAAATGTTTGTGGATATCAGTATTTGGCAGTATCTATCTGTGTGAAAAGACATTTAAAAAAATGGACTATGCGTTACTTATCAACATTAGCAGATGAACATTTGCAATAGATTTTGATAATAGGAGTTTGAGACCAGCCTGGACAACGTGGTGAAACCCTGTCTCTACTAAAAATACAAAAAATTAGGTTGCAGTGAGCTGAGATGGCGCCACTGCACTCCAGCCTGGGCAACAAGAGCAAATCTCTGTCTCAAAAAAAAAAAAAAAAAAAGATAATAGGGACAATGGCTTTGAACCCCAATTAGATGATATGTTACCCTCCCACCCCCCCAAAAACAGAATTCAATTTTTCTCATTGGTAGACCTGTATTACAAAAACATTGTATTCAATTATTATTATATTTTGGATTTTGCCAATAAAAATTGTGGAAATTTGTTTTCTCTCATCATATATAAGTACTTTTGTAATATCTTTGGTTCACAAATACTTAAAATCTTTACTATCTGGCTCTTTACAGAAAAAGTTTGCCTGCTCTGATTTATCAGAACAACAAACAAGCAGACAGACAATAACTCAAAGATTCCATTTTTTTATAGTTCACTTCTTGTCAGGAAATATATCCTTGAATCCCAGTTAAATCCTTAGTCTTGTGGTTTTAGTGATTTCTTTTTGTACTGCCATGCCATCCGTGAAAAGCAAGGTCATCACGCCATTGTGGAAATCAGTTTTAATTTGCTCTGAGTCAGTTCTATGTAACATAATAATGAAATAATGAAACCCTTTATTTGCAATAAAGATTTAGTTTCCTGAATGGGTCAAGCTGGTTCTTGATTTATGGGAACCATCTCCTCTAAAGTAGGGATGGGAAGGGTGGAGGTTGAGGATATCCGTTGTGCTTGAAGTGGTTGTGGATGGTAGTGAGTTCAGAGTCCCTTGAGCTACTGGGAGCAATGGAGTGAAGAGAACAAGAGGGAAGCCTCCCAGTGCCAGGAAGGAAGACAGGGCTCTGTGCAGGGATCAGGCATGGCCAGGACTTGGCTCAGTCCTCTTCCTGGGCCAGAGCTGCCAGTCTCTCTCTCTCTCTCTCTCTCTCTCTGCATTCCACTCCCTCCTCTTCCTATGTTCTTTTGCAAGTTTGTGTTCAGGAAGGGGAGAATAAAGAAGAGTAGCTCAGTTTAGGCCTGCCATATGGTGTGACTAAATGGTGAGCTATCTGAAGACAGAGACTTGACCTTACATTGCTTTGCATTCCCACTTATGTCTAAAAATAATAATCACAATAATGCTACATCCATAGTACTTTACATTTTACAAAACACTCTCATATTTAGTATTTCATTTGACCCTGTGAGGTACATGTGAGTTTTATAGATGAAGTTCAGAGAAGCTAAGTAATTAATCAAGATCGCATAGTCAGTATAATGCAGAGCTAGGACTTGAATCCAAAACTTCTACCTCCCAATCTGGTGCCCATTCCCCCTGCCTAGCACTATGCTGGACATAGATAGCTTCTGAGCCCTTGTTGGTTGATTGATTGGAGGACATCTAAGACTTTACTGCTCAAATGCTATTGTGCCAAAAGCCCTACCATTATATCTGCACATTGCTTTGTTGAGGCACCCTCTTTCAAAATATGGATTGACATATTAAGGCATTAACACTTTTAAAGTGAGTTCTTTTCTTTGCTTGCTTGCACCCAGAACAAGAATGTGAACTTTAGGAGTTTTGCTAGTAGAGAGAATAAGGCTTCTGAAAAGGTTAACAAGGTTGGCTGTCAGATTTTTCCTCTTTCACAGTTTTTCCTGGGGTCTTGCAAGACTTATATCACATGAAAACTTGTCCTTTTGTTCTCCTGGAGCATGGGAGAAACGAACTTGGAATCTTCCAGGTAATCTCAGTAACCGGTCTGCTGGCTGAACCTCTTGCAAGATGCAGGCCCACCTTGTCCTGCTCCTGCAGGGTGGCATCCGGCCTCTGCATGACCATTCAGTCTGATGGGAGACTGAATAAACTGTCCCACCCTGGGACAATTCTAGCCATGGGGTATATTCATCTGCTTGGAGCTACAATCTGCCTGGGACTTTTGCTTCTTGGTTCCCATTCTGCCTTCTAGAACAATGTAAATCAAGTCTCATGAATGCTTTCTCTGTGTGACATCAGGAAACAATAGGCCAGTCTCTTTCTTACACATCCTCATCTCAGTCTCTATAGCCTCTGTCATTTCAATCCTTTCTCACATAAGATCTCAAGAACATTCCCAATCCTGGCTGCCATCTCTGTATATGCTATAGCTTCTCAAATCCTCTCATAAAACATGGTACTCAGAACTGACTGGTACTCATTTGTTCATATGTTCATTTATTCAACATATATTTATGGAGCTTACTGCATCCCAAACCCTGGGCCAATTTCTATACAAGATCAGATTCAATTCCCGACTGTGGTGCTTAATTTAAGAATCAAATCATCACATGCAAAAATAATTACAAACTGTGATACATCCTGTGAAGAAGAAATGCAGCACATTTTTTTTGGGAGCTTCTTAACATTAGAAGTCAGCATTAAAGGAGAGCCTAGTGCTTCTGGCCTATGGAGACAGAACCCAGAGCTGCAGAAGCCCTAGAGGAGATTTAGGATGGCAAGTCCTGGGCTTTCAAGAGGGACCTAAGCACACTTTTTGACAACTCACTTCCAAAAAGTGAGGAGTTCCAGGTATTTTCAGATCTGGTGGATTATACCAGAGTCATTCTCTCACCTGTGGTCTCTCTGTCTCACCTCCTTTTCTTCTTATCTGTTGGGAAAGACACAGGGAGAGACAGGCCAAAGTTGCACAAGAAGTCTTGGGAAAGGTTTTGGAAGAGTTTTGAGCCATGGCTCCCTAGGTTCAGCCAGTTCTGGGGAATGCTATGTTTCGGAAAGCCTTTGTTTTTGTAGACATCAAGTGCTGATTCTCAGCAGAGGCAGGGCTACATCCCCTCTAATGTCTTTCCTTTGCCAGGATGGGCAAAGGCTGGCTCAGTCATCCCAGGCTGGCCTTCTGGCTATGCCTCCAAGCTCTGGATGTCCCCTCTGGCTGGGTGAATGGCAAAGGTCAGTGTGGCTCTTCCTGCTGGCCCTGGTGCAGCAACTGTCCTGGGTACAGGCTGGATGGCACATGCCACAGTGAAGTGAGGCCCTGCTCTGTAGAAACCTAGCCTCCTTCCCTTGTCTCATAAGTGACAAGAGACCATTCAATAGCTGCTATTGTTGCTACTCTTGTTTCTCTATTAACATCATTGCTGTCATTACTGCACACTGACTATTCTAATCACTAATAAGAGGAGTTTTATTTTACCCAGAAGCCTGATAGCTTACCCAGGTCAGAAATAGTCAGAGGCATTATAAAAGGGCTTGTCCTGATTGCTCTGCCTGTGGAGTAGTCATCGTTTTATTCCTTTACTTTCCTAAAGAACTTGTGTTCACTTTAAAAAAACAAGAAACAAACAAGGGATTGTCCTGAAGACTAAGGACCCCTCGAGTGACACAGCCAGAGCCAGTGACAGGGTTCTGACCTTCTAGAAAACGAGGCACATTGGGATGATAAGGCTGAATGGTCTCCATCATAGACTTAAATGGAGTTTAATCCCCATCCATGTGGTGGACCAGGGAGGAAGGGGCCCACTCCCAATATTCTCTTTTGCTCTAGGCACTAAAGACCAGGATTTGGAGTGTGACCTCATTATTAAAAGGCAAGGAGTATATAAGGCCCAAAGAACTTGAGATCTGGGCCAACAAAAAAAGAGGCAAAAAGTCTGGAAGAGAACACAAGAATAGGAGTCCTCTTTGAGGCTAATCTGAAGTCACACATTATGAAGGTGACTTGTTTTCCCTGCTTGCTTTACCGAAAACCTTCCAAGAAGTAATTTCTCCAGCTATGCTTTGGGGACAGTTGAATGAGTCTATAGTGCCTCCTTGAGGAAGCACCTGGAAACAACCACCCTGAAATGAAATCAGTGTAGATTCATCTGTAGGCTTGGAAATTATAGTAAGTGATAAGCACTTGTTAACATGTTGTTGGGGGATGTTGGGGTAACAAGGACTAACAAAAAAGTCACCACGCTGTTTTTCAAAAAGGAGAGTGAAACATGTTTATTTCCCTTAGCAGTATTCAGGGAAAGGACATTCTGGTTCTTTAATTTAAAATATCTCTGAAAGTGAAAAATTCTCTGTCCTGACCCTCTGTTCCCCTGTAAACTTCTGATACATGGTGTAGACATCTGCGTGATCTTGTGCATTATGACAGGCACATCACAGTGTCCCGGACGGATGATGAGGCCCAGTGTCTATTACATGTGAATATTGGTGTCTGGCTTGCCAGGGGATGCTGAGTGTGGCTAGTGTGAGTCAGCATCCTGGAGCCCTGAGTCCCCTGGGTGAACCCATGGGCTGGCTCCTCAGCAATCAGCTTACCAGTGGAATAAACTCAGGTCAGATTATTCCACTGAAATGGCAGCTAGTTTGTATGCTAGCTTTGCAGCTTTCTGGGTGAACCAACTCTAGCTTCAAGTTGCTACAAGTTCACTGTTACATTTGGCATTGTGTTAAGGAATCAGGCACCACTGAGTACTTGTAAGAGGAATGTTGTAATAAGTGTCAGAAAAACTGGGCTCACATCCCAGTCCTTTCACTGATCAGCCATATATTGTTGGGCAGATCACTTTACCTCTATATTTTCTAGTTTTCTCAAATACACAACAGCTAGGGGTGGGAAGAAAAAAAGAGGACATCGTTCCCATTCAAGTCTAACAATCTTGGCACTAAGGTGCCTTGGGCATGGTCTTGGCAGTGCCTTGGGAGTCAAAGGAGATTACCCATTTCTCCATACTAATCACAGGCTCATGGAGTTGCTCTGGAATTTGGCATTTCCAGTGTGTTTTGCTCTAGGCCCTTCCCCTGTGGTCTTCATTTTATGCCAAGTTTCATCTCCTACCATTATGACCAAAAGTGTAAATAAAAACGTATAGTTGCTCACCAGTTCCTAAAGAGACCCCTTTGCAGAGGTGTCTGAGATTTTTATTTCTCAGATCAGGGCCTAAGCTATGAAGGAAGTGAGTGGGAAGAGCCCCTATGTTAGAGACAAGGTGACAAAATAGCTGGCGAAGCTATTACCAGAGTAATTGGACCCGCAGGCTGGGTAGATTTGTGTTTGGTTGCTTTTTAGTTGTGACCTGGCATAGAAGGCAGTTCAGCACCTTGCTCAGAGCTGATACTCAGTGAAGATGTGTTGAACTGAGACCAGGGCAGCAGAATTGGCAAGATCATGTGCTCCCAGGGCATAAACCTACTTCAGGGTTGTATGTTTGTGTCTCCCCCAATGGTGGTGAAGCTGCTGTACTGTCATTGAACTGTGTATGGAGTAGGCACTTAATGGCTTCTAAAGTGGGCCTGGGGCCTGATGGTGTTCTGACTGCCTTCTATAGGAAGTGTAGGCTCCTAGGCTTTTTGACTGGACTGGCCTGAAAGTGGCAAGGTGGGAGGCAGGCTCCTATGGAACAAGATGGGACTGGTCCTGTCCTGGGAGGCTTGGTGCAAAGGACAATGGAAGCCAGCGTCTGGGAGGCCAGTGACTTATTGAATGATGTACACCAATAAGACCAGACAGAGGTACAGGAAGAATCTTCTCCAAGAGTCCTCACTGGTGCAGAGTGCTTTAGCACAGATGACTCCAGATGCCATTGCCTTTGAGCTGTCCTTGAGCTCATCTCGGGAACTCCTTTAGGAGGACTCTGAGTCTTAGGTATGAAGCTCTGTTTTTGTTCATTCAATGCAGGGAGATGGAAAAAAAGAGGAAACATGGGAACGATGGAGATGGGAGGGAAAGGGGAAGTAAGAGGAGAGAGCAAAAGGGGCAAAGAGGGGAGCAGAGAGATGGGGAGAGAGAGAGAAAGGTGGAGGGAAAGCAAGGGGAAGAGAAGAGATGAGAAGGGGATCTGATGACACCCTAGGGCAGCTATAGAGTCAGGGGAGGTCCAGGCTATGGAGGTTTCTGTACCCATGTCTCCCTTTGCTTTCTTAGTTTTGTTCAGCCTGAGCCTCATCCCAAGATCCAGGGTCCTGTGCCATGGATTATACCACCCATGTGTGTCTACACCCAGAGCCCGTATTGCCACTGAGGAGACAGACATATGCCATTTTTCAAAGTAGGAGCTCCTTAGGGTAGGGGGCAATGATCTAACATGAACATAAAATCCCACATACAGAATCCACACAAGCCTCTCAAATTTGTCACCACTGGGGCAAATTCAACAAGCATTCACTGTGTAAGCTGCCATGTGTAGTGCTGGGAGGAAAGCCAGAGTTCCTCCCTCAAGGAACTTATGATTTAGTGGTGGTGGGGTAGTGTGCCCTTGTGTAAGCAAGAGAAATACATAGGTGTAGTGCAAGTGTGAACATTCTTTGTGTCTAATGATGGACTCCATGCTATAAGTACTCAGTGTTTACCAAGAAGAAAGATGCATATAGTTACCTCTAGGTTTGTTAACAGCTAGATCTAAGACAGGGAAGAGAGGATGTTTGCATTTGGGATCCCTGCTCTGCACTGAATGCTGCCCAAACTACTTCTGTGCTCACCAGGAGAGGACCATTAAAGGCAAAGGGAAGAAATACATCTGGGCTTGCTGGTCTAAGCTGAGAATTTCAGGGCTGACATCTGAAGGCAGAGCCAAGAAAAACTTCTAAGCAGTGAAAAACGCCAAACCCTGGGCTTGAGCTTCAGGGAGACTGAGGGGCAATTTAAATCTCTTTTCTGGTGGAGTAGAGGATCCTTTTATGGTTGGGATGGCTCGTGTTATCCTTCAAGGAGGCAGAGGTATGATGGTATGTCAGGTTCCTCCTGGGCCTGATTCTTTCTTTGAAATTTGCTTCTTCTATCCCTGAGGCACTTTGGAGTTGAGACTGAATAATAACCAGCCACACAAACCTGGGTTCTACCACAGAGTTCATCGTTAACAAACCGCGTGCCCTTGGGCTGGTAACTTCTTTCTCAGTTAAAGTACCCATCTGTTGACTTAGGAGCCAGAGGGTGTGTGAGTGTCTGTAGACACCTGGTGGCAGTTTGGAGGAATTACGTTCAGTATCATCAGGGAGCAAATCCCTGTGCATGCTGTTCAGGAGTGTCCCAAGTGCCCAAAAGAGCTTCCTGGGTTTGGAAGCTGAACTAGTCAATCTGATATCAGTTTGAGGAGCTCATCCTGGGAAAAGAGTCCTGTTTTTAAAGTCATGTTTGTCCAGAAATTCGTCCTTGTTACTGGCCCAAATGTTTACATTTGATTTAATTTTACCATTCCCACGGCCTCTGCAATCAATTTCCTTTCTTGGTTCTATAGATTTTATTCTAGAGGCAAAGTCCTGGGGGATTTAGGAGTAACACAGTGTCTTACACACAATAGAAGTTTTATGGTGCTTACCAAGTGTCTTTCAAGTTCTTACTATTATCCCCATCTTGTAGATGGAAAAATTAGGGCACAGAGAGGTTAAACAACCTACCCAAGGCCACACAGCTAGTCAGGGACATCAGCAGGATTTGCACCCAGACAATTTAACTCCATAATCTCTACTTTTAACTTTCTTAACAACTGTTGACGGATGAACAGACGGGTGTAATTTGAGAGGCCCTGAAAAAGGTCTTACTCCAAAATATACTTTCCACTGAGGTAGTATAGTTATATAATGTCTACCATAAAGCACTGCCCTTTTTCTGTTTCTTATAGTGCTTTTTAAAGTATAAATAGCCTATGAAGGGTTATATTAGCCCTTTAGTGTGAATTTATTCATTAGATGTTTTATATTGTCTTGTTTAATAAGTGCTAGAAAGGGCTAGAAGGAATTACTGTGTTCTGCAAAGGGATCTCAGTAAACGGAACTGTTTTATTTCTTTGCCCTTGTTCTGAACTGTACTGAAAAATAGAAAGAAAATGTGGTGCTCAAAATGTCATCTTTTTTATTGATAGTGATTAAGTAAGACATTAGTAGCGCTAGGTCTGCTAGCTGGGGCTTGCTCATACTAGAACTGAGAATTAGGCTAACTTACCCACCTAATCATGACAGGCCTGGGCATCCTTGCCTAAGAGTAAGTCCCTATTATGCCATAGGGATCTCTGCAGTTCCCAAGTAGAAGCAGAGTAGAGCTAAGCCAATTATTCTTACAAAATTTACCAACCAGTTAAGTCCTTCTACCATCTCAGGGGCAAGGAGAAGAAAGGAGTGAAAAGAGGCCAGGAGTGGGGAAAAGGCGCTCACCTCTAGTAGAGACCTTAGACATCACCTAATCAAGCCTTCTCATCATACAGATACAATGGAATTCCAGAGAAGGGAAGGGACTTTGATAAACTAAGGTTGCGAGCTGTGAAGGGGTTGAGTCACGACACTGGATATGCTGATTTGGCTGCCAAGCTCCTTCAACATTCCACCACAATGCCCTTTTCCAGGAAGAGTGAGCAGTGGGAGTGCTTTAGAACCTGGCATCCAAGGGACCTGGTGGGAAGGGGGAGTGAAGAAGTAAAGCTACAGCAATATGCCCAGTGAATAGGTCCTAGGGTGAGCCCTCAGCACTTTGGATACTGGAGTCAAGCCCTCTTTCTTCTGCTGTCCTCCTTGAAGCTCCACTCAGTGTCAGAGAGGGAAGACTATTTAAGATCACCCACCATATTAGTAGGATTTCTCAGAAACAGAACCAACAGCATGTGTATTTATAGAAAGAGATTTATTACAAGGAATTGGCTGATGTGAATATGGAAGCTGGAGAGTCTAAAATCTGCAGTGTAGGACAGCAGGCTAGAAACTTGGGAGAGCTGATTATACACAATCCTAAGGCAGTCTGCTGGAGAATTTTCTCTTGCTCAGGGATGCTAGTCTTTTTGTTCTATTCAGGCCTTGAACTGATTGGATGAGGCCCACCCCATTAGGGAGGGCAATCTGCTTTACCCAAAGTTTACTGATTTAAATGTTAATCCCATCTAAAAATATCCTCTGAAATGTGAAAGGGAAGTTCACTATGCCAAAAGAAAAAAATTAAGCAGAAGGTAAGTCATGCAAGCAACGGCCTTTCCTTTTGTTCCTAGGCCCATAGCTACTGATAAAAGATTAAATATCTCCACTCTATGTTCACCCTACCTTGTGTAAAGCACCGATTTACTGAGCATGAGACGGAAACATAATTGACTATTCCCTTACCTTCTTCTCCTTTTATCTTGCAATATGTGGATTTAGTAATGTGACCCTACCCTCCCTATTTCTTCTCCACCCTGCTTTCACCCTTTAAATATTGAAGTCCTAAAAAATTATCATTGGGGAAAGCACAGACCTGTTTCTGGAGTGGTCCTTAACCTTGGCAAAATAAACTTCTAAGGTGATTTGAGACCCGTCTCAGATAATTTTTGGTTTACAAAATTCACACATAAAATTAACTACCACACCCGTTTTTTCCCTTGATTGACTCTGTGAGACTGAGTTTTCTCCTTTAGTCATCTGAGTACCACCTTCAAGATTTTTGCAATATCTGTGTATATATAATAATAATATTCTTATTTATTTATTTAGAGACAGAGTCTCGCTCTGTTGCCCAGGCTAGAGTGCAGTGGCGCGATCTCGGCTCACTGCAACCTCTGCCTCCAAGGTTCAGGAGATTCTCCTGCCTCAGCCTCCTTAGTAGCTGGGATTACAGGTGCGTGCCACTATGCCCGGCTAATTTTTGTATTTTTGGTAGAGACGGGGTTTCACCATGTTGGCCAGGCTGGTCTTGAACTGCTGACCTCATGTGATCCACCCACCTCGGCCTCCCAAAGTGCTGGGATTAGAGGCATGAGCCACAATGCCCGGCCTAATATTTTTGAACCAATGTTAACTACTCACTTAAGAATTTAGCCTTACACTAATATTTGAGATAACCGGTTTGTTGGGCTGGTTTTAGTATTTTCTAACACAAATAAGAATAAATACTCAAACATTCTTAAAAAGTGCATGTAGCACTTAAGACTATCTTGGTACTCCATTTGGGAAACCATGTAGCCAAGGCTGTTGGGGCGAACCAAGGTGGTGGGAGTCCGACGGGCCAGCAGGGGGCGCACTTGCAGGTCACCTGAAGTCCTTATTTACGGGATAAGGTGGAGGCTGAGGAAAGTCTTTCAGAGGCCGGACGCTGGCACTGGACGGAGTAGGGAACCCTAGCCGTTATCCCACCAAAGGGTCCCAGCGCCTAGAGGGGCTGCGGAAAGCTCCTACAATACGAGGAGCCCTTGGAGCCCAGAGCGGGATCCTGCGAGCCGAGGCCCCGTTCTCTGTTAGGATCACGGGGACTGCCCCAGGCAGCTGCTGGGCCCGGTCGCGGACCTCGGCCAGAACATCCTCCCAGAACACAGAGGAATCTGACATCAGTGGCCTCCCTTGGTAGAGGTGGGGAGCCGAGGGGCGGCAGTGTGGAAGGGCCATCGGCCTAGGTCTTTCGTATCCCCTCCGGCCTCTCGGGGCTGTGCGTTCGGAAACAGCGAAAGGAACGGCCTCAGGAATCTGGCCTCAGCCGGAGCACTGGTGAACACAGGCTCCCGTCGCGCCAAGGGAAGTAGGAAAAGCTGCTTCCGGGCGGAGGGGCTGCACTTCCGGGGCCCGCGTCCCCCGGCGGCTTCGCCGAGAAGGGGCTTTGGGAGCTTAAGGGCGCCGGCACGCGTTCCCCTGGCGCAGAGCTCGCTAGCCGGGGCGCGGGCTGCCTCCTTGTTCTGGTGTGATCCGAATGTAACGGAGCGGACTTTGGGATCCAGAACCCCGGACTGAGGTTGTGCTTGGCTTGAGGGGCGGGCTGGTAGGTCAGCCCCCTTGGGGCGTCGTTGGTCCTCTCCAGGCGTGTCACATTCTGCCCGCACATGGTGCCTTGGTACTCCCCAAAAGTCATGCCTTGATTTTTCTTACTAATAATAGTTTACACTGTTTTACCGCTTCACTGCTTCACGTAAGTAAAGTAATTATTTCAAAAGGAAATGTTGGTCATTTATAAAATGGTGGTAAAGATGGTACAGCGGATTAATGTGAGGATTAAATGAGATGATACATGAAAGTGCTTAAAACAGTACAGGGTACTTACCGTTATTATTGTTAAGTAGAAAGTGAGTTCTGGGAAACAGTGGGTGTATGGTCCTTCACAGCAGGTTTTGGAAACGTCTGATTTCCAGCCTACCCTCCTTCCTCCTGTTGCCGTCTGTTGCCTGATTGTTCTCACTGGCTGAAAGGAGATAATCCCTGCCACTCCATTCATCACTGAAAATTCTTGTCAGTTTGGTTGCTTAGGTACCTACTAAGAGTTGCCAGCAGGTGGCCCCAGAGCACGCGGTTATGTTTGTCTTTTTGGGTCCCATGTTTAATTAGTAATTTAGTAGGGACGTATTGAATACTTATTCCACACTATGGTACACTGTACCAGGGGATATAGGGATGCCTGAGGGTGTGGGAGGCCGACCCTGGTCTCAGGGAGAATATAAATGATTTATTATTCTGGTCTTTCACAAGATTTTGGCCTTTTTAAAGATCGATTCATGTATTCATTCAACAAATATTTATTGGATGTTTACTCTGTTCCAGTTTCCACTCAGAGATGTGAAGTATATCAATGAATAGAATAGACAAAGATCTTTGCCTTCATAGAGATCACATTCTAGCACACAACAATAAAGATAATAAATTATGTAAAATGTTAGAAGTGTTATGAAAAAGAAAAAATGTAGACCAGTGTTTGTGTGTGTGGGTAGGGTTGGTGGGATGGGCAGGTTGCAGTATGAAATAGAGTGGTTAGTATTAAATAGGCTTCATTAGGAAGGCAAGATTGAGCAAAGATTCAAAAGATGTGAGGAAATTAGTCAGATCTGGCGGGAAGTGTGTTCTAGATATGAAAAAATTGGAGTTATTACATTTACTCCTTTAAAGATGAGGTAATTGAGGTTCAGATAAGTAAAGTAACTTGTTTAGGGTCTCATAAGAGGTTTCTAACAAAACTGGTCTGGTTTCATGTCCTCATTTCCAGTCGTGTTCATTCACCAGATCACATTACCACTTGGTGTTTTTAGGGTGATGGAGACTTCACAATACATAACTTGCTTAAATCATGACTAAGGTTATCTTGGCATACTTCCCATCATTGGGTAATACCAAATTCTCTGTGATCTTTCTTTTTTTACATAATCAGTAAATATTTATTTTGCTAACTGGTGTGGAGGATAGAAATGAGGCATAAAGCCTGTCTCCTGCCCGTAAGGGACAAATAATCTATACATAACCATTTTGGCCTTCATCTCTTTTTCATCTACTTTCCCCATTTCCCCCAAGACAAGCCCACTGATAATCTGTACCTACAGCTTAGAATTAGGTCAGGTCCTTAAACTTGGTCACCCATTCTTGGTTTGTAGGTTCCAGAATTTCACTGGATTCCTTTTGCTGACAGTTGTTGTGCCTCTGGTTATCCCCCAAGTCTCTACTCCCTTTATCCTGTGTTGAACTTGTCTATGAGACTGAGCTTATGCTATGCTTTTCACTCCTCAATTAGATATCCCATCTGGATCCTTAGTTCCCCTCTAGAACTGCCTCCTTGTCTCTTGTAGTCTCAGTTGTTGATCTTTCCACTTGAGTGGAGACTTTGCATTGCTCCTATTTGGGAGTTGTGCCCCTTGTTCGCTGTGCTTGCTCCCCTTGAGCTGCCTCTCTGAGCCTGAGTCAGTTCTCTTCACCTCTGGCCCAGGGAACTCTGGACATGTGCCACACCCCTTTCCCTTCATGCCTACACTTGCTGGGAGGATATTGTGGTGCCTTGTGTTAAAAGTCCTGGGTTATGGCATATGTGAAACAGCCGCGAAGGACAGAAGACTATTTTTACGTAATTAATTGCCTGGGAACTAGTTGTTTAAAGGAGAAGGGTGTTCGGTAAGCCTGAGTGGGTAAGAATGAGGAAGGTGGAACTTGAGCCTGGTCTTGAGGGATGGGTAGAATTAACAGGTGTAGGGGAGAGAACAGGGTTGGGGGTGAACTTGTTATGTTGTGAGCCAGTAAGGAGATTAGCCTAAGTGGAATGGAGAAGATGTGTTTGGGAGTGGTGGTGGGAAGAGGATAGATAGGCAGGGCTGGATTGGAGCAGAGCCTGGAGCATCAGCTTGAGAAGTTTGCATTACAACATCATAAATTATTTTTAAATATTTTATGGTTCTTGGGAAGCTGGCATGAAGGCACAATGACAATGTGTCATTAAGATCTGTATATCTACCTGCCTATCTTTGATCATCTCAAATTTGCTTTGTCCCTGAATGCCCCATATGAAAGAGGTTCCCTTGGTTATTTTTTCACAGCATTGTGTTCCTTACTTATTTACTTTTTCAGTTTTTTCTAGTGTGCCCTAGAATGAATGTTGCCAGGAGGCAAGGACTTGTTCTGCCTCCTTGTTGAATGCCCAGAATGTACAACAGTTTCAGATACACATTCAATGCTTTAAAAATATTTGTTGAATGAATGAATGCCCTGAGCTAAGTTTATTTCTTTAAACCTGATCTATTCTACCTTCTGAATTCTTGAATTCTGTTAGTGCTAACACCATCCATTTGGTCTGCTAAGTTGGATACTTGGAGTCAATTTTGATGAAGACATGAGTACAGGTCTTGACCATTCTTAAACTTTACATGAGGATTGTATTCCCACTGAAGCCTTGTTTTTTACTCCATTATGCCAAGTTAACACAATGTAACGTGTTGCATTTTCAATATGAAGACAGAAAACATCAAACATGAACAGTGAGGCTAAAGGAATGAGAAGTTATTGGGAGCCAGGGCCATGGGCAAATTGTAAACTGTGTGTATCTAAATGTAACCATCATATTATCTGTTCTGTCCTCTTCCAAGGGGAAGAATCATGTAATGGTTAAGAACATGGTCCCTGGAGTTAGGCTGCCTGGGCTCAAATTCTGGCTCAGCCACTTACTAGCAGTGTACCCTTGGGAAAGCTGCTTAACTTCTCTGTTTCTCAGTTTTCTCATCTATAATATATGGGTAAGAATAATACTTACAGAGTTATTGTGAGGATTAATATGTGGGAAGTTCTTAGAGCAGTGCTAGCATATAGTAAATGCTCATCAAATGTTATTATTAGCTATATTAGCTATTATTAGCTGTTAATATTTAGTGGGCCATTGAAACAACATAGGCTCTATTGCCATTTGGGCTGCTGATCTGAAACAGGTGGCCAGACTTCATTGAGGGATGACCTTTGCAAGGTGTGATTGAGGGTATGGGATTGAAGGAAATTTGGGATTTTTTGAGTGAGGACTGAGTTCCTGCAGGAGATATAGTCACCCCAAAGGGAGTTACCAGGTCCAGATGGAATTATTTCCAGTGGAATGTGCACACAAATTCTTTGACACAAGTAAGGAAGTATTACTACTTAGTTATCTATATGTGAATCTGCACAGAAAACTGAAAGAACTCTGTTGCTACCTTGCTTTTGCTTTTTTGAGGGAGAAGACAATCAAGTGTGAAGCCAGGCAAACCTTTGAACATTGTTATTAAGGCAGAAAAAGCCTTCTTCCTCTACTTTCCCATCCTCTCCTTCCTCACTGTCTGTTTCTCCCTCTCTGTAAACACAATGGGACATTTCATTTCAAGAGTGTGTCTTGTTGAGGTGGGGCAGAAGGGTTTGGTGGTTTTATCAGACTGTTTAACCATAAAACGTTTTTCATCCCTGTGTTCCTGTGCCCCACCATTTCAGGCACTTGGTATTTTTACTGCCTCACCCCCATCAACAGAGAAAAGGTGGATTTGATGTCATTTATTATATACTTTAAAGTAATTTTATTTTGCTGAATTTGTAAATACATGCAAATGAAATATTTTAGAGCTACAAAAACAACCATGGCCAGATATGTATGAACGAGGTCTTTCCCAGTCCCCCTCTGGGTTTTGCACAGATTTATTCTGAGGGTCCCTTAGTCCAAACTGGGGGATCCGCAGACAAAGAGATCAATATTTTTCTCTTCTAAATTCAAAAGGCAAGGTGCAGGTATGAGACATTAAAGTTTGAAAGAAGACGCTACTGGGAACATTTTTTTCCTTCTACTCCACCCCTATCCAGAATAGAAAAAAGACCATCTAAACAAGAGTGGAGAGGAGTTTGGAGAAAAAGTAGAGTAGGTTGTAGTGTATGGGCTGGGCCTGTGCTCTTCCCTTGCCCCAGACTGAGTGTGAGGAGTGGTGAATAAGAACACCACAAACCTGTCTGTACGTATGGGAATCCCAGAGCTGAGAGGACACGTGTCTCCTTTTCTTAGTGTCACCAAGATGACTGCAAACCCTGTAGAGAGGCCCTTCAGTGCTGTGGAGTGGAAAACTTGGTTTCACATGTTTGGCCTTGCTTGTTGGAGAAATTCAGACCCCTGAGTTTCTCTTAGCCCTAAAATGGCATGAGAGGACATCTGAAATTATCAATTATTCTTGTTCCCTTCTTAGATTCTTGCTTGTCTTCCTTTTCATCATTCTGATCTATCTTTAAGAGAGGTCACTTTTCAAATTCTATCTTTAAGAGGTTTTAGGTCTCAATATATTGGGTTTTCCCTTCAATATGGGTCCATTTTGGACTCTAAACCTCAAGTTTCCTTTTATGTGGTTCCCTCTTTACATTTATTCCTTGATACTTTCCCAGACCTGTTTCCAGAACCAAAACCATCTCTTCATTTAAAATATTCTGAAATTTCTTTATCTACTCCCTTAAGTCATTTCACTCTTTCTGAGCCAATTTGATTTTCCAAGATTTTACTGATTGGCCCTTAGCTTTGTGATAATGTCCTTCAGCATTCCTTCCTCTTTGGTGCAGTTGGCAGTTTCATGTCCAATATATTAGGGCCCCAGTCATCACTGCCATTCTTTTCTTTTCTCTTCTCTTCTCTTTTCCCTTTCTTTTCCTTTCCTTGCCCTGCCCTCCCCCATCCCCCCTCCTCACCCCTCCCCATCCCCCTCTCCCCTCCCCACCCCCCCTTTCTTCTTTTCTTTTCTTTTCTTTTTTTTTTTTTCCTCTTTTGAATATTTAATTTGGAATGAAATTGGCAATCATACAATATAACAATTGTATATGTTCAGGTTTAAAAGATAGAGTCAAACACTTTTCCAAATTGATGGTAACAGTTTATGTTCCCAAGAGCAGTGTATGAATGTTCCAGTTGATCTACATTCATGATGTTTGTCTTTTTTATTTTAGCCATTTCAATGGATGTGTATTGGTATACTATCGTGGTGTTAATTTCCTGTTCTCAATTGACAAGTGAAATGGACTACATTTCACATGCTTCTTAGCCATTTGGATATCTTTTTTGTGAAGTGCCTGTTCAAGGTGTTTGCCCATTTTTCTTTTTTCTTTTTTTGGAAAGGAAAAAATAAATCTCTCTTTGCTAGAAGATTTATAATCACCTATATACAAAATAAAAAAACTATTTAAAACGCTACTAGAAATAATAAGTGAGTTTAGGATAATTTGAGGATAGAAACTCAATATACCAAAATCAATTATACTTCTACATACTAACAGTGAACAATCAGAAAGTTTAAAAGTTTAAATGCTATTTACAATAGCTTCCAAAATCATCAAATACATAGAAATAAATCTAACTGAATCTGTGCAAGATTTGTATAATGAAAATTACAAAACCCTGAAGAGAGAAATTAAAGAATACTTAATAGAGAGATATACTATATTATTGGATTAATATTGGGAAGATGTCAATTCTGCCCAAATTGATCTTTAGATTTCTTTCTTTCTTTTTTTTTTTATTGATCATTCTTGGGTGTTTCTCACAGAGGGGGATTTGGCAGGGTCATAGGACAATAGTGGAGGGAAGATCAGCAGATAAACAAGTGAACAAAGGTCTCTGGTTTTCCTAGGCAGAGGACCCTGCGGCCGGCCTTCCGCAGTGTTTGTGTCCCTGGGTACTTGAGATTAGGGAGTGGTGATGACTCTTAACGAGCATGCTGCCTTCAAGCAGCTGTTTAACAAAGCACATCTTGCACCGCCCTTAATCCATTTAACCCTCAGTGGACACCGCACATGCCCCAGCAAGCACAGGGCTGGGGGCAAGGTCACAGATCAACAGCATCCCAAGGCAGAAGAACCCCTCCCAGTACAGAACAAAATGAAGTCTCCCATGTCCACTTCTTTCTACACAGACACAGCAACAATCTGATCTCTCTATCTTTTCCCCACCTTTCCCACTTTTCTATTCCACAAAACCGCCATCGTCATCATGGCCCATTCTCAATGAGCTGTTGGGTACACCTCCCAGACGGGGTGGTGGCCGGGCAGAGGGGCTCCTCACTTCCCAGAAGGGGCAGCTGGGCAGAGGCGCCCCCCACCTCCCTCTTGGATGGGGTGGCTGGCCGGGCGGGGGCTGAACCCCCACCTCCCTCCCGGACGGGGCGGCTGGCGGGGCGGGGGCTGAACCCCCACCTCCCTCCCGGACGGGGCGGCTGGCGGGGCGGGGGCTGAACCCCCACCTCCCTCCCAGACGGAGTGGCTGCCAGGCGGAGACGCTCCTCACTTCCCAGACGGGGCGGCTGCCGGGCGGAGGGGCTCCTCACTTCTCAGACGGGGCGGCTGCCGGGCGGAGGGGCTCCTCACTTCTCAGACGGGGCGGCTGCCGGGCGGAGGGGCTCCTCACTTCTCAGACGGGGTGGCTGCCGGGCGGAGGGGCTCCTCACTTCTCAGACGGGGTGGCTGCTGGGCGGAGACACTCCTCACTTCCCAGATGGGGTGGCTGCCGGGCGGAGGGGCTCCTCACTTCCCAGACGGGGTGGCTGCCGGGTGGAGGGGCTCCTCACTTCTCAGACGGTGCGGCTGCCGGGTGGAGGGGCTCCTCACTTCTCAGGTGGGGCGGCTGCTGGACGGAGGGTCTCCTCACTTCTCAGACGGGGTGGCCGGGCAGAGACACTCCTCACCTCCCAGACGGGGTCGCGGCAGGGCAGAGGCGCTCCCCACATCTCAGACGATGGGCGGCCGGGCAGAGACGCTCCTCACTTCCTAGACGGGATGGCGGCCGGGCAGAGGGGCTCCTCACATCCCAGACGATGGGCAGCCAGGCAGAGACGCTCACTTCCCAGACGGGGTGGTGGTCAGGCTGAGGCTACAGTCTTGGCACTTTGGGAGGCCAAGGCAGGCGGCTGGGAGGTGGAGGTTGTAGCTAGCCGAGATCACGCCACTGCACTCCAGCCTGGGCAACATTGAGCACTGAGTGAACGAGACTCTGTCTGCAATCCTGGCACCTCAGGAGGCTGAGGCTGCTGGATCACTCGCGGTTAGGAGCTGGAGACCAGCCCGGCCAGCACAGCGAAACCCCGTCTCCACCAAAAAAATATGAAAACCAGTCAGGCGTGGCGGCACGCGCCTGCAATCGCAGGCACTCGGCAGGCTGAGGCAGGAGAATCAGGCAGGGAGGTTGCAGTGAGCCGAGATGGCAGCAGTACAGTCCAGCTTCGGCTCGGCATCAGAGGGAGACCGTGGAAAGAGAGGGAGAGGGAGACCGTGGGGAGAGGGAGAGGGAGAGGGAGAGCGAGAGCTTTTCTTTCTTTCTTTCTTTTTCTTTCCTTCCTCCCTTCTTTCTTTCCTTTTCTTTCCTTCCTCCCTTCTTTCTTTCCTTCCTTCTTTCTTTCCCCTCTCTCTTTCCTCTCTTTCTTTCTTCTTCTCCTCTTCCTCCTCCCCCTCCTCCTCCTTCCCCTTCTCCTCCTTCTCCTTCTTTCTTCTTTCTTTCCTCTTCTTCCTTCTTCTTTCTTCTTCTTTTTTCTCCCTTCCCCCTTCCTTTTTCCCCTTCCCCCTTCCTCCTTCCTTCTCTCTCCTTTCTCCCTCTTCTCTTCCTCCTTCCCCTCCTTTCTTCTCCCTTTCTTCTCTTCCTCCTCCTCCTCATCTTCTTCTCCTCCCCCCTCCTCCTTTCTTTCTTCTCCTTCTCCTCCTCCTCTTTCTTTCTCTTTCTTTCCTTTCTTTCCTTTATTTCTTCCTCCTCCTCCTTCTCCTCTTCCTTTCTCCTCTTTTCTTCTTTCTTTTTCTTTCTTCCATTTGTTCTTTCTTCCTCTCTGTCTCTCTTTCTTTCTTTTGTCTTTCATTCATTTGTTCTTTCTTTCTCTCTCTTTCTTTTTTCTCTCTCTTTTTTTTTCATTTGTTGTTTTCTTTCTCCCTTCCTTCCTTCCTCTTTTCTTTCTCCCTCCTCCTCTTCATGATCCTCCTTCTCCTTCTTGTTCTTTTGGCTTATTGGTAAAATCTACTGCTCCTTTCTGATTGAACCCATAGCTTTGGGTCAATGAATTACAAAGTTAGAGTTTCAGTAGGATTTTTGAAGTAACTACCTCCTCACCTTAACCGAAACTAGACTTTTCCTGAATGATACTACTTTTCAGCAGTTCCAAGTACAGGTTACACATTCTCCCTCTGTTGTGTTGTGGCTAGAGGTGCGTTGAACATGATTTTGTTGCTCACCACTGTGGCTTCTTTCAATAAACACTCCTTCATTGATGCACATACATTCCACCCTCTTTCCATCCTTACTTTTTCCTTGACTGATCTCCTTCCCCTATAACCACATAATCTTCAGTGAAGACTTTGGCAACTGTCTATTTCTTTCCACCCTAGCTATTATAATCATTCTGGAAAACTTCAACAGTCATGTTGGTGATGCATCTGGATCCATCATTTCTTACACTCTATTGATCTCTACCTCCACTCTACCTCAGCCAGCTATTCAAATGACCACCCCCTGGACCTTGTCATCAACCATAACTGCTCCACCTCTGAAGCTGTGAACCCTGAAATGTCACTCATTGATCACACAGAATGGCCTTTTAGCTCTCCTACTCTTAAGTTCCCACTAAGCCTGTTCTTAAAAAATAGTCTTTTTATTTTTATCTTGAGTAATTGCATGGCTACCATCTAGAGCTGACAGTAGTAAACTTTTTGTTGTATTTGCTTCAGGTCTTATTAAAATGAATAAAACATTGCAGGTAAATTTAAGTCTCCTGTGTTTCTCACCCCCAAGTTCTAATCTTTTTTTTTTCTTATCAGAAGTACCACCAAAATTAATTTGGTAAATATGTGTGATGTATGTGTATAAATATATGTGTATATATATGTATAAAATATGTAACTACATTTTAAAATTTATGTAATGTAGTGTACATATTAATAGTTTGCAACTTGATTTTCACTCAAAGTTATTATGTTTTTAAAATCTATGTGTATATATAATAGTTATTTTCTTCTAGGTGCACTGTAGCTTTCCAATATAAGAATATAGTATACTTTATCCATTTTCCAAATTCACTATTACAAACAATGCTGTATTAAACACCCTTGTAAATGTCTTCCCAAACAAAATAGGTCAGTGTAGTGCCATGGCTAAGGTAGCACCACAGCTAGACTATATGGCACCTTTGTGTGAATAAGAAAGACTTCCTCTTTTTATGGACCTAGTCCTCTGAGCTCACAGCTTGGCAAATAGAAAGTGCCTGGGGCAAAGATAAAAGTACTGAGGTGGATGTAGCTTTTAACTAGGTATGCATGGATTATTAACTGGGACATGGATTGGATTTCTGTGCCAACTTGCTTCCTCTTGGCACCACTGGGACAGTGAATGAATTGCATAGCCACATGTGGTGCCCTGGGTTAAGAACAAAAACTTTAGAGTCTCATTGCTTGGTTTCAGTAGCAGCTATGTGACCATAGCAAATTACTTAACCTCTGTGCCTCATCAGTAAAATGGTGATCTGGAATGGTCTATCTCCTAGGGTAATTGAGAGAGTTATACATAGTAGTGCTTAGTGCATAGTATGTTTTATATAACTATTAGATATTATTATCACAAATATAGATAAACCTTGGAGATATTGCAGGTTCAGTTCCAGACTACTGCATTAGAGAGAATATTGCAATAAAGTGAGTTACATGAATTGTTTGGTTTCCCAGTGTGTATAAATGTGTGTTTACACTGTAGAGTAGTCTCTATTGAGTGCTCAATAGCATTATGTCTAAAAAAGTATACATTCCTTCATTGAAAATACTTCAATGCTAAAAAATGCTAATGAACCTTCAGCAAGTTGTAATCTTTTTTCTGGTGAAGGGTCTTGCCTTGATGTTGATGGCTGCTGGCTGATGAGGGTGGTGGTTGCTGAAGGTTAGGGTGGCTGTGGCAATTTCTTAAAGGAAGACAACAGTGAAGGTTCCTGTGTTGACTGACTCTTCCTTTCACGAGAGATTTCTCTCTAACATGCAGTGCTGTTTGATACAGTTTTACCCACAGTATAATTTCTTTCAAAATTGGTCAATCCTCTCAAACCCTGCCACTGCTTTATCAACTAAGTTTATGGAATATCATAACAGTGTTCATAGCATCTTCACCAGGTGTAGATTCCATCTCAAGAAATCACTTTCTTTGCTCATTCATAACCAACTTCTCATCTGTTTAAGTTTTATCATGAGATTGTAGCAATTAAGTCTTTAGGCTCTACTTTTTAAAAAAAAATTTTTAATCAATTTGTTTTTATTGTTTTTTATTTGACTTTTAAGTTCTGGGGTATGTGTCCATGATGTGCAGTTTGTTACCTAGGTAAATATGTCAGGCTTTACTTCTAATTCTAGTTCTCTTGCTATTTCCACCACATCTGCAGTTACTTCTTCCACTGAAGTCTTGAATCTCTCAAAGTAATCTATTAGGGTTAGAATCAGCTTCTTTCAGACCCCTGTTAATATTGATATTTTGACTTCTCTGTGAATCGTGGATGTTCTTAATGACTTCTAGAATGGATAATCCTTTCCAGAAGATTTTCAATTTTCCTTACTCAGATCCATCAGAGGAATCACTATTTATGGCAGCTGTAATCTTCCAAAATGTATTTCTTAAATAAGAAGACTTGAAAATTGAAATCACTCCTTGATCCATGGGCTGCAGAATGGATGTTGTGTTAGCAGGCACAGGAAAAACATCGTTGTACATTTTTATCCGAGCTGTTGGATGACCAGGTGCATTGTCAATGAGCAGTAATATTTTGAAAGGAATCTCTTTTTTCTGAGTAGTAGGTCTCAACAGGGGGCTTAAATAGTTAGTAAACCATGCTGTAAACAGATGTGCCATCATCCAGGCTTTGCTGTTCCATTTATACAGCACAGAGTAGATTTAGCATGATTCTTAAGGGCCCTAGGATTTTCAGAATGGTAAATGAGCATCGGCTTCAACTTAAAGTCACCAACTGCATTAGTCCCTTACAAGAGAGTCAGCCTGTCCTTTGAAGCTTTGAAGCCAGAGAATTGACATCTCTGTAGCTATAAAAGTCTTAGGTGACATCTTCCTCTGATAGAATGCTGTGTTATCTACATTGAAAATCTGTTGTTTAGTGTAGCCACCTTCATCAATTATCTTAGCTAGATCTACTGGATAACTTGCTGCAGCTTCTCCATCAGCATGTGCTGCTTCACCCTGCACTTTTATATTCTGGAGATGGCTTATTTCCTTAAACCTCATGAACCAACCTCCGCTAGCTTCAAACGTTTCTTCTGTAACTTCCTTACCTCTCTCAGCTTTCATAGAATTGAAGAGAGTTAGGGCCTTACTCTAGATTAGGCTTTGGTTTAAGATAATGGTGTGGCAGGTTTGATCTATCTAGATCACTAAAACTTTCTCCAAGTCAGTGGTAAAGCTGTTTTGCTTTCTTATCATTCATGTGTTCACAGGAGTAGCACTTTTAATTTTCTTTAAGAATTTTTCATTTGCATTCACAAACTTGGCTAACTGGCACAAAAGGCCTAGCTTTTGGCCTCTCTCTGCTTTTGACATGCTTTTCTCACTAAGTTTAATCTTATTTATTTATTTATTTATTTATTTTTGAGATGGAGTCTCGCTCTGTCGCCCAGGCTGGAGTGCAGTGGCATGATCTCGGCTCACTGCAACCTCTGCCTCCCAGGTTCAATCAATTCTCCTGTGTCAGCCTCCCGAGTAGCTGGGACTACAGGTGCCTGCCACCACGCCTGGTAAATTTTTGTATTTTTAGTAGAGACAGGGTTTCACCATATTGATTAGGCTGGTCTTGAACTCCTGACCTCAGGTGATCTGCCTGCCTTGGCCTCCCAAAGTGCTGGGATTACAGGTGTGAGCCACCGTGCCCAGCTCTTATTTTTTATTTAAAGTGAGAGACATGTGGCTGTGCCTGGTGGCTCATGCCTGTAATCCCAGCACTTTGGGAGGTCGAGATAGGTGGATCACTTGAGGCCAGGAGTTCGAGACTAGCCTAGGTAACATAATGATATCCCATTTCTACAAAAAATTTAAAAATTAGAAGGGCATGGTTGTCTGTACCTGTAATCCCAGTACTTGGGAGGCTGAGGCATAAGAATCGCTTGAACCCGGGAGGCAGAGGTTGCAGTGAGCCGAGATCTTGCCACTGCACTCTATCGTGGGCAATAGAGTGATACTCTGTCTCAAATAAATAAATAAATAAATAAATAAATAAATAAATAAATAAAATAAAGTGAGAGACATGTGACTCTTCCATTCACTGAAACACTTAGAAGCCATTGTCTGGTTACTAACTGGCGTAATTTCAATATTGTATCTTAGGGAATAGATAGGCCTGACTAGAGGGAGAAAGAAAGGGGAGCAGCTGATCACTGGAGCAGTAAGAACACTCATTTATCGATTAAACTCTCTGTTTCATATAGGAAAGGTTTGTGGTGCCCTCAACAATTACAAGTGTAACAGCAAAGATCACTTATTACAGATCACCATAGCAGATATAATAATAGTGAAAAAGTTTGAAATATTGTGAGAATTACCACAATGTGACACAGAAACATGAAGGGAGCACATGCTGTTGGAAAAATGGTGCCGATGGACTTGCCAGACAGGGTTGCCTCAAACCTTCAATTTGTACAACACACAGTCTGTGAAGCACAATAAAGTGGAGCACAATAAAATGAAGTATGTCTGCATGCAAACTCCTCTGAGGTATACGAGTAGGAGTAGAACTGCTGGTAGACAGGGTATGCACATTTCAAAGAAATCTGTTCCTTATCCTGTCTCTATTTTTTCAGTCTGCCAGTCCCCTTCCTGCCTTCTTTCATATCTATCTAGGATTCCATCATCACACTTTTGAAGTTGTGGGCCTCAATCATGTTATAATGCATTGTGATTGTTGTCAGCAATTGGTAAGCATCTCAAAAAAGAACAAACCAAGTCACCCAGATCACTCCCCAAAGTGGGCAGAAGAGAAAAGGATTGGGTTAAAGGTTGCAATAACAGTGACCCCCTCCTGCCAGGCATGATGAATCTTCCTATCTAGACAAACTTGCTTTAATCTCCTTTTGTTTCCCACTCTACTTCCTTTGAGAGATGTCAGAGATAATGATGGTGAGTGGGCTAAATTCACTTTCTTCCTCTCACTTCCTTCTCCACTTGGCTCTTAGCTTCACCTCCACTACTCCCCATGCACACATGCCTTCAGATATAATATTTACAGCTACTTATTGCCTTTTATTTGCTGTGCTCTCACTGCTAATTATCCTACATTATGTTTCATTCTCTTTGGTTTTGTTGCCAAGAAATATCCCTATATCCTTACTCCCTGCCATCCCTTGCTCTTAGAAATCTGGTTTTCCTTTAATGATGCTGTTTTCCTTTTTCTGTGAAGTGGAGCCTGGCTGTTCTGGTGAAGTCACTGTGGGCTAGTAGATTGAGAATGAGTTCATAGTCACACTTGAGTTCAAATCTGAACTACATCATAGGTGAGCTGTGTGTCCTTGGATTTATAACCTCAATTTGCATACTGAGGAGAAGTTTAAGGATCTCTGCATCAAAGAGTTATTGTGAAGGCAAAAAAGGGGTAAGTAATGAGACATTGGTACATAGCTCCTAGTATATTCCATATTGTTAGTTTTATTTTACCTGAAAAGTTGCTACTGCTAACAAGGCCCATCTTTCCTACAATAATGGAGTCGAGAGTGTAAGGTCTTGCCTAGGGGAAATTTGGCTATAAAATTATCCGTCCCTTCACACACATATAGTTTGGGCCAAGGAGGGGGCCTGTAAGGGAGCAATTCCCAACCTTTTTGGCAGCAGGGACTGGTTTCATGGAAGTCAACTATTCCATGGATGGGAGAACAGTGGGGGTGGGATGGTTTAGGGATGAAACTGTTCCATCTTGGATTATCAGGCATTAGATTCTCATAAGGCACATGCAACCTAGATCCCTCCTGGTGTAGTTCACAATAGGGTTCGTGTTCCTATGAGAATCTAATGCAGCTGCTGATCTGACAGGAGGCGAAGTTCAGGCAGTAATGCACGGTGGGCTGCCACTCACCTACTGCTGTGTGGCCTGGTTACTAACAGGCCACAGACTAGTACTAGTCTGTAGCCCAGGGGTTGGGGACCCCTGCTGTAAGGGTTTCTGGTTTTTCCTCCCATACCTATAACCTTCTCTACAGACCATTATGTGTCCTTGGACCCTTCATTTTTCCTTGTACCTGCCCTGCCAGTCTCAAACCTGGGATTAACCTAATTCCATTTTTTTTTTTTTTTGGCTTCTTCTGCCAGGCTGTTAAGATGGCAAATATCACATACATGGTGCCTTAGCTTATTTCTACACATTTATTATATTAACCTTGCCCACACTCTGAATATTGCCTGGCAATCCCTTTCATCATACCTAGGTGGTTTCTTTTACCAGACCCCTCAGCTGGAATTTTCAGACCTTTCCCTTTTCAGATCTTTCTAAGCCTCCTGCTTCACTCCCTCCCCATCTTCCTTTTAGTAGATCACTTTACTTCCTTCTTTGTTAAGATTGGGAAGTGATTCAAAAAGAATGAGGAGTCAGGCTACCAAGATTACAGTTAGTCTATTCATGTGGATGAAAAAATTTCCTCCATATCATTATCATACTTGTAGGTGTCAGTGTTGCAAAAGTCAGGGATGAAGTTGTTTACATTAGAGAGTTAGCAATTTATAGGAAAGGGCTCAAGGCTTCATTGATTTGGAAGACTAGGTAGAATCTTCTTCCTCATTTTTAGCTTATCTCAGGGTTGTAAAGATTTTTGTTTTTCCTCTCCAATGGTGCGACTTTATATGCTTAGTCATAATGGTGGTTGGGCAAGGAGTCAGTTTTGTTGTCTCCATAGGGGCCAACGGATGTGAATTCTCCTAACTTTGTTTCTAAAAGGAATCAACTAGGTCATGGACCACTAACATACAGATTCCTGGGTCCCATCTACTAGAAATTTGGATTTAGTTGATCTGGGATAGAGGCCATCAGTTTGCTTTTTAAATAATTACCATAGGTGATTCTGATGCAGCTCATCCTAGGAACCTCTTTTAAAAACATGGAGGTAATTGTATTTTTGCTGAATTTTAATCTCCTTTTTGTTTCAAGAGTATATGAGGTATTCTTTTCCTTTCCAAGACTGATTTCTCTATGTGTATATTTGATTCAATTTCTGTCATTCCTTCTAGGTCCTTGATCCAACAACGATTCCTTTCTCTGTATCAACAGATTCTTACTTTCTATAAATCACCTTCCACTTGACTTAGAACTGTTATTCACATTCAGTAAATTTTTATTGCATGCTGCCTGTGTTTCCAGCATATATTTTAATTTCTTCCTTTATAAAGGATTTTTCTTTCTTCCTTGCCTACTCTCTTATTTCCTCTTTACTACAAACTTTTTAAAGAATCTTTTCACACTGATATTTAATAAGAATTATAACAACAAGTAGTAATAAAGATAGCCACTAATATTTATTAGATGATTACTGTGGACCAGACACTTTTCTAAGTACACTATATATATTAACTATGTAGCAGACAGTTCACAAATTAATTAAAAATATATATATTAGGATCTGTTTCTGGGCTATTTATTGTTATATTGATCTGTATTATCTACTCTTCTGCCAATATGCTATCTGGCAGAAGAGTATTTATAATAACTTTATAAAATGCATTTTATCTTCCATTACTTAGTGAAATTCCCTCTCTTTGGGTTCTAGAACACCATTTTCTCTGCCTCTCCTCCAACTTTGATTCATCTTTATCAGTGTCCTTCACTGACCTTTCTTCTCCGCCTCCTTCATGTGATTCTATTTAAAGCCCTTTACAGCCTGCCTCCAACTTGCTTTTCCAGCTGCAGTTCCTGATACTGGTTTTTCTACATGCTTCAGCCAAAGACATATACTCTTTGATCCCTGAGAACACTATTTCCTCAGTGTCTTTGCACATGGAGTTCACTTCTCTGCTTGTGAAGTCTATGAATATTGCATGGCTGATTTGTCACAATTTTAAGTCTTCAACATCTGGAGTGTTCTGGCAAGAATTTGTAGGTAAGGACAAACCAAGGTGGGTGGTGATGCTCAGGAGCCCTTTGTTTCTAGGGTAGAGCACACAGAGTCAGGGAGTCTGAGAGAACAGGAGGGGTAGAGGAAGAGGGCTGAGACAGGCTATTGAAGGAATTGGGTATCAGATACTTATCTTTCAAAAGATACCAGACTGTGTGTGATTGTTTATTATTAGTCCCTGGTGACCTACAAAGTAAGGCATGCATTAAGGAGGTCAAGTCAGAAAATGCCACCCTCTGGAATTGAAACTAATGAGAACTGTTAAATGTGATGAAATAAATAAAATGTGAAGAGATGAGTTATCTGCAGCAGGAGTCCACCCTTGGAAATTAAGTGCTGCTAATGAGCAGGGTGTTCCTCAAGTCTCTCTCAAGACATTAAGTTTGGTTGCATTGAAGCAGGAAAGGGGGAGTCTGAGGATGAGTACTAGTTGGTGTGTCTCCAGCAGTGTCCAGAAGAGTGGATTGCACCAGTCCTAGTTGTTTGACTGTAGTTGTTTAGAGAAAAATATTACTGAAGCACAAGACAGTGTTATGTTAGCAAACACATATGTTTTGGAGTTAGACAGATTTAGGTATAAAACCTGACTTTACTAATATAATATACTTGACCTTTTAAAGTCTCAGTTTGCTCTTCAGTAAAATAACATTTATAACCACAGGGTTGCTATGAGAATGAAATTAAACAATAAATAAATATATGTCAAGTATATAGCACATAATGTAATGTTCCCAGTTCATAAGATGTTCAATAACAATGCTGCTTTTGTATTTTTCTATCCCTTTTAGGAAAAATTTTTGAATCATCAGATTACCATAGCACAACCTTGGAGAATAAAACTCTTTTGCTCTGAAGCTCATCTAATAACCTGATATCTCTCAAATGAATCTATCCAATGACAGGGAATACCCCATGTTAAACAGCTGATTCTTGTTCTGAATACGTTTATTATCTTGTAGTTAGTAAATAAATCAATTGGACCCTTAAGACTTTGCTTAGAGTGAATCTGTCTCCCAGAGCTTGATCACATTTGAATGTACAGACAAAAACTAACAAAAGTGAGATCCATCTGGGGATGAGGTATTGGGATTCTGTAAGATCCTGCCTGAAACAGCCCACCTCTTTCTCTTTTCTTATTTTAGCTGTAACATTATGGTTCTTAAGTTTCTAGAGTCATAACAAGGAAAAGAGAAACATTGTGAAAAACTTGGCTTAACTATATAACTAAGCATTTATTGGGAATTTGTTTGCTTTCTCTTATTAGAAAAATTTTCTTGCCCCTTACCCCTTGGAAGGCAAAGAATAAGGTTGGGGTGTTGCCCAGAAAAAGGGTCAGGGTTTGGTTCTCATTCTTATATACCCAGAAATGCACTCATATCAGTGCCCCAGAGTTGATCAGACTCAGGAAAACTGTTTCATTGTAACTGAACTCATCAGGGACTGAAGTATAAAAACCAGAGTGCCATTTTATTAATTTACAGTCAGAAATGCATTATCAGAAACACTGGGTATTTATATTAATCTTGCTGATGAATGCTTTCTCCTTTTGGGAAAATTATGGAAAGCCAAATTTTCTTTTTTTAAAAAATTTTATTATTATTATACTTTAAGTTTTAGGGTCCATGTGCACAACGTGCAGGTTTGTTACATATGTATACATGTGCCATGTTACTGTGCTGCATCCATTAACTCGTCATTTAGCATTAGGTATATCTCCTAATGCTATCCCTCCCCTCTACCCCCACCCCACAGCAGTCCCCAGTGTGTGATGTTCCCCTTCCTGTGTCCAAGTGTTCTCATTGTTCAATTCCCACCTATGAGTGAGAATATGCGGTGTTTGGTTTTTTGTCCTTGCAATAGTTTGCTGAGAATGATGGTTTCCAGCTTCATCCATGTCCCTACAAAGGACATGAACTCATCATTTTTTATGGCTGCATAGTATTCCATGGTGTATATGTGCCACATTTTCTTAATCCAGTCTATCATTGATGGACATTTGGGTTGGTTCCAAGTCTTTGCTATTGTAAATAGTGCCGCAGTAAACATAATGTGTATGTGTGTCTTTATAGCAGCATGATTTATAATCCTTTGGGTATATACCCAGTAATGGGATGGCTGGGTCAAATGGTATTTCTAGTTCTAGATCCCTGAGGAATCGCCACACTGACTTCCACAATGGTTGAACTAGTTTACAGTTCCACCAGCAGTGTAAAAGTGTTCCTATTTCTCCACATCCTCTCCAGCACCTGTTGTTTCCTGACTTTTTAATGATTGCCATTCTAACTGGTGTGAGATGGTATCTCATTGTGGTTTTGATTTGCATTTCTCTGATGGCCACTGATGATGAGCATTTTTTCATGTGTTTTTTGGCTGCATAAATGTCTTCTTTTGAGAAGTGTCTGTTCATATCCTTCACCCACTTTTTGATGGGGTTGTTTTTTTTTTTCTTGTAAATTTGTTTGAGTTCATTGTAGATTCTGGATATTAGCCCTTTGTCAGATGAGTAGGTTGCAAAAATTTTCTCCCATTCTGTAGGTTGCCTATTCACTCTGATGGTAGTTTCTTTTGCTGTGCAGAAGCTCTTTAGTTTAATTAGATCCCATTTGTCAATTTTGAGAAAGCCAAATTTTCTAGAAGGCCCCTTGGTGTGTTTGAAGTCTGTGGCAGAGGGTGTGTTGTGTGGTTCAGCTGATGAATATCATTAGGCACTCATGTGGTGAGACATTTATTTAAAAGACTAGGACATGCTGGACCAGATACACCAGTGGACTAGCTTGTCAGAACACTCTCCCTTGAGCAGTCCTTGATGGGCATTCTAACATTGTTCTTTGTGTTCTCCTTTTTCTTACAAAATAATTTAAGATTTACAAGTAAGTGTAGATTTACAAGTCAGTGAATGATATAATGAATACCATCTTCTTAAGAAAACTTTTGGTATTGTTTACTCGATCTCAGTTCCATTTTCTTCCATCCTTCCAGAGGTACACACTGTCTTGAATTTGCTGTTTATCATTCCCATAAAGATTTTTACATTTACCAAATATGTATTAACCACAAACAATATATGGTATTGTTATGTATATTGTAAACCTATATAAATGGTATCACACCATGTATACTTGTTTTGCAACCTTTTCACTTGGCATTACACTTTTGGAATTTGTCCATGTTGATATATACGTACCTGTAGCTCATGAATTTTAACTGCTATATAGCATTTTAGTGTGTGGGTATATTACAATTTATCCATTCTTCTATTGAACTTTTAGGTTGTTTGTAACATTTTGCTGTTACAGACTTGTCTGTGGTTGCCAGATTTCCTCTTAATTAGGTATCAGTTCAGACTCCTGCTGCTCAGTATCCTCCCGACACTGGATATTGCCAGACTTTAGTTTTTTTCTGATCCGATGGGTATGAAATGAATTTCATTGTGTTTTAATTATCTATTTCCCTGAGCATTGTTTTAAAAATGTCACTTTGCCATTCAGATTACCTTTGGTGAATTTTCTTTTTATAAGTTTTGCTGTTTCTTTTTAATTTTTAATTTTTATAAATTTTGGTGAATTTTCTAAGTTTTGCTGTTTTTTAAATTTTTAATTTTTATAAGTTATTTACATAATCCGGCTATTGATCATCTGTTGTTTATAGGCATTTCAAAAATGTTCTTGGACTCTGTGGTTTGTCCTTTTTACTTTTTGAGATTGTCTTTGGATTTACAGACATTTGTAATTTAATTATAGTAAAAGTCATGAGTCTTTCCTTGGTGGTTTGTATATTTCTTGTTTAAAGAATCTGCACTTATTTCAAAGTCATAAAGATATTCTCCTATATTTTCTTTAAAAATTTTTAAAAGTTTGGCTTATCACAGTTAGGTTTTTATTTACTTGGAAGTGATTTTTGTAAATGGTGTGAAATAGAGATAATTTTTTTCCTATGGAAAATTTATTACCTTGGCACCATTTATTGAAAGAGTTGCCTCTCTCCACTGATAAGCAAAACCACTGCTCTTGTATATCAAGTATGCATGGATCTGTTTCTGGAGTCACATTGCTCTGTATATCTGTTCCTACAACAATACTGCACTGTTTTAAATCATATAACTTTGTAATATATTTTGATATCTGATGAGATGAAACTCCTCCCCTTCTGTATCTTGGTGGCTCACATAATGCCAGCACTTTGGGAGGCCGAGGCGGGCAGATCACCTGAGGTCAGGAGTTCGAGACCAGCCTGGCCAACATGGTGAAACCCTGCCTACTAAAAATACAAACATTAGCTGGATGTGGTGCTGCCTGCCTGTAATCCCAGGAGACTGAGGCAGGGGAATCACTTGCACCCACGAGATGGAGGTTGCAGTGAGCCGATATTGTGCCACTGTACTCCAGCCTGGGCAACAGAGTGAGACTGTCTCAAAACAAAAAACAAAAAACAAAAAACAAAAAAAATTCGTGTGTCAAGTTGCACAGAAAGCCTTTAAACAATCAACTTTATTGAGATATAATTTCCACATAATATGTACGATTATGTAAGTTTTGACAAAAGTATATATATATGTAACTACCATTATAATCTACATATAGATTTATTCCATCACCCTAGAGTGTTCCTTTGTGACTCTTCCAGACAGTTCACAAGTTCTACTCCCAGCCCTAGTCAACCACTGATCTACTTTCTATTTTTATAGATTAGGTTTGTTTTAGTAAGTTTCATATAGATGGAATCATAAATATGTACTCTTTTGTGGATGGCTTCTTTTGATCAACGTGTTTTTGAGATTCATCTGTGTTACATGTATCAGTAGTTTATTCTTTTTTTCCTTGCTAAATAGAATTCCATTGTATAGCCATACCACAATTTGTTTATCCAGTCATCTGTTCGTGGACATTTGGATTGTTTCAAGTTTGGGGCTATTATTAAAGCTGCTATAAACATTCATGTAAAAATCTTCAATGTAGACATACGTTGTCATTTCGCTTGGGAGTGGAATTGCTAGGCCCTATAGTAAAGTACACAATCGTGTTGCTTAACAATGGGGGATATGTTGTGAAAAATGCACCCTTAGGCAAACATCAGAGAGTGTACTTACACAAATATAGATGGTATAGCCAATAAACAACTAGGCTATATGGTATAGATTATTGCTCCTAGGCTACAAACCTATACAGCATGTTACTGTACTGAGTACTGTAGGCAACTAACACAATGGTAAGTGTGCATCTAAATGTATCTAAACATAAAGAAGGTACAGTAAAAATATGGCATAAAAGATAAAAAAGGTACACTTGTATAGGGCACTTACCATGAATAGAGCATGTAGGACTAGAAGTTGCTGTAGGTGTCAGTCAGTGAGTGGTGAGTGAATGGGAAGGCCTAGGACATTACTGTATACTACTGTAGAGTGTGTAAACACTATACACTTGAATTACACTAAATTTATAAAAGAATTTCTTCCTCCAGTAAAAATTAACTTTAGCTTACTGTAAATTTTTAGGTTTATAGACTTTTACATTTTTAAACTTTTTGACTCTCTTAATTAACACCTAGCTTAAAGCACGAACACATTGTATAGCTGAACACAAATATTTTTTTCTTTACATCATTATTCTGTAGGCTTTTTTCTGTTTTAAATTTTTTTAAAAAACTTTTTTTGTTAAAAATTAAAACTAACACTAAAAAGTTTTTGTTAAACCAAGACAAATATCGCCTTCTACCTCCATATGTTGTCTCCCTCTAAGGGCTTCAGGGACAATAAAATGTATGGAGCTGACAGCTCCACATTATTGTGTGTGATTTTGGTGTCATATCAAAAAAATCATTGCCAATACCAGTGTGATGGAATTTTGATCATTTTAAAATGAAGTAGTTTGTCTTATTGAGTTTTAAGAATGCTTTATCTATTCTTCATTGTGAAAAATAGAATATTGGGAAATCGCTGTTTGGTTTGGTTTCTAGGATGACCATCTGTATGTAAGAAGTGAAATGAAGCACAGATGAGAAAAGTCTTAGTATTTAATCAACATTTATTTATTGTCAATTTTAATACAATCCGGTTGTTTGAATCCAAAGACTTGAAACAAATGTGTTACAGTCAAATTAAGGAACTATGTAGCAGTGACAGATACTCTTCCTTTTCATCTGGGCATGGATGATATTTTTTCAGGTGGAAACGTTATTGAACTACAGTAGTAGGTGGAAAGCATTGTATTTCCATGGAATAACTCCTCAATATATTTCCCAATATTGAGCAGCCTCTTAGAAATAGGGAGCAAGATCTTTCTGCTGAAAACAAGCTAAAGCCCACATTTGAATGTTTTTTTTTTTCCTGAAATGATAAATCCCTATTCTTTATGAAATAATGCTCTTGCTCACTGGCTTGGGAAAAGACCCTGATGCTACTTTTTTATGCCACTAATTAACTTACTGATTAAATATATACCCAAGAAAAAGGACTTGATGGTTTTGATAAGTAAAGACACTACCGCTGCTGCATCTTTGCTTTCAGAGCCTTCACCTTCTGCCACAATACCAAAAATTGGGACACACCAAACTTGGGGCACACTAAAAATTAGGGTACACTAATTGCTGTAAAACAAAGCTTTGTATCTAGGACTGGTAATGCATTTGTAATATTTTGCTTCTAAGAAATGTAAGGTTAGCTTTGGCACCATCTATAAATGAATGATGAGCTCTCAAAAAGACAACTCCAACTAAACCCAAAGCTCTTTAAAAGCTTTTCATTATTCCTCAAAGTTTAACCCTCATTCTAACAAGTTATTCCACTCAGTATTTTCTAACAAAGTAGCACAAATGCCTAACAGTCTTTGGAAGGAACCCCATAACAAGATATATGCTACAGTTTTAGGCTCTAAAGAAAGAGACAGAAATGCATTGATTCACTTTTAGAACGAATTTCATGATGGATTGCTTGTCTTTCATGATGAATTCATAGATGACTTTCCTATTTCTTAAATTGCTACTTGAGTAAATTGCATTTATGTTTATTATTCACTGATAAAAGTAGCACCTCTGCTCTTGGACATATTCATAGGGTGAAGTGCTACTAGGAAAACTGAGAAAATATGAGCCAGAACTTCCCCCATCATGGTTACTTCCTCCTTTGCAATAAGAATACCCATCTTGCCCTGAGCCACTTCCATGCTGACTATAACCAGAGGACTGTCCTGAGCCAGACCCATGTTGGCCGTAGCTGGAAGACTGCCCTGAACCAGACCCGTGTCGGCCGTGGCTAAGAGACTGGCCAGATCCAGCCCCATGTCGGCCATAGCCAGAAGACTGACTGGAGCCAGAGCCACGGTGGCCATAGCTGGAAGACTGGCCTGTGCTAGATCCCTCCTGGTCAAAGGTTGATGACTGTCCTGATGTAGAACCATGCTGTCCTTGGCTACAGAAGTGCCCTGAGCCACTACCATGCTGACTGTAAGCAGAGGAATGTCCTGAGCCAGACTCATGTTGACCAAAGACAGAAGAGTGACCCAAGCGAGACTCATATGGGCCACGGCTGGAAGAACGACCTGAGCCAGACCCATGTTGGCCGTGGCTGGAGGAGTGCCCCAAACCGGACCCATGTCGGCCGCGGCTAGGGGACTGGCCAGATCCAGACCCTTGTCGGCCGTGGCCCGAAGACTGACGGGAGCCAGACCCATGCTGACCATAGTGGGAAGACGAACCTGAGCTAGATCCGTGTCGTTCACCCCTAGATGACTGTCCTGATCTAGAGCCGTGTTGTCCGTAGCCAGAGGAGTGACCTGAGCCAGACCCATGCTGACTGTAACTAGAGGACTGCCCTGAGCTAGACTCGTGGTGACCAAAGCCAGAAGACTCGCCTAAGCCAGACCCATGTTGGCCACTGCTGGAAGACCGACCGGAGCCAGACCCATGTCGGCCGTAGCTGGGAGACTGCCTTGACCCAGACCCACGCTGGCCGTGGCCTGGAGACTGGCCAGATCCAGAGCCCTGTCGGCCATAGCCAGAAGACTGACTTGAGCCAGAGCCATGCTGACCGTGGCTGGAAGACTGACCTGAGCTAGCTCCATGTTGGCCACAGCTCGATGACTGTCCTGATGTAGAACCATGTTGCCCATGGGTAGAGGAATGACCTGAGCTAGATCCATGTTGACCGTAGCCAGAGGACTGTCCTGAGCGAGACTCTCGGTGACCTAAGCCAGAAGAGTGACCGGAGCCAGACTCATATGGGCCACGGCTGGAAGACCACCCTGAGCCAGACCCATATGGGCTGTAGCTGGAAGACTGCCCAGAACCAGACCCATGTCGGCCACGGCTAGGGCTAGGAGACTGGCCAGATCCAGACCCATGTTGGCCGTGGCCCAAAGACTGACGGGAGCCAGACCCATGCTGACCATAGCTGGAAGATGAACCTGAGCTAGATCCGTGTCGTTCACCCCTAGATGACTGTCCTGACCTAGAGCCGTGTTGTTCGTAGCTGGAGGAGTGACCTGAGCCAGATCCATGCTGAGTGTAACCAGAGGACTGCCATGAGCTAGACTCGTGGTGACCAAATCCAGAAGACTGACCTGAGCCAGACCCATGTCGGCCACTGCTGGAAGACCAACCGGAGCCAGACCCATGTTGGCCGTAGCTGGAAGAGTGCCCGGAACCGGACCCATGTCGGCCGCGACTAGGAGACTGGCCAGATCCAGAGCCCTGTTGGCCATAGCTAGAAGACTGACTTGAGCCAGAGCCATGCTGACCGTGGCTGGAAGACTGACCTGTGCTAGATCCCTCCTGGTCAAAGGTTGATGACTGTCCTGATGTAGAACCATGCTGTCCTTGGCTACAGAAGTGCCCTGAGCCACTACCATGCTGACTGTAAGCAGAGGAATGTCCTGAGCCAGACTCATGTTGACCAAAGACAGAAGAGTGACCCGAGCGAGACTCATATGGGCCACGGCTGGAAGAACGACCTGAGCCAGACCCATGTTGGCCGTGGCTGGAGGAGTGCCCCGAACCGGACCCATGTCGGCCGCGGCTAGGGGAATGGCCAGATCCAGACCCTTGTCGGCCGTGGCCCGAAGACTGACGGGAGCCAGACCCATGCTGACCATAGCGGGAAGACGAACCTGAGCTAGATCCGTGTCGTTCACCCCTAGATGACTGTCCTGATCTAGAGCCGTGTTGTCCGTAGCCAGAGGAGTGACCTGAGCCAGACCCATGCTGACTGTAACTAGAGGACTGCCCTGAGCTAGACTCGTGGTGACCAAAGCCAGAAGACTCGCCTAAGCCAGGCCCATGTTGGCCACTGCTGGAAGACCGACCGGAGCCAGACCCATGTCGGCCATAGCTGGGAGACTGCCTTGACCCAGACCCACGCTGGCCGTGGCCTGGAGACTGGCCAGATCCAGAGCCCTGTCGGCCATAGCCAGAAGACTGACTTGAGCCAGAGCCATGCTGACCGTGGCTGGAAGACTGACCTGAGCTAGCTCCATGTTGGCCACAGCTCGATGACTGTCCTGATGCAGAACCATGTTGCCCATGGGTAGAGGAATGACCTGAGCTAGATCCATGTTGACCGTAGCCAGAGGACTGTCCTGAGCGAGACTCTCGGTGACCTAAGCCAGAAGAGTGACCGGAGCCAGACTCATATGGGCCACGGCTGGAAGACCACCCTGAGCCAGACCCATATGGGCCGTAGCTGGAAGACTGCCCAGAACCAGACCCATGTCGGCCACGGCTAGGGCTAGGAGACTGGCCAGATCCAGACCCATGTTGGCCGTGGCCCAAAGACTGACGGGAGCCAGACCCATGCTGACCATAGCTGGAAGATGAACCTGAGCTAGATCCGTGTTGTTCACCCCTAGATGACTGTCCTGACCTAGAGCCGTGTTGTTCGTAGCTGGAGGAGTGACCTGAGCCAGATCCATGCTGAGTGTAACCAGAGGACTGCCATGAGCTAGACTCATGGTGACCAAATCCAGAAGACTGACCTGAGCCAGACCCATGTCGGCCACTGCTGGAAGACCAACCGGAGCCAGACCCATGTTGGCCGTAGCTGGAAGAGTGCCCGGAACCGGACCCATGTCGGCCGCGACTAGGAGACTGGCCAGATCCAGAGCCCTGTTGGCCATAGCTAGAAGACTGACTTGAGCCAGAGCCATGCTGACCGTGGCTGGAAGACTGACCTGTGCTAGATCCCTCCTGGTCAAAGGTTGATGACTGTCCTGATGTAGAACCATGCTGTCCTTGGCTACAGAAGTGCCCTGAGCCACTACCATGCTGACTGTAAGCAGAGGAATGTCCTGAGCCAGACTCATGTTGACCAAAGACAGAAGAGTGACCCGAGCGAGACTCATATGGGCCACGGCTGGAAGAACGACCTGAGCCAGACCCATGTTGGCCGTGGCTGGAGGAGTGCCCCAAACCGGACCCATGTCGGCCGCGGCTAGGGGACTGGCCAGATCCAGACCCTTGTCGGCCGTGGCCCGAAGACTGACGGGAGCCAGACCCATGCTGACCATAGCGGGAAGACGAACGTGAGCTAGATCCGTGTCGTTCACCCCTAGATGACTGTCCTGATCTAGAGCCGTGTTGTCCGTAGCCAGAGGAGTGACCTGAGCCAGACCCATGCTGACTGTAACTAGAGGACTGCCCTGAGCTAGACTCGTGGTGACCAAAGCCAGAAGACTCGCCTAAGCCAGACCCATGTTGGCCACTGCTGGAAGACCGACCGGAGCCAGACCCATGTCGGCCGTAGCTGGGAGACTGCCTTGACCCAGACCCACGCTGGCCGTGGCCTGGAGACTGGCCAGATCCAGAGCCCTGTCGGCCATAGCCAGAAGACTGACTTGAGCCAGAGCCATGCTGACCGTGGCTGGAAGACTGACCTGAGCTAGCTCCATGTTGGCCACAGCTCGATGACTGTCCTGATGTAGAACCATGTTGCCCATGGGTAGAGGAATGACCTGAGCTAGATCCATGTTGACCGTAGCCAGAGGACTGTCCTGAGCGAGACTCTCGGTGACCTAAGCCAGAAGAGTGACTGGAGCCAGACTCATATGGGCCACGGCTGGAAGACCACCCTGAGCCAGACCCATATGGGCTGTAGCTGGAAGACTGCCCAGAACCAGACCCATGTCGGCCACGGCTAGGGCTAGGAGACTGGCCAGATCCAGACCCATGTTGGCCGTGGCCCAAAGACTGACGGGAGCCAGACCCATGCTGACCATAGCTGGAAGATGAACCTGAGCTAGATCCGTGTCGTTCACCCCTAGATGACTGTCCTGACCTAGAGCCGTGTTGTTCGTAGCTGGAGGAGTGACCTGAGCCAGATCCATGCTGAGTGCAACCAGAGGACTGCCATGAGCTAGACTCGTGGTGACCAAATCCAGAAGACTGACCTGAGCCAGACCCATGTCGGCCACTGCTGGAAGACCAACCGGAGCCAGACCCATGTTGGCCGTAGCTGGAAGAGTGCCCAGAACCGGACCCATGTCGGCCGCGACTAGGAGACTGGCCAGATCCAGCCCCATGTCGGCCATAGCCAGAAGACTGACTGGAGCCAGAGCCACGGTGGCCATAGCTGGAAGACTGGCCTGTGCTAGATCCCTCCTGGTCAAAGGTTGATGACTGTCCTGATGTAGAACCATGCTGTCCTTGGCTACAGAAGTGCCCTGAGCCACTACCATGCTGACTGTAAGCAGAGGAATGTCCTGAGCCAGACTCATGTTGACCAAAGACAGAAGAGTGACCCGAGCGAGACTCATATGGGCCACGGCTGGAAGAACGACCTGAGCCAGACCCATGTTGGCCGTGGCTGGAGGAGTGCCCCAAACCGGACCCATGTCGGCCGCGGCTAGGGGAATGGCCAGATCCAGACCCTTGTCGGCCGTGGCCCGAAGACTGACGGGAGCCAGACCCATGCTGACCATAGTGGGAAGACGAACCTGAGCTAGATCCGTGTCGTTCACCCCTAGATGACTGTCCTGATCTAGAGCCGTGTTGTCCGTAGCCAGAGGAGTGACCTGAGCCAGACCCATGCTGACTGTAACTAGAGGACTGCCCTGAGCTAGACTCGTGGTGACCAAAGCCAGAAGACTCGCCTAAGCCAGACCCATGTTGGCCACTGCTGGAAGACCGACCGGAGCCAGACCCATGTCGGCCGTAGCTGGGAGACTGCCTTGACCCAGACCCACGCTGGCCGTGGCCTGGAGACTGGCCAGATCCAGAGCCCTGTCGGCCATAGCCAGAAGACTGACTTGAGCCAGAGCCATGCTGACCGTGGCTGGAAGACTGACCTGAGCTAGCTCCATGTTGGCCACAGCTCGATGACTGTCCTGATGTAGAACCGTGTTGCCCATGGGTAGAGGAATGACCTGAGCTAGATCCATGTTGACCGTAGCCAGAGGACTGTCCTGAGCGAGACTCTCGGTGACCTAAGCCAGAAGAGTGACCGGAGCCAGACTCATATGGGCCACGGCTTGAAGACCACCCTGAGCCAGACCTATATGGGCCATAGCTGGAAGACTGCCCGGAACCAGACCCATGTCGGCCACGGCTAGGGCTAGGAGACTGGCCAGATCCAGACCCATGTTGGCCGTGGCCCAAAGACTGACGGGAGCCAGACCCATGCTGACCATAGCTGGAAGACGAACCTGAGCTAGATCCATGTTGTTCGCTCCTAGATGACTGTCCTGACCTAGAGCCGTGTTGTTCGTAGCTGGAGGAGTGACCTGAGCCAGATCCATGCTGAGTGTAACCAGAGGACTGCCCTGAGCTAGACTTGTGACCAAAGCCAGAAGACTGGCCTGAGCCAGACCCATGTCGGCCACTGCTGGAAGACCGACCGGAGCCAGACCCATGTCGGCCATAGCTGGGAGACTGCCCTGACCCAGACCCACGCTGGCCGTGGCCTGGAGACTGGCCAGATCCAGAGCCATGTCGGCCGCGGCCCGAAGCGTGATGGGAGGCAGACTCATGCTGACCATAGCTGGAAGATTGACCTGAGCTAGAGTCATGTTGGCCGGAGCTTGATGACTGCCCTGACGTAGATCCATGTCGTCCCTGGCTAGAGAAGTGACCTGAGGCAGAACCATGCTGACTATAGCCCTGTCCTGAGCCAGACTCGTGTTGCCCAAAACCAGAAGCCTGGCCTGAGCCAGACTCATAATGGCCACAGCTGGAAGAACAACTTGTGCCAGACCCGTGTTGGCCGTGGCTGGAGGAGTGCCCTGAACTGGACCCATGTCGGACACGGCTAGGAGAGTGGCCAGATCCAGACCCTTGTCGGCCGTGGCCCGAAGATTGATGGGAGCCCGACCCATGCTGACCATAGCTGGAAGACAAACCTGAGCTAGATCCGTGTTGTTCACTCCTAGATGACTGTCCTGACCTAGAGCCGTGTTTTCTGTAGCCGGAGGAGTGACTTGAGCCAGATCCATGCTGACTGTAACCAGAGGACTGCCCTGAGCCAGACTTGTGACCAAAGCCGGAAGACTGGCCTGAGACAGACCCATGTGGGCCATTGCTTGAAGACCAACCGGAGCCAGACCCATGTTGGCCGTAGCTGGAAGAGTGCCCAAAATCGGACCCATGTCGGCCGCGACTAGGAGACTGGCCAGATCCAGAGCCCTGTTGGCCATAGCGAGAAGACTGACTTGAGCCAGAGCCATGCTGACCGTGGCTGGAAGACTGACCTGAGGTAGCTCCATGTTGGCCACAGCTCGATGACTGTCCTGATGTAGAACCATGTTGCCCATGGGTAGAGGAATGACCCGAGCTAGATCCGTGTTGACCGTAGCCAGAGGACTGTCCTGAGCGAGACTCTTGGTGACCTAAGCCAGAAGAGTGACCGGAGCCAGACTCATATGGGCCACGGCTTGAAGACCTCCCTGAGCCATACCCATGTGGGCCATAGCTGGAAGACTGCCTGGAACCAGACTCATGTCGGCCACGGCTAGGGCTAGGAGACTGGCCAGATCCAGACCCATGTCGGCTGTGTCCCAAAGATTGACGGGAGCCAGACCCATGCTGACCATAGCTGGAAGATGAACCTGCACTAGATCCTTGTCGTTCACCCCTAGATGACTGTCCTGACCTAGAGCCGTGTTGTCCGTGGCCGGAGGAGTGACCTGAGCCAGATCCATGCTGAGTGTAACCAGAGGAATGCTCTGAGCTAGACTCGTGGTGACCAAAGCCAGAAGAGTAGCCTGAACCAGACACATATGGGCCACTGCTGGAAGATCGACCAAAGCCAGTCCCATGTTGGCCGGAGCTGGGAGACTGCCCTGACCCAGACCCACGCTGGCCGTGGCCTGGAGACTGGCCAGATCCAGAGCTGTGTTGGCCGCGGCCTGAAGAGTGACGGGAGGCAGACTCATGCTGACCATAGCTGGAAGACTGACGTGAGCTGGAGCCATGTTGGCCAGAGCTTGATGCCTGCCCTGACGTAGATCCATGTTGTCCCTGGCTAGAGGAGTGACCTGAGCCAGAACCATGCTTACTATAGCCAGAGGACTGTCCTGAGCCAGACTCATGTTGCCCAAAGCCAGAAGTCTGGCCTGAGCCAGACTCATAATGGCCACGGCTGTAAGAGTAACTTGAGCCAGACCCGTGTTGGCCGTGGCTGGAGGAGTGCCCCGAACCGGACCCATGTCGGACGTGGCTAGGAGACTGGCGAGATCCAGACCCTTGTCGGCCGTGGCCCAAAGACTGACGGGAACCAGACCCATGCTGACCATAGCTGGAAGACGAACCTGAGCTAGATCTGTGTCGTTCACCCCTAGATGACTGTCCTGACCTAGAGCCGTGTTGTCCGTAGCCAGAGGAGTGACCTGAGCCAGATCCATGCTGACTGTAACCAGAGGACTGCCCTGAGCTAGACTTGTGTTGACTAAAGCCAGAAGACTGGCCTGAGCCAGACCCATGTGTGTCATTGCTGGAAGACTGTCCGGAGCCAGAGCCGTGTTGGCCATAGTTGGGAGACTGCCCTGACCCAGACCCACATTGGCCGCGGCCTGAAGACTGATGGGAGTCGGAGTTTTGCTCACCATAGCTGGAAGACTGACCTGAGTAGGAGTTATGTTGGCCAGAAAAGTCTCTTTGAAAACTCAGTCTTCTGGATATGGATTCAGTCCCAGGTTTAAGACTTCCTCTGACGTTTCTGGAATAGGAATCATTCTCTCCTGCACTCCAACTTGAATGACTAAAAGAGGATTCTTGCCGTTTGTTCTCCTCTTTTTCAGTTTCTTCTTGTTCCTCTTGGTGCTGGTGAGTGTCATCTCTCAGCTTTGACCCTGAAACTTGGCAGTAATCTTTGCCAATGATTTTATTACGAGCCTGAACCAGCTTGAATATCATCAGAAGATACTCAGTAAAATCCACTTTCTTGTTATGGTCTCGATCCAGACTTTGCAAGATGATATCCACAGTATCTGGATCGTTTGGATTCTGTATAAGAGAAAGGTACAAAGAGTAGCTCTGTTAGTATGGACAATACATCTGGCTAACGAACTGAAGGAAAGATGTGAAAATGTAAATGTTTGGGTTATTTATATGGAACTCATTCACACAGTCCTTTAGGCTGCATTTCTGTATCCTGAGCAGAAAGAGAAAAAGGAATATGGAATGAATAATGTGGTGGGAAACAGCTAGAATAGGATGCAACTGGAAGATGAAAGGAAACAAGAGGGCTGATTATTTTTGGTAAAGAATGGGTCAAATATGAATGATTAGCTAATTTATAAGTAATATGTTTTTATACCTACATTAATTATATCAACTTTATTTATCCAATTAAATTAACTAGCTACTTAATTTACTCACTGAACAAAGATTTATTATTTTACTAGTTGCCTACCATTATGTCATATGAGAGTATAAAGAAGTGAACAAGTTTGCTTCCTGAAAAAAAATGGAATTTAAAGTTTAGTTGGCCAGATATACAAACTTAAAATTATAATTTATTGTGGTAAGGTTTCTACAAGAGTACATCAGAGAGGAAACATTGGGGGTCCTAGAAAGGTTAATGAGAGGAAATGATGCCTTTTGAAGGATGGATTAGGATTAGCCAAATGAAGAAGTAGGAAGAGAAAGAGAAGGGGAAAAGATTGTTCTAGGCAGAGGGAATTATATGAACAAAGGGCTAGAGGTGAGAGAAGTTATGGAGCATTCAAGGAACTGAAGGAAATTCAGGATTGCTAGATTTAGAGTTTGAAGAGTCAAGAAATGTGGATAGAGAGACAAATAGGGACTAGATTATGACTTTTAAGTTATGTTAAGGAACTTTGTACTTCATTTTAAGAGCAATTGGGAACTATTGAAGGATTTTTAGCTGAGGAGTGAAATGATTATATTTGCATCCAATGCTGAGAGTAGAAGTAGTAGGTGGCCTGAACCAGAGGACTAATAATAGTGATGAAGAGAAATGGGTTGTTTTGAGAGATTATTGATGAGTTAGATGGAGGTTAGAAGGTAGTGGTGTCTGCTGAGAGAGAGACAATAAAAAATGACACCAGGTTTTTGCTTTGGGCAAAAAGATGAAGGAAAAAGGTTAGTGGGGAAGATTATGAGATTCATAGCTGACACACTGAATATCTGACATCTGATATCTGAATATCATATCTGAAATCCACAGAAATCCAAATTTAAGGAATTGAAACTCAGGAGTCTGATATAAGGTCCCAAATATCTAAGCTATCAAATCTAGACCTGACAGTTTTAAGGTGGTGGACACATTCTTTTGTGATTCAGGAGTAAATGCCAATTTCCTGAACTCAGAAATCTACTTCACAGTTTTTCTGAGGACTGTCTGGGTTTGTAGGAATTAGTCACTTAGATAGGACATTATTTAACCTGTGGGTTTTGTTTGTTGTTTAGTAAGGTCACTTCCGTTAGTTATGCTATGGAAACCATCACGGATCTGCTTTTGACCTTATCTCAAACTTTTACCAAACCCTGTTCTCTCTCACCAAGTAAGGACAATCCTCTAGGATGTTTGACATATGTGACAAGAAGGTGGAAAGGGATAAAGAAGAAAATTCCTGCATAACTCCATCCTGGCGTGGAGTTCTTACCTTCAGAATTTGATGAAACTCATTTTCCAGAAGTTCTTTCAGCTCTGCCTTGTTCAACGTATCATACTCCCCATGCTGGGTGGCATATTGGTAGAAAACATCGATGACAGTGATGACGCCTTGTAGGAGTTTAGGCATTTTTTTTTTTGCAAGTTTGAGTAACCTAAAGGGAGGAAAAAGAGAGACCAACCCCTTACTATTCTTATTTCTTGTTTAAACACATAAATAGTTCTAATTATTTATAATAATTGTTCAGAATTAGTCAGTCATGATTAAATTCATTCTGTTGTAATCAAGAACCAATTCAGAGTTGAATGACTTGTTCAAGCCATGTAGCAAGAGAGTGATGAAATTAGGAATATAATCCATAGGTCTTATTTCCATTCCTGAATGAATGTAGGAAAAATGACTTTCTGTTTTTGGCTTCCTGCCATTACCAGGGATAATATTAGCTTTGTTCTGGAGCTGTAGAAGTCCTGAGTGTTCCACTTCATCTGCTTCCTCTTTCTAGGTTCGAAGCATACTGTGGGCATAGGTCCATCATCTACATGACATGCCTTACTCAACCTAAGGAGCATCAATGGCTGAACTGAACTCTCAAGACTTCTAGGTCAGAGAAAATAGACAATGTGAGCAAAGCCAACAAGCCTAGGTGATATGAAGCTAAGGGTAACTGCTATTAGATCCAGCTTCTGTTCTCATTCTCCAAGCAGGAAGTGACCCTCAGACCTTATTACACAATAGAGAGGAAAAGCTCAGTTGTAAAGAAGGCAACCTGCCTGTGGATAATTAGAACCCCATGATATCCATGTTATAAGGGAAGCGACCTCAAAGAAAGGAGATAATATACATAGTCCTAGTCTTTGTTTCATTTTTCTTTTCAGTAAATTTAAACTTATACCAAAGTTCCCCAGAGTATACTAAAAAGAAGCCTTGTATCTAGTGCCTCTTTGCCTTAGAGCACATCCTGGACTTTCATAATTTATAGCCCTAAGTACCCTTGAGCGGAGTTGAACTGCTCACTTACCTAGCTCACCAGAGGAACAAGTAGGGTAGAGACAGAAACAGCTTTCAGGGTGCTGCGAGTTGGGCAGAGTGGCCTTTTTATAGAGGGAATAATGGTCCCTCTTAGGGAGGAGTTGCTAATTTTGAGATGTCCTAATTTACTCCTAAACAAGCCCATCTCCACCTCTATCTCCACCTCCCAGGTGTTTACCTTCTTCCTGACTTCCTTACAGGTTCACCTAAGATTGCATTAGCAGTTCCCAAATCTGGGCTACTCTCAGCCCCACCTGCCAAAGGGTCAGGACACTGCAGAAAGGCCTGTTTTTGTATTCATCAAACTATCTAGCACAATATATTGACAACAAATTGTGTGGATTTTAATAGAAGTTGAATGGAGTGTGTGCAGGGACATCATGGCCCAAATGTCAAAAAATCATGGAAATTGATGATTAAAAGGACTGTAAAGATCATCTAGTCAAACTCTCCCATTCTAAGCTAAATGTTCTTAAATGGTATTCCAGCCAAAGTGTCATCTTTGGTATTGTTATTACCTTTTGAATTGGATAATGGCTCCAGGCCATCCTTTAACTCATTAAGTACCTCAATTTACCAGACCCCTTATTGGCCATTCATCACCATAGCTTTCATTTCAAACACCATATAACCTTAGGAAGAAATGCGTGCTTGTTAGCATGGTATCCATGGTTCCTCATGATCTGGGCTGTGGCTTTTTTCCAGCTCCATTTCTCCCCTCCATATTTCTCTTTGTACTCCAACAGTAATTAACTAGTAATATTTCAAACTTCCTCAATATACCATGGGATATGTTATTTCATATTTTTTCTTAGAATGTCTTTCCTCATTGTCTGCCTAGTGAACTAATTATTCTTCAAAATCCAATTTAGGCTTCCCATAGAAAATCTTTCCTGAATTACTCAAGAGGGAGTTGTAATTGTGTACCTTATTCATATTTATTGTTGTATCAATCATACTATATTGTAATCTTTAAAAATTGTTTTACTATACAATTATTGTTTAATATAAAAATTAGAAAATATTGATAAGCAAATAAGATAAAATCAAAATACCTTTAAAGCCACTAGCCAAAAATAACTACTGTTAGTTATTTGTTGTATATCCTTGCCTTTCACAAACACACACATTCACACACAGACACACACATTTGTCTATGGGCTTATTTCATTTCTAGGCTATGAGCTCCTTGAGAATAAGGAATGGACATTATTTATCCTTATGTCATTTGGAGACCTAGTATACTGCTTGTCACATAACGGTCTCCAATAAATGTCAGTTTGAATTCATTTGAAAGAGAAGCAAGGATCAAGACTATAGTCCTCTGCATTGGCCAACTTCCATCTTTTCACAGGAGGACTAGGGTCTGCCCTCTCTCTTGCCATCTTTGCCTCAGAGGACATGATTTTACCTGAATATAAACGGAATCTTAGCATTGAGAATCAATGAGTGGCTTTCTGCTTTTTTCTGAGGCCCTCGCTCTGCATTTCTTCCATTGTGAACATATAACACAAATTTCACTGAAGGTGTGTGAAGTTACATGGACTTAAAACTTGTGCAATATGGTCATCAGGATTTGAGAAGGTGTGGTAGCAACTGTTGGCAAGTGATAAATTACATGATTCCAAATTCAACTATTGTTAGGCTATGTGTTTTCTTTTAAGAATTGCCCAGAGGGCTGCAGAGTCAGTATCCATTCTGTAGCCGTGTTTCCTCTGGACATCTGATTGGGCCAGGTTTTCATGCTTCATCAGAACAATGACTTTTTAAAGGTGTGGCTGAGACTGTGGGAGTAAAGGGGGGTGGAATTTGCTGAGTGAAGACTGATTTCCTGCAGGAACCAGCTGTTGTCACGAAGGGAGGAGAGGGTTGTGAGAGAAGACTATTCCAGGTGAACGTGCTCTTGGGGCTAGTGTTCTCCTGAAATAGGGGCCAGCAAACTTTTTTTTTTGTAAAGGGCCAGATGGTACAAAATATTATCTCTGCAGGACAGATAGTTTTTGTTGCAACTACTCAACTCTGCTATTGTAGCATAAAAGCAGCCATAGATGATATGTAAACAAATGAGCATGGCTATGTTTCAGTAAAACTTATTTATCAATACTGATCTTTGAATGTCATATAATTTCACATATCATATATTTTTTCAACCGCTTACAAATGTAGAAAACCTTTTTATCCTGTAGGCTACACAAAAATGGATGACAAGCTAGCTATGAACTGCAGGCTGTAGTTTACCACTCTTTGCTCCTCTTCTGTATTTGCTTTTCAGGAAGATTCTCTGGGAGAGGAGGATCTGAGAGAAAAGAAGGGCTGAAAAGTGTGGGACATCAGAACCACTAACTCTTGCATGAGAGAACAAGAGTGAAGGTGAATTTGTAAATATCAGCATGTGTGGGGTGGTGGGGAAAGGGAACAGAACAAGGGACCTTTGGCTGCTCGTAAAAGGGAGATAAATTTTGATTTGATGTAAGGGAGAAATATTTAATATTTGCATTGACTGAAAATGCAGTGAGCTCTTTGTGAAGTAACTGAATTTATTGTCAAGTATCATATGAATAGTTTTTTACTATTAAAGAAAAAATTAATTCTTTCATTACGTTGTTTTCTGGATATGCTCACCAACTAGAATTTTGTTGGGCTTTTTTTCCTCGTTTGTATCATGAAAATAAGAAGCATATTACATATGCGTCTTGGTCTCTTCTCTCCCCATTGAGAATTACTTATTAAGAGTAGGACTAGATTATCACAAAAGTCACTTTCAAAACAGTTTCTTGTTTTTTTTAGAGTGTGTGCTCCATAGTAACAGAGTTGGACATGAAGATTCCTCCATCATGGGTTTGGTTAGTGGTTTTTCCACTTGGAGATGATAGGTTTCAGGAGAAAAGCTTTTCTATGGTATGTGCCATGTTCTAGGTTTTTGAGTGCCTTTCTCTGTGTGTTGGCAGAAGAATGAAAATTACATTCCTTTTTATGACAAGCACAGTGCTTTGTGTGTGGGTGTACATTGTTTCATTAATTCTTACAACAACCCTGTTATCTAGATATTATATTTCCATTTTGCAGATGAGAAAACTGAGGCTCAGATGAAATCTGTAACTTGTTTCAAGTCACTTAGCTGTTAAGTGGAGAAGACAGAATTCAAATTCAAATCTGCTTTTTCCTAGGAATAGTCAGCAAGTAGGGAAATATTCATGTCTTGGTAAAGGAAGGGTTTTGGAAACAGTTCTTCAGGAATGGAGTGTTTCACCTAGGAAAAACAAACAAACAAAACTAGCAAGGATAAACAGTGAAGTTCCAGTACCATCTGTGTGCACTCATTTTTTTCTGCCTGTCTGGAAGGCAGAGTAATGTGCCTATTGCACCATCTGCTGGGTCATAGGGAAATTCTAAAGCAGATCTTTTCTTCATTGCCTTTTCTGCCCTTTTTCCTTACAGAAATTATTTCATGGAATTTCTATAGTTCTTTGTAGCCTAGTCTCTATAAATGAGGAGACTATGTAAAAAATAGGGGTATGTATATAAGAGAAGGTTGATGGTCATGATTTTGGGTAAATGGAATCAAAAGAAGTTAGCTATAATATGAAACTGGTTAAATAGTGCTTCCTTCTATATCCTCTTTTGAGTCCTTTTTACTGTTATCTCAAAAAATAAAAAATGGATTCGATATAATTTTACAGCTTAGTATATATTCCCTGGGGATGAGACAGGCATGGTGACATATCTTTCAGCTTCAGACCCACACCCTGGAATATATTCTGCTTCAGTACTGGTCTGCCTATTGAGTTGTTTCTTTCTCCCTTAATATCCTCCATTTTCTCTTCCGAGAACTCCAAAATGCTTCAAATGCTGGGAATCCAGAGCTCATTCATACATGTATCCTTTTATTTATTCCATCAGTATCTTTCTCTAATATATATATATATATATATATATATATATATATATATATGAGAAAAAAATATATATATAGTTTTTTTTTTTGGGTCTCACTGTTGCCCAGGCTAAAGTGCAGTGGTGCAACCATGGCTCACTGCAGCTTCCAACTCCAGGGCCCAAGTGATCCTCCCACTTTAGCTTCCCGAGTAGCTGAGATTATAGGTGTATGCCACTGCATCTGTCTAATTTTTATATTTTTTTGTAGAGATGAGGTCTCACTGTGTTACTTAGGCTGTGTGTTCTTATCTTGATGTTTGATGCTCTTACTGGCTTGGTATTCATAGTCTCTATCCCTTAGTTCCTACTACCTGAAACATTCAGCATGCAGACCTGGTCCATTAAAGTGGACAAATGGAGAAGAGTGACTGGAAGCGATTCTCACAAACACTTCAAGTGTTAGAAATGGTACCAAAAAAAAAAAAAAAAAAGCTGAGATATAAGGACCTTGATTGTTGGAAATCAAATCCAGAACATTTGCCTTTCGATGTGCATGCGTGCGTGCGTGCGTGCATGTGTGTGTGGCAGGGGATAGTGGTGGGATAGCAGATAGAGAAGGGAGAGTGAGGCATTGTAGTATGAATGTAATGAGTAGCAAACTGATCAGACCTCTGTTTCCTTTCTGGCCTCATCTTTCACCACTCTCTCCCTTGTGGTACCCTGCTGAAGCCATATTAGCTTCCTTGCTATTCTCCAAAACCTCCAGGCATCCTTCTTTTTAAAAGAATTTTTGCCAGAAATGCTCTTCCCCTAAATGTCCATTTGGCTATATCACTTATCTCCTTCAAGTCTCTGCTCAAATACCACCTTCTCAATAAAGCCTACCCTGACCCTTCTATTTGATATATACTTCTAACATACCATATGGTTGGCTTATTTACTAGGTAAGGTTTTGAGCAGAGGAGTGGCATGATCTGACTCACTGCTATGTTGATACTAGACTGAGAGGTAAGATAGAATAAGGAAGATGAGTCAGAAGACAGATGAAGGAACGGAAGTAATCAAGGCTTCTGACTTGGATGGCAGTATGTATGGTGGTAACATTCACGAAGAACAGCAATACATTTTTTGCATTTTTAGTAGAGATGGGGTTTCACCATGTTGGCCAGGTTAGCAGGGCGTGGTGGCATGCTCCTGTAATCCCAGCTACTCAGGCGGCTGAGGTGGGAGAATTGCTTGAACCTGGGAGGTGGAGGCTGCAGTGAGCTGAGATTTTGCCACTGCACTCCGGCCTGGGCAATAGAGCAAGACCCCATCTCAAAGTAAATAAATAAATAAAAAGCAAAGCAATAAATGAGAAAGAGAAGGTATGAGATGAGGGGAAATAATGATGAATTATCATCTAATTTATTTCTATCATCCATTTCCATCTCTTAATAACTGAACTCCTTAAAAGAGCAGTCAGCACTCCTTGTCTCTGACTCCCGTAACTTTCACTTACTCTTCAACACTTTATAGGTTGATTTTCACAGCTTCTTTCAGGCTTTTTGAAGGGCTTTTCTTCCATGGTCTGTGCTTAAATGTTTTTACTCTCCAAAGCTCCATCCTTAGCTCTTTGCCTGTTTGGATCAGTTTCCAGTCTTACCATTTATAAAGTAGGGTAATGGAGCAGAATAGAGACAAGACACATTGTTAATTCATAAATTTTTGTTGGCAATATTTATGCAATTGGAATGTCAAAACTAGAGCGTTAGAAGCTCTGTCTATAAACTCAAGCATATTGCAGTCAGTCACAGTGATCTGATGATACTATAAGACTTAATACATTTCTGTACAAGTTATGTAAAATATAAAATTTGGCAGAAACTTCAAAACTTGAACTTTCATATTTAATGCTCTAGTTGAAACCCAACAACAAAATTTTTCTTTAATATTAAAATTTAAACTTACACCACTTACATATGCTAACTGAGGAGGGCAAGTATGCACTGTCCTTTAAAAGAAGATCAATATTAAGTAGAAGAATTAAGGTAGGATTACATTTTTAAAGAAAAGGTTAGAGCCAGATAACTTTGTCCTCAGAAAGAACTTGTCACAATAAATTCCTGTTTTTTATGTTTTTCTTCTCGTCTTGGTTTTTGAGTTAGTTCCTCTCCTGTTGGTGTCTCACTTATTAAGGTAATGGTCACATTGCTTGTCGATATATTTTTAGAGTGTAGCATTGTTATAAAAAATAGTAAAAACTTGTTTTTGCTTGCTTTCATTGTTACTTGCCACAGAGCTTTTTTTTTAAATTAGTATCTTCTGTGTACATGTCAATGTGATTTATAGATATTTAGACATTAACTGTTCAAATCCTTAGGTGAAATATTAGTATTTCTGTCTTACAGACAGTGAAATTGAGGTTTGACGATGTTAATTAACTTGCAAAATCACATCAATACTAAGTGGCAGAAGTAGAATTTGAACTCAGGTTTCTGACTTTAAATTAGGACTCTTAACTCTTAAAAGACTCAACTCTTAAAGTGACAATTACACTGGGCAAGAATATTTAACACATGCAGAATGTTAGTCTGAATCAACAGTATTGTGTATGTGGAATTGTGTAATTATACATGTCTTATAAAACTATCATAATTAATGATAATAATAGGCTTTATAATTATAATTTACTAACCTAAGTTATATAATATAAATATGGAGTTACTATTTGATTAGCAAAAATGTTAATTCCAGTTGTTTTTGCTTGCTTCTTTTTATGGTGTTGGAATTTTGCAAGGCTCTGTTTTAGATACACTTAGCTTTTTTTTAATTTTTAAAATTGATACCTAATAATTATACATATTTATTAGATACATGTGATATTTTGATACATGCATATGATGTGTAATAATCAAATTAGGGCAATCAGGGTATTTATCACCTCTAACTTTTATTATTTATTTGTGTTGGGAACATTCCAAATCTCTTCTAGCTATGTTGAAATAAATAATTAATTATTGTTAACTATACTCACCATAGGATGGTATCAAACACTAGAACTATTCCTTCTAGCTGTATTGTTGTACTCATTAACCAATCTCTCTTTATCCTTCCTCCTTTTTACCTTTCCCAGCCTTTGGTAACCATCATTCTACTCTACTTCCATGAGATAAGCTTTTTTAGCTCCCACATTTAGTAAGAACATGCAATATTTGCCTTTCTGTGCCTGGCTTATTTCACTTAACATGTCCTCCAGTTTCATCCATGTTGCTGCAAATTTCATTCTTTCTTAATGGCTAAATAATATTCCATTGTGTATATATACCACTTTTCTTTATCCATTCATCCTCTGATGGACACTTAGATTGATTCCATATTGTGACTATTGTGAACAGTGCCACAATAAATGTGGGTATGCAGATATCTCTTCAATAAATTGATTTTCTTTCTTTTGGATAAACACCCAGGAGTGGGATTGCTGGATCATATGGTAGATCTATTTTTAGTGCTTTGAGGAACTTTCATACTGTTTTCCATAGTGGCTGTACTAATATATATGCTACCAACAGTGTATAAGAGTTCTCTTTCCTCTGCATCCTTGCTAGCATCTGTTATTTTTTTCTTTTTAATAATAGACATTTTAACTGGGCTGAGATGATACCTCATTGTGGTTTTCCTTGATAATTAGTGATGTTGAGCATTTCTTCCTATGCATTTTGACCACTTAAATGTCTTTTGTGAAATATCTATTCAGCTAATTTGCTCACTTTTTAATTTTTTTCTTTGCTGTTGAGCTGTTTGGTTTCCTTATAAGTAATGGTTATTAATCCCTTGTCAGATGGATAGTTTGCAAATATTTCTTCCCATTCTGCAGGCTGTCTCTTCATTATGTTGATTGTTTCCTTTGCTGTGCAGAACTTTTTAATTCAATATAGTTCCATTTATCTATTTTTACTTTTGTTGCCTGTCCTTTTGAGGTCTTACCCCCCAAAAAATTTGCCTAGATGAATGTCTGAAAGTGTTTCCCCAATGTTTGCTGTCAGCAGTCTCCTGGTTTTAGGTATTACATTTAAGTCTTTAATCCATTTTGAGTTGACTTTTGTATATAGTGAGACATAGGGGTCTAGTTTCATTCTTCTGCATATGGATATCCAGTTTTCCCAGAACTATTTATTGAAAAAGATATTCTTTCCCCAATGTATGTTCTTGGCACATTTATGAAAATGATTTGGCTATAAATATGTGGATTTATTTCTGAGTTCTGTATTCTGTTCCACTGGTTTATGTGTCTGTTTTTGTGTCAATACCATGCTGTTTTGATTATAATAGACTTGTAGTAAATATATATTTTTAATTATACTTTAAGTTTTAGGGTACATGTGCACAATGTGCAGGTGTGTTACATATGTATAAATGTGCCATGTTGGTGTGACTTGTAGTATATTTGAAGTCAAGTAGTGTGATGCCTCCAGCTTTCTTCTTTTTGCTCAAGATTGCTTTGGCTATTTGGGGTCTTTTGTGGTTTCATACAAATTTTAGGAATGCTTTTTTCTATGTCTATGAAGGATGTCATTGGTATTTTCATAGGGATTGCATTGAATCTATAGATTTCTTGGAGTAGTATGGACATTTTAACAATATTAATTCTTCTAATCCATGAGCATGGGATATTTTCCCATTATTTGTCTCCTCTTCAGTTTCTTTCATCAGTGTTTTATAGTTTTTATTGTAGAGAACTTTCACTTCTTTGGTTAAATTAATTCCTAGACATTTAGGGTTTTTTTTGGTATTATTATAAATGGGATTATAAGATGGATTTCTTGGTTTCTTTTTCAGATTGCTTGCTGCTGGTGTATATAAATACCACTGAATTTTCATGTCGATTTTGTATCCTGCAACTTTACTGAATTTGTTTATCAGTTCTAAGAATTTTTTGGTAGAGTCTTTAAGTTTTCCTAAATACAAGATCATGTTGTCTGCAAACAAGGATAAGTTGATTTCTTCCTTTCCAGTTTGGATGCCCTCTGTTTTTTTCTCCTACCTAATTGCTCTGGCTAGGACTTCCAGTACTATGTTGAATAGGAATTGTGAAAGTGGTCATCCTTGTTTTGTTCCAGAGCTTAGAGGAAAGCCTTTATTTTTCCCCATTCATTATGATGTTAGCTGTGGATTTGTCATATATGGCCTTTATTGTTTCTTCTATACCCAGTTATTGAGAGTTTTTATCATGAAGCAGTGTTGAATTTTATCGAGTACTTTTTTTAGCATCTATTGAAATGATCATGGCTCTTGTTCTTGATTCTGTTCATGTGATGTATCACTTTTATTGATTTGCATATGTTGAAGCATATGCATAGGAAGCTTTTATTCCTAGGGTGAACCCCACTTAATCATGATAAATAATCTTTTTAATGTGTTGTTAAATTTGGTTTGCTAGTATTTTGTTCAGGATTTTTACATCTATGTTCATCAGGCATATTGGCCTGTAGTTTTCTTTTTTTGTTGTGTTTCTGTCTGGTTTGGGTATCAGAGTAATGCTGGCCTCATAGAATGAGTTAGAGAGAATTCCTTCCTCTTCAATTTTTGGGAACAGTTTTAGAAGAATTGATGTTTATACTTCTTGAAAAGTGTGGTTGAATTTGGCAGTGAAGCTGTCTGGTCCTGGACTTTTCTTTGTTGAGAAATTTGTTATTACTGATTGAATCTCATTAATCATTATTGGTCTGTTCAAATTTTCTTTTTTTTTTCCTGATTCAATATTGGTAGGTTGTATGTTTCCGGGAATTTATCTGTTTCCTCTAGGTTTTCCAATTTGTTGGCATACAGTTGTTCATTATGATCTCTAATAATCCTTTGTATGTATCTGTGGAATCAGTAATCAGTTGTAATGTCTTTTTTTCATCCTTGATTTTAACTGGGGTCTTTTCTTAGTCTAACTAATGGCTTCTTGATTTTGTTTATCTTTCCAAAAAACCAAATTATCATTTCATTGATTATATATATATAGTTATATATAGTTATATATAGTTATATATATAGTTATATATATAGTTATATATAGTTATATATAGTTATATATATATAGTTATATATATAGTTATATATATAGTTATATATAGTTATATATATAGTTATATATATAGTTTCAATGTCATTTTTCATTGATTATGTATATTATATATGCTCAATGCCATTTTTTCATTGATTATATATATAGTCTCAATGCCATTTCTTTCTGCTCTAATTTTTATTATTTCTTTTTTTCTACTAATTTTGGGTTTGGTTTGTTCTTGCTTTTCTAGTTTCTTGAAGTGCCTCATTAGATTGTTTATTTGGAGTCTTTCTACTTTTTTTGATGTAGGCCTTTATTGCTGTGACTTTACCTCTTAGAACTACTTTTGCCATATTCTATAGATTTTCATACATTGTTTATTCATTTTTTCCTCAACAAATTTCTTATTTTCTTCATTGACCTATTCATTGTTGAGGAGCATGTTGTTTAATTTCCATGATTTTGTGCAATTTCTATTGTTCCTTCTATTATTAATTTCTAGTTTTAATCCATTGTTGGAAAGATATTTGATATGATTTTGATTTTTAAAAATTTGTAAAGACTTGTTTTGTTCTTTGAAAGTTTAGTTGAATTTGTCAGTGAAGCCATCTGTCCTGGACTTTTCTTTGCTGGGAAACTTTTTATTACTGATTTAATCTCATTACTCATTAATTGACTGTTCAGGTTTTCTGTCTTCCTGATTCAATTTTGGTAAGTTGTATGTGTCCAGGAACTTACATATTTCGTCTAGGTTTTCTAGTTTGTTAGTGTATAGTTCATAATAGTCTCTGGTGAACATTTGTAATTTTGTGATATTAGTTGTAATGTCTCCTTTTTCATTTCTGATTTTACTTGAGTCTTTTTTCTTTTTTTCCTTGGTTAGTCTAGCAAGTGTTTTATTGATTTTGCTTATCTTTTCAAAAAACAACTTTTCATTTCATTGATCCTTTGTAACATTGTTTTAGTCTATATTTCATTTAGTTGTGCTCTGATCTTTACTATTTCTTTCTTTCTGCTGATTTGGGGTTTGGTTTGTTCTTACTTTTTAGTTCCCTGAGGTGCATTTTAGGATTATTTGAGATCTTTCTGTTTTTTTTTTTTTTGATGTAAGTGTTTATTGCTGTGAACTTATTTCTTATCACTGCTTTTGCTGTATCCCACAGATCTTGGTATGTTTTGTTTCACTTTTCATTTGTTTGAAGAAATTTTTTATCTCATGTTAATTTCTTTCATGACCCAGTGGTCATTCAGGAGCATGTTGTTCAGTTTCCATGTATTTGTACAGTTTCCCAAGTTCCTCTTGTTATTGATTTCTAGTTTTATTCCTTTGTAGTCTGAAAATATACTTGATATGATTTTAGTTTTTAAAAATTTATTAAGACTTGTTTTTTATCCTAACATGATCCATCCTGGAGAATGTTTCTCGTGCTGATGAGAAGAATGTGTATTCTGTAGCTATTGGATGGAATGTTCTGTAAATGTCTTTTAGGTCCATTTGATCTAGAGTGTAGCTTAACTCTGATGTTTATTGACTTTCTGTCTGCATGATCTGTCCATTGCTGAAGGTGGCATGTTTAAGCTCCCCACTATATTGTATTGCAGCGAATCTCCCTTTTAAATGTATTAATATTTGACTTATATATTTGGATGCTCTGGTGTTGGGTGCACATATATTTAAAATTGTTATATTGTTTGGTTGTATTGACTCCTTTATATCATTATGTAATGGTGTTTTTTGTCTTTTTTCAAAATCATTCGTTTTTTATTTTTTATTTTATTTTTTCACACATTTATTTCAGCAAAACATCATCCTTTGTATTAAGTTAACATTAATTTGGATTTTAGAGTTTATATGGTTTTGTTTTTATCTTTTATGTAAGTTAATTTTGGTTCTTCAGTTGTGTAAAAATTACAAGGGAAATGAATTTATATATAACTAGTTAAAACTGACACATACAGGATACACATTACAATAAAAACAATTTAAGTCAATCCTGGAAATGAAGTCTGCAAAAATATCTTCATTGGAAGGGTTAACATAATAATTATATTTGAGAAGCACCACTTTTTACTATTATCAGTAACCTTCTGCTTAAAAATTCACCAAAATACCCTATTGCATATATTCTTTATATTCAGTCCAAACAGCCCTTCCAATCCACACCCAAAGTCATCTTAGTTTTTTCTTTCCTTTCATCTACTTGCCCTCTGCTGAAGCCCCTGGATCTTCTCCCCTGTGCCCTCAGGAACTCCTACTCCTCCATAAAGACCCAGCTCAAGTGCTACTTCCTCTGTGAAGTCTTTCTGGAATCCCCACAGGATTTAATGCTCCCACAATGTATCACTCAGGGCCTTGCAGGAAACACACCACACATTCCAATGGGTAGTTGAAGGACTTTACTAGAAAGGCATTGTGACTTCTGAGAAACAGATACAGGTTGTGGAAGAGGCTGAGGATACACTCAGTATCCCACCTCACACTTTTCCTTTCCTTTTATCTGCTACCAGGGTCCCCATTGGCTGAACCTAACTAGAAGCCAAAGGGCAAAGAAATCCTGATGTTTAATTTTATGTGTCAACTTGACTGGGCTAAGGGAGTCCCACATAGCTGGTAAAACATTATTTCTCACTGTTTTACCAGAAACAGAATAAGAATGTTTCTGGAAAAGATGAGTATTTGAATCCGTAAACTGAATAGAAAAGGTCACCTTCACCAATGCAGCTGGGCATCATCCAATCTGTTGATGGCCACAATAGAACAAAAAGGCAGAGGAAGGAAGAATTTGCTTTCTGCTTGAGCTGGGACTTGCATCTTCTCTTGCCCTTGGACATTGCACTTCTGGTTCATAGGCCTTCAGAACTTGGACTAGGACTTACTCTCAGAGTTCTTAGGCCTTCGTGTATGTGTGTGCATATATATATATATATATTTATTTATTTATATTTATATATGAGAGAGAGAGAGGGATTATACATTGGTTTTTTCTGTAAAAGTTACGCTGAGTTTGTCTGCCTTCCTGCCTTTTCTTCTACCTCCTCCACCTCTTCTTCTGCCTCTGCTACCTCTGAGACATCAAGACCAGCTCTTCTTCTACCTCTTCCTCCTCAGCCTACTCAACATGAAGGCAACAAGGATAAAGACCTTTATGATGATCCACTTCCACTTGATGAATCGTATGTTTTCTCTTCCTTATTTTATTTTATTTTATTATTTATTTATTTTTTTAGGGAACAAAATATAATTATTTAATAATTAATATTAATCAGTAAAATCTTAATACATGTAACAACATGGTTGTATCTCAAAACATTAGGAGAAAAAAGTTGAACAAAAGATTGCATAATTGTATTTACATAAAATTCTAGAAAGTCACAAAACAATAGAGACTGGAAGTAGATTGGAGTGGTGTGGTGCTGGGATGGAGGGAGGGGAGGGATCTAAGGCAAATTAGAAAAATCTGCTATGGTTTGGGACTGTGTCCACCCCGCTCCCTACATCTCATGTCAAATTGTAATTCTCAGTGTTGGAGGTGGGGTCTGGTGGGAGGTGATTGGATCATGGGGGTAGAATGTCCCTCTTGCTGTTCTCATAATAGTGAGTGAGTTCTCACGAGATCTGATTGTTTAAAATTGTGTAGTACCTCCCCCCATCTCTTTCTCCTGCCCCCGCCACGTAAGACATGCCTAGTCCCCTTTACCTTCTGCCGTGATTGTAAGTTTCCTGAGGTCTCTCTAGCCAGGCTCCCTGTACAACCTGTGGAACCGTGAGTCAATTAAACCTCTTTTCTTTATAAATTACCCAGTCTTAGGTAGTTCTTTATAGCAATGTGAGAACAGACTAATACAAAAACTTTTTTAAAAAATTTATATATATGTGTTTTATATAATTATATATAATTTATATAATTTTATATATAAATATATGTGTGTATATATATATATATATACATACATTTTTTTTTTCCACAGCCAATGTCATACTGAATGGACAAAAACTGGAAGCATTCCCTTTGAAAACTGGCACAAGACAGGGATGCCCTCTCTCAACACTCCTATTCAACATAGTGTTGGGAGTTCTGGCCAGGGCAATCAGGCAGGAGAAGGAAATAAAGGGCATTCAATTAGGAAAAGAAGAAGTCAAATTGTCCCTGTTTGCAGATGACATGATTATATATCTAGAAAACCCCATCATCTCAGCCCAAAATCTCCTTAAGCTGATAAGCAACTTCAGCAAAGTCTCAGGATACAAAATCAATGTGCAAAAATCACAAGCATTCTTATACACCAATAACAGACAAACAGAGAGCCAAATCATGAGTGAGTTCCCATTCACAGTTGCTTCAAAGAGAATAAGATACCTAGGTACCTAGGAATCCAACTTACAAGGGATGTGAAGGACCTCTTCAAGGAGTGCTACAAACCACTGCTCAATGAAATAAAAGAGGATACAAACAAATGGAAGAACATTCCATGCTCATGTGTAGGAAGAATCAATATTGTCAAAATGGCCATACTGCCCAAGGTAATTTATAGATTCACTGCCATCCCCGTCAAGCTACCAGTGACTTTCTTCACAGAATTGGAAGAAACTACTTTAAAGTTCATATGGAACCAAAAAAGAGCCCACATCACCAAGTCAATCCTAAGCCAAAAGAACAAAGCTGGAGGCATCACGCTACCTGACTTCAAACTATACTACAAGGCTACAGTAACCAAAACAGCATGGTACTGGTACCAAAATAGAGATATAGACCAATGGAACAGAACAGAGCCCTCAGAAATAATGCCACATATCTACAACTATCTGATTTTGACAAACCTGAGAAAAACAAGCAATGGGGAAAGGATTCCCTATTTAATAAATGGTGCTGGGAAAACTGGCTAGCCATATGTAGAAAGCTGAAACCGGATCCCTTCCTTACACCTTATACAAAAATTAATTTAAGATGGAATAAAGACTTAAGTGTTAGAACTAAAACCATAGAAACCCTAGAAGAAAACCTAGGCAATACCATTCAGGACATAGGCATGGGCAAGGACTTCATGTCTAAAATCATTCTTAATTAAAACCTCTTTTATCTAAGCATAGCTACTCCTGCTCTCTTTTGATTTCCATTTGCATAAAGTACCTTTTTCCATCTCCTCACTTTCAGTCTGTGCATATCTTTATAGGTGAACTAAGTTTCTTATAGACAGCTTATAGTTTGGTCATTTAAAAAAATCCATTCAGCCACTCTATGTCATTTAATTTTAGAAATTAATTCATTTATATTAAAAGTTATTAATGATAGGTAAGGGTTTACTATTGGCATTTTGTTACTTATTTTCTGGTTGTTTGGCAGAGTTTTCTCTCTCTTCTTGTTTACCTTTGTAGTTAAGTGGTTTTTTCCCATAGTATGTTTTGATTTTGTGCTATTTATTTGTAGTGTATTTATGATAGGTTTTTGCTTTTTGATTACCATAAGGCCTACAAAAACATCTTATGTTATTACAGGTTATCTTAAGCTGATAATGACTTAACTTCATAGCAAAGAAAAGAAAAATAACAATAACAAAAACAACAATAAAAAACCCTCTGCAGAGGGTTTAACACTATTCTTTAACACTATTTCTTTAACACTATTTAACACTATTTTTTAACACTGTTTCCTCCCCATTTTTTGACTTTTTGATGTTTCAATTTACATTTTTATATTGCCTATCTCTTAACCAATTGTTTTAGTTATTGTTTTAATAAATTTTTCTTTTAGTCTTTATTCTTAAAATATAAGTGACTGACTGACTTCAATTACAGTTGAAGTAAGTAGACAGTCTGAGTCCACTCATGGACACGTGTGATCCAGCACAGGAGAAAATCAAGGATCCTGCCATGGGCAGTCAAGACATTTAGAGTATTCTGAATTTGTCTGTTTTTTTTTTTTTTCTTTTAGCAGTGAGTTTAATTACTTTAGATGTTTTCTTGTACATTAGCATCCATTTCTTTCAGATTGAAGAACTCCCTTTAGCATTTCCTGTAAGACAGGTCTGCTGTTAAGGAATTCTCTCAGCTTTTGTTTGTCTGGAAATTCTTTATCTCTTCTTCATGTTTGAAGGCTAACTTCGCTGGGTACAGAATTTTTGTTTGGCAATTCCTTTTTTCCTTTGTCACTTTGAATATAGCATCCTGTTCTCTCCCGGTCTGTAGAGTTTCTGCTGAGAATTCTGCTGAAAATTGTATTGGGGCTTCACTGAATATGATATATTTCTTTTCTTTTGCTGCTTTGAGTATTCTTGCTTTGTCTTTAATTTTTGGTAATTTAATTATGATATGTCTTGGGGATTTCCTCTTTGGGTTGAATTTGATTAGTGACTTCTGAGCATCTTGTACTTGGACGGCATCATCTTTCTCCAGATTTTGGAAACTTTCAGCCATTATTTCCTTAAATATGCTTTCTAGGCCCTTCTCTTTTTTGTCTCCTGGGAATTCTTGTTATATGGAGGTTAGTTCACTTGATGATGTCCCATAATTATTATAGGCCACTGATGGGCTGTAACTAATTCATGGTCTTCTACCTCTGCTAGGTCCAGACTGACAATGAATATTGACAGAGACTTTCCCCTTGACCTAACTATAACTAGTCAGGCTCTTCTGAACCCAACTAGAGCCCATTCTTGGGAATGTCCGCAAGAGTCCAGTTTTAGCAAGAATCCTGTTAAATCAGTTTAGACAGAATCCTCCACCCTTAATATCTGATCACCTTCAGTATCTGACCAAATTCTTCCTCTCTCACCATCTCCCAGGTAATATGGGATCACTGTGGCCTGTCTTCAGTAAGAATCTTGTTAGGTCAGCTTATCAAGAATTATCTTACCCTTGCAGTAGTTTTTAAACTACTGACCCTCCACATTCTTCTTCTTGGCTATAAATTTCCTCTTTTCTTTGTTGCATTAGGAATTGAGCTCCATCTCTCTCCCCACTACAAAAATCCCATTGCAGCAGTCCCTACACTTTTCAAGGTAGCCCTGAATAACACCTATCTTACCAGTTTAACAAGTGTTAGTGTATTCTTTTGCTTTAATAGTATCAAATGATTGTTTATGGCTTATTCCTGAGTATCCAAGATTAAATCTTTGCCTTTCTGTCTTACCTGTTGATTCAGACCCTGAATGATCAGGAAGATCCTGACTGCTTAAGACTAGGCTTTGGTGAAACCCCATCTCTACTAAAAACACAAAAAATTAGTCGGGTGTGGTGGTGGGCTCCTGTAGTCCCAGCTACTCGGGAGGCTGAGGCAGGAGAATGGTGTGAACCTGGGAGGCAGAGCTTGCAGGGAACTGAGATGGTGCCACTGCACTCTAGCCTGGACGACAGAGTGAGACTCTGCCTCAAAAAAAAAAAAAAAAAAAAAAAAGGACTATGCTTATTTGTGCTTTTATGTGCTTTTATCTCCAGATTTCAATGGACTGAAATCAAGGTTGAATGGTCTATTGTTTTTCAGACTATACACAGCTGTATCAGCACTTCCATAGCTGCCATGTTTACAACTATAACCTGATCCTTGCACCATTACTATCACTCTGTATATGATTAGACCCAAATTCACCTTGGGTTTGACTTGTCTGGCTTCTGAGTGTGTTATCTATCTCCTGCTTGATTATGACTATGACTTGCTTGTCACTGGAGGGAACTTCCTCTGTCCATTGTTTTACTGATCATCACTTCTCATGACTAGACCCAAACTGTCCATGAATTTATATCTGGCTAGGAAAAGACATGGATTGTCTAGAGCTGTCTCATATCTATTCATGGGCCATCTATCTGCCTTTTTCTAGTGTTGGATCCTGATTGTTCATATATAGATTCAGACTAACCATTAGTGGATGTTTGTCTGTGATAAGACTGAGCGTTTAGAGTTTATAGAAATATCTCTTATCAACCAACTGTCCATGGGCTGATTCTATCTCTGTGTCTCCAGATTGTATTTTATGGCCACTGACCTAATTGTAACTTCATCCTTGAAGTCTGCTTATTTTGGGTCCAGAATATATTAATAGTGCTCATCTGTGAATTGACCCTGAAGGTCTAGTGCTGCCTTTTGATTGTCTGTAGTGAACCAATTTCTTTTCCTTATGTTGAACACAGATTCTTCTTGGAAGACTAGATTGCCTATGAGTAGATGTCCATCCTTGATGAGTTTCTGGCTTACCTTTTGACTGTCCATGGCTAGAACTATCTCTTTTTTTTTTTCTGGATCCAGACTGCCTATGCCTATATACAACTTGACCACAGGAGAAGGGTAACTGTCTATCCCAGCCTCCTAACTATGCTTCATTACTGGAAAGAGTAAATTTAGATCTCTGCTGTTTATGCTGGATGTAGACTGTACAGGTGATGATTATCTATGAAAAGATCATGAATGTCCAGAGCTCTCTCCTTATTGACTGTAGCTGGATCCATGTCTTCTTATATTGGGTCCAGATTTTCCATGTGTAGACCCAGACTGTCCATAAATCGATGTCTGTCCTGAGCATCTAATGCTATCTTATGATTATCTGTGGTGAGAGCCTTGTTTTCCTATTTTATCAGATTTCTGTTGTTTGTGGCCATACCCAGGCTATTCATGGGTTCATGCTGACTGTCTGAGTTTTCTGATTGTCTTTCAATATCATTAGATTGACTATACCTGGGCACCTTGGTCCATTTGTACTGATTCCAGACTCTGTAGGTGATGATTGGTTATGAGATGACTTGGCACTCTCTCCTGACTGTCCATTGAATTCATGCAAACTGTCAATGACTGGTTATTTGGCCCTGCTGAGATACTGACTATCTGGAGCTTCTTCCTGTTTGACCATGACTAGGGTTTTGTTTTCCTCTTTTGCTGGATCGGTATTGCCTATGACCATATTTAGACTGGTCATGGGTAGATACTGACTGTTCTTTTGAATCTCTTGATTGTCCCTCACTGTCACTGGACTAACTATAGTTAGAACTCCTGGCATACAGATGGCATGTCAAAGAACTAGAATGAGACTCCCTATGGAAGAATGTGTAGATATATAAGAAAAAAAGCAACAGATAGAACTCTGGAGACTTTCAGTCTTTAGAAGTCAAGCAGAGGAGGCAAAGCCAGTCAAGTAGATGCAGAAGTAGTGGCCAGTAAGGTAGGAGGGAATCTAGGAACGTATAGTGTCATGGGAGCCAAGAGAAAGAAGGAAGGAGAGGTTAGCTAAATGCTAAATGCTGCCAGGGTACTAAGCAATTGAAATGACCATTGAACTTAGCCATATGGATGTTGCTTAGTGGCTTATTTGGCATTTGAGATGTTTATAGGCATTTCAAACTTGATGTGACTAAAACAGAGCTCCTGATTTCTCTATCATCAAACTATAGTGCACCCGTTGTTCTTCATCCAAATAATCATAAAAAGTATCATCGTCAACCAGCTTGGTCAGACTAAAACATCGAGTCATCTTTCATTTCTCTTTTCCTCATCTTGTAAGTACAGTCCATCAGCAAGCGCTGTCAGTTTTCTCTCAAAAAAGTTTTATTTTCTTTTTGAGACAGGGTCTCATTTTGTCACCCAGGCTGGAGTGTGGTGGCACGATCTTGGCTCACTGGAACCTCTGTCTTCCAGGCTCAAGCGATCCTCCCACCTCAGCCTCCCAAGTAGCTGAGACCACAGGTGCACGCCACCATGCCTGGCTAATTTTTGTATTTTTGGTAGAGACGGGGCTTTGCTATGTTGGCCAGGCTTGTTTTGAACTCCTAAGCTCAGGCCATCCACCTACCTTGGCCTTCCAAAGTGGTGGGATTACAGGCATGAGCCACCACACCCAGCCTCAAAATATTCTTAATCCATCTTTATTTCTATCTTTACTGCTAACAATCTAGTTCATGTTGCCATCATCTCAGCTATATTATTGCAACTAGTCTCTGCTCTTTCTTCTTGCTTCATCCCACAATCTCCTATCCACACAACAACCAGCATGAAGTTTTTAAAAATGTAAATCAGTGTTACTTCCCTGCTTAAAACACTCGAAGAACTTCTTATTATTCTTAGGATCTTAGATAAACTTTTTACTATTATTCTTTTAGTGATTTGACCCTCATCTGCCTCTCTGATCTTATTTTGTCCCTCCCTTCTCCTTCTTCTCCATGCTGTGGACTCACTGACCTTTCAGTTCAGAAGAATATGGTGTCTATTCTGCCTGTTCTTTTCTAAAGATGCTGTGCTCTGCCTTTTTTGTTGATCTCTTTTTCTCTATATAGCTGGTGTCTGTATTTCTGGTTTCTGTTCAGATGATTTCTCCTATGAGTAACTTTCCTTTCTGTCTCTGGTACATGTATTTTTCTTTATGTCATTTTATTACTGTTTGAAATTTGATTAGCTTCTGTTTCCCCCTCCAGAATGTGTAAGCTATTTGAGAGTGATGATTTTGTCTGTTTACTACTGTAAACTCAGAATCTAGAATAGGGCCTTGCTCATGGTTGGCAGGCACTTATCGATTATTGTTGTATGAATAAACAAATAAGTGTTTCCATCTGTGTAAAGTATCCTTCCTTCATTTTTCTTTAGCACATTGTTCACATTGTTTTCTTTGCATGCCTAGCACTCATTCTACATATAGCATGTAGTGTACTGAATTACAGTTGACATTTTATGGGATTGTCTCATATGATAAGTGATCTTTGTCAGGCGAGGCCAGTGATTACAGCTTATTCATGTTAGTATCCGTGTCATGTGTCAAAGTACCTACTCAGCAGTAGGACTCAGTTACATGAATCAATGGATGAATCATTCCATTAGAATTCAACCATCATGAATTCAGAAAATAGAGAATCAGAGGTTTGGTTTCCTGAAATCAGCTTCTGTCCTACTGATATTGATCTAACTGATCTTACTGATCCTGTCTAAATTATTGTATATCAAAAAGGATGCAGGATATAAGCATCCTCTGCATCTAAAGATTCAACAAGATGTATGACTCATCCAGTCCACAGTAAGAGCTGCATGATATTTAGATAAAGCCCTCTGAAAATAGTGGAGACAATCAATAATGCTGTCTTTCTTTCAGCCTACCATGTCTTAGGGCTGTACAATGCAGCAATGCAAAGAGTACTGAGTAATCTCAGAGAAAGCACATTTCAATCTTCAATTTCTTTCTCTATTAGAGAATCTTATGGTTACAGGGGACCTAAAATAACTTTTTAAGAAATCCAAGCATCCAGTAGTGTTTTGCAGAGTACGTCCCTAGATTTCCACTTTGGTTAACAATAAGTAGGAATAGTTGGATGGGTTCTCTCTTACCCAGTTCACCAACATACATGTAAGGATGTCGATTGAAGGAATGGCAGGATACTAAAGGTCAGGAGAGTGGCCTTTTATACCAGCTAAAGGTCCCTGCTCAGGAGAGGCCCCCTTTTGTGAATGGTCTGATTCATCACATTCTGATCCACCCATATGTCCACTTTTCTTTCTCTACTGTTTATTTCCTAACTTTTTCAAGTACTAGTTTCTGCTTATATTAGCAGCTTCCAGATTTAGGTTGACATTTGTCCTGGCTAGCATAAATTTTACAGAAGGATCTCTTTGGAAATAATAGCCTCCTTGTGTACATCTGTCATTATTTATACTTTGTTTTATTTCCCATATTGACCTAACAAAGGCTTGAGGCATATATGCTGAAAAGCAATGATCCTTGAGCTGAGGTAGTAGAATATGCATGTGTAAGAGGGATCTGAAATCCAAAATAGGTGAAGAGTTTTGGAGAGTTCCCAGCTAGGATTTAATCTCACCTAGTTTGTTACTGTGAATTCTATATGTGAGTATTATAGAAATATGCCTGGGAGTTAATGCACTACTAACTGTGATCTTTGATATATTGTTATAAATGGAAATGAGAGAACACTGGAGGTTGGCAGATTTAGTTGTATTATCCCAAATTGAAAAGTGAGGTCTATTTTTCTCTTTTTGTCATGGTTATTAACCTGGAATATCAGACATATGCTGCACACTCTGCCTTTGTGAACCTTGAGACAGTATGTTTACTTCTATAGTAGCACCACTAACTCTGTGCAAGAGACTCTCATAGAGATTCTCACTAACTCTGTGCAGGAGATTCTCAACCCTGGACTTTTTGTTTCTAGTCCTTTGTATCTCACTGCATATATAATCTCGCCACGTGGATACTTAGATACTTAGATATCCCCGTCATCTCATACTGGACCCATTATAATCTTTCCCCCAGGTGTGTCTTTTCTTCTATTGTCTCCTGTCACATATCAGTGACATTCTTTTGTGTCTCAGACTAAGGACTCTATAGTCATTCTTCATTTCTTCCCTTTCTTCACCTTCACACTCACATGACCACCACATTCTGTCAGTTTTACCACAGATTTATCTCCTGGATCTAAGCTTCCTCTCTGTCCTTGGCATGGCTTGTTTTATTCTGGCCCTGGCTACCTTGTATCTGGATTATTTCCAGAATCTTCTTAATTAGTCTTTTTCTACCATCAAGATATCTTCATACCAGTCCTTCTACATTGCTGCAAGATTCATATTCCTATGAACAAATATTATAACATTTTCTTGCCTTAAAGCTCCTGGTAGCTCTCCTTTGTCTATAATAAATTCCAAATTTCTTACCTTGGCATGCAAGCCTCCTGAAAATCAGGCATGAAACTTCACTTTTTTAGCCTTCTCTACTACCACTTGTCTTTTATGGGATTGTTCCTTTGAATGTTAACAACAATCCTTGATCATTTCTTATCTAATTAATGTCTTTGCACATACTATTTTCTCTGCCATTTTTCTTCTCCACCAGACAAGCTCTCTTACAAATCCTATAAGATCTGCCTGGAAATGTCATCTCCTTTATGATGCTTTCTGTGACATTCTCTGCAGTTTAAGCAATTCCTTCTAGTGAAGTTACTTGCATTGAAGTAGGGCCATCCCATAGCTCCTGTCACATTGTGTTACAATCGTTTGTTCATTTGCCTGTCGGTTACCCATCCCTATCACCTGGCCCCCATCTCTATGCCAATAGATATGGTTAATAGAGATTTTGCAAGCAATAATCTCTAGTGGTTTGGGACCTTTAGGGAAGGCATAGATGGTCCTCCTCTTGGAGCCACAATGTACATTAGCCTATTAAAGGCTCTGACTCTGAGAAGCTCTGTAGAACCCAGGACCCTGTCTGTAACCAGGGTTTCCCAAATATTTCTAATCAGGGAACTCTTCTTTTGAAGAACATCTATTATTAATCAAGGAATTCAGTAAGGGAACTGTTGTTCTGTATCAAATACTCTCTGAAGCATTAAAAAATGATAGACAAAAAGCCATGTTTTTGCTTCATTGTCAGCATTAGCATCTTTATCTCTCTTTATTTCTTCTCTTTTCCAGAGGATTTTATCACTTTATCACTCCAGCCACCTAGCTGAAAATGTATGATATGGGTAATGCCCTCAGGGGACTGGTACCCTGGTTTCTGTCCTTACAATGGATAGGCTTCCAAATCTTACTGATTCGTGGGTTGCTAACACAGCTTGCAGGGTGGTTAGCTATTATGTTGAAAGGCAATTTCTTTGAATGAATGTAGATCACCATTTTAATCAGTGACTTGAATGACAATGTGAATTGATGGCAAATATGTATAAGATTCAGGATGCATGAAGAAGATTTTATAGGCTGGGATGAAATGGTGGGAAAATCTGGAAGAAATAATTTTAACAATTGTATAAAAAAGTATCCTGAGCTGCGAACCTCTATATAACTAGAATAATCAGTGAAGTACAGTTCCAGAAGTCCTTCAAGTGTGGACTTGTGTCAGCGGTTATGCGCTTTTATGTTGAAGCCATAGATTTCTCAATCAATGCTGATCTTGTGGTGGTGAAGACTGGTTCAGTGTCTCCATCAGCATTTTAATACTTTTATTGGTGTGACCTGCTTTTACAATTTCCTATAGTTTTCCAGGAATTCATCTCTATTTTAGGATTGCCCAAACAACTTTGGGCAAAATCCTCCAAGGCTGGATCAGACATGTTAAATGCCATTCCCAGTAGTGGTAAGCATATCAGTGAAATTATGTGGAACACATACTTTTTGAGTTTTGACTGCTTCAGGGTGAATTTTTTTCTTCTCTGGCATACTTTTTAAGGGGTTAGGAGGTAGTCTTTGCTCTCTCCCTTTCTTCAAAATTTTTGATCTACATACCCTGGAATCAAACTCTTTTCCCCACTTTTTACTGTTTCTTTGTTAGAACCCATTAGTACTCATGCAAAGTGTACTCCTGTCAGTTAAAATAACTATCACTGAATTATGCATCATTCATTTGTAGTGTGGGTATATTTCAACTAATATTTGTATTCTTCTTATGCAATTTTTATTTTAAAAAAAACCTTTTAAGGTAAGTATATATGATTGGGTTGACTTAAATAACACAATGGTTTTATGCTTCTTGAGTAGAACAGGTCACAAACTAGCCTGCAACTATGTCAGCTTCAAAGGTTTTGGAGTCTGGCTCACTTGAGTTTGCCTCCTGGCGCTTCCATTTACTGTTGTATGACCTTGGGTAAATTACTTAGCCTTTCTGAGTCTGTTTCCTCATCATCAAAGTAAGGATGATAATGCCCATTTTAAAGGGCTGTTGAAGTATTAAGTAAGCTAATTATGTCAATTATACAGCACATTGTGTAACATTTTAGTTACATTAAAACTCAGCTATTATATAATTATCGCAGTTTAGTTGTTATTCTAATATTGGCTATATTAATTGTGTGAACTTTTGTACTTGTATGTATTTCCAGTAAGAGAGGATCTGGGAATGTAAATGTCTTTTTCTTTTTCCAGGATTTTTCCTCTTAGGATTTATTTCCCTGGAGACCTCATGAAGAATGATGTGGGTTCTATAGGGTACAGTGTGATCTGGGTCCTGCCTAATCTCCTTTCTAAACTTCAGAAAATCATGGTAGGTTTTCATGTCTTATAGATAAAGCAGAACTTCAGAGAAATTGTGACGTAAGAGTAGAGTTCCTTCAAATATTGTCTTTTGCCTTTTGATTTCCTCTGTATTTTTACACCTGATGAATGAGAACCTTATTGGAAAAATGTAGCAAAAGTGCCAGGAACATGGTAAGAAGAAAGTAGTTAGGAGAATGGGATAGGGATGGGGGCAAATAGTGCTACTAAATGGTTAAAAAAATGCATTTATCCCTTTCTCTTTTTGTACCCAGCTGACTTCAGGTGTACTATGTTCTGTGCTCTCTCTCCCTCAAATGAAATATAGTCTTCTATCTAATGTCACATTGTAAATATTAATATTTAATGTGACTTTGTTTGGGAGGCTTAGTTAGGGACTTAGCCAGGATTTTGGCTAGCTTGAGCCTAGGGCTTGGAGCCTCCTCTGTAGCTTGAACACTAATGTTCCTTTTTTTTCTGGCTACACTCTCTGGCAATACTCTCTGGTTCCTTTCTTTCTGGCTACACTCTCTTCCTTTTCTATCAAGACTTTCAGATGTCAAGGTTCCCAAGCTCAATTCCTAGATGCCTTTTCTTCTCTTAAGCTTTCTCACCACGCTGGACTGTTCTCTTTCACTCCTAAAATTATTTCATGATCTTGCTGGGTTAGTCTTTACTTTGTGCTCTAAACTTTCTGGCATCTTGAGGTCTTCGGCATTCAGGCACTGAAGCCTAATTTTGACATGTGGAAGTGAAAGCAGAATTAGAAAGTAATTATCAAAGAGTCCTCAAATGGTTAGAGGATGTATAGGAGAGTGAAGCATGGGGAAAAATACAAGTCAGCCTTTGGAGGGGATGGACAGTAGGACAGGGAGAGTAGGGAAGAAGCATAAGGTATTCTACTTCTGACTGGCTGTCTGCATCCTAATCTGTTTTTTTCTGAGTTTTTCATTGAAGTAATATATATATAATACTTGACATATGTATGTATATATGTATATATACAGAAAAGTGTACAAATCAGAAGTGTACAGATTGGTTAATTGTCTCAAACTGAACCATCCATGTAACCAACTCCCAGATTAAAAAAACGTAATGTTACTAGCACCCCCAGAAGCCCCCACCTCTTTTTCCATCCAGGCACTCCCCACTCTCTCAAAGAGTAATAATTATCTTGACTTCTAACATCATAAATTAGTTTTACCTATTTTTGGATTTTATATAAAAGGAATCATACAGTGCTTTTATATCTGGCTTCTTTCACCTAACACCCATGTTTATGCATGTAGCCACTTTTCATTCATTCTCATTGTTCTATTGTATTACATTATATGAGTGTGGTACAAATGATATGTTCTTTCTCCTAGTGATGGCTATTTGAGTAATTTCCAGTTTTTGACTTGTAAAAATAGTGCTGCTATGTACATTGTTTTATGTGTCTTTTGGTTAACATGTGTATGCATGTCTGTTCCCTTCTCTTTCTAGTGTGCTGACAGCTTTTAATCACAGTTCAGTAATGAATTTAGTTATAACAATGAATATTTATTTGGTTATCAGCAAGTGGCTTATTGAGTATATTTCCAAGTGAATACATGGAAAGTGTGAGGCTAAGGCAGAGAAGCAGTAAGTCATAATATTAACCATTGGTTATTTATCAGTGTTGTTAATATTAACCATTGACTGTTTATTAATGTTGTTAATATTCTTGCAAATCCAGTCATTTGAACTCCTGACAACAGAGATCATGTCAAAAAGTTCAAGTTTCTGAGTCCTGGAGGCCAGAGAATGGAGATAGTCTATATTCCTAACCAGAAATCTCTTCATCATCCGTGTATCACCTAAGGATGCAATATTTTTTAGTGGACAGGAATAGAAGCTTTGGCATTTTACTGCCTGGGAATAAAATCTGGTACTATTGGGAAAGATTACTTTATTATGCTTTAATTTTCTCATCTCTAAAATATACATAGTAACAGTATCTACCTCAACATTATTAGAAGATTAAATTAGTTAATCCATGTAAAATCCTCAGTAGAATACTTGGCATATAGTAAATAATCAACATTATATAAAACTCTATAGTGGAATGTGCTACAAGGTGTACAGCAGCAGTTTTAGGTTCCAGAATTATAAATCTAGGCCTGTAGTTTTTAATTCTTTGGAGAATTGTGGCCAGCTTTTATAAAATTAGGACACCTGAAAAAGCAAGAAATTTTAGCTCAGAAATTAAAAAAAAAACCTTTAGCTGAATCTCAAATGAAATAAGTGTATGTGCTCCTTCCAGCTTGGGAAATGGTGGGCTTGGTCAGTATTAGTTTAATCGTATTTTTTCTCTCATTTTCTTCTATATTCATCCAAGAAGCTTGGGTACTTATAAAATGCCTAATGCCAAAGAATAAAGTTTAATTTTGGAATGAGCTAAAATTCTTTTTGGAAATAGCTGCAGTTTACATAAATAAAATAAGTACTTGAATTCAGTGCAGTGCCCTGGGAGATGGCAAGCTCTTAAGCACTTTACGCTCTGTGGGATCCTGAGGTAAATCTAGGAGCTTTATTCTCAAGGATATTACTGACTCATCCCCAGTTGACTTTGTTCCAAATTGGGTATTGAGTCTCAGTATCTTATAGTTTACTGTTTTTTTCTTTGTAGTACCTTGGAGTTGTGGAGGCATGTTTATAAGCAGATCTGAGTTTTGCCACACTGGAATTTATTTATTCATTGAACAAATATTTAATACCTACTACAATTCTTAGCCGTAAGTATTTGAAATTTATGATATGAGTTTGACCCGATTCCTGGTTTGGTTGCCACTGGTGAAATTCTGATTTGTTTGTACTCTGTTTTGTCTACTTTGTTAGATATGTAGATTGGGACATTTTGTAATGTGTCTTGGTTCTGCTATTTTTATCTTGAAGAGTATCCTTATACTTCATTCTTAACTTTTTCCCTCAAAGTCTCCCAGCCAGGTCATCTGCATAATATCTTCTTTTTTCTTTCCTTCAGTAAAAAACTGAGCTATATTTTCACCAGAAGAGGTGAAGTGAGAAGAGGGGTTGAAACTTCTGCTTTAGCCTCCTGAACATTCTTGGCTGTTCTAGGATGGTCAGGAGACCCAGCAGTGCTATCTATAGACTTCCCAATCCATGGTGTTTCTTCCTTCTCTCCAAGGGAAGTTTTTTGGTTGCTGTATAACAATCCCAAAACTTAGTGGTTAGAAATTCCAGTCGTTCTACTATATTTCAGGATTCTATGGGTTAAGAATCTGGGGACAGCTCAGCTGGGTAAAACTTCTGGGTAAAACTTGGCTGGAGTCTGTAGCATTCAGCCATGGGCTAGGCTGGACTTGACTCACATACTCAGAGCTCTGGCACGATGACTAGAAGGTTGGGCTTGACTGAGTATCTCTCTTTATCTGTATATTCAGGAATTCTCCACATGATCTCTGCAGCAGGGTAGTCAGAATTTTTACGTGGCAGCTTAGGGAACCGAGAAGGCTTAAAAATAAAGACCAACCAAATGAAAATAAGCAAATGGTATTTATTCAGAGTTTGCTATAGCAAAAGAGTCAGCTACTGTGACTTTAAAAGCCCATTCCTCCATTCTGTCAATCCAGCTGTTTCAGGATGAAGGCGAACATGGTAAGACCAGTGAATTCCATGAGCATGAGCCCACTGCCACACTTCTTTAGCCATAAAGTGAGTGCCTTGGTCAGAGGCAATGCTATATGTGACACTATGAGGATGGATAAGGCATTCTGTGAGTCCACGGATGGTAGTCTTGGTGGAGGCATTGCGTGCAGGACAGGCAAACCCACATCCAGAGTGTCTGTTCTGGTGAGGAAAAACTGCTGCCCTTTCCATGATGACAGAGGTCCAATATAATCAACCTGCCACCAAGTAGCTGGCTGATAACCCCAAGGAATGGTGCCATATCGAGGGCACAGTGTTGGCAAATTGCTGCTGGCAAATTGGGCACTCAGCAGTGGCCATAGCTAGGTCAGCCTTGATGAGTGGAAGTTCATGTTGCTGAGCTCATATGTAACCTCCATCCTTGCCACCATGGACACTTTGTTCATGGGCCCACTGGGCGATGACGGGGTGTCTGGGTAAAGAGTCTGAGTGGTGTCCATAGAACGAATCATCCTATCCACTTGATTATTAAAATTCTCCTCCGCTGAGGTCGTCCTTTGGTGAGCACTCATATTAGATACAAATATCTTCGCAGTTTTGACCACTCAGAGAGGTCCATCCACATACCTCTTCCCCAGATTTCTTTGTCACCAATTTTCCAATCATGCTTCTTCCAAGTCCCTGACCATCCAGCCAAACCATTGGCTATAGTCCATGAATCAGTATATATTCATACATCTGGCCATTTATCTTTCCAGGCAAAGTATACAACCAGGTGCACTGTTTGAAATTCTGCCCACTGGGAAGATTTTCCTCACCGCTGTCCTTCAGGATGCCCTAGAAAGGGCCTGCAGTGCTACAGCTGTGTCCACTTTCAGGTAGTGCCTGCATATTGTGCAGAGCCGTCTATAAACCAGGCCCTAGTCTTCGCTTTCTCTGTCAACTCATCATAGGGAGCTCCCCATGAGGCCATCAGTGCAGGCTGGGGGAGAGAAGGCAGGGTGGCAGGATTGGGGATGAGGAAACTTAAAATCATGGCAGAAGGGGAAGCAAACGCATCCTTCTTCACATGGCAGCAGCAAGGAAAAGAATGTTTGCTTCCCCTTCCACTGTGATTGTGAGTTTCCTGGGATCTCCCCAGCCATGCTGAACTGTGAGTCAATTAAACCGCTTTCCTTTATAAATTATCCAGTCATGGGTATGTCTTTATTAGCAGCATAAGAATGGACTAATAAAACAGTAAATACTGCTCTGCTGTTTGCCTGGGTCGTGCAATGGTCTCCTACCTAGTCTTCTTGCCTCTGGTCTCATCTCCTTCCTGTCTTGCTGCCAAAATATTTATCATGTGACTTCTTATTAAAACCCTTTATTTCCTACTCTCAGATGATAGAGACCTAGCATCTTAGCATGGCTTATAAGCCTCCTTTTGATCTGGTTCTCATGTTTCTGGAATCATTTTTTGCCATGCCCCTCACACTCACCTCATATCTTGGCTATACCGAACTGCTGCTATCAGTTTCTTGAGCCCACCTTTGTTTTTCTTTGGGATTTTGCACAAGTTGTTTAATCCCCCGGAATACTTTCCTTCCCAAATCAAGCTGGCACATTTCCAGCCATTTCTAGAGTTTCCATGCCCATGTCTGTTAAACTCAGAAGTATTATTTGAGCCATCTCTTCCTTACCACTAAACATGGTTAGCTGGTACCACTATAATTTATACTACCACTGCATCTTAATAATATCTTTTTAAAATTATTTGTCACACTTTCCTCCCTGGTCAGTAAACTTCTGAAGGACAGATCTGTCTTTCCCATCTTTGTAAATTCATCTAGTGTAGAGCCTGACAATTAAATGTTCAATACTTTCCTTCTAATGAGAGAATGAAGTAATATTGCATCAAGAGCCAGATATCCACATTATTTAGATTCTTATTAGTCTAAGCCTTATTTTCAGCCTTCTATTTGAAGATATGTGGAAGTGTGTTTGGCACATAGCTAGAGCCCAGTCTCAGTCTTGTCCAGTCTTTCCTCACGTGATAGTGGATCAAGTCTTTGAAGGGAAAGAGCAATAAAAACTGATGGCAGTGTGGCCCAACTAAGAGCTAGGGACTATGTTGCTCATTTTCATATGAAACTATTTAGATTATTTGTTAAATTGTAAACCACAATCTTATTGCCAATAGCTGAGTCACTTTTGTAAGAGCATAGGTGACGATTGTAAAGTTTTTTGTTTTAATACAATTTTATTTACAAAAGCAGATAACAAGCTGGATGGGCCTTTGGGCCATAGTTTGTCAACTCCTGTTCTAATCCATAAGCATGGTATATCTCTCCATTTATTTAGGACTTCTTAATTTCTTTTAGCAATATTTTGTACTTTTTGGTGTTGTGGTCTTATACTTTTTTGGTTAAATTTATTCCTAGGAATTTTATGTTTTTTAAATTGACACATAATATTTACATATTTATAGGGTATGTGTGATATTTTGTTACATGCATAAAATGCATAAAATGTGTAATTTTCAAGTCAGGGTATTTGGGGTAGCTATTACCTTGAGTATTTATCATTTCTATGTTTTGGGGACATTTTGAGTTCTGTCTCCTAGCTACTTTAAAATATATAATTCATTATTGCTAACTATAGTCGCCCTACTCTGCTATCAAACATTAGAACTTATACATATATCTGTATATTTATACCCATTGACCAACCTCACTTCATTCCCCCTTTCATCCACGCTTTTTTCTCAGACTCTAGTATCTATCATTCTACTCTCTATCTTCATGAGGTCACTGTTTTTACCTCCTACATATGAGTAGAACTCATATTTGTCTTTCTGTGTCTGGCTTATTTAATGTAACATAATGAAGTTTATTTCTACCCATCTTGCTGCAAATGACATTATTTCATTCATTTTTTTTTTAAGATGCTCTCTTTTTTATTTATTTATTTATTTATTTATTTATTTATTTATTGATCATTCTTGGGTGTTTCTCGCAGAGGGGGATTTGGCAGGGTCATAGGACAATAGTGGAGGGAAGGTCAGCAGATAAACAAGTGAACAAAGGTCTCTGGTTTTCCTAGGCAGAGGACCCTGGGGCCCTCCGCAGTGTTTGTGTCCCTGGGTACTTGAGATTAGGGAGTGGTGATGACTCTTAACAAGCATGCTGCCTTCAAGCATCTGTTTAACAAAGTACATCTTGCACCGCCATAAATCCATTTAACCCTGAGTGGACACAGCACATGTTTCAGAGAGCACAGGGTTGGGGGTAAGGTCACAGATCAACAGGATCCCAAGGCAGAAGAATTTTTCTTAGTACAGAACCAAATGAAAAGTCTCCCATGTCTACTTCTTTCTACACAGACACGGCAACCATCCGATTTCTCAATCTTTTCCCCACCTTTCCCCCTTTTCCACTCCACAAAACAGCCATTGTCATCATGGCCCGTTCTCAATGAGCTGTTGGGTACACCTCCCAGACAGGGTGGTGGCCGGGCAGAGGGGCTCCTCACTTCCCAGTAGGGGCGGCCGGGCAGAGGCGCCCCTCACCTCCCAGACGGGGCGGCTGGCCCGGGGGGATGCTGACCCCCCCACCTCCCTCCCGGACGGGGCAGCTGGCCTGGCGGGGGCTGACCCCCACCTCCCTCCCGGACGGGGTGGCTGCCGGGCAGAGACGCTCCTCACTTCCCAGATGGGGTGGCTGCCGGGTGGAGGGGCTCCTCACTTCTCAGATGGGGCAGCTGCCGGGCGGAGGGGCTCCTCACTTCTCAGACGGGGCGGTTGCCAGGCAGAGGGTCTCCTCACTTCTCAGACGGGGCGGCTGGGCAGTGACGCTCCTCACCTCCCAGGTGGGGTCGCAGCCGGGCAGAGGCGCTCCTCACATCCCAGGGCAGAGGCGCTCCTCACATCCCAGACGGGGCGGCCGGGCAGAGACGCTCCTCACTTCCTAGATGGGATGGCGGCCGAGAAGAGGTGCTCCTCACTTCCTAGATGGGGTGGCGGCCGGACAGAGATGCTCCTCACTTTCCAGACTGGGCAGCCAGGCAGAGGGGCTCCTCACGTCCCAGACGATGGGCAGCCAGGGAGAGACACTCCTCACTTCCCAGACGGGGTGGTGGCCGAGCAGAGGCTACAATCTTGGCCTTTTGGGAGGCCAAGGCAGGCGGCTGGGAGGTGGAGGTTGTAGCGAGCCGAGATCACGCCACTGCACTCCAGCCTGGGCAACATTGAGCACTGAGTGAACCAGACTCCGTCTGCAATCCCGGCACCTCGGGAGGCCGAGGCTGGCAGATCACTCGCCGTTAGGAGCTGGAGACCAGCCCGGCCAACACAGCGAAACCCCGTCTCCACCAAAAAAATACGAAAACCAGTCAGGCGTGGCGGCATGTGCCTGCAATCGCAGGCACTCGGCAGGCTGAGGCAGGAGAATCAGGCAGGGAGGTTGCAGTGAGCCGAGATGGCAGCAGTACAGTCCAGCTTCCGCTCAGCATCAGAGGGAGACCGTGGAGAGAGAGGGAGAGGGAGACCGTGGGGAGAGGGAGAGGGAGAGCGCTATTTCATTCATTTTTATGGCTGAATAGTATTTCCTTGTATATTTATAAGTCAGATTTCTCCAGAGGAACAGAACCAATGGTATACAAACATGTATACATATGTATATGTATGTGTAGATGTATATTAGTATACATAAATATGTAAATACCTATATGTATATGTATGTATATATGTATATGTAGGTGTATATTATGTGTATATATGTATACATCTATACATATATGTATAATGTACACATATATACATATGTATATATGTATGTATGCTATTGGCTTATTACAAAGCTATAGTAATCAAAACAGTATGGCATTGGTATAAAAACAGACACATAGACCAGTGGAACAAAGTAGAGAATCTGAATATATATATATGCATGTATGTAATATATGTGTACATATATACATATATATTACTACATATATGTGTGTGTGTGTGTGTGTGTGTATATATATATATAGATGTTTATTAGAAAGAATTAGCTTATATAATTACAAAAGCAAAGTCCCATGATAGGCCATTGGCAAGCTGGGGTTGAGAAAAGCTGCCAGCGTGGCACAGTTGAACTCCCAAAAGCCTCAAAACCAGGGAAGCTGACAGTGCAGCTCCCAGTCTGAGGCTACAGGCCTGAGAGCCCCCAGACAACTGCTAGCGCAAGTTCCAGTGTCCAAAGACTGAAGAAACTGGAGTCTGATGTCCAAGGGCAGGAGGCAAAAAGGTGACTTGCTCTGCAAGAGAGAGAGAAAGATAAAGCCAAGCAAGCTGAATATCCTCCTCTTCTGCCTGCTTTGTTCTAGCCCCAACAGCAGCCAATTGGATGGTGTCTGCTCACATTAAAGGCAAGTCTTCCCTCCCAATCTACTGTCATTCTCCTGTGGAAACACCATAACACACATACCCAGAAAAAATGCTTCACCTGCCATCTAGGCATCCTTCAATTCAGTCAAGCTGACACATAATATTAACTGTCACAGTATGTATGTATATATATACCACATTTTCTTTATCCATTTGTCCATTGATGGACACTTAGGTTGGTTTCATATCTTTGCTATTACGAATAGTGCTACTATAAACATGTGAGTGCAGGCATCTCTTTGATATACTGATTTCTTTTCCCTTGGATAAATACCCAGCAGTGGAATTCCTGGATCATATGGTAGTTCTACTTTTAGTTTTTTGAGAAATGTCCATACTGTTTTCCATAGTGGCTATACTAATTTACATTTCTACCAACAGTGTGTAAGAGTTGCTTGTTTTCATCCTTGCTAGCATCTGTTATTTTTTGTCCTTTTCATAATGGTCATTCTAACTGGGGTAAAGTGATATCTCATTGTTGTTTTGAGTTGCATTTCCCTGATGGTTAGTGATGTTGAGCATTTTCTCGTATCCTTGTTGGCCATTTGTATGTCTTCTTTTGAGAAATACCTATTCATGTCTTTTGCTTACTTATTAATGAGATTATTTTTTATGTTGTTTTGTTTGAGTTTTTTGTAATTTTAGATATTAGTTCATTATCAGATGAATAGTTTGCAAATATTCTCTTTCATTCAACAGGTTGTCTCTTCACTCTGTTGTTTCCCTTGTTGTGCAGAAGGTTTTCAGTTTAACATAGTCCAATTTGTCTATTTTTGTTTTTACTGCCTGTGTTTTTGAGGTCTTAGCCATAAAATCTTTGCCTAGATCAATGTCCTGAAAGGTTTTTCCATGTGTTTTCTTCTAGCAGTTTCATAGTTTTGGGTCTTAAATTTAAGTCTCTCTCTCTCTATATATATATTACATACTTTTAAGTTCTAGGGTACATGTGCACAACGTGCAAGTTTGTTACATAGGTATACATGTGCCATGTTGGTTTGCTGCATCCATCAACTCGTCATATACATCAGGTATTTCTCCTAATGCTATCCCTCCCCTAGCCCCCAAACCCCCGACAGGCCCTGGTGTGTGTTGTTCACTGCCCTGTGTCCAAGTTTTCTCATTGTTCAGTTCCCACCTATGAGTGAGAACATGTGGTGTTTGGTTTTTCGTCCTTGTGATAGTTTGCTGAGAATGATGGTTTCCAGCTTCATCCATGTCCCTGTAAAAGACATGAACTCATCCTTTTTTATGGCTGCATAGTATTCCATGGTGTATATGGGCCACGTTTTCTTAATCCAGTCTCTCATTGATGGACATTTGGGTTGGTTCCAAGTTTTTGCTATTGTGAATAGTGCTGCGATAAACGTACGTGTTCATGTGTCTTTATAGTAGCATGATTTATAATCCTTTGGGTATACACCCAGTAATGGGATGGCTGGGTCAAATGGTATTTCTAGTTCTAGATCCTTGAGGAATCGCCACACTGTCCTCCACAATGGTTTAATTTGCACTCCCACCAACAGTGTAAAGCATTCCAATTTCTCCACATCCTCTCCAGCATCTGTTGTTTCTTGACTTTTTAATGATCGCCATTCTAAATGGTGTGAGATGGTATCTCATTGTGGTCTTGATTTGCATTTCTCTGATGACTAATGATAATGAACACTTTTTCATGTGTCTGTTGGCTGCATGAATTTTTTTTTTTTTTGAGATGGAGTCTCACTCTGTTGCCCAGGCTGGAGTGCAGTGGTGTGATCTCGGCTCACTGCAAGCTCTGCCTTCTGGGTTCACGCCATTCTCCTGCCTCAGCCTCCTGAGTAGTTGGGACTACAGGCACTCGCCAGCACATCTGGCTATTTTTTTTGTGTTTTTAGTAGAGACAGGGTTTTACCATGTTAGCCAGGATGGTCTCAGTCTCCTGACCTTGTGATCCACCGGCGTTTGCTACCCAAAGTGCTGGAATTACAGGCATGAGCCATCACGCCCAGCCCTAAATGTCTTCTTTTGAGAAGTGTCTGTTCATATCCTTTGCCCACTTGTTGATGGGGTTGTTTGTTTTTTTCTTATAAATTTGTTTAAGTTCTTTGTAGATTCTGGATATTAGCCCTTTGTCAGATGGGTAGATTGCAAAAATTTTCTCCCATTCTGTAGGTTGCCTGTTCGCTCTGATGGTAGTTCCTTTTGCCGTGTAAAAGCTCTTTAGTTTAATTAGATCCCATTTGTCTATTTGGGCTTTCGTTGCCATTGCTTTTGGTGTTTTAGTCTTGAAGCCCTTGCCCATGCCTATGTCCTGAGTGGTATTGCCTAGGTTTTCTTCTAGGGTTTTTATGGTTTTAGGTCTAACATTTAAGTCTTTAATCCATCTTGAATTAATTTTTGTATAAAGCGTAGTGAAGGGATCCAGTTTCAGCTTTCTACATATGGCTAGCCAGTTTTCCCAGCACCATTAATTAAGTAGGGAATCCTTTCCCCATTTCTTGTTTTTCTCAGGTTTGTCAAAGATCAGATGGCTGTAGAAGTGTGGTCTTATTTCTGAGGACTCTGTTCTGTTTTATTGGTCTACATCTCTGTTTTGGTACCAGTACCATGCTGTTTTGGTTGCTGTAGCCTTGTAGTATAGTTGGAAGTCATGTAGCGTGATGCCTCCAGCTTTGTTCTTTTTGCTTAGTATTGTCTTGGCAATGTGGGCTCTTTTTTGGTTCCATATGAACTTTAAAGTAGTTTTTTTCAATTCCGTGAAGAAAGTCATTGGTAGCTTGATGGGGATGACATTGAATCTATAAATTACCTTGGGCAGTGTGGCCATTTTCACGAAATGGATTCTTCCTATCCATGAGCATGGAATGTTCTTCCATTTGTTTGTGTCCTCTTTTATTTTGTTGAGCAGTGGTTTATCATTCTCCTTGAAGAGGTCCTTCACATACCTTGTAAGTTGGATTCCTAGTTATTTTATTCTCTTTGTAGCAATTGTGAATGGAAGTTCACTCATGATTTGGCTCTCTGTTTGTGTGTTACTGGTGTATAGGAATCCTTGTGATTTTTGCATATTGATTTTGTATCCTGAGATTTTGCTGAAGTTGCTTATCAGCTTAAGGAGATTTTGGGCTGAGACAATGGGGTTTTCTAAATATACAATCATGTCATCTGCAAACAGGGACAATTTGACTTCTCTTTTCCTAATTTAATACACTTTATTTCTGTCTCTTGCCTGATTTCCCTTACCAGAACTTCCAACACTATGTTGAATAGGAGTGGTGAGAGAGGGCATCCCTGTCTTATGCCAGTTTTCAAAGGGAATGCTTCCAGTTTTTGCCCATTCAGTATGATATTGGCTGTGGGTTTGTCATAAATAGCTCTTATTATTTTGAGATACATCCCATCAATACCTAGTTTATTGAGAGTTATTAGCATGAAGAGTTGTCAAATTTTGTCAAAGGCCTTTTCTGCATCTTTTGAGATAATCATGTGGTTTTTGTCATTGGTTCTGTTTATGTGATGGATTGCCTTTATTGATTTTCGTATGTTGAACCAGCCTTGCATCCCAGGGATGAAGCCAACTTGATTGTGGTGGATAAGCTTTTTGATTATCTCCTGGATTTAGTTTGCCAGTATTTTATTGAGGATTTTTGCAGGGATGTTCATCAGGGATATTGGTCTAAAATTCTCTTTTTTGTTGTGTCTCTGCCAGACTTTGGTATCAGAATGATGCTGGCCTCATAAAATGAGTTAGGGAGGATTCCCTCTTTTTCTATTTACTGGAATAGTTTCAGAAGGAATGGTGCCAGCTCCTCTTTGTACCTCTGGTAAAATTTGGCTGTGAGTCCATCTGGTCCTGGACTTTTTTTGGTTGGTAGGCTATTAATTATTGCCTCAATTTCAGAGCCTGTTATTGGTCTATTCGGAGATTCAACTTCTTCCTGGTTTAGTCTTGGGAGGGTGTATGTGTCGAGGAATTTATCTATTTCTTCTAGATTTTCTAGTTTATTTGCGTAGAGGTGTTTTTAGTAGTCTCTGATGGTAGTTTGTATTTCTGTGGGATTGGTGGTAATATCGCCTTTATCATTTTTTATTGCGTCTATTTGATTCTTCTCTCTTTTCTTCTTTATTAGTCTTGCTAGCAGTCTATCAATTTTGTTGATCCTTTCAAAAAACCAGCTCCTGGATTCAGTAATTTTTTTGAAGGGTTTTTTATGTCTCTATTTCCTTCAGTTCTGCTCTGATTTTAGTGATTTCTTGCCTTCTGCTAGCTTTTGAATGTGTTTGCTCTTGCTTTTCTAGTTCTTTTAATTGTGATGCTAGGGTGTGAATTTTAGATCTTTCCTGCTTTCTCTTGTGGACATTTAGTGCTATAAATTTCCCTCTACACACTGCTTTGAATGTGTCCCAGAGATTCTGGTATGTTGTGTCTTTGCTCTCATTGGTTTCAAAGAACATCTTTATTTCTGCCTTCATTTCGTTATGTACCCAGTAGACATTCAGGAGCAGGTAGTTCAGTTTCCATGTAGTTGATCGGTTTTGAGTAAGTTTCTTAATCCTGAGTTCTAGTTTGATTGCACTGCGATCTGAGAGATAGTTTGTTATAATTTCTGTTCTTTTGGACTTGCTGAGGAGTGCTTTACTTCCAACTATGTGGTCAATTTTGGAATAGGTGTGGTGTGGTTCTGAAAAAAAGGTATATTCTGTTGATTTGGGGTGGAGAGTTCTATAGATGTCTATTAGGTCCGCTTGGTGCAGAGCTGAGTTCAATTCCTGGGTATCCTTGTTAAGAAGGATATCCAAGTTGGAAAACACTCTGCAGGATATTATCCCAGAGAACTTCCCCAATCTAGCAAGGCAGGCCAACATTCAAATTCAGGAAATATAGAGAATGCCACAAAGATACTCCTCGAGAAGAGCAACTCCAAGACACATAATTGTCAGATTCACCAAAGTTGAAATGAAGGAAAAATATTAAGGGCAGCCAGAAAGAAAGGTAGACATACCCACAAAGGGAAGCCCATCAGACTAATAGCTGATCTTTTGGCAGAAACTCTACAAGCTAGAAGAGAGTGGGGGCCAATATTCAACATTCTTAAAGGAAAGAATTTTCAACCCAGAATTTCATATCCAGCCAAACTAAGCTTCATAAATGAAGGAGAAATAAAATACCTTACAGACAAGCAAATGCTGAGAGATTTTGTCACCACCAGGCCTGCCTTACAAGAGCTCCAGAAGGAAGCAATAAACATGGAAAGGAACAATGAGTACCAGCCACTGCAAAAACATGCCATATTGTAAGGACCATCGAGGCTTGGAAGAAACTGTGTCAACTAATGAGCAAAATAACCAGCTAATATCATAATGACAGGATCAAATTCACACATAACAATATTAAGTGTAAATGGGCTAAATGCTCCAATTAAAAGACACAGACTGGCAAATTGGATAAAGAGTCAAGACCCATCAGTGTGCTGCATTTAGGAAACCCATCTCACGTGCAGAGACACACATAGTCTCAAAATAAAGGGATGGAGGAAGATCTACCAAGCAAATGGAAAACAAAAAAAGCAGGGGTTGCAATCGTAGTCACTGATAAAACAGACTTTAAACCAACAAAGATCAAAAGAGAGAAAGAAAGCCATTACATAATGGTAAAGGGATCAATTCAACAAGAAGCGCTAACTATCCTAAATATATATGCATGCAATACAGGAGCACCCAGATTCATAAAGCAAGTCCTTAGTGACCTACAAAGAGACTTAGACTCCCACACAATAATATGGGAGACTTTAACACCCCACTGTCAACATTAGACAGATCAACGAGACAGAAAGTTAACAAGGATATCCAGGAATTGACCTCAGCTCTGCACCAAGTGGACCTAACAGACATCTACAGAACTTTCCATATCAAGTCAACAGAATATACATTCCTGTCAGCACCACACTGCACTTATTCCAAAATTGACCACATAGTTGGAAGTAAAGCACTCTTCAGCAAATGTAAAAGAACAGAAATTGTAACAAACTGTCTGTCAGACCACAGTGCAATCAAACTAGAACTCAGGATTCAGAAACTCAATCAAAACCGCTCAACTGCGTGGAAACTGAACAACCTGCTCCTGAATGACTACTGGGTACATAACGAAATGAAGGCAGACATAAAGATGTTCTTTGAAACCAACGAGAACAAAGACACAACATACCAGAATCTCTGGGATACACGTAAAGCAGTGCGTAGACGGAAATTTATAGCACTAAATGCCCACAAGAGAAAGCAGGAAAGATCTAAAATTGACACCCTAACATCACAGTTGAAAGAACTAGAGAAGCAAGAGCAAACACATTCAAAAGCTAGCAGAAGGCAAGAAATAGCTAAGATCAGAACAGAACTGAAGGAGATAGAGACACAAAAAACCCTTCAAAAAGTGAATAAACCAGGAACTGGTTTTTTGAAAAGATCAACAAAATTGACAGACCACTCGCAAGACTAATAAAGAAGAAAAGAGAGAAGAATCAAATAGACGCAATAAAAAATGACAAAGGGGATATCACCACCGATCCCACAGAAACACAAACTATCATCAGAGAATACTATAAACACCTCTACGCAAATAAACTAGAAAACCTAGAAGAAATGGATAAATTCCTCGACACATACACCCTCCCAAGACTAAACCAGGAATTTGAATCTCTGAATAGACCAATAACAGGCTCTGAAATTGAGGCAATAATTAATAGCTTACCAACCAAAAAATGTCCAGGACCAGATGGATTCACAGCCAAATTCTACCAGAGGTACAAGGAGGAGCTGGTACCATTCCTTCTGAAACTATTGAATCAATAGAAAAAGAGAGAATCCTCCCTAACTCATTTTATGAGGCCAGCATCATCCGGATACCAAAGCCTGGCAGAGACACAGCAAAAAAAAGAGAATTTTAGACCAATATCCTTGATGAACATTGATGCAAAAATCCTTGATAAAATACTGGCAGACTGAGTCCAGCAACACATCAAAAAGCTTATCCACCATGATCAAGTGGGCTTCATCCCTGGGTTGCAAGGCTGGTTGAACATACGAAAATCAATAAATCCAGCATATAAACAGAACCAAAGAAAAAAACCACATGATTATCTCAATAGATGCAGACAAGGCCTTTGACAAAATATAACAACCCTTCATGCTAAAAACTCTCAATAAATTAGGTATTGATGGGACATATCTCAAAATAATAAGAGCTATCTGTGACAAACCCACAGCCAATATCATACTGAATGGATAAAAACTGGAAGCATTCTCTTTGAAAACTGGCACAAGACAGGGATGCCCTCTCTCACCACTCCTATTCAACATAGTGTTGGAAGTTCTGGCCAGAGCAATCAGGTAGGAGAAGGAAATAAAGGGCATTCAGTTAGGAAAAGAGAAAGTCAAATTGTCCCTGTTTGCAGATGACATGATTGTATATCTAGAAAACCCCATTGTCTCAGCCCAAAATCTCCTTAAGCTGATAAGCAACTTCAGCAAAGTCTCAGGATACAAAATCAATGTGCAAAAATCACAAGCATTCTTATACACCAATAATAGATAAACACAGAGCCAAATCATGAGTGAATTCCCATTCACAATTGCTTCAAAGAGAATAAAATACCTAGGAATCCAACTTACAAGGGATGTGAAGGACCTCTTCAAGGAGAACTACAAACCACTGCTCAACGAAATAAAAGAGGATACAAACAAATGGAAGAACATTCCATGCTCATGGGTAGAAAGAATCAATATCGTGAAAATGGCCATACTGCCCAAGGTAATTTACAGATTCAATGTGATCCCCATCAAGCTACCAATGACTTTCTTCACAGAATTGGAAAAAACTACTTTAAAGTCCATATGGAACCAAAAAAGAGCACGCATTGCCAAGTCAATCCTAAGCCAAAAGAACAAAGCTGGAGGCATCACGCTACCTGACTTCAAACTATACTACAAGGCTACAGCAACCAAAACAGCATGGTACTGGTACCAAAACAGAGATATAGACCAACGGAACAGAACAGAGCCCTCAGAAATAATACCACACATCTACAACCATCTGATCTTTGACAAACATGACAAAAACAAGCAATGGGGAAAGGATTGCCTATTTAATAAATGGTGCTGGGAAAAATGGCTAGCCATATGTAGAAAGCTGAAACCGGATCCCTTCCTTACACCTTATACAAAAATTAATTCAAGATGGATTAAAGACTTACATGTTAGACCTAAAACCATAAAAACCCTAGAAGAAAACCTAAGCAATACCATTCAGGACATAGGCATGGGCAAAGACTTCATGTCTAAAACAGCAAAAGCAATGGCAACAAAAGCCAAAATTGACAAATGGGATCTAATTAAACTAAAGAGCTTCTGCACAGCAAAAGAAACCACCATCAGAGTGAACAGGCAACCTACAGAATGGAGAAAATTTTTTCAACCTACTCATCTGACAAAGGGCTAATATCCAGCATCTACAAAGAACTAAAACAAATTTACAAGAAAAAAACCAACAACCCCATCAACAAGTGGGCAAAGGATATGAACAGACACTTCTCAAAAGAAGACATTTATGCAGCCAAAAAACACATGAAAAAATGCTCATCATCACTGGCCATCAGAGAAATGCAAATCAAAACCACAATGAGATACCATCTCACACCAGTTAGAATGGCAATCATTAAAAAGTCAGGAAACAACAGGTGCTGGAGAGGATGTGGAGAAATAGGAACATTTTTACATTGTTGGTGGGACTGTAAACTAGTTCAACCATTGTGGAAGTCGGTGTGGTGATTCCTCAGGGATCTAGAACTAGAAATACCATTTGACCCAGCCATACCATTACTGGGTATATACCCAAAGGATTATAAATCATGCTTCTATAAAGACACATGCACACGTATGTTTATTGCAGCACTATTCACAATAGCAAAGACTTGGAACCAACCCAAATGTCCATCAATGATAGACTGGATTAAGAGAATGTGGCATATATACACCATGGAATACTATGCAGCCCTAAGAAATGATGAGTTCATGTCCTTTGTAGGGACATAGATGAAGCTGGAAACCATCATTGTCAGCAAAGTATCTCAAGGACAAAAAACCAAACACCGCATGTTCTCACTCATAGGTGGGAATTGAACAATGAGAACAGATGGACACAGGAAGGGGAACATCACACACCGGGGACGGTTGTGGGGTGGGGCGAGGGGGGAGGGACAGCATTAGGAGATATACCTAATGCTAAATAATGAGTTAATGGGTGCAGCACACCAACATGGCACATGTATACGTATGTAACAAACCTGCCCGTTGTGCACATGTACCCTAAAACTTAAAGTATGATAATAATAAAAAAAATGCAGTCCAAACTTTGTTTCATGCACAAAATTTTTTAAAATATTATATAAAATTACCTTCAAGGTATGCATATAATGTATATATGCAACATACATGAATTCCATGTTAGACTTGGGTCTTATCCCCAGGATATCTCATGTATATGCAAATGTTTTAAAATCCAAAATTATCCAAAATCTGAAACACTTTTGGTCCCAAGCATTTTGGATAAGGGATACTCAGTGTGTAAAAGGCAAGTGAAGCATATAGTGAGGACTTAATGTTTCTTTAACAAATAAACCATGTCCTCCAAGTCTTATATTCCTCACAACAACAGATACTGGGCTAAGAATACAGGATGTGTTTAATTTGAGGGCCAAAAATGTTTTGCTTTATTGATACAATCTCTTTATTTTCTTTGAATAAAATGTAAAAATATTAAAATATATATATATTTATATAAAGTATATATATTTTATATAAAATATAAATATTTATACCTCACATAAACTATATATATTTATACTTTGTGTAAACTATATATATATATACTTTACGTAAAGTATATATATGTATATATATACTTTACGTAAAGTATATATATGAATATATATACTTTACGTAAAGTATATATATACTTTACGTAAAGTATATATATACATATATATACTTTAAGTTCTGGGATACATGTGTAGAATGTGCAGGTTTGTTACACAGGTATCAGTCTGTGTCTTTTAACTGGGGCAATTAGCTCATTTACATTTAAGGTTAATATTGTTATGTGTGAATTTGATCCTGTCATCATGATGCTAGCTAGTTATTTTGCACATTAGTTGATGCAGTTGCTTCATAGTGTCGTTGGTCTTTATATTTTGGTATGTTTTTGCAGTAGCTGGTACCAGTTTTTCCTCTCCATATTTAGTCTTTCCTTCAGGAGCTCTTGTAAGGCAGGCCTGGTGTTGACAAAATCGCTCAACATTTGCTTGTCAGTAAAGGGTTTTATTTCTGCTTCCCTTATGAAGCTTAGATTGGCTGGATATGAAATTCTGGGTTGAAAATTCTTTAAGAATGTTGAATATTGGCCCCCTCTCTCTTCTGGCTTGTAGGGTTTCTGAAGAGATCCACTGTTAGTCTGATGTGCTTCCCTTTGTAGGTAACCTGACCCTTCTCTCTGGCTGCCCTTAACATTTTTTTCTTTATTTCAACCTTGGTGAATCTGATGATTATGTGTCTTGGGGTTGCTCTTCTTGAGGAGAATCTTAGTGGTGTTCTCTGTATTTCCTGAATTTGAATGTTGGCCTGTCTTGCTAGGTTGGGGAAGTTCTCCTGGATCATATCCTGAAGTGTGTTTTCCAGCTTGGTTCCGTTCTCCCCATCACTTTCAGGTACACCAATCAATCATAGGTTTGGTCTTTTCACATAGTCCCATATCTCTTGAAGGTTTTGTTCATTCCTTTTCATTCTTTTTTCTCTAATCTTGTCTTCATGCTTTATTTCATTCAGTTTATCTTCAATTTCTGATATCCTTCCTTCTGCTTGATCAATTTGGCTATTGATACTTGTATATGCTTCACAAAGTTCTCATGCTGTGTTTTTCAGCTCCATTAGGTCATTTATGTTGTTCTCTAAACTAGTTATTCTAGTTAGCAGTTCCTGTAACCTTTGTCAAGGTTCTTAGCTTCCTTGCATTGGGTTAGAACATGCTCCTTTAGCTCGGAGGAGTTTGTTATTACCCACCTTCTGAAGCCTACTTCTGTCAATTCGTCAAACTCATTCTGTGTCCAGTTTTGTGTCCTTGCTGGCAAGGAGTTGTGATCCTTTGGAGGAGAAAAGGCATTCTGGTTTTAGGAATTTTCAGCATTTTTGAGCTGATTTTTCCTCATCTTCATGGATTTATCTACCTTTGATCTTTGATGTTGAAGACCTTTGGATGGGGTTTTTGCACAGGCGTCCTTTTTGTTGATGTTAATGTTATTGCTTTCTGTTTGTTAGTTTTCCTTCTAACAGTCAAGTCCCTCTTCTGCAGGTCTGTTAGAGATTGCTGGAGGTCCACTACAGACACTGTTTTCCTGGATATCCCCAGCAGAGGCTACAGAACAGCAAAGATTCCTGCCTGCCCCTTCCTCTTGAAGGTTTGTTCCAGAGGGACACCTGCCAGATGCCAGCCAGAGCTCTCCTGTATGAGATATGTGTTGATCCCTGCTGGGAGGTGTCTCCAGTCAGGAGGCATGAGGGTCAGGGAACTACTTGAGGAGGCAGTCTGTCCCTTAGCAGAGCTCAAGTCCTATGCTGGGAGATCTGCTGCTCTCTTCAGAGCCAGCAGGCAGCAATGTTTAAGTCTGCTGAAGCTGCGCCCACAGCCGCCCCTTCACCCAGGTGCTCTGTCTCAGGGAGAAGGGAGTTTTATCTATAAGCCCCTGACTGGGTCTGCTGCCTTTCTTTCAGATATGCCCTGCCCAGTGAGGAGGAATGTAGAGAGGCAGTCTGGCCACAGCGGCTTTGCCATGCTGCAGTTAGTCTTGCCCAGTCCGAAATTCCTGGCAGCTTTGTTTATACTGTGAGGGGAAAACCACCTATTCAAGCCTCAGTAATGGCAGGTGCCCTTCCCCCAATGAAGTCGTATCATCCAAGGTCGACTTCAGACTGCTGTGCTGACAGCGAGAATTTCAAGCGAGTGGATCTTAGCTTGCTGGGCTCCATAGGGGTGCCACCAGTTGAACAAGACCACTTGGCTCCCTGGCTTCAGTCCCCTTTCCAGGGGAGTGAACAGTTCTGTCTTGCTGGGGTTCCAGGTACCACTGGGGTATGGAAAAAAAATCTCCTGCAGCTAGCTCAGTGTCTGCCCAAACAGCCACCCAGTTTTGTGCTTGAAACCCAGGGCCCTAGCTGTACAGGCACCCGAGGGAATCTCCTGGTCTGTGGGATGTAGAAACTATGGGAAAAGTGTAGTATCTGGGCCACAGAGCACAGTCCCTCATGACTTCCCTTGGTTGGGGAGGAAGTTCTCCAGCCCCTTGTGCTTCCTGGGTGAGGCAATGCCTCCTGCTCCCCCTCCATGGGCTGTACCCACTGTCTAACCAATCCCAATGAGAGGAACCAGGTACCTCTGTTGGAAATGCAGAAATCACCTGCCTTCTGCATTGGTCTCACTGGGAGCTGCAGACCGGAGCTGTTCTTCAGCCATCTTGCCCGCTCATCTCTAAAATTACTTTCTTGATTACTTTTTTTTCCGTAAATATTAGCTGCTTTTCCATTTATTTAGATCTTTTATTTCTTTCAAAAAAAATTTTAACTTTACAGTGGATAAATCTTAAAATTCTTTTGTTTTGCTGTTGTTGTTTACTTTTATTTTAGATACAGGGGTACATTTGCATGTTTGTTATATAGGCAAATTTGAGAATATGTAGTATTTGGTATTCCTGGTCCTGTGTTAGTTTGCTTACAATAATGGCCTCCAACTCCCTCCATGTTGCTACAAAGGACATAATATTGTTCTTTTACATGGCTGTGTAGCATACCATGCTGTACATGCATCACATTTTCTTTATCTAGTCTACCATTGGTGGACATCTAGGTTGATTCCATATATCTGCAATTGTGAATAGTGCTGCAACAAACATATGCATGCATGTGTCTTTATGGCAGAATGATTTCTATTCCTTTGGATATGTATGAATCCATTATTACATTGCTATAAAGAAATACCTGAGACTGGGTGATTTATAAAGAAAAGAAGTTTAATTGACTCATAGTTCTGCAGGGCAACATAGGAAGCATGATTCTGCCATCTGTTCAGCTTCTGAAGAGGCCTCAGGAAACTTACATTCATGGGAGAAGACAAAGGGGGAGCAAGGCATCTTACATAGCAGGAGAAAAGCAAGATAGAGAAGGGGAGGTGCTACACACTTTTAAACAAGCACATTGCACAATAACTCACTCTCTATCATGAGAACAGCACCAAGAAGATGGTGCTAAACCATTCACAAAGCATAAACTCTCATGATCCAATCACCTTGCACCAGACCCCACCTCCAACACTGGGGATTAAAATCAAACATGAGATTTGGGCAGGGACAGAGATTCAAACCATATCAGGGTATATATCTAATAATAGGATTGCTGGCAATAGAAGAAGAGGGAATCTTCCCTAACTCATTTTATGAGGCCAGCATCATCCGGATATCAAAGCCTGGCAGAGACACAACAACAAAAGAGAATTTTAGACCAATATCCCTGATGAACATCGATGCAAAAATCCTCAATAAAATACTGGCAAACTCAACCCAGCAGCACATCAAAAAGCTTATCCACCATGATCAAGTGGGCTTCGTCCCTGGGTCACAAGGCTTCTTCAACATACGAAAATCAATACACGTAATCAAGCATATAAACAGAACCAAAGACAAAAACCACATGATTATCTCAATAGATGCAGAAAAGACCTTTGACAAAATTCAACAGCCCTTCATGCTAAAAACTCTCAATAAATTAGGTATTGATGGGACATATCTCAAAATAATAAGAGCTATCTATGACAAACCCACAGCCAATATCATACTGAATGGACAAAAACTGGAAGCATTCTCTTTGAAAACTGGCACAAGACAGAGATGCCCTCTCTCACCACTCCTATTCAACATAGTGTTGGAAGTTCTGGCCAGGGCAATCAGGCAGGAGAAAGAAATAAAGGGCATTCAATTACGAAAAGAGAAAGCCAAATTGTCCCTGTTTGCAGATGACATGATTGTATATTTAGAAAACCCCATCGTCTCAGCCCAAAATCTCCTTAAGCTGATAGGCAACTTCAGCAAAGTCTCAGGATACAAAATCAATGTGCAAAAATCACAAGCATTCTTATACACCAATAACAGACAAACAGTCAAATCATGAGTGAACTCCCATTCACAATTGCTTCAAAGAGAATAAAATACCTAGGAATCCAACTAACAAGGGATGTGAAGGACTTCTTCAAGGAGAACTACAAACCACTGCTCAGTGAAATAAAAGAGGATACAAACAAATGGAAGAACATTCCATGCTCATGGGTAGGAGGAATCAATATCATGAAAATGGCCATACTGCACAAGGTAATCTATAGATTCAATGCCATCCCCATCAAGCTGCCAATGACTTTCTTCACAGAATTGGAAAAAACTACTTTAAAGTTCATATGGAACCAAAAAAGAACCTGCATTACCAACACAATACTAAGCAAAAAGAAGAAAGCTGGAGGCATCATGCTACCTGACTTCAAACTATACTACAAGGCTTCAGTAACCAAAACAGCATGTTACTGGTACCAAAACAGAGATATAGACCAATAGAACAGAACAGAGTCCTCAGAAATAAGACCACACATCTATAACCATCTGATCTTTGACAAACCTGACAAAAATAAGCACTGGGGAAAGGACTCCCTATTTAATAAATGGTGCTGGGAAAACTGGCTAGCCATATGTAGAAAGCTGAAACCGGATCCCTTCCTTACACCTTATACAAAAATTAATTCAGATGGATTAAAGACTTACATGTTAGACCTAAAACCATAAAGACTCTAGAAGAAAACCCAGGCAATACCATTCAGGACATAGGCATGGGCAAGGACTTCATGTCTAAAACAGCAAAAGCAAAGGGAACAAAAGCCAAAATTGACAAATGGGATCTAATTAAACTAAAGTGCTTCTGCACAGGAAAAGAAACTACCATCAGAGTGAACAGGCAACCTATAGAATGGGAGAAAATTTTTGCAACCTACTCCTCTGACAAAGGGCTAATATACAGAATCTACAAAGAACTCAAACAAATTTACAAGAAAAAAACAAAGAACCCCATCAAAAAGTGAGCGAAGGATATGAACAGACACTTCTCAAAAGAAGACATTTATGCAGCCAAAAAACACATGAAAAAATGCTCATCATCAGTGGCCATCAGAGAAATGCAAATCAAAACAATGAGACACCATCTCACACCAGTTAGAATGGCGATCATTAAAAAGTCAGGAAACAACAGGTGCTGGAGAGGATGTGGAGAAATAGGAACACTTTTACACTGTTGGTGGGACTGTAAACTAGTTCAACCCTTGTGGAAGTCAGTGTGGCGATTCCTGAAGGATCTAGAACTAGAAATACCATTTGACCCAGCCATCCCATTACTGGGTATATACCCAAAGGATTATAAGTCATGCTGCTATAAAGACACATGCTCACGTATGTTTATTGCGACACTATTCACAATAGCAAAGACTTGGAACCAACCCAAATGTCCAACAATGATAGACTGGATTAAGAAAATGTGGCACATATACACCGTGGAATACTATGCAGCCATAAAAAGTGATGAGTTCATGTCCTTTGTAGGGACATGGATGAAGCTGGAAACCATCATTGTCAGCAAAGTATCTCAAGGACAAAAAGCCAAACACCGCATGTTCTCACTCATAGGTCGGAATCGACCAATGAGAACACATGGACACAGGAAGGGGAACATCACACACTGGGGCCTATTGGGTGGGGGGAGGGGGGAGGGATAGCATTAGGAGATATACCTAATGCTAAATGACGAGTTAATGGGTGCAGCACAGCAACATGGCACATGTATACATATGTAACAAACCTGCACGTTGTGCACATGTACCCTAAAACTTAAAGTATAATAATAATAATAAATCATAAAAGAAATGATAAGTAAAACACAGTAAAAGTAAAAGAAAGTTTAATTCCTTCACATTCGAAATTATTACCCATATATGAAGGCCTATTTCTTTAATTTTATTGTTTTCTGATTTTTTTCTATAACCTTTGTTACCTCATTTATTGTTTAGCACTGCAGTTTCGTGGTACTCTATAGTGGTAATATTCAAGCTTTTAAGTCTTCTTTGTGTGTTTTATATGCCAGTAGTTTTTGCATTTTCATGTGTTTTCATGATGCTAGTAACTGTTCTTTCACTTCCTGGTATAGGACTCTCTTAAGTATATCTTGAAGGACTGGTCTAGTGGTGGTAAAGTTTCTCAGCTTTTGCTTGTATGGGAAAGTTTTATTTCTTCTTTACTTATGAAAAATAAGTTTTCCTGGTATAGCATCCTTGGCTGGCAGTTTTTTTTCTTTCAGCACTTTGAATATGTCATTGAATTGTCTCCTGGCCTATAAGGTTTCTACTGAGAAATCTGCTGTTAGTCTGATTTCTTTTTTAAATAAGTGATTAAACATTTCTCTTCTGCTGTTTTTAGAATTTTCTCTATATCTTTGACTTTTGATAGTTTGTAATGTGCTGTGGTTCTCTACAATTCTTTTGAAAATTGTATCTATTTCGGGATGTTTGAGAATCCTGTATCTGGCTGTCTAAATCTCTTGTTAGACTTGGGAAGTTTTCAGCTATTATTGCATTAAATGGATTTTCTAACCCTCTTGTTTTCATTTGGGAAACCTAAAATTTACAGATTTGGTTTCCTTATGATGTTCCATGTGTCATTTAGGAGTTGCTCATTCTTTTTTTTTTTTTTTTTTTTTTGAGATGGAGACTCACTCTGTCACCCAGGCTGGAATGCAGTGGCGTGATCTCGGCTCATTGCAACCTCCACCTCCTGGATTCAAGCGATTCTCCTGTCTCAGCCTCCCAAGTATCTGGGACTACAGGCACCCACCACCGCGCCCGGCTAGTTTTTGTATTTTTAGTAGAGACGGAGTTTCACCATATTGGACAGGCTGGTCTGGAATTCCTGACCTTGCGATCCGCTCGCCTCAGCTTCCCAAAGCACTGGGATTACAGGCGTAAGCCACCGTGCCCAACCCCGCTCATTCTTTTTTATTCTTTTTTCTTCATTTTTATCTGACCAACTTATTTCAAAAGATCATCTTCAGGTTCTGAGATTATTCTGCTTTTTATAGTGTATTGTTAAAGCACCTGAATGCATTTTATACTTCAGTCAATGAATTCTTCTGTTCCAGAGTTTGTATTTGGTTCTTTTCATCTTACCTCTTTGGTAAATTTCCGATTTATATCCTGAGTTATTTTTTCTTCTTTCCTTGTATTATTTTTCAGTATTCTCTTGTATCTCATTGAGCTTCTTTAGTATTGATATTTTGAATTATTCTTCTGAGATTTTATGAGTTTCTTTTTAATTGGTATCTGTTGCTGGAGAATTATTGTGTTCCTTTTGAGGTGTCATGTTTCCTGGGTCCTTACATTGATATCTGTACATTTTGTATAACAGTCAATTCTTTTAATTTTTAAATTTGCTTTTGTAGGGGAAGATATTTTCCTGAAGATTTATCTGTGGTGTTGGTTGTGTAGGGCACTTCAGTTTTCATTCTGGGTGCATGCAGTAGTGTAGTCTCTTTATAATTTCTTTGGCTGTAAACAGAATCAGTGGTATCTGTGATATCCTCAGTAGCTTAGAGTGTGGTTGTTACTGGAGGCTGTGATGTAGTTTTGCTGGAGACTGGGATACTAGGGAAGCCAGTGTTTGGGCCTTATTATTGGGATGATTATGCCTTTCTTTGGGCCTCAGAATGGCCTATGCTAGCATCACAGTTAGTCAGCTAGGTTAGGCTGATTCTTGGGCCTCCAAGTGGTTTTCTTGGGTTCTGGAAATGGCAACAGTGGCCTGGGGGATAGGCGGGTTCTCTAGCCCCTGAGCAGCAAGCATGGCATGGGTAATAGCAGCAGCATTGGTGGGAAAGCCCTCTAGAACCCAAGTAATCCATGCTGGTGTTGGCATTAGCAGCACAGGGCTAAGTGGGCCAGTGTCCAAGCTCATAGGTATCACATGTGGGTAGGTGCTAGCTATGGTAGTAGCAAGAAAAGAGATAATACAGATTAGAGCAAAAATGAATGCAGTTGATGCAAAAAAAAAAAAAGTATGAAAGATCAACACAATGAGAAGTGGATTTTTTGAAAGGGTAATAAAAATTGACATAACCAGAATAAATAAGAAAAAAGAAAGAAGACCTAAAAAAAATAAAATCAGAGATGAAAAGAAGACATTGCAACTGATACTGTGGAAATTCAAGGATCATTAGAGACTACTATGAGCAACTATGTGCCAATAAATCAGAAAAGCTATAAGAAATGGATAAATTCCTAGATGTATACAACCTGTCAAAATTGAACCATGAATAAATAAAAAACCTGAATAAATAACAAGTAACAAGATTGAAGCTGTAATAAAAAGCCTTGCAGCAATAAAAATCCCAGGCCTCGATGGCTTCACTACTCAATTTTACAAAGTTGGGGGCCTGGCACCACCCCACCAGAGTTACAGCACACAGACTAGGAGTGCTGAGCTAAGCCTCAGCTTTCTAAAATTTTCCAGAAATGAACCCAGTCAATTGAACTCACCTTATACCACAGTCAAACCCCCAAGGGCATCAAAGAAGATACCACCCCCCAAAAAAGACCCAAAGGACAACTTCGAAGATTGAAGGAACATCAGCCCACACAGATGAGAAAGAACCTGTGCAATAACTCTGGCAACTCAAAAAGTCAGAGTGTCTTTCTACCTCCAAATGACTGCACTAGTTCCCCAGCAATTGTTCTTAGCCCATGCTGGAATGGCTGAAGTGACAGAAATACAATTCAGAATATTCATAGGAATGAAGATCATCAATATTCAGGAAAAAGTTGAAACACAATCTAAGGAATCTAAGGAATACAATAAAATAATACAGCATATGAAAGACAAAATGGCCATTTTAAAAAAGAATCAACTGATCTGATGGAGCTGAAAAACTCACTTCAAGAATATCATAATACAGGAGTGTGGAGGATCATGGTGGATGGGAGGCAGGACAAGATTGCAGCTCCAGACCAAGCAAGACCTGGAGGCTTGCATTGTGAATTTTAGCTCCAGATCGACTGAAAGAACAAACCACCAATCCTGAGAGGACCCACAGACCCTCTGAAGGAAGTGGACTGCTCCTGCAGAACCTGGGAGATACCCCAAATACTGTGAGTGCCCCAACTGTGGAAGTGGGAAAGGGAGACCCTCCTATCCCAAACACACACCCCAACTAGAAAAGCTGAAAGTCTGTTTGCGGGAGAAGTTTCTGACTTTACCTGGAGCTGAGTCAAGTTAAGAGAGCTGAGCAAAATACAGGGGTAGAGGAAGCATCAGAAAGGCCCTGGGAGCTCACTGGGTCCCCAAGCAGCCCATTACTGCCTGGCACCACAAGGATCCATTGGGAGGGTGGCCAGAGGAGCAGGGGGTAAAACTCCACAGGGAGAAACAATTCTCTAGCCAAACTTTGTAACAATTTGAATGGACCAAGAAGTTTCCTGGCCAGAATTCAGGTGAGGGTGCAAATCTGGCATGCAGACTTCACCAGCTGGGGAAGAATTGAAGCCCTATTCTCTTGCAGCTATGAAGCGGATAGCCTTGGGCAAGTTTTCAAGCCCCTCTTGCCTTCCACCTGGAAACAGCCTCAGGGCAGTTGGGGAGGGCACAGTGGAAGTGAGACCAGCCCTTTGGATTCTGTGGGAGCTGGGTGAGGCCTGTGACTGCCGGCCTTCCCCGACTTTCCTGACAACCTGTATGACTCAGCAGAGGCAGCCATGATCCTCCTAGGTAGGTACGCAACTCCAGTGACCTGGGAATCTCACATGTACCCCTGACAGCAGCCACAGCAAGGCCCACCCAAGGAGATTCTGAGCTCAGGCATGCCTAGCCCTGCCCCCAACCTGATGGTCCTTCCCTGTCCACCCTGGTAGCAGAAGACAAAGGGCATGTAATATTGGGAGTTTTAGGGCCTTGCCCACTGCCCGTTCCTCTCCACACACTACAGCTGATGCTTTCTGGAAAGCACCACCTCCTGGCAGGAGGCCAACCAGCACAAAAATAGAGCATTAAAACACCAATGCTAAAGGCCTTCACAGAGTCCATTGCACCCTCCAACACCTCCACTGGAACAGTTGCTGGTAACCATGCTGAGAGACCCATAGACGATTCACATCACAGGACTCTGTGCAGACAACCCCCAATACCAGCTAGGAGCTGGGTAGACTCACTGGGTAGACCCAGAAGAGAGACAATATCACTGCAGTTTGGCTCACAGGAAGCCATATCCATAGGAAAAGGGGGAGAGTAGTACATTGAGGGAACAACCCATGGGACAAAATAATCTGAACAATAGCCTTCAGCCTTAGACCTTTCGTCCAGTAGAACCTGCCCAAATGAGAAGGAACCAGAAAACCAACTATGGTAATATAACAAAACAAGGCTCTTCAACGCACCCCCAAAAAATCACAGTAGTTCACCAGTAATAGATCCAAACAAAGGAGAAATTCCTGATTTGTCTGAAAAAGAATTCAGGAGTTTAGTTATTAAGCTAATCAGGGAGGGACCAGAGAAAGGTGAAGTGCAATGCAAAGAAATCCAAAAAATGATATAAGAAGTGAAAGGAAAAATACTCATTTAATTAGATAGGTTAAATAAAAAACAGTCAAATATTCAGGAAACATTGGACAAACTTTTAAAAATGTGAAATACTTTGGGAAGTCTCAGCAATAGAATTGAACAAATAGAAGAAAGAAATTCAGAGCTTGAAGACAAGATCTTCAAATTAACCCAATCCAACAAAGACAAAGAAAAAAGAATAAGAAAGTATGAACAAAACCTCCAAGAATCTGGGTTTATGTTAAATGACCAAACCTAAAAATAATTGGTGTTCCTGAAGAAGAAGAGAATTCTAAAAACTTAGAAAACATATTTGGGGGAAAAATCAAGGAAAAATTCCCTCGCCTAGCTACAGAGGTAGACATCCAAATACAAGAAGCACAAAGGACACCTGGGAATTCATTGCAAAAAGATCTTCACCTAGAGAGATTGTCGTCAGATTATCCAGAGTTAAGACAAAGGAAAGAATCAGGATCTGTGAGACAAAAGCACCAGGTAATCTATACAGGAAAACCTATCAGATTAATAGCAGATTTCTCAGAAGAAACTCTACAAGCTAGAAGGGATTGGGGCCCTATCTTCAGCCTCCTCAAACAAAACAATTATCAGCCAAGAATTGTGTATCCAGTGAAACTAAGCCTCATATACGAAGGGGAAGATGCAGTCGTTTTCAGACAAACAAATGCTGAGAGAATTCGCCATTGCCAAGCCGCCACCACAAGAACTGCTGAAAAGAGCTCTAAATCTTGACATGAATCCTGGAAACCCATCAAAATAAAACTTCTTTAAGCCATAAATCACACAGGACCTGTAAAACAAAAATACAAGCTAAAAAGGAAAAGCAAAACACAAACAAAAAAACCCCAAAGTACACAGGCAACAAAGAGCATTTTGAATGCAATGGTACCTCACATTTCAGTAATAACATTGAATGTAAATGGCCTAAATGCTCCACTTAAAAGATACAGAACTGCAGAATGGATAAGAACTCACCAACCAACTATCTGCAGCCTTCAGGAGACTCACCTAACACATAAGTACTCACATGAACCTAAAGTAAAGGGGTAGAAAAAGGCATTTCATGCAAATGGAGACCAAAAGTGAGTAGGGGTAGCTATTCTTATATCAGACAAAACAAACTTTAAAGCAACAGCAGTTAAAAGCAACAAAGAGGGACAGTATATAATGGCAAAAGGCCTAGTCCAACAGGAAAATATCACAGTACTAAACATATATGCACCTAACACTGGAGCTCCCAAATTTATAAAACTATTACTAATGGGCCTAAGAAATGAGAGACAGCAACACAATGATAGTGAGGGATTTCAATATTCCACTAGAGAGGTCATTAAAACAGAATGTCAACAAAGAAACATTGGATTTCAACTATACCTTGGAACCAATAGAATTAACAGATATATACAGAACATTTCATCCAACAACCCACAAAATACACATTCTATTCAACAGTATATGGAACTTTCTCAAAGATAGACCATATGATAGGCCATAACATGAGCCTCAATAAATTTTAAAAAATTGAAATTATATCAAGCATACTCTGAGACCACAGTGGAATAAACCTGGAAATCAACTCCAAAAGGAACCTTCAAAACCGTGCAAATACATGGAAATTAAATAACCTGCTTCTGAATGAGCATTGGGTCAAAAACAAAATTGAGATGGAAATTAAAAAATTCTTCAAACTGAATGACAATAATGACACAACCTGTCAAAACCTCTAAAGAGCACAATCTAAGGTCACACCTCAAAGAACTAGAGAAACAAGAACAAACCAAACCCTAACCCAGCAGAAGAAAGGAAATAACCAAGGTCAGAGTAGAACTAAATGAAATTGGCACAAACAAACAAAAAAATACAAAAGGTAAATGAAACAAAAAGCTGGCTCTTTGAGAGATAAATAAAATCGATAGACCATTAGCAAGATTAACCAAGAAAAGAAGAGAGAAAATCCAAATAACTTCACTGAGAAACAAAACAGGAGATATTACAACTGACACCTCTGAAATACAAAAGATTATTCAAGGCTATTATGAACACCTTTATGCACACAAACTAGAAAACCTAGAAGAGATGGATAAATTCCTTGAAAAACACTACCCTCCTAACTTAAATCTGGAAGAATTAGATACCCTGAACAGACCAGTAACAAGCAGTGAGATTGAAATGGTAATTTAAAAATTATCAACAACAAAAAAATCCAGGACCAGATGGATTCACGCAGAATTCTACCTGACATTCAAAGAAGAATTGCTACCAATCCTTTTGACACTATTCCACAAGATAGAGAAATGGATAGCTTAAAGAAATAGACAAGAAAGAGGGAACCCTCCCTAAATCATTCTAAGAAGCCAGTGTCACCTTAATACCAATAACAGGAAAGGACACAACCAAAAAAGAAAACTACAGACTGATATCCTTGATGAACATAGATGCTAAAGTCCTTCACAAAATACTAGTTAACTGAATCCCACAACATATAAAAAAGGTAATCCACCATGATCAAGTGGGTTTCATACCAGGGATTCAGGGGTGGTTTAGCATACGCAAGTCAATAAATGTGATACACCACATAAACAGAATTTTTTAAAAAAATCACATGATCATCTCAGTAGATGGAGAAAAAACATTCAACAAAATCCAACATCCTTTTATGATTAAAACTCCCAGCACAATCGACATACAAGGGACATACCTTAACGTAGTAAAAGCCATCTATGACAGACCCACAGTCAACATAATACTGAATGGGGAAAAGATGAAAGCATTCCTGCTGAGAACTGGAACAAGACAAGGATGCCCACTCTCACCACTCCTCTTCAACATAGTGCTGGAAGTCCTAGCCAGAGCAATTGGACAGGAGAAAGAAATAAAGGGCATCCAAATCAATAAAGAGGAAGTCAGACTGTCACTGTTTGCTGATGATATGATCATTTACCTTGAAAACCCTAAGATTCCTCCAGAATGCTCCTAGAACTAATAAAAGAATTCAGCAAAGTTTCCAGATACAAGATTAATGTACGCAAATCAGTAGCTCTTCTATACACCAACAGTGACCAAGTGGAGAACCAAATCATGAACTCAACTCGTTTTACAATAGCTTCAAAAAAAGATAATACTTAGGAATATACCTATCCAAGGAGTCAAAAGACCTCTACAAGGAAAACTACAAAACACTGCTGAAAGAAATCATATATGACACAAACAAATGGAAACACATCCATGCTCATGGATGGGTAGAATTAATATTGTGAAAATGTCCATACTGACAAAAGCAGTCTACAAATTCAATGCAATCCCCATCAAATATCCCATCATTCTTCACATAATAAAGAATGAGCCCACAAAGCTAAAGCAAAACTAAGCAAAAAGAACCAATCTGGAGGCATAAACTACCTGATTTCAAACTATACTATAAGGCCATAGTCACCAAAACAGCATGGTACTGCTATAAAAATAGGCATATAGACCAATGGAACAGAATAGAGAACCCAGAAATAAACCCAAGTACTTACAGCCAACTGATCTTTGACAAAGCAAATAAACCATAAAGTGGGGAAAGGGCAGCCTTTTCAATGAATGATGCTGGCATAATTGGCTAGCCATATGTAGGAGAATTAAACCGGATCCTCATCTCTCACTTTATACAAAAATCAACTCAGGATAGATTAAAGACTTAATCCTAAGACCTGAAACTATAAAAATTCTAGAAGATAATAACATTGGAAAAACCCTTCTAGACATTGCCTTAGTCAAGGATTTCATGACCAAGAACCCAAAAACAAATGCAATAAAAACAAAGATAAATAGCTGGGACCTAATTAAAGAGCTTTTACATGATAAAAGGAACATCAGCAGAGTAAAAAGACAACCCATAGTGTGGGAGAAAATCTTCACAACCTATACATCTGACAAAGGACTAATATCCAGAATCTGCAATGAACTCAGACAAATCGTAAGAAAAAAATATCTCATCAAAAAGTGGGCTAAGGACATGAATAGAAAATTCTCAAAAGAAGATATACAAATGGCCAAGAAACATATAAAAAAAACTCAACATCACTAATGATCAGGGAAATGCAAATCAAAACCACAATGTGATACCATCTTACTCCTGCAAGAATGGCCATAATCAAAAAATCAAAAAACAGTAGATGTTGGCATGAATGTGGTGAAGAGAGAGCACTTCTACACTACTGGTGGGAATGTAAACTAGAACACCCACTATGAAAAACAGTGTGGAGATACCTTAAAGTAAAAGTAGAACTATGATTTGATTTAGCAATCCCACCACTGGATATCTACCCAGAGGAAAAGAAGTTATTATTTGAAAAAGACACTTGCACATGCATGTTTATAGCAGCACAATTCACAATTGCAAAATCGTGGAACCAACCCAAATGCCCATCAATCAATGACTGGATAAAGAAACTGTGGTATATATATATACATATGATGAAATACTATTCAGCCATAAAAACGAATGAATTGACAGCATTTGCAGTGACCTGGTTGAGACTGGAGACTATTACTGTAAGTGAAGTAACGCAGGAATGGAAAACCAAACATTGTATGTTCTCACTGATACGTGGGAGCTAAGCTATGAGGATGCAAAGACATAAGAATGATACAATGGACTTTGGGGACTTGGTGGGAAGAGTGTGAGGTGGGCAAGGGATAAAAGACTACAAATATGGTGCAGTGTTTACTGCTTTGGGTGCACCAAAATCTCACAAATCACCACCAAAGAACCTACTCAGGTAACCAAATACCACCTGTACCCCAATAACTTATGGAAAAAAGAATATAATGCAGTCACAGGTATTACCAGCAGAATCAACCAAGCTGAGGAAAGAGTTTCAGAGCTGAAATACTGGTTGTCCAAAATAACTGAGTCAGACAAAAGTAAAGAAAAAACAATAAAGACAAATGAACCAAATATCTGAGAAATGTGGAATGAGGTAAAGAGACCAAGTCTATGATTCATTGGCAAACCTGAAAGAGAGGGAGAGAAAGCAAGCAACTTGGAAAACATATTGAGGATATCATTGACAAGAGTTTCGCCAACCTCACTAGAGAATCTGACATTCAAATTCAGGAAATGCAGAGAACTACACAAGATGACCATCCTCAAGATACATGGTCATTAGATTCTCCTAGATAGAAATGAAAGAAAAAGCATTAAAGGCAGCTAAAGAGAATGGGCAAGCAACCCAAAAAGGGAACCCCATCAGCCTAAGGTGTATGTTTCAGCAGAAACTCTATGTCAGAAGATATTGATGGCCTATATTCAGCATTATTAAAGAAAACAAATTCCAATCAATATTTTAATATCCAGCCAAAGTAAGCCTTAGAAGTGTAGAAGAAATAAGATCCTTTTCAGACAAGCAAATGCCATAGAAATTTGTTACCACCAGATCTGTCTTAAAAGAGGTCCTTAAGGGAGTGCTAAATATGGAAAGGAAAGACCATTACTGGCCACCACAAAAATATGCTTAAGTACATAGACCATTGACACTATGAAGCAACCACACAATCAAGTCTGTGTAACAACCAGCTAAGATGATGACAGGATCAAATCTGCACATATCAATATTAACCTTGAGTGCAAATGGCTAAATGTTCCAATTAAAAGTCGCAGGATGGCGAATTGGATAAAGAAGTAAGACCCAACTGGATGTTTTCTTCAACAGACCCATCTCATATGTAATGTTCGTTCATAAGCTCAAGTGAAGGGATGGAGAAAAATCTACAAAGCAAATGGAAAACAGAAAAAAGCAGGGTTTCCTATTCAAATTTCAGGCAAAACAGACTTTAAATCAACCATCAAAAAAGACAAAGAAGGGCATTACATATTGGTAAAGGGTTTAATTCAACAAGAAGTCCTGACTATCCTAAATATATATGCACCCAATACAGGAGCACTCAGATTCATAAAGCAAGTTCCTAGAGACCAACAAAGAATTAGATAACCACACAATGATAGTGGGAAACTTCAACACCCCGATGACACTATCATACAGATAACTGAGGCAGAAAACTAACAAAGATATTTGGTGGTGTGAGTTGGTTGAAGGTATTAAGAAAAATAAAGCAAAGAAAAATACAATATTATGAATAAAAAAAGATATTTGGGACTTAAACTGACACTTGACAAAAATAGGCCTAATAGACATCTACAAAACTCTCCACCCAAAACCAATAGAATATACATTCTTCTCATTTGCACATGGCACATACTCTAAAATCAACTGCACAAATGGCCATAAAACAATCCTTAGCATATTTTTTCAAAAATGAAAACATACCAAACACACCCTCGAATCACAGCACAATAAGAATAGAAGTCAGTACTTGGAAAATTGCTCAAAACTATACAATTATATGGAAATGACACAATCTGCTCTTGAGTGACTTTGGGTAAATAAAATTAAGGCAGAAATCAAGAAATTCATTGAAACTAATGAGAATAAAGGGAGAGCATACCAGAATCTCTGGGACACAGCCAAAGCAGTGTTTAGAGGGAAGATTATAGTGCTAAATGCCCACATCAAAAAGTTAGAAAGATCTCAAATTAATAAACTAACATTGCACCTTGAGGAAAGAGAGAAACAAGTGCAAACCAACATCAGTGCTAGCAGAAGACAAGAAATAACCAAAATCAGAGCTGAACTGAAGGAAATTGAGATGTGAAAAATGATACAAAAGAGCAATAAATCCTGGAGCTGTTTCACTGAAAGAATAAGCAAAACTGATAGACAGTCAGACGGATAAAGAAAAAAAGAGAGAAGATCCAAATAAACACAATCAGAAATGATAAAGGGAACGTTACCACTGACCCCACGGAAATACAAAAAACCTTCAGAGACTATCGTGAACACCTGTATACAAAGTAGAAAATCTAGAAGAAATGGATAATTTCCTGGAAACATACAACCTCCAAAGATTGAACCAAGAAGAAAAAACGGAATTCCTGGACAAACCAATAAGGAGTTCCAAAACTTAATCAGTATTAAAAAGCCTACCAACAAGGAAAAGCCCAGGACTAGATAGATTCACAGCCGAATTCTACCAGATGTGTAAAGAAGAGCTGGTATAATTTCTACTGAAACTGTTACAAAAAAATTGAAGAGGAGGACTCCTCCCTTACTCATTTTATGAGGCCAGAATCATCCTGATACCAAAACCTGGCAGAGACACAACAACAAAACAAAAGAAAACTTCAGGCAAATATACTTGATGCTAATAGATGTGAAAATTTTCAACAAAATACTAGCAAACCAAATTTAGCAGCACATCAAAAAGTTAATCCACCACAATCAAGTAGGCTTTATCCCTGGGATGAAAGGTTGTTTTAACATACACAAATCAATAAATGTGATTCATCACATGAGCAAAAACAAAAATAAAAATCACATGATTAGCCCAATCAATGGCAGAAAAGACTTTCAATAACACTTAATATCCCTTCATGTTAAAAACTAGAAACAAACTAGGCATTGGAGGAACATACCTCAAAATAATAAGAGCCACCTATGAGAAACCCACAGCCAATATAATACTGAACAGCAAAAGCTAGAAACATTCTTCTTGAGAACTGGAACAAGACAAGGATGCCCACTGTCACCACTCCTATTCAACATAGTATGGGAAGTCCTAGCCAGAACAGTTACACAAGAGAAAGAAATAAAAGGCATTCAAATAGGAAGAGAGGAAGTCAAACTATCTCTGTTTGAAGATGATATGATATTATACCCCAAAAACCTCACAGTCTCTGTGCAAAAGCTTCTAGATCGGATAAACAACTTCAATAAAGTTTGAGCATACAAAATCAGTGTACAAAAATCAGTAGCATTTCTATACATCAACAACATGCATGCTGAGAGCCAAATCAAGAAAGCAATCCCATTCACATTAGCCAGAAAAGGAATAAAATACCCAGGAATACAGCTAACAAGGGAGGTAAAAGATCTCTACGATGAGAATTATAAAATACTGCTAAAAGAAATCAGAGATGACACAAACAAATGGAAAAACATTCTATGCTCATGGATAGAAAGAATCAATATTGTTAAATGGCTATACTACCCAAAGCAATTTATAGATTCAGTGCTATTACTATCAAACTTCCAATGACATTCTTCATAGAATTAAAAAAATATTTTAAGTATTCTATGGAACCAAAAAAAGAGCCCAAATAGCCAAGGCAATACTAACCAAAAAGAATAAATGTGGAGACATCACATTAACCAACTTCAAACTATGCTACAAGGTTATCAAAATAGCATAGTGCTGATACAAAAATAGACACATAGGCCAACAAAGCAGAATACCGAGCCCAGAAATAATGCCACATACCTGCAACCATCTGATCTCTGACAAAGTCAACAAAAACAAGCAATGGGGAAAGGAGTCCCTATTCAGCTATGCTAGCTGGTGTAACTGGCTAGCCCTAAACAGAAGGTTGAAACTGGACCCTTTCCTTACACCATATACAAAAATCAACTCAAGATTGATTAAAGACTTAAATGTAACACCTGAAACTATAAAAATGTTGGAAGATAATCTAGGAAATACCATGCTGGACACATGCCCTGGCAAAGATTTTATGATGAAGACACGTAACACAGTTGCAACAAAAACAAACATTGACAAATGGGACCTAATTAAACTAAAGAGCTTCAGCAAAATAAGCTATCAACAGAATAAACAGACAACGTACAGAAGGGGAGGAAATATGTATAACCTATGCATCCAACAAAAGTCTAATATCCAGAATATATAAGGAATTTAAACAAATTAATCAGCAAGAAATAAACAACCCCATTAAAAACTGGGCAAAGGACATGAACATTTTTCCAAAGAAGACACCCACATGGCCAACAAATATATGAAAAAATGCTCACCATTACTAATCATTAGAGAAATGAAAATCAAAACCACAATGAGATACCACCTCACATCAGACAAAATGGCTATTACTAAAAAGTAAAAAAATAACAGAAGGTCGTGCGGTTGCAGAGAAAAGGGAATGCTTAAACCCTGCTAGTGGGAATGTAAATTAGTTCAGCTATTGTGCAAAGCAGAGTGGCAATTTCCCAAAGAACTCAAAACTGAATTATCACTTGACACAGCAATCCTATTTTTTAAATTATACTTTAAGTTCTAGGGTACATGTGCACAACATGGAAGTTTGTTACATATGTATACATATGCCATGTTGGTGTGCTGCACCCATTAACTCGTCATTTACATTAGGTATATCTCCTAATGCTTTCCCTCCCCCTCCCCCCACCCCACAACAATAGGGTACATGTGCACAAAGTGCAGGTTTGTTACATATGTATACATGTGCCATGTTGGTGTGCTGCACCCATTAACTCGTCATTTACATTAGGTATATCTCCTAATGCTTTCCCTCCCCCTCCCCCTACCCCACAACAGGCTCCGGTGTGTGATGTTCCCCTTCCAGTGTCCAAGTGTTCTCATTGTTCAATTCCCACCTATGAGTGAGAACATGCGGTGTATGGTTTTTTATTCTTGCGAAAGTTTGCTGAGAATGATGGTTTCCAGCTTCATCCATGTCCCTGCAAAGGACATGAATTCATCGTTTTTTTATGGCTGCATAGTATTCCATGGTGTATATCTGCCACATTTTCTTAATCCAGTCTATCATTGTTGGACATTTGGGTTGGTTCCAAGTCTTTGCTATTGCGAATAGTGCCACAATAAACATATGGTGCATGTGTCTTTATAGCAGCATGATTTATAATCCTTTGGGTATATACCCAGTAATGAGATGGCTGGGTCAAATGGTATTTCTAGTTCTAGATCCTTGAGGAATCACCACTGTCTTCCACAATGGTTGAACTAGTTTACAGTCCCACCAACAGTATAAAAGTGTTCCTATTTCTCCACATCCTCTCCAGCACCTGTTGTTTCCTGACTTCGTAATGATCGCCATTCTAACTGGTGTGAGATGGTATCTCATTGTTTTGATTTGCATTTCTCTGATGGGCAGTGATGATGAGCATTTTTTCATGTGTTTTTTGGCTGCATAAATGTCTTCTTTTGAGAAGTGTCTGTTCATATACTTTGCCCGCTTTTTGATGGGATTGATTGTTTTTTTCTTGTAAATTTGTTTGAGTTCTTTGTAGATTCTGGATATTAGCCCTTTGTCAGAGGAGTAGGTTGCAAAAATTTTCTCCCATTCTATAGGTTGCCTATTCACTCTGATGGTAGTTTCTTTTCCTGTGCAGAAGCGCTTTAGTTTAATTAGATCCCATTTGTCAATTTTGGCTTTTGTTCCCTTTGCTTTTGCTGTTTTAGACATGAGGTCCTTGCCCATGCCTATGTCCTGAATGGTATTGCCTGGGTTTTCTTCTAGGGTTTTTATGGTTTTGGGTCTAACATTTAAGTCTTTAATCCATCGGAATTAATTTTTGTATAAGGTGTAAGGAAGGGATCCGGTTTCAGCTTTCTACATATGGCTAGCCAGTTTTCCCAGCACCATTTATTAAATAGGGAGTCCTTTCCCCAGTGCTTATTTTTGTCAGGTTTGTCAAAGATCAGATGGTTATAGACGTGTAGTCTTATTTCTGAGGACTCTGTTCTGTTCTATTGGTCTATATCTCTGTTTTGGTACCAGTACCATGCTGTTTTGGTTACTGTAGCCTTGCAGTATAGTTTGAAGTCAGGTAGCATGATGCCTCCAGCTTTCTTCTTTTTGCTTAGTATTGTGTTGGTAATGCAGGTTCTTTTTTGGTTCCATATGAACTTTAAAGTAGTTTTTTCCAATTCTGTGAAGAAAGTCATTGGCAGCTTGATGGGGATGGAATTGAATCTGTAGATTACCTTGTGCAGTATGGCCATTTTCATGATATTGATTCCTCCTACCCATGAGCATGGAATGTTCTTCCATTTGTTTTTGTATCCTCTTTTATTTCACTGAGCAGTGGTTTGTAGTTCTCCTTGAAGAAGTCCTTCACATCCCTTGTTAGTTGGATTCCTAGGTATTTTATTCTCTTTGAAGCAATTGTGAATGGGAGTTCACTCATGATTTGACTGTTTGTCTGTTATTGGTGTATAAGAATGCTTGTGATTTTTGCACATTGATTTTGTATCCTGAGACTTTGCTGAAGTTGCCTATCAGCTTAAGGAGATTTTGGGCTGAGACGATGGGGTTTTCTAAATATACAATCATGTCATCTGCAAACAGGGACAATTTGGCTTTCTCTTTTCGTAATTGAATGCCCTTTATTTCTTTCTCCTGCCTGATTGCCCTGGCCAGAACTTCCAACACTATGTTGAATAGGAGTGGTGAGAGAGGGCATCTCTGTCTTGTGCCAGTTTTCAAAGAGAATGCTTCCAGTTTTTATCCATTCAGTATGATATTGGCTGTGGGTTTGTCATAGATAGCTCTTATTATTTTGAGATATGTCCCATCAATACCTAATTTATTGAGAGTTTTTAGCATGAAGGGCTGTTGAATTTTGTCAAAGGTCTTTTCTGCATCTATTGAGATAATCATGTGGTTTTTGTCTTTGGTTCTGTTTATATGCTTGATTACGTGTATTGATTTTCGTATGTTGAAGAAGCCTTGTGACCCAGGGACGAAGCCCACTTGATCATGGTGGATAAGCTTTTTGATGTGCTGCTGGGTTGAGTTTGCCAGTATTTTACTGAGGATTTTTGCATCGATGTTCATCAGGGATATTGGTCTAAAATTCTCTTTTGTTGTTGTGTCTCTGCCAGGCTTTGATATCTGGATGATGCTGGCCTCATAAAATGAGTTAGGGAAGATTCCCTCTTCTTCTATTGCCAGCAATCCTATTATTAGATATATACCCTGATATGGTTTGAATCTCTGTCCCTGCCCAAATCTCATGTTTGATTTTAATCCCCAGTGTTGGAGGTGGGGTCTGGTGCAAGGTGATTGGATCATGAGAGTTTATGCCTTGTGAATGGTTTAGCACCATCTTCTTGGTGCTGTTCTCATGATAGAGAGTGAGTTATTGTGCAATGTGCTTGTTTAAAAGTGTGTAGCACCTCCCCTTCTCTATCTTGCTTTTCTCCTGCTATGTAAGATGCCTTGCTCCCCCTTTGTCTTCTCCCATGAATGTAAGTTTCCTGAGGCCTCTTCAGAAGCTGAACAGATGGCAGAATCATGCTTCCTATGTTGCCCTGCAGAACTATGAGTCAATTAAACTTCTTTTCTTTATAAATCACCCAGTCTCAGGTATTTCTTTATAGCAATGTAATAATGGATTCATACATATCCAAAGGAATAGAAATCATTCTGCCATAAAGACACATGCATGCATATGTTTGTTGCAGCACTATTCACAATTGCAGATATATGGAATCAACCTAGATGTCCACCAACGGTAGACTAGATAAAGAAAATGTGATGCATGTACAGCATGGTATGCTACACAGCCATGTAAAAGAACAATATTATGTCCTTTGTAGCAACATGGAGGGAGTTGGAGGCCATTATTGTAAGCAAACTAACACAGGACCAGGAATACCAAATACTACATATTCTCAAATTTGCCTATATAACAAACATGCAAATGTACCCCTGTATCTAAAATAAAAGTAAACAACAACAGCAAAACAAAAGAATTTTAAGATTTATCCACTGTAAAGTTAAAATTTTTTTTGAAAGAAATAAAAGATCTAAATAAATGGAAAAGCAGCTAATATTTACGGAAAAAAAAGTAATCAAGAAAGTAATTTTAGAGATGAGCGGGCAAGATGGCTGAAGAAGAACAGCTCCGGTCTGCAGCTCCCAGTGAGACCAATGCAGAAGGCAGGTGATTTCTGCATTTCCAACAGAGGTACCTTGTTCCTCTCATTGGGATTGGTTAGACAGTGGGTACAGCCCATGGAGGGGGAGCAGGAGGCATTGCCTCACCCAGGAAGCACAAGGGGCTGGAGAACTTCCTCCCCTAGCCAAGGGAAGTCATGAGGGACTGTGCTCTGTGGCCCAGATACTACACTTTTCCCATAGTTTCTACATCCCACAGACCAGGAGATTCCCTCGGGTGCCTGTACAGCTAGGGCCCTGGGTTTCAAGCACAAAACTGGGTGGCTGTTTGGGCAGACACTGAGCTAGCTGCAGGAGATTTTTTTTCCATACCCCAGTGGTACCTGGAACCCCAGCAAGACAGAACTGTTCACTCCCCTGGAAAGGGGACTGAAGCCAGGGAGCCAAGTGGTCTTGCTCAACTGGTGGCACCCCTATGGAGCCCAGCAAGCTAAGATCCACTCGCTTGAAATTCTCGCTGTCAGCACAGCAGTCTGAAGTCGACCTTGGATGATACGACTTCATTGGGGGAAGGGCACCTGCCATTACTGAGGCTTGAATAGGTGGTTTTCCCCTCACAGTATAAACAAAGCTGCCAGGAATTTCGGACTGGGCAAGACTAACTGCAGCATGGCAAAGCCGCTGTGGCCAGACTGCCTCTCTACATTCCTCCTCACTGGGCAGGGCATATCTGAAAGAAAGGCAGCAGACCCAGTCAGGGGCTTATAGATAAAACTCCCTTCTCCCTGAGACAGAGCACCTGGGTGAAGGGGCGGCTGTGGGCGCAGCTTCAGCAGACTTAAACATTGCTGCCTGCTGGCTCTGAAGAGAGCAGCAGATCTCCCAGCATAGGACTTGAGCTCTGCTAAGGGACAGACTGCCTCCTCAAGTAGTTCCCTGACCCTCATGCCTCCTGACTGGAGACACCTCCCAGCAGGGATCAACACATATCTCATACAGGAGAGCTCTGGCTGGCATCTGGCAGGTGTCCCTCTGGAACAAACCTTCAAGAGGAAGGGGCAGGCAGGAATCTTTGCTGTTCTGTAGCCTCTGCTGGGGATATCCAGGCAAACAGTGTCTGTAGTGGACCTCCAGCAATCTCTAACAGACCTGCAGAAGAGGGGCTTGACTGTTAGAAGGAAAACTAACAAACAGAAAGCAATAACATTAACGTCAACAAAAAGGACGCCCGTGCAAAAACCCCATCCAAAGGTCTTCAACATCAAAGATCAAAGGTAGATAAATCCATGAAGATGAGGAAAAATCAGCTCAAAAATGCTGAAAATTCCTAAAACCAGAATGCCTTTTCTCCTCCAAAGGATCACAACTCCTTGCCAGCAAGGACACAAAACTGGACACAGAATGAGTTTGACGAATTGACAGAAGTAGGCTTCAGAAGGTGGGTAATAACAAACTCCTCCGAGCTAAAGGAGCATGTTCTAACCCAATGCAAGGAAGCTAAGAACCTTGACAAAGGTTACAGGAACTGCTAACTAGAATAACTAGTTTAGAGAACAACATAATTGACCTAACGGAGCTGAAAAACACAGCTTGAGAACTTTGTGAAGCATACACAAGTATCAATAGCCAAATTGATCAAGCAGAAGGAAGGATATCAGAAATTGAAGATAAACTGAATGAAATAAAGCATGAAGACAAGATTAGAGAAAAAAGAATGAAAAGGAATGAACAAAACCCCCAAGAGACATGGGACTATGTGAAAAGACCAAACCTATGATTGATTGGTGTACCTGAAAGTGATGGGGAGAACGGAACCAAGTTGGAAAGCACACTTCAGGATATGATCCAGGAGAACTTCCCCAACCTAGCAAGACAGGCCAACATTCAAATTCAGGAAATACAGAGAACACCACTAAGATTCTCCTCAAGAAGAGCAACCCCAAGACACATAATCATCAGATTCACCAAGGTTGAAATAAAGAAAAAAATGTTAAGGGCAGCCAGAGAGAAGGGTCAGGTTACCTACAAAGGGAAGCCCATCAGACTAATAGTGGATCTCTCCTCAGAAACCCAGAAGCCAGAAGAGAGAGGGGGCCAATATTCCACATTCTTAAAGGAAAGAATTTTCAACCCAGAATTTCATATCCAGCCAATCTAAGCTTCATACGGGAAGGAGAAATAAAATCCTTTACTGAGAAGCAAATGTTGAGCGATTTTGTCAACACCAGGCCTGCCTTAGAAGAGCTCCTGAAGGAAAGACAATGGGAATATGGAAATATGGAAAGGAAAAATTGGTTCCAGCTACTGCAAAAACGTACCAAAATATAAAGACCAACGACACTATGAAGTAACTGCATCAACTAATGTGCAAAATAACTAGCTAGCATCATGATGACAGGATCAAATTCACACATAACAATATTAACCTTAAATGTAAATGGGCTAATTGCCCAGGTTAATAGACACAGACTGATACCTGTGTAACAAACCTGCAGGTTCTACACATCCCAGAACTTAAAGTATAAATATATATAGTTTATGTAAAGTATAAATATATAAATATATATAGTTCATGTAAAGTATAAATATTTACATTTTATATAAAATATATATACTTTATATAAATATATATTTTTTAATATTTTTATTTTATTCAAAGAAAATAAAGAGATTGTATCAATAAAACAAAACATTTTTGGCCCTTAAATTAAACACATCCTGTATTCTTAGCCCAGTATCTGTTGTGAGGAATATAAGACTTGGAGGACATGGTTTATTTGTTAAAGAAACATTAAGTCCTCACTATATGCTTCACTTGCCTTTTACACACTGAGTATCCCTTATCCAAAATGCTTGGGACCAAAAGTGTTTCAGATTTTGGATAATTTTGGATTTTAAAACATTTGCATATACATGAGATATCCTGGGGATAAGACCCAAGTCTAACATGGAATTCATGTATGTTGCATATATACATTATATGCATACCTTGAAGGTAATTTTATATAATATTTTAAAAAATTTTGTGCATGAAACAAAGTTTGGACTGCGTTTTTTAAATTATTGTCACACTTTAAGTTTTAGGGTACATGTGCACAATGGGTAGGTTTGTTACATATGTATACATGTGCCATGTTGGTGTGGTGCACCCATTAACTCATTATTTAGCATTAGGTATATCTCCTAATGCTGTCCCTCCCCCCTCGCCCCACTCCACAACCGTCCCCGGTGTGTGATGTTCCCCTTCCTGTGTCCATCTGTTCTCATTGTTGAATTCCCACCTATGAGTGAGAACATGCGGTGTTTGGTTTTTTGTCCATGAGATACTTTGCTGACAATGATGGTTTCCAGCTTCATCTATGTCCCTACAAAGGACATGAACTCATCATTTCTTAGGGCTGCATAGTATTCCATGGTGTATATATGCCACATTCTCTTAATCCAGTCTATCATTGATGGACATTTGGGTTGGTTCCAAGTCTTTGCTATTGTGAATAGTGCTACAATAAACATAAATGTGCATGTGTCTTTATAGAAGCATGATTTATAATCCTTTGGGTATATACCCAGTAATGCGATGGCTGGGTCAAATGGTATTTCTAGTTCTAGATCCCTGAGGAATCGCCACACTGACTTCCACAAGGGTTGAACTAGTTTACGGTCCCACCAACGGTGTAAAAGTGGTCCTATTTCTCTACATCCTCTCCAGCACCTGTTGTTTCCTGACTTTTTAATGATCGCCATTCTAACTGGTGTGAGATGGTATCTCATTGTGGTTTTGATTTGCATTTCTCTGATGGCCAGTGATGATGAGCATTTTTTCATGTGTTTTTTGGCTGCATAAATGTCTTCTTTTGAGAAGTGTCTGTTCATATCCTTCACCCACTTGTTGATGGGGTTGTTCGTTTTTTCCTTGTAAATTTGTTTTAGTTCTTTGTAGATGCTGGATATTAGCCCTTTGTCAGATGAGTAGGTTGAAAAAACTTTCTCCATTCTGTAGGTTGCCTGTTCACTCTGATGGTGGTTTCTTTTGCTGTGCAGAAGCTCTTTAGTTTAATTAGATCCCATTTGTCAATTTTGGCTTTTGTTGCCATTGCTTTTGCTGTTTTAGACATGAAGTCCTCGCCCATGCCTATGTCCTGAATGGTATTGCCTAGGTTTTCTTCTAGGGTTTTTATGGTTTTAGGTCTAACATGTAAGTCTTTAATCCATCTTGAATTAATTTTTGTATAAGGTGTAAGGAAGGGATCCGGTTTCAGCTTTCTACATATGACTAGCCATTTTTCCCAGCACCATTTATTAAATAGGGAATCCTTTCCCCATTGCTTGTTTTTGTCATGTTTGTCAAAGATCAGATGGTTGTAGATGTGTGGTATTATTTCTGAGGGCTCTGTTCTGTTCCGTTGGTCTATATCTCTGTTTTGGTACCAGTACCATGCTGTTTTGGTTGCTGTAGCCTTGTAGTATAGTTTGAAGTCAGGTAGCATGGTGCCTCCAGCTTTGTTCTTTTGGCTTAGGATTGACTTGGCGATGTGGGCTCTTTTTTGGTTCCATATGGACTTTATAGTAGTTTTTTCCAATTCTGTGAAGAACGTCATTGGTAGCTTGATGGGGATCGCATTGAATCTGTAAATTACCTTGGGCAGTATGGCCATTTTCACGATATTCATTCTTCCTACCCATGAACATGGAATGTTCTTCCATTTGTTTGTATCCTCTTTTATTACATTGAGCAGTGGTTTGTAGTTTTCCTTGAAGAGGTCCTTCACATCCCTTGTAAGTTGGATTCCTAGGTATTTTATTCTCTTTGAAGCAATTGTGAATGGGGTTTGACTCATGATTTGGCCCTCTGTTTATCTGTTATTGGTGTATAAGAACGCTTGTGATTTTTGCACATTGATTTTGTATCCTGAGACTTTGCTGAAGTTGCTTATCAGCTTAAGGAGATTTTGGGCTGAGATGATCAGGTTTTCTAGATATATAATCATATCATCTGCAAACAGGGACAATTTGCCTTTCTCTTTTCCGAACTGAATGCCCTTTATTTCCTTCTCCTGCCTTATTGCTCTGGCCAGAACTTCCAACACTATGTTGAATAGGAGTGGTGCGAGAGGGCATCCCTGTCTTGTGCCAGTTTTCAAAGAGAATGCTTCCAGTTTTTGTCCATTCAGTATGATATTGGCTGTGGGTTTGTCACAGATAGCTCTTATTATTTTGAGATATGTCCCATCAATACCTAATTTATTGAGAGTTTTTAGCATGAAGGGTTGTTGAATTTTGTCAAAGGCCTTGTCTACATCTATTGAGATAATCATGTGGTTTTTGTCTTTGGTTCTGTTTATATGCTGGATTACGTTTATTGATTTTCGTATGTTGAACCAGCCTTGCATCCCAGGGATGAAGCCCACTTGATCACAATAATAAGAGCTATCTATGAGAAACCCACAGCCAATATCATACTGAATGGACAAAAACTGGAAGCATTCTCTTTGAAAACTGGCACAAGAGAGGGATGCCCTGTCTCACCACTCCTATTCAACATAGTGTTGGAAGTTCTGGCCAGGGCAATCAGTCAGGAGAAAGAAATAAACGTGTTCAAGTAGGAAAAGAGGAAGTCGAATTGTCCCTGTTTGTAAATGACATGATTGTATATCTAGAAAACCCCATCGTCTCAGCCAAAAATATCCTTAAGCTGAAAAGCTGCTTCAGTAAATTCTCAGGATACAAAAGCAATGTGCAAAAATCACAAGCACCCTTATACACCAATAACAGATAAACAGAGAGCCAAATCATGAGTGAACTCCCATTCACAGTTGTTTCAAAGAGAATAAAATACCTAGGAATCCAACTTACAAGGGATGTGAAGGACCTCTTCAAGGAGAACTACAAACCACTGCTCAGTGAAATGAAACAGGATACAAAGAAATGGAAGAACATTCCATGCTCATGGGTAGGAAGAATGAATATCGTGAAAATGGCCATACTGCCCAAGGTAATTTATAGATTCAATGCCATCCCCATCAACCTACCAATGACTTTCTTCACAGAATTAGAAAAAACTACTTTAACGTTCATATGGAACCAAAAAGAAGCCCACATCGCCAAGCAATCCTAAGCCAAAAGAACAAAGCTGGAGGCATTACGCTACCTGACTTCAAACTATACTACAAGGCTACAGTAACCAAAACAGCATGATGCTGTTACCCAATCAGAGATATAGACCAATGGAACAGGACAGATCCCTCAGAAATAATACCACACATCTACAACCATCTGATCATTGACAAACGTGACAAAAACAAGCAATGGGGAAAGGATTGCCTATTTAATAAATGGTGCTGGGAAAACTGGCTAGCGATATGTAGAAAGGTGAAACCGGATCCTTTCCTTACACCTTATACAAAAATTAATTCAAGATGGATTAAAGACTTACATGTTAGACCTAAAACTATAAAAACCCTAGAGGAAACCTAGGCAATACCATTCAGGACATAGGCATGGGCAAGGACTTCATGTCTAAAACACCAATAACAATGGCAAGAAAAGCCAAAATTGACAAATGGGATCTAATTAAACTAAAGAGCTTCTGCACAGCAAAAGGAACCACCATCAGAGTGAACAGCCAACCTACAGAATGGAGAATTTTTTTTCAACCTACTCATCTGACAAAGGTCTAATATCCAGAATCTACAAAGAACTCAAACAAATTTACAAGAAAAAACAAACAACCCCATCAACAAGTGGGTGAAGGATATGAACAGACACTTCTCAAAAGAAGACATTTATGCAGCCAAAAGACACATGAAAAAATGCTCATCATCACTGACCATGAGAGAAATGCAAATCAAAACCACAATGAGATACCATCTCACACCAGTTAGAATGGCGATCATTAAAAAGTCAGGAAACAACAGGTGCTGGAGAGGATGTGGAGTAATAGGAACACTTTTACACTGTTGGTGGGACTGTAAACTAGTTCAGCGATTGTGGAAGACCGTGTGGCAATTCCTCAGCAATCTAGAACTAGAAATACCATTTGACCCAGCCATCGCATTACTGGGTATATACCCAAAGGATTATAAATCATGCTGCTATAAAGACACATGCACACGTATATTTATTGCGGCACTATTCACAATAGCAAAGACTTGCAGCCAACCCAAATGTCCAACAATGATAGACTGGATTAAGAAAATGTGGCACATATACACCATGGAATACTATGCAGCCATTAAAAACGATGAGTTCATATCCTTTTTAGGGACATGGATGAAGCTGGAAACCATCATTCTGAGCAAACTATCACAAGAACAAAAAACCAAACACCACATGTTCTCACTCATAGGTGGGAATTGAACAATGAGAATGCTTGGACACAGGAAGGGGAACATCACACACTGGGGCTTCTTGTGGGGTGGTGGTAAGGGGGAGCAATAACATTAGGAGATACACCTAATGTAAATGATGAGTTAATGGGTGCAGCACACCAACATGGCACATGTATACATATGTAACAAAACTGCACGTTGTGCACATGTACCCTAAAACTTGAAGTATTATAAATAAAGAAAAAAAAGAAAGATTTCTGGGCAAAGATTTCTTAAGTAATACCCTAAGCACAAGCAACTGAAGCAAAAGTGGATAAATGGGATCACATCAAGTAAAAAGCTTCTGCAGCACAAAGGAAACAATCAACAAAGTTAAGAGGCAAACCACAGAATGGAAGAAAATATTTGTACTCTCCATCTGATAAGGCATTAATAACTAGAATAAGTAAATAGCTTAGACAACTTAATACGAAAAACAATCTAATAATCCAATTTAAATATGAGCAAAAGATCTGAACAGGAGTTTCTCAAAAGAAGACATACAAATGGCAAACAGATATATGAAAAGGTGCTTACCATCATTGATCATCAGATGCAAATCAAATCCAAATAAAAAATATGATAAGATATCATCTAACTTAAAATAACTTTTATCCAGAAGCTGGAAGTAACAAAAGGCAAGGATGTAGAGAAAAGGGAACAGTAGTACACTGTTGGTGGGTGTGTAAGGGCAAGATATCTGAACAGGCATTTGTCAAAAGAAGACATACACATGGCAAACAAGTATATGAAAATGTGCTTACTATCATTGATCATCTTAGAAAGGCAAATCAAAAATGTAATGAGATATCATCTCACTGAGTTAAAATAGCTTTTATCCAAAAGCAGGAAATAACAAAAAAAGGCAAGGATGTAGAGAAAAGGGAACAGTAGTACACTTTTGGTGGGAATGTAAATTACAACTACTGTGGAGAGCAGCATGAAAGTTTCTCAAAAAACTAAAAATAGAGCTACTATATGATCCAGTAATCCCACTGCTAGGTACATACCCAAAAGAAAGTAAGTCGTTATAATGAAGAGATATCTGCACTCCAATGTTTATTGCAGCAGTATTCACAATAGCCAAATTTGGAAGCAATCTAAGTGTCCATTAAGAGATGAATGGATAAAGAAAGTGTACCTACACACAATGGAGTGATAGAAAAGAATGAGATCCTGTAATTTGCAACAACATGGATGGAACTGGAGGACATCATATTAAGTAAAGTAAGTGAGGCAGAGAAAGATAATCTTCACGTGTTCTCATTCATTTGTGAGATCTAAAAATTAAAACAATTGAACTCAAGGAGATAGAAAGTAGAATGATGGTTACCAGAGGCTGGGAAGGGTAATGAAAGGTAGGGGGTAAGTGGAGATGGTTAATGGGTACAAAAATATAGTTAAATAGAGTGAATAAGATTTAGTATTTGATAGCACAACAGGGCAACTGCAGTCGACAGTAATTTATTGTACATTGAAAAATAAGTAAAATAGTATAATTGGATTGCATGTAACACAAATGATGAATGCTTGAGGTGATGGATACCTCATTTATTTTGATATGATTATCATACACTGTATGTCTGTATCAAAATATCTCATGTATCCCATAAATATATGTATACCTACTATGTACCCACAAAAATTTTAAAAACGATTGTCCCAAAGAAAAACTTAGAAACCTGTAGTTATCTTGCAGGAAAATTGTTGACTTATATGTGAGAGAATTGGTCGAACAAGTTAAGGAAAAATGTAAAAAACAAATTTTATAAAGGAAGGAGAGAGGACAGAGAAAAATTGATGTTCCAAGTGAATCTTGTTAGCATCTTTTTGGGTAAACTGATTTTCTCTCAACAAAAAGGAGCATCTGGTAATTTTATCCTTGAGTGGGCAGGGATATGAAAGAAAACAGTTCCAGTTGTTTATGGGTTCTTCAGAAAACTTGAGAATTTAGCTCTCTAAACGTCTGGCTAAAACTACTTTAAGGTCTGTCTGTCCTTCTGTCAGTACCTCTCCCATAGTTAGACTAGGTCTGCACTGTTTCCTCATTATATATTGTTTTCTTAGCCAGTTAGTTATGCCTGGCTTCTTTAGACAGGAGCTACAGGAGGTAGCCACATAAGCTGGTTGTGAGACTGGGGGCAAGGTAGCAAAGTGTATCAGAGAAATGGACAAAGGCATCCTCTCTAGGTATGTCTGTGGAAGTTCAATGAGGTCTGAAGGTATGATATCTTATGGAGTTTGCAGCTTTGTAGGGGCATTTGGGGACAACACTTCAAGCAGGGAGGGATGACACTGGTGGGAAGGAAATGCCATCTTCAAGTGGCTTGTGGAGAACACATATAGACTATTGTTTGAGGCTAATTAGAAAAACGAGCTTGTTTGTTGCTTTTCATTCAGTCCCTGCACCTATTGGGTATTATTGTAACTTTGACAATCAGTGTCACTTTATCTTGGTTTACTCAAGTGTAAGTTCAATAAAGGCAGCTTTTTGGAAGTGCTTTTATAAAACCACTAAAAGCAGATTTGGAGACTTGAGATCTAAGTGCTACTTTGGTGTGGATTATTTGTGTAATAGACTCATCTGCAAAATGTGATCGCTGACCTACATATCACTTCTAGTCTGATATTATGGGAATGAAAATTTGGGTAGGATTCTTACAGAAGCATATTCCTTCTACTGGTAGAACTTCATTCATATTTTTACTATTCTTTTTTCAGCATTTTCATCTACTTGCTTAAATTACAAAGATACAAATATTTTCCTTCCAGGTCAGGAGGACACTTCTTTTTAATTCTTTTCCCTTTTTCAGGATATATCAGCACAACTTCTCTGCTCCAACTAGTCTACATTGCAAAGCATCTCCTAGTGTCTTTGGAAGAAGGATCTATGGTCAGTAATTCCTGTTTCGTGATCTGCCTTTGACATGGCTTAATCACCACCTAAGTTGATAATTCCATATTAATAATAGTGATATTCATGATTGAGCAGAGCATGTTTTTTTTTTTCCTGCATGTGATTGTGGGACAGTGATTATGTTGGAGAAAAATATAGGCCTTGATTAAATTTTGTCTTTCATTATTAATTACTTGTTATTTTGAATGTAATGTATCTGCTTTATGGTCATATAGCTTTCCAATGATATAGAAGACATCTAATTCTGGCCATGGGGAAGTATGTAATTTGTGTTTATGACAAATAAGAATACAAGAGACAAACAGTATTATATGATGAATAGTTTATTTTTAATTTAGATGCAGCTTACTATAATATTAATTATGTCCAAGATGATTTTTTGAATACAGAATACTAGAATTCCAATAGAAGGATAATAGAGAAAGATGTGCTAGCCCTGATGTTGATATAGCCACTTTGGTATACAGAACTGTTTTATATTTTTGGCTCCTTCGATATTTCTGAAAAAGATTAATTTAGAAATTTGGGGAGTGTCTAAAACTTAAACTTTCAAAAACATAAAACATTACTTGACCCAGAATCTCCTAAAATACTCCAGCTAGTTTTCTAAAGTTAGCTCTCCATGATATTGATTTCTTCCATTTAATATTTCTGAAATATAGCGTTTAAAGATCATTACACAATAAAAATAAGCTACCACCAAACTAATGAAATACTATAGCATATTTTAAACAGATTGACAGGAAAAGATAACTTCCCTGAAAGTATTATGAAGTTTCTTGATTGAAAGTGAACTTGCTTCATTCTTCTATTCTTGGATTAATTCCTTTGCCATTAATTTCTTACTCATAGTAATAGTATCTCTGTGACTGACTAAATCCCAGTTGTTTCGATATATCACTAGAATGGCCACATAAACCTGGGTCCTTATTAATATACGTTGCATAATACCTTGGATGATCTTTACCAAACGCACTTGCTTTACAGATATCAGATCTTTCCTTGAAAACAACAGGATTGGAATTGTAACTAACACTTCCGTGCTGAGAGTGTCTAAACCCGGATTCACCATAATCATAATCTGCACTACCATAGCTGCCATGTCTCCAAACTAAACCTGATTGACCTTTTTGCCTTTCAGTGCCCTCAGATTGATAATGATAAGAACTAGAACTGTGAGGACTGCCACGTGACTGTATTCCTGAGTGATACGCAGAATCTTGTGAAAGACTACTAAAGTGACCATGTTCCTTAGCGGTACTAGAGTCTGACTGTACAGGTGAAGACTGTACATGACTGGCTGTATCGCGGTGAGAGGATCCGGGGTGTCTGGAGCCATCTCTTGACTGCTCCCGAGAAGATCCATGATGGTTTCTGGAAGCAGACTCAGATCGCCTCTCAGAGTCCTCTGGGTATGCCTCACTGTCACTGTCCTGGCTAACACTGGATCCCTGGCGCCTGCTTCTCCTGGACCCCGCTGATTCACCCTGGCCGGACTGTGAGTGTCTAGAGCTGTCAGCCTGAGTGGAAGCTTCATGGTGACGCGACCCTGAGTGCCTGGAGCCGTCTCCTGACTGTTCCTCATTACGTGTTTCTCTGCTTGCACTTCTGGATCCTGACTGCCCATGGGAGGCATCAGACCTTCCCTGGGATGTGGTGTGGCTGTGATGGGACCCTGAGTGTCCAGACCTATCTACCGATTGCTCGTGGTAGGATCCCTGTCTTCCTCCTCTCCTTGACCCCGGGTGTCCACGAATGGTGTCCTGACCCTCTTGGGACGCTGAGTGCCTGGAGCTGTCTCGTGCCTGCTCGTGGCGGGATCCTTGTCTTCCTCCAGTACTGGGCCCAGCCCGTCCATGGGCAGACTCAGACTGTTCATGAGTGCTCACCTGGTAGAGGAAAGACCCTGAACGTCCAGACCTTCCTGCTGACCGGCCACGTGTGGACTCTTGGTGGCTCTGCTGATGGGGCCCAGCCTGTCCGTGGGCTGACACTGACTGTGTGTCTGAGTCTTCTGAATGTCCCTCACTGTCACTGGCCTGACTACCACTGGACCCTCGGTGTCCACTGTCTCTGACTGCAGATGAAGCTTGTCCGTGCCCAATGCCTGAGTGTCTGGAGCTGTCTGCTGACTGCTGGTGGTGGGATCCATGTCTCTCTCCTGCACTTGATCTTGCCTGTTCATGGGATGATGCAGCCTGTCCACCAGAGGAATTCTCTGCATGATGAGTGCCTGATTGTCTGGAGCTCTCTGCAGAGTGCCCGTGACCGGCTCTGTCTTCGTGATGGGACGTGGGGTGTCTGGAGCCATCTCTTGACTGCTCCTGAGCAGATCCACGATGGTTTCTGGAAGCAGACCCAGACCACCTCTCAGAGTCTTCTGAGTGTCCCTGACTGTCACTGTCCTGGCTAACACTGGATCCCTGGTTCCTGCTTGTCCTGGGCCCCGCTGATTGTCCCTGGCCGGACTGTGAGTGTCTAGAGCTGTCCGCCTGAGTGGAAGCTTCATGGTGATGCGACCATGAGTGCCTGGAGCCATCTCCTGATTGTTCGTCATTACGAGTTTGTCTGCTGGCACTTCTGGATCCTGACTGCCCACGGGAGGCATCAGACCTTCCCTGGGATGTGGTGTGGCTGTGATGGGACCCTGAGTGTCCAGACCTATCTACCGATTGCTCGTAGTGGGATCCCTGCCTTCCTCTTCTGCTTGACCCCGGGTGTCCACGAATGGTGTCCTGACCCTCTTGGGACGCTGAGTGCCTGGAGCTGTCTCGTGCCTGCTCGTGGTGGGATCCTTGTCTTCGTCCAGTGCTGGTCCTGGTCCGCCCATGGGCAGACTCAGACTGTTCATGAGTGCTCACCTGGTAGAGGAAAGACCCTGAACGTCCAGACCTTCCCCCTGACCGGTCACGTGCGGACTCTTGGTGGCTCTGCTGATGGGGCCCAGCCTGTCCATGGCCTGACACTGACTGTGTGTCTGACTCTTCTGAATGTCCCTCACTATCACTGGCCTGACTACCACTGGACCCCCAGTGTCTACTGTCTCTGACTGCAGATGAAGCTTGTCCACGCGGAATGCCTGAGTGTCTGGAGCTGTCTGCTGACTGCTGGTGGCGGGATCCGTGTCTCTCTCCTGGACTTGATCTTGCCTGTTCATGGGATGATGCAGCCTGTCCACCAGAGGAAGTCTCTGCGTGACGAGTGCCTGATTGTCTGGAGCGGTCTGCAGAGTGCCCGTGACCGGCTCTGTCTTCGTGATGGGACCTGGGGTGTCTGGAGCCGTGCCTTGACTGCTCCTGAACAGATCCACGATGGTTTCTGGAAGCAGACCCAGACCACCTCTCAGAGTCTTCTGAATGTCCCTCACTGTCACTGTCCTGGCTCACACTGGATCCCTGGCGCCTGCTTCTCCTGGACCCCTCTGATTGTCCCTGGACTGCCTGTGAGTGTCTAGAGATGTCGGCATGAGTGGAAGCTTCATGGTGACGTGACACTGAGTGCCTGGAGCTGTCTCCTGATTGTTCCTCATTACGTGTTGTTCTGCTTGCACTTCTGGATCCTGACTGCCCACGGGAGGCATCAGACCTTCCCTGGGATGTGGTGTGGCTGTGATGGGACCCTGAGTGTCCAGAGCTATCTACCGAATGCTCGTGGTGGTACCCCTGCCTTCCTCCTCTGCTTGACCCCGGGTGTCCACGAATGGTGTCCTGACCGTATTGGGATGCTGAGTGCCTGGAGCTGTCTTGTGCCTGCTCATGGCGGGATCCTTGTCTTCCTCTAGTGCTGGGCCCCGTCCATCCATGGGAGGACTCAGACTGTTCATGAGTGCTCACCTGGTAGAGGAAAGATCCTGAATGTCCAGACGTTTCCCCTGACCGGCCACGTGCGGACTCTTGGTGGCTCTGCTGATGGGACCCAGCCTGTCCGTGGGCTGACACTGACTGTGTGTCTGAGTCTTCTGAATGTCCCTCATTGTCACTGGCCTGACTACCACTGTACCCTCGGTGTCCACTGTCTCTGACTGCAGATGAAGCTTGTCCGTGCCCAATGCCTGAGTGTCTGGAGCTGTCTGCTGACTGCTGGTGGTGGGATCCATGTCTTTCTCCTGCACTTGATCTTGCCTGTTCATGGGATGATGCAGCCTGTCCACCAGAGGAAGTCTGTGTGTGACGAGTGCCTGATTGTCTGGAGCTGTCTGCAGAGTGCCCATGACCAGCTCTGTCTTCTTGATGGGACCTGGGGTGTCTGGAGCCATCTCTTAGCTGCTCCTGAGCAGATCCATGATGGTTTCTGGAAGCAGACCCAGACCACCTCTCAGAGTCTTCTGAATGTCCCTCACTGTCACTGTCCTGGCTCACACTGGATCCCTGGCGCCTGCTTCTCCTGGACCCCTCTGATTGTCCCTGGACTGCCTGTGAGTGTCTAGAGATGTCGGCATGAGTGGAAGCTTCATGGTGACGCGACCCTGAGTGCCTGGAGCCGTCTCCTGATTGTTCCTCATTACGTGTTGTTCTGCTTGCACTTCTGGATCCTGACTGCCCACGGGAGGCATCAGACCTTCCCTGGGATGTGGTGTGGCTGTGATGGGACCCTGAGTGTCCAGAGCTATCTACCGAATGCTCGTGGTGGTACCCCTGCCTTCCTCCTCTGCTTGACCCCGGGTGTCCACGAATGGTGTCCTGACCGTCTTGGGATGCTGAGTGCCTGGAGCTGTCTTGTGCCTGCTCATGGCGGGATCCTTGTCTTCCTCTAGTGCTGGGCCCCGTCCATCCATGGGAGGACTCAGACTGTTCATGAGTGCTCACCTGGTAGAGGAAAGATCCTGAATGTCCAGACGTTTCCCCTGACCGGCCACGTGCGGACTCTTGGTGGCTCTGCTGATGGGACCCAGCCTGTCCGTGGGCTGACACTGACTGTGTGTCTGAGTCTTCTGAATGTCCCTCATTGTCACTGGCCTGACTACCACTGTACCCTCGGTGTCCACTGTCTCTGACTGCAGATGAAGCTTGTCCGTGCCCAATGCCTGAGTGTCTGGAGCTGTCTGCTGACTGCTGGTGGTGGGATCCATGTCTTTCTCCTGCACTTGATCTTGCCTGTTCATGGGATGATGCAGCCTGTCCACCAGAGGAAGTCTGTGTGTGACGAGTGCCTGATTGTCTGGAGCTGTCTGCAGAGTGCCCATGACCAGCTCTGTCTTCTTGATGGGACCTGGGGTGTCTGGAGCCATCTCTTAGCTGCTCCTGAGCAGATCCATGATGGTTTCTGGAAGCAGACCCAGACCACCTCTCAGAGTCTTCTGAGTGTCCCTGACTGTCACTGTCCTGGCTAAAACTGGATCCCCAGTTCCTGCTTGTCCTGGGCCCCTCTGATTGTCCCTGGCCCACCTGCGAGTGTCCAGAGCTGTCGGCCCGAGAGGAAGCTTCATGGTGACGCGACCCTGAGTGCCTGGAGCCGTCTCCTGATTGTTCATCGTTACGAGTTTGTCTGCTTGCACTTCTGGATCCTGAGTGCCCATGGGAGGCATCAGACCTTCCCTGGGATGTGGTGTGGCTGTGATGAGACCCTGAGTGTCCAGATCTATCTACCAATTGCTCGTAGTGGGATCCCTGCCTTCCTCCACTGCTTGACCCCGGGTGTCCATGAATGGTGTCCTGACCCTCTTGGGACGTTGAGTGCCTGGAGCTGTCTCGTGCCTGCTTGTGGTGGGATCCTTGTCTTCCTCCAGTGCTGGTCCCGGTCCGTCCATGGGCGGACTCAGACTGTTCATGAGTGCTCACCTGGTAGAGGAAAGACCCTGAACGTCCAGACCTTCCTGCTGACCGGCCACGTGTGGACTCTTGGTGGCTCTGCTGATGGGGCCCAGCCTGTCCGTGGGCTGACACTGACTGTGTGTCTGAGTCTTCTGAATGTCCCTCACTGTCACTGGCCTGACTACCACTGGACCCTCGGTGTCCACTGTCTCTGACTGCAGATGAAGCTTGTCCGTGCCCAATGCCTGAGTGTCTGGAGCTGTCTGCTGACTGCTGGTGGTGGGATCCGTGTCTCTCTCCTGCACTTGATCTTGCCTGTTCATGGGATGATGCAGCCTGTCCACCAGAGGAATTCTCTGCATGATGAGTGCCTGATTGTCTGGAGCTCTCTGCAGAGTGCCCATGACCGGCTCTGTCTTCGTGATGGGACCTGGGGTGTCTGGAGCCATCTCTTGACTGCTCCTGAGCAGATCCATGATGGTTTCTGGACGCAGACCCAGACCGCCTCTCAGAATCTTCTGAGTGTCCCTCACTGTCACTGTCCTGGCTAACACTGGATCCCCGGGGCCTGCTTGTCCTGGGCCCTGATGATTGTCCCTGGCCCACCAGTGAGTGTCTAGAGCTGTCGGCCCAAGAGGAAGCTTCATGATGATGCGACCCTGAGTGCCTAGAGCCATCTCCTGATTGTTCCTTGTCATATGTTTTTCTGCTTGCACTTCTGGATCCTGACTGCCCACGGGAGGCATCAGACCTTCCCTGGGATGTGGTGTGGCTGTGATGAGACCCTGAGTGTCCAGACCTATCTACCGATTGCTCTTGGTGGGACCCCTGTCTTCCTCCTCTGCTTGGCCCCGGGTGTCCACGAATGGTGTCCTGACCCTCTTGGGATGCTGAGTGCCTGGAGCTGTCTTGTGCCTGATCATAATGGGATCCTTGTCTTCCTCCAGTGCTGGGCGCAGACTGTCCATGGGTGGACTCAGACTGTTCATGAGTGCTCACCTGGTAGAGGAAAGACCCTGAACGTCCAGAGCTTTCCCCTGACTGGCCACGTGCGGACTCTTTGTGGCTCTGCTGATGGGGCCCAGCTTTTCCCTGTGCTGACACTGACTGTGTGTCTGAGTCTTCTGAATGTCCCTCACTGTCACTGGCCTGACTACCACTGTACCCTCGGTGTCCACTGTCTCTGACTGCAGATGAAGCTTGTCCATGCCCAATGCCTGAGTGTCTGGAGCTGTCTGCTGACTGGAGCTGGTGGTGGGATCCATGTCTTTCTCCTGCACTTGATCTTGCCTGTTCATGGGATGACGCAGCCTGTCCACGAGAGGAAGACTCTGTGTGACGAGTGCCTGATTGTCTGGAGCTGTCTGCAGAGTGCCCGTGACCGGCTCTGTCTTCGTGATGGGACCCAGGGTGTCTGGAGCCATCTCTTGACTGCTCCCAAGCAGATCCAAGATGGTTTCTGGAAGCAGACCCAGACCACCTCTCAGAGTCTTCTGAGTGTCCCTGACTGTCACTGTCCTGGCTAACACTGGATCCCTGGTTCCTGCTTGTCCTGGGCCCTGATGATTGTCCCTGGCCCACCTGCGAGTGTCTAGAGCTGTCGGCCCGAGAGGAAGCTTCATGGTGACGCGACCCTGAGTGCCTGGAGCCGTCTCCTGATTGTTTCTCATTACGTGTTTGTCTGCTGACACTTCTGGATCCTGACTGCCCACGGGAGACATCAGACCTTTCCTGGGACGTGGTGTGGCTGTGATGAGACCCTGAGTGTCCAGAACTATCTACCGATTGCTCATAGTGGGATCCCTGCCTTCCTCCTCTGCTTGACCCTGGGTGTCCACGAATGGTGTCCTGACCCTCTTGGGACGCTGAGTGCCTGGAGCTGTCTCGTGCCTGCTCGTGGCGGGATCTTTGTCTTCCTCCAGTGCTGGGCCCTGTGCGTCCATGGGCGGACTCAGACTGTTCATGAGTGCTCACCTGGTAGAGGAAAGACCCTGAACGTCCAGACCTTTCCCCTGACTGGCCACGTGTGGACTCTTGGTGGCTCTGCTGATGGGGCCCAGCCTGTCCGTGGGCTGACACTGACTGTGTGTCTGACTCTTCTGAGTGTCCCTCGCTGTCACTGGCCTGGCTACCACTGGACCCTCGGTTTCCACTGTCTCCGACTACAGATGAATCTTGTCTGCGCCCAGTGCCTGAGTCTGTGGAGCTGTCTGCTGACTGCTGGTGGCGGGATCCATGTCTTTCTCCTGGACTTGACCTTGCCTGTTCCTGGGATGATGCAGCCTGTCCACCAGAGGAAGTCTCTGCATGACGAGTGCCTGATTGTCTGGAGCTCTCTGCAGAGTGCCCATGACTGGCTCTATCTTCTTGATGGGACCTGGGGTTCCTGGAGCCATGTCTTGACTGCTCCCGAGCAGATCCATAATGGTTTCTGGAAGCCGACTCAGACCGCCTCTCAGAGTCTTCTGAGTGTCCCTCACTGTCCCTGTCCTGACTAACACTGGATCCCTGGCGCCTGCTTGTCTTGGACCCCGCTGATTCTCCCTGGCCCACCTGTGAGTGTCTAGAGCTGCCGGCCCGAGTGGAAGGTTCATGGTGACGTGACCCTGAGTGCCTGGAGCCGTCTCCTGATTGTTCCTCATTTCTTGTTTGCCTGCTTGCACTTCTGGGTCCTGACTGCCCATGGGAGGCATCAGACCTTCCCTGGGGTGTGGTGTGGCTGTGATGGTACCCTGAGTGTCCAGACCTATCTACTGATTGCTCGTGGTAGGATCCCTGCCTTCCTCCTCTGCTTGACCCCGGGTGTCCACGAATGGTGTCCTGACCGTCTTGGGATGCTGAGTGCCTAGAGCTGTTTCGTGCCTGCTCATGGCGGGATCCTTGTCTTCCTCCAGTGCTGGGTGCAGTCTGTCCGTGTGTGGACTCAGACTGTTCATGAGAGCTCACCTGGTAGAGGAAAGACCTTGAACGTCCAGAGCTTTCCCCTGACTGGCCACGTGCGGACTCTTTGTGGCTCTGCTGATGGGGCCCAGCTTGTCCGTGGGCTGACACTGACTGTGTGTCTGAGTCTTCTGAATGTCCCTCACTGTTAGTGACCTGACTACCACTGGACCCTCGGTGTCCACTGTCTCTGACTGCAGATGAAGCTTGTCTGTGCCCAATGCCTGAGTGTCTGGAGCTGTCTGCTGACTGCTGGTGGCGGGATCCATGTCTTTCTCCTGGACTTGATCTTGCCTGTTCATGGGATGACACAGCCTGTCCATGAGAGGAAGACTCTGTGTGATGAGTGCCTGATTGTCTGGAGCTGTCTGCAGAGTGCCCGTGACTGGCTCTGTCTTCTTGATGGAACCCAGGGTGTCTGGAGCCATCTCTTGACTGCTCCCGAGAAGATCCATGATGGTTTCTGGAAGCAGACCCAGACAACCTCTCGGAGTCGTCTGAGTGTCTCTCACTGTCACTGTCCTGGCTAACACTGGATCCCTGGTGCCTGCTTGTCCTGGACCCCGATGATTGTTCCTGTCCCACCTGTGAGTGTCTAGAGCTGTCAGCCCAAGAGGCAGCTTCATGGTGACGTGACCCTGAGTGCCTGGAGCCGTCTCCTGATTGTTTGTCCTTACGAGTTTGTCTGCTTGCACTTCTGGATCCTGACTGCCCATGGGAGGCATCAGACCTTCCCTGGGATGTGGTGTGGCTGTGATGGGACCCTGAGTGTCCAGATCTATCTACCGATTGCTCATGGTGGGATCCCTGCCTTCCTCCTCTCCTTGACCCCGGGTGTGCACGAATGGTGTCCTGACCCTCTTGGGACGCTGAGTGCCTGGAGCTGTCTCGTGCCTGCTCGTGGTGGGATCCTTGTCTTCGTCCAGTGCTGGTCCTGGTCCGCCCATGGGCAGACTCAGACTGTTCATGAGTGCTCACCTGGTAGATGAAAGACCCTGAACGTCCAGACCTTCCCCCTGACCAGTCACGTGCGGACTCTTGGTGGCTCTGCTGATGGGGCCCATCCTGTCCATGGCCTGACACTGACTGTGTGTCTGACTCCTCTGAATGTCCCTCACTATCACTGGCCTGACTACCACTGGACCCCCAGTGTCCACTGTCTCTGACTGCAGATGAAGCTTGTCTGCGCGGAATGCCTGAGTGTCTGGAGCTGTCTGCTGACTGCTGGTGGCGGGATCCGTGTCTTTCTCCTGGACTTGATCTTGCCTGTTCATGGGATGACGCAGCCTGTCCACCAGAGGAAGTCTCTGCGTGAGGAGTTCCTGATTGTCTGGAGCTGTCTGCAGAGTGCCCGTGACCGGCTCTGTCTTCGTGATGGGACCTGGGGTGTCTGGAGCCATGTCTTGACTGCTCCTGAGCAGATCCACGATGGTTTCTGGAAGCAGACCCAGACCACCTCTCAGAGTCTTCTGAATGTCCCTCACTGTCACTGTCCTGGCTAACACTGGATCCCTGGCGCCTGCTTGTCCTGGACCCCTCTGATTGTCCCTGGCCTGCCTGTGAGTGTCTAGAGATGTCGGCATGAGAGGAAGCTTCATGGTGACGTGACCCTGAGTGCCTGGAGCCGTCTCTTGATTGTTCCTCATTACGTGTTGTTCTGCTTGCACTTCTGGATCCTGACTGCCCACGGGAGGCATCAGACCTTCCCTGGGATGTGGTGTGGCTGTGATGGGACCCTGAGTGTCCAGACCTATCTACCGATTGCTCGTGGTGGGACCCCTGCCTTCCTCTTCTGCTTGACCCCGGGTGTCCACGAATGGTGTCCTGACCATCTTGGGATGCTGAGTGCCTGGAGTTGTCTCGTGCCTGCTCATGGTGGGATCCTTGTCTTACTCCAGTGCTGGGCCCTGTCCATCCATGGGAGGACTCAGACTGTTTATGAGTGCTCACCTGGTAGAGGAAAGACCCTGAACGTCGAGACCTTTCCCCTGACCGGTCACGTGCGGACTCTTGGTGGCTCTGCTGATGGTGACCAGCCTGTCCATGGCCTGACACTGACTGTGTGTCTGAGTCTTCTGAATGTCCCTCACTGTCAGTGGCCTGACTACCACTGGACCCTCGGTGTCCACTGTCTCTGACTGCAGATGAAGCTTGTCCGTGCCCAGTGCCTGAGTGTCTGGAGCTGTCTGCTGACTGGAGCTGGTGGCGGGATCCATGTCTTTCTCCTGCACTTGATCTTGCCTGTTCATGGGATGACGCAGCCTGTCCACTAGAGGAATTCTGTGTGTGACGAGTGCCTGATTTTCTGGAGCTGTCTGCAGAGTGCCCATGACCAGCTCTGTCTTCGTGATGGGACCTGGGGTGTCTGGAGCCATCTCTTGACTGCTCCTGAGCAGATCCATGATGGTTTCTGGAAGCAGACCCAGACCACCTCTCAGAGTCTTCTGAGTGTCCCTGACTGTCACTGTCCTGGCTAACACTGGATCCCTGGTTCCTACTTGTCCTGGGCCCCGATGATTGTCCCTGGCCCACCTGTGAGTGTCTAGAGCTGTCAGCCTGAGAGGAAGCTTCATGATGACGTGACCCTGAGTGCCTGGTGCCGTCTCCTGATTGTTCCTCATTTCGTGTTTGTCTGCTTGCACTTCTGGATCCTGACTGCCCATGGGAGGCATCAGACCTTCCCTGGGATGTGGTGTGGCTGTGATGGGAACCTGAGTGTCCAGACCTATTTACCGATTGCTCGTGGTGGGATCCCTGCCTTCCTCCTCTGCTTGACCCCGGGTGTCCACGAATGGTGTCCTGACCCTCTTGGGACGCTGAATGCCTGGAGCTGTCTCGTGCCTGCTCGTGGTGCGATCCTTGTCTTCCTCCAGTGCTGGTCCCGGTCCGTCCATGGGCAGAGTCAGGCTGTTCATGAGTGCTCACCTGGTAGAGGGAAGACCCTGAACGTCCAGACCGTTCCCCTGACCGGCCACGTGTGGACTCTTGGTGGCTCTGCTGTCTCAGCCCAGCCTTTCCGTGGCCTGACACTGATTGTGTGTCTGAGTTTTCTGAATGTCCCTCACTGTCACTGGCCTGACTACCGCTAGACCCCCGGTGTCCACGATCGCTGACTGCAGATGAAGCTTGCCCGCGCCCAGTGGCTGAGTGTCTGGAGCTGTCTGCTGACTGCTGGTGGCCGGATCCATGTCTTTCTCCTGGACTTGATCTTGCCTGTTCATGGGATGATGCAGTCTGTCCACGAGAGGAAGTCTCTGCGTGACGAGTGCCTGATTGTCTGGAGCTGTCTGCAGAGTGCCCATGACTGGCTCTGTCTTCATCATGGGACCTGGGGTGTCTGGAGCCATCTCTTGACTGCTCCCACGCAGATCCATGATGGTTTCTGGAAGCCGACCCAGAGTGCCTCTCAGAGTCTTCTGAGTGTCCCTCACTGTCCCTGTCCTGGCTAACTCTGGATCCCCTACGCTTTCTTGTCCTGGACTCCTGCAATGGTACCTGGCTTGTATTTTCATGTCTTGACCTGTTCACTTGAGATGATGATTTGCCATCAGATGACCTTGATCTTTCATATATTTTGTTTTCTTCTAATAGACTATCAGTGGTGTCATAGGCTTCATCCTGGATTGTGTAATATGTGGCAATATGGCCTGATTGTATCCATTTTTGAGTCATTCTTCCTGTATTTTCATAATCATATACTCCTTCTTCATTGTCTTCTTTCTCTTCAAGTCTTTCACTTAGCCTCTTCCTATTGTCTCCTAATCTAGTATTTTCAGTCTTGTTTTTCTCTTTTTTACTTGAGTTATGATGGTTTTTTCCATATTCTTCTTCTCTATGAGTAGGTGAATATCCTTTTCTTTCTTTTTTTTCAGAACTAGATTCATGCCTTTTCCCCCCTGTTTCTCTTGGGCTCTTGGATCTTCCCTTATTCCCTTTTCTATTGTTTCTTCTTTCCAGACTTGAGGGTCTTTTTCTGTTTTCTTTGTTTTCTTCCTGTTTATTATCTTCATGTTTATCATGATGACTGTGCTTTCTGTGCTTGTGTCCTGATATCGGTAAATTCTCTTTTCTGGTAGACTCATAATATGCTTGAGCCAACTTGAATACCATCAGAAGAAACTCAGTGAAGTCAATTTTCTTGTTGTGGTCTATATCCAAGTGATCCATGAAGACATCAACCATATCTGGGTCATCTGGATTCTGTACAGAGGGAAGTCACAGAGGGAGACTGCATCAGACAGAATCACATTATCAGCCAATTAATTCAAAGTTAATTTAAGGAACCTGATCTTTGAGTATTAAAAAGTGGGACAAAATCTTTTTTTTTTTTAAGACTTTTTTGTCTCATCCTCATTCAGGTGTTATATGTGAACAAAGATGTAGACTAGTAAGGTATCAAGATTTGATGGGGTAAGTGACTCTTTTTCTTATTTTAAAAGTCAGAAGTGTATATAATTCATTACTTAGTTGTCTTTAACAAAAATCCCCTTAGTAATGTTGATGTTTGGGAGAATATTATAAATACCAAAATACTAAGAACTAATTTACATTAATTTTTAAATATTTATATTTTTTTCTCTGAGGGTGTCTTTATGTTTATAATATACATCCAGGTATAGGGGAAGAAAATAAAATCTATCTCTTTTGAGACAAGATTAACTCTTTTCCTATTTTAAGAGAAATAGTTCACAAAGAGCTCAAAATAACCCTTGCTTAGATTATTGATGAGAAAAACAAATGCTCTATCTTTGGTCTTGTCAGAGACTCTTACCTTCAGGATTTGCCGAAATTCCTTTTCCAGAAGTTCCTTCAGCTCTTTTTTACTCAATGTGTCAGTGTTTTTATCTTTTTTTGAATATTGCTTGAAAAGATTAATTATGGCAAAGATGTTTTCCAGGAGAGTAGACATCTTTTGGCAATAAATGTGAACCTAGAAAGAAGAAATGAAAATGCACTTTTTTATACATCTTTTTTTCTAGGTTATATTATTACAATCATTTTCCACATTTTAAACCTACATTTTCCTCTAAGTAATCCATCTTTAAGAATGGAAGATGGACATGAGAAACTTTTCTCTACCATCTACATAAAACAAATGAATAGAGTTTTCCTGACTTAAATAAAATTGCCCATTTTTTGGCCTTGTGCCCACTTACAGCTGGACTTAGTAGTCTCACAGACCTCAGTGTGCTCTAGGTAAGATCATCCCTCTTGCTGATCTTGCCATTGCTAGCAACAAGAATTTAGAAAGGCTGACTGGTTTTAAGCAGTAAAATTTACTTATACAAATTTACTGAAAATTACTTCCCCAAAAGCTAACTTAATAAATGATTAATTTGCTAAGACACAATTCTCTGAAAGCCAGTTAGCCATATGACAAGATACTCAATGAAAGTTCATTCAATTTTTTATTTGTTTTTTAAACATTTCATGAAGTTTATAATATTTCATTGTATAGGATGGATTTAATAGCTCTTCAATATTTAAAGAGAAAGGTTTTTCTGACTGGGTTTCATTTTGCCATTTAAGGAATGTTCAGTTTATCTCATTGGTGAAGAAATTAGTAAGCATGTCAATAAATCTAAGTGTGTATTATATAAAGAATTATAACTTTATTAGGACTTACAAAACCAGGTGAAACTAAAATACTGTAGAAAACAATGTGAAGGAGATTACTGTAGCAGTCACAACTAAAACATTTTTGGACCTTGGTTTGTTTGGTAAGAGGAATTAGATATTAATGAATTTTGCTGTGGTTAAGTGATATATGTATTTGGGTAAGTTTATGGGTATTTACTAAAATAATAGAATTTATAATTTCTAAACCATTAGAGATGAAAAAGGGGAATTAAGAAACTTTAATAATTCAACAGAAGCCAGGAAAGAAGAAAATAAGAAGCATAGAAAAAGAAGGGTAAACAGAAAGCATAAAATAAATTAATAGAATTACAAATAATTTTATTATTACTAATTACAATACATGTAAAATAGACCATATCTTGCCAGTTAAAATATAGATTGTAAAGATTGAATTTAAAAAATTACAGGTATATGCTTCTTACAAATGCATTTTAAAGTTTATGATTATTTTCAGCCAGTCTTATTTATGATGATATTGTATTCTCTGAACTTATCGTTACTTGCAACATATGCAAAATCTCTTTCTGAAGGATCTCACTCTTTGACCTTCTCTTGTACGCTGATGTCAATAATTCTTTAACCTCTCTATTTACTGCTTTATGTACTCACTTCCCTTTTTACCTTGGTTAGACATTATGTTTAATCTCCCCAAATGCCCCTTGGATACATCCACTTGTCCTACTTTTTCTTATACCCACTGGCCAAAGCTTCAACAACTTCTTCTTTCCTTTATCTCTGATGTCCTTGATTTTGATTCCTGAGAACTTGGAAGCCATTGGAAAAGAGTTTCCTCATTCTCCTAATATCTGATCTCCCAACCTACTACATTTCTATCCATATACCTTGCCTTCACTTTATTTAGGGTAATAAACAGTCTGTGCTCCTCCTGTCCTTTACTTTGGCACTGAGCCCCACTCTCTCTTGCCTACCCAAACACTTTGCTTTTGCAGTTGCCTACTTTCTCATATGCATCATTAATTCTTCTTTGTCTACTGGATCATTCCCTTCAATATATATTCATGCTGAAATATCTATCTAACACTTACCTTCCCATCTCCACCCCACCCTCAATCTCACATCTGCCTTTAGGTACCATCTGATTTATCTGTTCCCTTTTATAGCAAAATTCCTCAAAAGATATGCCTATACATTCTGTCTTTACTTCCTCATTCTTGTTTTCCTTTACTCAAGGTATTTTTCTTTCTAAAAAATGTATTAAAACTCTCACCAAGTAAAAAATATCCTTCATATTTCCAAATCCACATATCCATTTTTATTTTACATATTACTTGACATATCAGCAGCATTTGATGCAACTGGCTTCATCCTTCTTCAGAGACCTGGCACTCTCAAGTTTCTCCTCCAACCTCAATGGCCACTTTTTTCTTAGCCTCCTCGTTCAGCTCCTAATGTTGCTATGCCCTATGATTCACTCCTTAGCTTCTTTTCTTTATTATACTCCCTCGGGTCATCTCATCTAGTTCTATATAACTTTTTAAATAAGTTGGCAACTCACAAGTTTATACCCCCAGTCACTGACTGTCCCCTAAACTTGAGATGTGTATGTCTAAATGCCTATCCAGTATTTCTACTTGAGTCTTGTAGAGATCTTAAATCTATTATGTTCAAAACAGAAGTCTTGATTTTCAACTGCTTTACCCTAAAAATGTCGCACACCCGTTATCCTCATCAGTTATTCCTGTCTTCCTGATGGCTCAAGTCGTAAACCTGAAAATTAGTTGATTCTCCTTTTCTTACATCCAATATCTATTCCATCAACATGTTTTATTGATCCTACTTTCAAAATATCCCTAAAATTAGTCAGTTTTCCCTACTTCACTCTGTTTCCTTCTCTAGTAGTTTATTTTTATCACCACAGAAACATGCTGGAGTATCTTCCATCTTAAAACCCTTCCCTCGAACCATTATTCCACCCTCCCCCAACATTTCTCCTAACATCTTACTAGCCTAATTAACTGCTTCATTTCACAGGAGTCTTGGAGAAGTTTTCTCTGCTTTCTCTCTTAAAATGTTTACCACCCACTTTCTTTTTAACCTGCTTCTCTCAATTTTCTATCACCAAACTCTACTGAAACTGCTTTGTGTCAAATCATCTGTGATCTCCAAGTTGTTGAATACAGTGTCATTTCTCCATCATTACCTCATCATCATCATCTTACTTAATCTCTTGGTATGTGAAATAGAATTAACCATTCCTTTCTTAATGGAGTCTTTTTTTCTTGGATCTCATGACACCATATTCTTCTGATATTCCTCTTACCCATTGAATGCTGTTGTCTCTCAGTATTCTTTACTAACCTCTCTTCTACTCAATCTCAAAAGGTTGGAAATATCTGTGGCTGTGTCTTAGACCTTCTTTTTAAAAAAAATCTACACTCCTTTCTGAGGCAATGTCATTGGATCCCATCACTTCAGATACCATCTATCTGATGACTTCAAAATTGATACCTCTAGGCATAACCTTTTCTCAGAGCTTACATTCATTCATTCATTCCTTCATTTATTTAACAAGTATTGAACAGCTACTAAAGGGTTAGGCACTGTTTCATGCTTTGGAGATATAGTAGTGAACAAGATAGATGAGGTGCCTGCCTACTTTTGTGAAGACAATAAACAAACAATAAATTAATTCAACAATTAGATATTGATAAGTGATATGTACATAACTAAAATAAGAGTGCTATTATACAGAATATTTGGGGGTACTTTAAGGAAAGGAGGTTTTGTGGTAGAGGGGACATTTGAACTTAAAATGGAAAAATAAGAAGGAAGTAGCCTTGTTAATTAGAGAATTTTAGCACAAGGAACAGTGCAAAGATTCCAAGATGAAAATCAGCTTGTCATGTTAGAGATATAGAAAAAGACCAACTCAGTTAGAAAATTGTGGACAAAGCAGGAGTAATACAACATAAAGTCAGAGATACAGACGGGTCAGATAATGATCTTCTAAATAAGGTGACATTTGTGCATTTTATTTTAGGTGTGATGAGACTAGATGATATTTTTTGGTAAGAGAGTGATCTAATATGGTTTGATTTTTAAAGATTGCTTTGTGCAATTGTTTATTAGTTTCAGACTAACTCTGAATACAACTAGAAAATGTGTGTGTGTGTGTGTGTGTGTGTGTGTGTGTTTGAAGGTATCACAGAGCTATCAAGATTGTGACAATTTATTGGGGCTTACATTCAGATTTAGAGGGAAATATAGTATTTGGGGAATTAAAAGACAAAATTTTCTAAAACTGATGAAAGATATCAAGGTACAGGTTCAAAACGATATTATAAACTCCAAGCAGGAGATATAAAAGAAAACCAAAGCAAGACATATAATAATAAAACTGCTGAACATTTGAGGCAATGAGGAAATCCTAAGAGCAGACAGAGAAACACTTGTATTACCTTCAAAGGAGCGACAATAAGATTGATACTTGTCTTTTCAAAAGAAACAATGGAAGCTAAAAGACGATGAAATGTTATATTCATCTTTCTGAAGCAAAATAAGTTATATGTTAACAGTGAAAATATCCACCAAAAAGAAAACATGTAAAGATATTTTCAAGCAAAGAAAAACAGAGCTAATCACCAGAGACCTACTGTAAAGGAAATATTAAAGGATAATTCTAGTTGGAAGCACAGAGGAGCAAGAAAGAATAAGAACAATGGAAAGAGCATATGTGTGGAAAAATATAGCTAGATATTGATTGCATAAAATAATAATAGTAATCTTTCAGGATTTAAGATAAATAGAATTAAAATACATAACAATCCCAGATAAGGCAGTGAGAAAATGGAGTTAAGTATTGTAGGATACTTGTATTATTTGGGTAGGGGTTAAAGTATTTTTTTCTTAATAATATACCCTAACAAATCAAGGATGCATGCTATAATTTTTAGGGCAAGGATGCAGATAATAATAAAAGAGTGTATAATTAATAAGCTTTTGTATAAAGATAATTAACTGGTAAATATTAACTTAATCCAAAAAAGTCAAGAATAGAAAAAGAAATACAGAACAGGTGAGATAGTAGAAACCAAGTAGTAATATTGTAGAGATGTAAACCAAATAGTTCCATAATAACTCTGAATATAAATAGAGTAAATATGCTAATTAAGGGACAAGGCTGTCAGACTGGATTAAAAAAAACCAACTGTATTCTGCTTATAAGAGACACACATAAAATGTGATTAAAATGATTGTAAATGAAAGGGTGGAAGAAAGAGATACCATTCAAACACTAAAAGAAAGCTGTTATTATTATATTCATATCTGTCAAGCAGACTTTAAGGCAAAAAATATTGCTAGAAGGAAATTTTATAATAATAAAAGATCAATTCTCCAGGAAGCCTCAAAATACATAAATAAAAATCGACAGAAGTATAAGGAGGACCAGGCAATCTACAATCATAGTGGGGTATTTAAATACACTTCTCTCAGCAACTGATAGAAGAAGTAAAAAATATGTAAGAATGTAGAATATTTCTACAAAATTATTAATAAAACATCAACATACATTGAACACTACACCTAACAACTGCAGAATATCCATTCTTTTGAAATTGACCATATACTGGGCCATAAAGCAAGTTTCAATAAATTTTAAAGGGTTGAAATCATAGAGTTTGTTCTCTAACACAGTGGAATGAAGCAAGCATTAAATAATAGGAAGATAACTAGAAAAATCTTTAAGTGTTTGAAAATTAATGACTTCTAAATAATCAATGGGTCATTGAATAAATTACAATGCAAAATTAGAAAATATTTTGAACTAAATGAAAATGAGAAAAATATGAAATAGCATAACTTGTGGAATACATTAATTCCATGCCTAATAGATATTTATAGCCTATATATATATACACACACACATATATACATATATACACTCACATATATATGTATATAAACACATACATATATATATGAATGATATCTCTTTTTCCCATCCTTTCATTTTCAATCACTGTTATCATTTTTTATGTGTGAATCTTATAAGCAGCATACAGTTGTGTGTGTATATATATGTATATGAAAGACTGAAAAATTAATTACCTAAGCATATATTTCAAGAAGTTTTAAAAAGAACAAATTAAGCCCTAAGAAAGTATAATGAAGGAAATAATAAAGATAACTAAAATTAATAAAAGAGAAAGAAAATTTAGAGAACCAACAGTGCCAAGATTCAGCCTTTGAAAAATCTAATAAAACTGATAACCCCTGCAAGATTAATCAAGGAAAGAAGAGTAAGTACCAATATCAGGAAAGTAAAAGGGGACATTGCTATCGAGGTTTTAGACATTAGAAAGATGACAAGAGCATATTATAAAAAACATTATACCAGCTAATTTGAAAATTTAGATGACATAGAAGAAATGTCTAGAAAAACACTTGTTACCAAAACTGAACCAACAATAAATAGAAAACCTAAATAGTACTATGTTTATTAAAGAAATTGAATCTTAAATGCATTCATTTCCAGTGGGGGAGAAACTGCAGGTCAGATGGCTTTACTGAATTCTATTCAAAGTGAAAGAAAGAAATAACTATAACATCACATAGATTATTTCAGAGAAATGAAAAACAGGAAACACCCATTTTATTAATCCAAACTGGCCTCAGTACCATAACCTGACAACGATATAAGAATCAAAATTTTCAGGACAATTCCTTTCATATAGATGCAAAACTCTGAAAGAATATAATAGCAGACTGAATTCAGTAGTATATAAAAAGAATATATGTTATTCCTAACTACATTTTATTCCAAAATTCATTTTTGGATTAACATTTGAAAACCAACCAATTAAGTACTGAAATAGAATAATGGGGAAAATTATATGAACCTCTCAATAGATGAAAAATTGATAAAATCCAATATTAATTCTGATTAATAAATAAAAGATTATGTCTTTGAAAAATGTCATAGCAAAAATTATATTTAATGGTGAAATGAAAGCTTTCATCTCCAAGTTTGGGAATGAAACTAGTATGCCTGCATCATCCTATTGATATATACTATGTATAGTATCATCCTATTTAACATTGTACTAAAAGTCCTAGCTAGAGCAATACGTTAGGAAAAGGAATTAAAAGCAGAGTAATTGGAAAAGAAGTAATAAAACTGTTATTACTCACAGAATGATATAACTTTTGTATGTGGAAAATCCAAAAGAATGTATAGCTAAACTATTAGAATAAATAAACTAAACATGCTTCTGGTTATAAGTATACAAAAATCAATTGTATTTCTATATAACAGCAATAAACACTTAGAAAATGAAATAAGAAAAGATGCTATTTACAAAAGCATAAAAAAATCAGAAAAATTTTAGGAATAAATCTAATTAAAGATATGAAATGGCTGTACTCAGAATATTATAAAAGTTGAGATTATAAGTGCTGAGAAAATGAAATAGGAAAGGAGGCTATTCATAAAAGCATAAAAAAAGAGGAAATTTTTAGGAATAAATCTAAGAAAACATGAAAGAGCTATACTCAGAAAATTATAAATATTGAGATAAAGATTTAAATAAATGGACAATATATAGCTTGTTTATGAACTGAAAGTCTAAATAGCATTAAGATATCAAATCTCCTTAAATTCATTTATAGATGCAATGAAATCCCATTCTGAATATCTGAAGTTTTTTTAAAAAATAAAGATTAATAAGGTGATTTCTAAAATTTATATGAAAATGTAGAGGGCTAAGATTAGGTAAGACCATCTTTAAGAAGACTAAGTTGGAAGACATACCAGATAGCAAGGTGTGTTATAAAGGAAGAAAATATGGCATGATGCAAGGCTAAACAAATGGAATGATAAAAGATAATAGTATAAAGTCAGTCTTATATCACTCTGGACATTTGGTTAATGGCAAAGATGGTAGTGTAGGTCAGTAGAGAAAGAATAGTCTTGAATAAATGGTGCTGGGTTAATTGAATTTTCAAATGGAAAAAAAATAGTTTCCAGGTTGATTTTACATGTAAGAGATAAACGAAGATAACATTGGAGAATATCTTCAGGACCTCGGGGTGGGGAAATACTTAAATAAAATTCAAAAAGTACTAATTAATAAGAAAAAGACTGATAAATTGTACTGCATTAAAAGTAGGAATGTTTATTCTTTTAAAGATAGCATTAGAAGAGAGATGTACAAGCCACACAGTGGGAGGATATACAAAACACATTTAACCAATAAAGGAATCTGTCCTGAATATAAAAATAGCTTCTATAAATCAATAAAAAATACAGTTAACTCAATGGAAAAATGAATACCTTAGGAACGTTACAGAAAAGGATATCCAAATGGCCAATAAACATATCAAAACTTCTCAACCTTGTTATGCACTAGGGAAATGCAAATTGAAATAACGTGTGAGACCTCAATACACCCACCAAAGTGACTAAAAAGATAAGAAAGAAAAAAATCCTTGACAATACCAAATATTGGTGAGAATGTGGAGAATTGAGATTTTTTTTTTTTTTATGTACTGCTGGAGGCACATAAAGTGACAGAAGCACTTTGGAAAATTGTTTGACAGTATCTAAGTCCTAGCGATTTACTCTTAGGAATATTCCCAACTGAAATATGTACATATGTGTAACCAAAAGTAGTACACAAAAAAGTGCATAGCCCTATTATTTATAATACCCCCCAAAATGGAAGAGACCCAAGTATCTACCCATAGACAAATGGATGAATAAATTGTTATATTTTCAGATAACATAATAGTCAGTGTTGGGAGATGAAGGTAGACTGGACTAGGATGATAATGGCAGAGAGGGGGATAAATGGATAGATTTGGCAGGTTTGTAGGCAGAGTTGACTGGACGTGGTGATGAATCAGTGTGATGAGAAAACAGGAATCATGGATAACTTCTAGATTTTGGTATGAGCAAACAGTTATTTCTCGTTATTTCTATTATTTCCATCATCTTTCACATAAAAGAATGCAGTCTCTCCCTGCTCCTGCTCTTGCCTTCCTATATTCCTGTTTTCCACGTAGCAGCCCAGAGTGGTCTTTTAAAAACATAGATTATCTTACTCCTCCTGCTTAATACCCCTTTAAGTACATGCTAAAATCTAACATGTACTGTTTTAATTCTACTGTGCCCCTCTTTACATGAGCTACGCTGTCTAGCTCTCTGACATCACCATATACCACTGGTCCTCTTTTTAACTATGTATGCTCTAAGGCACACTAGCTTCTTTTTGCTCTTTGGGACAAGTTTACTCTTGCTTAGAATCTTGCCCTTTGCCTTGGCTAGTTTCTTTTGTGTTTAAGATCTCAACTCAAAGATAATTCCCTAGAGAGGTCTTCCCCTGGCCATCTAATTTAAAGCACTTTCCTCCTCCCTCCCATCACTTTACTACAAGCTTGTCCAATCTGTGGCCCAGGACAGCTTTGAATGTGGCCCAACACAAATTTGTAAACTTTCTTAAAACATTACGAGTTTTTTTTTAAGCTTATCAGCTATTATTAGTGTCAGTGTGTTTTATGTGTGGCCCAAGACAATTCTTTTTCCATTATGACCCAGGGAAGCCAAAAGACGGGACACCCCTGCTCTACTACATCACTCTTTTATTTTCTTCATTGTTCTTATCACTATTTAAAATTATCTTATTTGTTTATTGTTGTTTACTAAATGTTTCCCCCTATTAAAGGTAAGCTGCTAGGAGTTTATATAGTTCACTGCTGCATAGATAGAGCCAAGACCAAGTAGAAGGTAGTTAATACATATTTGTTAAGTAAATGAATAAATGGACAATCTAACAATACAGAGTATTGAGTAGCTCCATGGAAAGCAAATTTATGCCCTCATTTTCCTTCTATATAGAAATAAACCTTTTAGTGACAGTGCCACTAAAAAGAAAGAGAAAAACCCTAAACTTCCAGAACCTTTTGCCTTACAGTACACATACATTCAGATTTCCACCTTGGTTAATAGTAAGTAGACAAAATTAAATGTATTCCTTCTTACCTTGTTCACCAAAAGAGCAAATAGAATGTAGCCTGAAGGAGCCTGCTGGGTACTGAAGGCTGAGATAATGGCCCTTTTATAGCAGGCCCCATGCAGGGAGGAGCCACCCTCTGTGGGATGGTCTGATTCATTCCTAACCAAACCTAGATCCACCCATATCTCCACCTCTATTTCTCCAGCAACCTGTGTTTACTTCCCAGCTTCCTCACGTACTCATCTGTACTTGTTTCAGCAAGTTCCAAATTTGGGTTTACATATTGGAAATTTTATGGAAGGGTCCCTTTGGCTAATACAGGTTGTTTGTGTGCAGGGCCCATACCTACTTTTCTGTAACCCCACTTTGGCTTGACAGGTGCTTGGTAAATATCTATTGATAAATACACTTCCTGATCCTTGTCTCTAGAAGAGTAGGACATATTAATACGTTTATAAGAACTTGAAATTCAATTTATGATAGGAAAACATCACAAGCATCTACATATATGTTCTTTTTTAATCTATGTATTCCATCTTTGGGTACTGAAGAACTTGCCATGAGATGAATGCCGTCTTCTAGAAATTATGGTCAGTAGAGGATAGGCAAATTTAATTTTAATTTTTCAAAGCAGAGCAAGAATGTGAACAATTGAACTAGAAGTGGTGATCACTAGGAGCATGAGTTTAATTAGGCAAGACTCATTAGTGTAATTTTACTTTGTTTTCAAGGTTATTACATCGTGGCATCAGAGACATGTTCCACATACTCTTCCTTCTTAAACCATGAATTTTCTTTTATTGCCATAAATATACAGGGGACTCCTATCCCTGGTCTGTCTTATGATATACACACTGTTATGTTGAGCAGATTGCATCTCCATATGGATGTCCCATGGTTATCTCAATCCATAGTGTTGAAAACTGAACTTACATTGTGCCTCCTACCAAAATGTACTATCCTCCAGAAGCCCATATATTGGTAATGATGCCCCCACACACTGGGTGTCTCAAGCTAGACAAAGTCATTTTCATTTCTCCTTTTCCTTAACCCCTCATGCTCATGTCACATCGTATCAATTATACTCAGGCTTAGATTTTGTTATGTAGGCCTATTCTCTACCTCCAGTGCTATAATTTTAGTTCTGGACCTGACCATCTTTCAATTGGGTATTGGTAAAGAAAAAAAAGTGTCGTAACTAGCCTCTCTCTCTACTATTAAGCTGGCTTACCATCTTATGTCATTCGCTGTGCTGGTTTCTTCTTGCCTGCAGAATTTCAGACTTTTTTACCTGACGTACAAGCCCCTTTACAATAGGCATGAATCTGTATCTTTTCAATTGTCCCTCTTATTACCTGTATCTCATGGAAAAGTCACTCTAGAATGAGCAATATTTCTTGGACGAGCCCATATTGGTCCACTACTGTTCAAAATCTTTGCGTGCTATCCTCCACTACCTTGACTTGAGAGACCCTCATCCTTAACTTCTCTTTATCTTTTAAGATTCTTCAAAATTACCACCTCCTGCATAAAGCCTTACCTGACATCTCCAGATTTATCAGTGTTCCCTCACATACTCTGTATTTACCTCTCAATAGCACTGGTGATATTTTATATTAATTACTTATTTATATGTGTGCCCCCTGCCCCCTGGTGCCTTGAATCCTGTGTTTCTTCTCACCCTAGCATTGACTGGGTCTGAGTCATCCTTTGTGTCCTTGGGCCCTACAGCAATGCCTGGGACATGATCAAATAAGGGATGCAAGGGTGTGCCAATCTTGTTCAGAGTCAAAGAGATAAAAATATGCCCGAGTTTTTAAAACTGTGTTTAATGTCCTCGTTCTTAACCTTATTAGACCATTGATTCTTTCTTTTGTGGAGTATTGGTTAACATCTGTAGAACACAGATATTCATTTTCTCCTTTTTTCTTCTTGGGTCTAATTTTTTTATGCCAGTAGTTATTGCATTTTTGTCTCTACCATGATGTAATAATGATAGTAATCTATATTGTATACCCATTATGTGCTAGGAATGTGCTAAGATTTTGCGTGTATTAATTTTAATCATCAGGACAACCCTTTGAGGTCATTATTATTCCTCTATTTTAGAGATGAGGGAACTGATACTGATAAGGCACCCAAGGTCACCAAGCAAGTAAGTTACAGAACTAGGATTTAATCTGAGGTTATTCAGACTCCAACTCCCACATTATTTCCACCATGGCATATTGTTCTGGGTGTGAACTTTTATCCTTTTTTTGTTAACCTTATTTATATTTTTAATGTTTTAAACAGTGATTTCTCTCAAAGTACCTATGTCTGGGTGAACTTAACTGTGGAAATCATTGCAGGATCAGCAGAAAGACTAGACCATGGACTATGAGTGAGTGAAGAAGGTAGCATTGAGAGAGTGTCAAGAATGAGGCAATCTTGGATATGACCTTCTTTGGGGCCAAAAGACCCCAAATCTTGCAGAATTATGTCAATATGGAGGGTATTGTTTAGTGGTCTGCTCTAGGACTTTTTTCCTGACCATGTTGTGCTCATTGTATTTTATCAATAACTTAGGTGAAAATTTGGATAGATGGCAAATATTTTTAGGATAGACTGAGGATTCAAGAAGATTTTATCATGTTGCACCAATGGCTCAAATCTGATAAATGAATATTATTGAAAAAGTAAAATTCTGACTCCAGTTCCAAATTACACTTTACAAGGATAGGGTAGAAGACATGAGTAAAAAAAGCAATATTGTGGCAGTGGCAGAGTGATGCCATAGCCAAAAAGATAATGTGATATTAGGCTGCATTAAAATAAACACATTAGCTGGAACAAAATAGGTGGTGAGGTACTTGGCTCAGCATTTATCAAACTATTTCTGTAGCTCTTTGTTCAGTTCTGATGACCATTTTTCAGTAAGGATATGGACAAATTGGTATGTGTTCTGAGTAAAGTAGATAGAATGATTGTCTAGATGAGTGGCAAACAGAACTCAGTGGGATGGATGGATGGATGGATGGATGGATAGATGGATGGGAGATGCAATATCTGTCTTTGGCTATATGAGTGGCTGTTATATAGAAGAGGGATTATACTTGGACTATATAATCTCAAGGCAGGTAGAACTCAGATAAATATGTAGAAACTATAAGAAACCATGTTTTGGCTTTATGTAAGTGACGACTTTTTAATAGAATTGTCCAAACATGCAAATAATTATTTTTGGAGATAGTGAGTTCCCTATTATTGCCTAGAGAATTTTGAACTGGATGGAATCTTGGCATCAACTAGTTTAATCTGCTCACATTGTAGCTGAAGACTAGAAGGACCAATGTGGTATGGCTAGTAAATTAAAAAGTCAAGGCCCAGGCCTCCAACTCAGGGCTTTTCACTCCAAATCCTCTTTATGTTGCATCAGGTTGCATCAATTACAGGGAGATGAACATGAGACAGGGATAATTAGGATGGGAGTTAGGTAGAGGAACATTGGGTAGATGTCTGATAGATGCCCTTTTCAACCTGACAGCTACTATTCTATGATTGAAGTACATTTCTTTGCTTGACTCAGCTCAGCTCAGTTCAAATAGTTATTTGATCTGTGCAGTTTAATAACTGCAGGGGTAACATTATACTGCAAACAGGAGGATAGTTCTTGGGTTTTCATGCCCCACTTCCTGCCAGTCTGGCTGATCCCACTTGCATGCTAGCTTTTTACCCTCAGAATCTCAGGAATTTTTCCCCCTAAGTCTAAGGAATTTTTCCCCCTATTCAAATTCTTTGCTGTTGAATAGTGAACTCTGAGATGTGGCATGTCTTCTTATCTCCAGAGAGATCTTATTCTCCATATCATTGTTGCCACATAATGAAATGCTTTCAGTGGTGTTTTAGGTGTCTGTGGTCACATATTGCGGCTGCCAGCATTTGCTAAGGAGTGAAGGGAACTCCCCCAAGGCAGGAGTTATTGACAAATAATAAATTACAGGATTTCAATTATAATCATTCAATTGCTTGTCCCTCCCTTTTCCTACCCAGTAGGCTGGAAAGGCATTGTGTTGCCATCTGGCCTCTGGGCTGCTGATGTGGGTCAGGTTGTCACAATTCAAGGATCAGCCCTTTGAGATGTGTGACTGAGGCTGTAGGAGTGAAGGGGAGTTGGAATTTGTGGTTAAATGATTTCCTACAGGAGCTGTAGTCATCTTTTGGGAGGTGCTGTTTGGGGTTAGAATTTTTCCAGGTTGAATATTCTCTTGAATTCCATGGCATAGTTGAAGCTGATATTCCTGCTTAGTTAGCCATAGAGTGGTGGAGCAGTATCTGGCTAAAACACTTCCACTTGCAGCTTATATTTGCCAGGACAATGGTGATGGAAAGGAATCTTGATCCCAAGCAAACAAAATGTTCGAATTACCATTGATGCCCTCAGATGCTGCTTTCTTTATAGCCAGTCTCTCTTTCTCTCTCTCTCTCTCTCTCTCTCCCTCTCTCTCTCTCTGTGTGTGTTGTGTGTGTGTGTGTGATAGAGACAGAATGAGAGACAGACAGAAAGACAAAGAGAAGGAGGTAAAGGATGTAGAAGGAATGAGTGTGAGTGATAATAAGGCTTTTCCAGATAAAAGCAGGCCATTTTATGGCAATATGGATTGTCTTTCAGTTTTTCCATATGCCCAACATTTTCATTCTCGGGTACTCATTAACAGTTTCTTTGAGGTTTGGAGAAGAGGAAATCAAGATGGCTGACAAGGTTGGAAATTGAGAATAGAATTGAACGAAGCCCGTGGCAGAGGTGTGTGTGTGTGTGTGTGTGTGGTGGGGGTACATGTGACACACATGTTATTCCAGCTACTACAGATGCAGAAGTCACTGGGGACACACACACACACACAGGCACTCAGAATGTATGTGAGAGAGATAGACAGATATAGAGAAAACAATGATCAAATATGAGCTTTTTGTATAGTGAAGAAATATTCTCCAGGAAGTGCTTATATCAATAAAGCTAATTTTCCCAAACTTATGGTACTTTATTAAACCTCTCAAGTACAACTACAGAGATGGCCAGAGGCATTCTAAGATGTGAAGGGAGGGGGCATTTATGTAGTAACTGTGTTATATGAAAGTTTTCTCTAACAATTAAGGACAAAAGTAATAACAGAAAAAATAACAGATAAAACAACTGATCATCCCATGTAGTTAAGGGAGAAAGCCTTCATGACTTGACTCTTAAATGTTTATAAACAGAGAGACTGTGAGATCTTTAGGGTGGCTGTTTCAGCAATGACTAGTATCAGCAGTAAAGGATGGACCATTCACCATTTCATGTTCCATAGAAACGAACAGTGAGGACTGGTGACAGAGTGATGCAGCATCATGAAACTGGAAAAAAAAAAATCCAGGAGCAAGCCAGAACAGAGACATGATAGCTATTCATGATCAAGGGCATCACCAATATTTTCTGTTCAGACATGGTAACATAGGCTAATAATTACAGGAGAATGTAGATCAGGAGGGACTGGAACTTGAAATAAGCTTCTACTCTCCTTTCTCACCTGTTTCCTTTGTATATAGGGAGATTATAGATAGATAGAATAGACAGACAGACAGACAGGTAGACAGATAGATAAACAAGAATATATTCCAGAGGGAAAATTTCTGCAGGTAACTGAGGGAAATTCAGACTAAGAGATAGGTCACAGTATTTAGGGATCATTTATTCATTCAAGAAACATTTCTTGCCAGTGACTACTTGCCAGTCACCATGCTTGTCACAGAACTGTAAATGAAGAAGGCATGCTCCTTGTCCTCCAAGAGTTTATAATCTAATGAAGAAAGCATACATATAAACAGTATGATATGTGTTATAATAAAGGTATTTGTAAATACCTTTAGGAATACCTTAGGTATTAGTAAATAGCTTTACTTGAGGAAGCAAGCTGTTTTCTTTTAGAGAGGTCAAGGGGAGGTAATATTTGAGCTGAACATTAAAGGACATTAAAGAACATTAAAGAACAATAAAAGCACTTATTGGATTGTATGGGAAAGATCAGGGAGAGGCAGGCCTGAAAGGTCATATGGAAAGGGCTTGGAAGCCTTGGAAGCCTCTAAGTGATGTATATATTATTTATATTGGGTGGCAACTGAAGGGTTTTTAAGTGGAAAAGTGACAGGACCAGATTTTCATTCAGTAAATGTAACTACTGGAAGTATGGATGGCGGATTGAGCTGGATACAGGCAATTTATATAAAAGAAGGAAGAGATAGTAAAATCTCAAACTAAGGCATTGGCAGTGGGATTGAAGAGAAGATACATTTTAGAGGCAGATCTTGGTGATGCATTGGAAGTGGACTATGAGAGAAGGTGCAGAACAAGAGGGAATAGGTTAGCGGCCTGGCAAGCAGTTGGTGTTGGGCAGGTTAGGGAGGGCAACCCAATGAAGTAGACTCTGACAGGTGGACAGAACTCAATGATGGAGAAGGCAGGAATAGGAGATTTCAGTAGGCAGTGGGTAATGGAGAGTTGGTATCAACAATATCATGTCACTAGGTAGCAGGACCTTAGGGCTCATATTTTAGGCCAGGACTTTAATCTTGTAAGTAGGGAAGACTAAAGAACAAAGAAGGTTTATATCATGACCAGGCAGAGACTTTTATCATAACTGAGAAAGATCAAAATCAGATTACCAGCATAATTGAACTGATACTAATTCATGAGCTTTAGGTAACTTCTATTCTTAAATTCTTCCTGCTGAAGACCAGTACTTATTCTGGATGATGGGGACCCTCACCAAGCTTCCAATTCCTGAAGACCCCTCTATCTACTCAGCACTAACTTTTTATCAACTTAGACTTTATTCTCTCATCGTAAGTCTCCTGGTTACTCATTCTTCATAATTCACCACCTACACCTTGTAGATTAGGCAGATGTTTGATTGATATCTCCATGACTATTGGTATAGCACAACACCAGACTACACCACACTCCTCTTACCCAGGTGTAGTTAGGGGAGGGCTCAGAATAGTATATGTGGTTTAGCTGTAGGAGCACAAGGGTTGCATAATCTAGTAGTTTGAGAACTAGATGAGTTCAGAAGGTGAACATCAGAACCACTCTGGAGTTGTATTTACATGTTATTTACAATTTCTGCTCATAACAAAAGTTAAAAAAATTATTAAAGACCCTAAACTACCATATTTCCAGAAGAATCACTGAGACCCAAGGCTCCAAAGTCCTTCAAGTGTTAATTTATGAGACTAATGATGCTCGTTTTTGTTAACCTCATGGATTCTCACATCAGTGGTGACCTTGTTGAGGTAGAGGTGGACTCACACCACCAACATTTCCACTCATTTTATCAGCATTCCCTAAAGTATGGCTTCCTCCATTTCTTAGAGCACTTGTTTCAAGGGATTTATATTATTTTAGGATATCCAGACAACTTGGAGCCAAGTCCCCACAGCTGGATCAGACAACTTTTGGTGACATCTCACAGTGTGGATTATCAAGCCAGTGTATCAGTCTGGAGCCTAGGTTTTTTGCCTTTAGCTTTGCTCAGGATGACTTCTGCTCTTCTATGGCAATACTTGAGAAGGTAAGGTAGTTTTTTTCTCATTTTTTGTTTCATCATTTTAATCCATATTTCCCAGAATCTACCTCTTTCTTTACCTCATTCTATCATTTTTCTAATCAGGCCATCAGTTAGTTACTCTTGCAACGTGTACTCTAACAGCATTTCATGTATATGCTTAAACTAATTCATAGAACATGGTTACTATTAATATTTGCATTTCTTTTCACAGTATGCATCTAGAAATCCTCAGCTATTTTTTGTTTTCTTCATGAAATTTTTAATTCTAGGAACTTTTCATATGAGATATGAAAAATGGTTAAATTCAAATAACACCATGTCCACCATATTGGCCCCCTAATTAGAGCCAAGATCACAAAATCCATGGTGTAGTGTTGAGAGCACAATCTCACACACCTCACAGACTTGCCTTTGACTACTGGCTCCTCCAGTTGCCAGCTCTATGACTTTGAGCAAATTTCTTAACCTTTCTGGGTCTGTTTCCTCATCTATAGAGTAAAGATAATAATACTTCATTTTGATAGTTCTTCAGTATATTAAATGAATTATATGTCAATGGTCTGACACTTTGCCTAGCATGATAGCAAGGTATTCAGTAAATGGTAATTATTAGTTTTATATAACTATGAAGTCTTACAGAATTGGTAAACTCAATATGAGACACTTATTGCAATTGAATTTTTGCATGTGTGTTTGTTTCCATCAAGAGAGAAGAGCAAGAAACATACATCTTTTCCTTTTTCTTTTCCAAGAATTTTTTTTAATTGAGTCCCTCTCTGTGTGATTATGGAGGTTTTTAAATGTCCTTTAGGGTTCAGTGTGATCATCTCTAGAAGATCGGGGAGAAGGTTTTCATCTGTTTTAGGAAAAGAGTAGCTTCAGGAGAATATTGAATGTTGAATACAAATACTACAAAAAAAGTAGCAAAAATTGCTCTAGTACATTTATTGTTTTCCTCCATTGTATACATTCCACTTTTTTTTTTTTCTGGCAACAGTCCCTGATTTTCATTTAAGAATCCAACCATTGCCCATTCTTACTCCTTGTGGTCAGGGTGAGGGGGTGAGTTTATCTTTGACTTATGAGGGTGAAGATGTTGCTTGGATGTTAGTGGACAGGGATGGGTAAGCATGTGACCTGGGATGTCTAAGGCAGAGTGAATCTCAGGACTATTGTGTGAACTACCAATAAAGACATAGCATTCCTCCTCCACCTCTCCCCCCAACCCCTTGGCCCCTGCACCTTGAGATTTGAACAGGGAAGAATGTAGGCCAAGCTGCTGCAGCCATCTCATGACTACATGTCAAAACTGTAGTCAACAGAGGGAAAAGCAGAGCTGAGAGATTGAGAGACTCACCCAATCTTGATGATATACTTTGAGCCTTGGAGTGAGTACAGCCTGCTAGCCCCATTTCAAGACTTTTCAATTACGTGAACCAATACATTCTCCCTTTAATTTAATAAGCTTTGAGTTGTTCTATTACTTGAAGCAGAATTAGAACTGATATAATTGCTATTTACTTTTTGCTGTGTTCTGCATTCATAATAAATATAAAAAACATAGCAAGATAACCAGGGGCATGTTAATGCAAGGGTGGTAATAGAGAAAGGGGAGGAAGAGGAATAACAAGCCCTCCCCTCAGTTCTTTCATGTCTCCTCTTTTCCTTCGGATTAAAGATCAGATCCCTGAACCAGTATCATCACATTATACTTTTCTAAGTTTTATTTTGTTTTTAACTGACATCTAGTAATTGTGCATGTTTATATTTAAGTGATGTTTCTATACATGTTTACATTATGTAATGATCAAATCAGGGTAATTAGCATATCAATCACTTCAAACATTTGTCATTTCTTTATGGTGAGAATATTCAAAATTCTCTCTTCTATTAATAGCTATTTTGAAATATAGTATATGATATTGTTAACTGTGGTTACCCCACTGTGCAGTAGAACAGTCAGATAAGAGGAATATTATACTTTTAAAAGGATAAATTCCTTTGGGGGCAAGAGCAGGGTCCTGGCTAAGTACATGAGGCCTGCCTGAGGAATTTCTATGGAAACAGGAGTGTGTGTCTGTGGCCCTAGCCCTGCTCAGCATTGGAAACTATTTGGTAGTCTGAACATGGTTCCTCCTGTAAACTAAAAATAAATCTTAAAGCCCTCAACTGACTGAACAGACCCTCCCCACCCCAATCTTGGCCAAATGGACCCTAGATAAATCTTAAAAACTGAGTTCCCAGCCATGATGGCTCAGGAAGTCAGACATATCTTGTTATATACCCTCCCTTTTGCAGTGTTTAGACACAACTGGCCAGCATTGATGTGAAAATAGAGAATGTAAGACTGATAGAACAGACTCTTTGTGGCAGTAAGATACCAAATTGTAAACAGGAGCTAAGACCATGCCAGTCAAGGGTTAAGTCACACACTTCTGCACTTAAAGAATAAACTATGTTCTAAATGCCATAAGGTTTCTATTTTTCTTCAGCAGCTAAACAAGCACTGGCCTTCAGGTAAGCAATATGAAAACAATTTGTAGCTCATTCACTGCCAGACACTGACTCCATCCCCCTGTTTCACAAACTATAGCTACAGCTTTGATTAGACGAGAGGCTATTTCAATAACTTTCTCCTGATAAGAAGACCACCGACCGTGGACGGATTCTGGCCAGTTTACAAAGGCTGCATACGTGAGTGCGTTTGTGTCCTGAAACGACCTTATAAAGCCTTATTATAATATATTTAAATGTTAAGTCTCCACCCCAAGGTGAACATTGGTCAGATGTAATATGTACATTTATTCAGTATGTGTGCATTAGGAGGACCACGAATATTCATGGCTCCTTCTGTAATCCATTGAATATGTTTAGTCAACCCATTCAGCATAAAGTTCCTATCCCAATCCCTCCTCTTTTGAAGTACCTGCCTTTCTGGCGTCAGCCAGAGGCCAGGCTTCCCAGCTTGTCAGAATTTGCCTGTCAACTTTGCAACTGTAACCCTCTATGAGAAATATAACTTTCCTTTCAAAATTTATAAATTGTGTAATTTTTAAGTTAACACCCCTCTAGAAAATGATTCAATTTTCCTTGTCTTTCTTTTCCTTTGTCTTCTGAAGTCAGAAATCCAGAATCTGTTTGTTCTTAGGTCTCAGCCCTTTTATTCTCTCCTATGCTTTCACCAAGGATATTCTATTGTAGCAGACAGTTATGTGAGCTTGCAAAATTAACCATTCATAGACTTTGGCCCCAGAGTTTTTGCTGACTTGAGACCATCAGCACTCAGGATATCAATTTTTTTTTTAAATCCTAGGTATAGAGATGTGAGTTAATCATATTCCTTATTTCATGGCACATTGTAATTATTGAGCTATGCAGACTCTTCTGTGGAAGAGTTGGTTAACTTTCATCCCCATTCTTTATTCCCAGTCCTCTCCTCCTCCCTCAACAGATAAATTATTCTAATGAGTTTACTGTATATGGCTTAACTTGTACAGGTGTTTGTAAAGTATCTATTGTTACTTTTATGTTCATAGAGTTTTACTTTTATGTAAGTGCTATTTTTTTTAGATCTCATTCTTTTTTTTACCTTTTTTTTTCATTTAGTATCCATGTTGCAGTATGTAAGTCTAGTCCATTGCTTCTAATTGTGCTGTTGTTTTGCATCTACTCAGTATACCTCTGCACTTCCCTGGTGATGAACACTCAAATTGCTTCTAATTAATTCCTCAGCACTAAAAATAATGCTGCGACGAACATCCTCTTACATATGTCCATTATGGATCTCTGGGAGACATTTTTGGGGGTCATAAACACAGAAGTAGAATTTCTGGGTGGTAGGCTATATGTATACTTGATATTGACTAGATACTGTCAGATAACTCTCCAGAACAGCTTTACTTTCTTACCAGGAGTACATGAGATTTCCTAAACCCACATCCCAGCCAACACCTAGCAATATCTAGTTTCCTAACTTTTTCCAGCTCATTTCACTGTTATTTTGATTTTGATTTCCCTTATCCATGAGTTTGAACATCTTTATGTATATTTGTAAGCCATTTTGATTACCCTATTCTATACATTGCCTGTTCAAATACTTTGTCCATTTTTCTGTTAATTTTCTTTTTTACTTTAAGAAGTTCATTGTATGTTCTAGACGTTAGTACATTGTTATTTTTAGACACTGCAAATAATTTCAATGTGTCTTCTCTCTGTTAACTTTGTTCGTGGTGTCTTTCACTGAACAGAAATCTTTAATTATGATGTAATAAAAGTCATCACTAGTTTTGTATTATGTGTGCCTGTAAAGTTCTATCTACAATGTTCTTTCCTGTGCTGAGATTACTAAGGTATTTTCCCATATTTTCTTCTCTTTACTTTGTTGTTTTAAGCTTCACATTCAGATATTTATTTCATTTGCAGTCTATCTTTGTATGTGACTTTAGGTAAATATCCAATTTTGTTTTTATCTATGGCATGAGCCAGGTTTGCAACTCCTTCTATTAATCTGCCCTTTTCCCATTGATATATGGTACCCACTTTACTATATATTAAGTTCCCATATAAACATACTTAATTTCTAAGCTCCTTATCATGTTTCACTGATCTTTTTGTCATTGCAATAATATCACATTGTTATTATTACTTGACTGTGTAGTATGTCTTAATACTTGGAAGGGCAAGTACCCATTCTTTGCCTTTTTCTTGAAATGTTGACTTACCTGTTCGTGGATCTTTATTCTTCCATAAAAACTTGAGGTTATTGAACTTCTCAAGAAATTCAACACAAATATTTTGAAGTATTTGTGATTGTGTTGAATGTATAGATTAATATGAACTGACATGTTTATAATATTAAGTCATCTCCCCCAAGATATGGAATGTCACTCCATTTATTCAGATAATCTTCTATGTCATTTATTAGATTTAAAAATTTTCTCCATGGAAGTATTATATGTTGTCATTATTTTCTAGTTATTTAACATTTTTTGTTGCTGTTCTGAATGATATCTTATTTTTAAATACATTTTGTAATTGGTTATTGTTGGAGAGAAAAGTGCTTTTAATTTTTGTAACTTGATTGTTTCTGATAAACTTGCTGAATTATCTTATTAGTTGTAATACTTTGTTGATTAGGTGCTTTTTTCTAGCTAGAGAGTCATATTATCTTACCTGCAAATAATGTCATTTGTTTTCTTTTTTTTTTTCTACCAATGTATTTATTTCTCTTTCTTTCCTTATAGCATAGGGCAGGGCACCCCACTATGGCAAACACTAATAATGATATTGCTCCTGATTTTGTTTCTGAAGGGAATGCCTCTAAGATTTCTTCATTAATTATAAGGTATACTGTATTTTTTGATATATTAATAAATTTCCATTTATTTCTAGTATGAGTTTTTATCTTTGATATGCATTGAGATTTGTCAAATGTATTTCCTGCATTGAGATGAACATGTTATTTTAATTTTTTTAGTATATTAATGTGACAAATTTTAAAGATAGGTTATGTGATTTTTAATAGTTTTTGCATCCTGTTATCAATCTGAATTAATTATATATGATTATATATGTAATTATATATAATATGTATATAATTATTAAGCATGTATTTTGTAGACAACATGTTGAATCTTTTTTGTAGTTTTTATCAACTATAAATGTCTCTGTTATTTCATTAGTTTAGGCTATTTACATTTTTGAAATTATGTTATTTTAATTATGTTCATTTAACTAACATAGTATTTCTGCCATCCTGTTTCATACTTTGCCTTTTCTATAGGTTGTTTAAATTTTTTTTAAAGGCAATGATTGGCTGATTTTTTCTATTAACAGATAAACTCCAATTAAATAAATAAACAACCCATATTTGACTATATATTGTTTATTAAAAACACACCTAAAACAAATGACAAAGTAAAGATTAAAAGAGAAGGATGTAAAAGATATGGCAGGCAAACACTAATGCAGTTAACAGCAGATTAAAATAGAATTAAAGGTAAAGTGTTTTGGTAATTAAAGGCATAATATATTTTGCAACCTTTTGCAAAGGGTTAAAGAGCAGTAAAAAGTAACAAAAATAACTACAGATAAACTAATGATTTAAAAATAGAATATTATTGTCAGTTATCCCTTCAAAAAGCTGAAAAAATTGAATATTATAAACAACTAAGTACCAGTAATGTTGAAATCAACACAAAATGGATAAGTTAGTAAGAAAATGTCAATTGCCAAGGAATCTATATCTGACTTTCTATTTTCAACCATGAAAGACTGACTGTTTCAAACTCCAAAGTCAGGAGGCCCACCCACTAGTTTTAGCTAGATCTACCAAACCTTTAAGAAATCCACATTTTGCATGAACTATTCCAGTGCACAGAAAAGAATGAAAATTTCCCAACCAATTTTGTCAGGTACAAAAATTAGATAGTGAAAGCCCAAGAACATAAAACTATAGATTAATTTCACTTATGAACACAGAATGCAAATATCCTAATAAAATATTAGCATATCAATTCCAGGAGTGTCCCAAATTTATTTCCCAAATAGAGTTTACCAAAAGATTCCAAGATCTGTTTAACTTTTGAAAATCAATTAATATCATTTAAAAATAAGTGAAAAAAACATATAATCCTTTCAGTAGATTGAACAAGACATTTGATAAAATTTTAAACTCATTTGTAGTAGAACTTTTCAGCAAATTAGGAATAGAAGGGAACTTTCTTAATCTGATATTGGCTATCTAACAGAAATCTATAGCAAACATTATACTCTACTTCAAATACTGAAACATTAGAACAATGTCATTGAAGTCAGAAAGAAGACAAGGATGCCTACTATGAGTACTAATATTTAGATAGTCCTAATCAATAAGAAATGAGGTAGCAATTCCACTTCTGGGTAGTTATCCAAAACAATTGAAAGCAGGGATTTGGACAGATACTTTTTGACCCACGTTCATAGCAGTGTTATCGACAATAGCCAAAAGGTGGAAACAGCCTAAATGTCCGTTTTGTTAATGGATAAACAAAATGTGGTATTTACATACAATGAAATATTATCCAACCTTAAAAAGGAATGGCATTCCAATACATGCTACAACACAGTTGGGTCTTGAAGAAATTATGCCAAGCAAAAGAAGCCAGACACAAAAGGACAAATGTTGTATGACTTCACTTAGATAAGGTACCTAGAGTAGTCAAATTCATTGAAACAGAAAAGAAAATGATGGCTGCTGATGGAAAGGGAGAATGGAGGATTATTGTTGAATGGATACAGAGTTTCAGCTTGGGAAGATGTAAAATTTCTGGAAATGGAAGGTTTTGACTGTTACACAACAATATGTATGTACTAATGCTACTTAATGGTACACCAAGAATGATTAAAATGATAAATTTTATATTATGTGTATCTTACCGCAATAAATAATTTAGAAATGTGGAATCAATGTTGAAAGAAAGATAATTTGTTCATCAGTTTCAGACAAAATGAACCCCCCAAAATTAATTGACAAACATTCAAAGATAATAAGAGTGCAGCAAGATAGTCAAATACACAATCAGAATGAATACGTTCACAGCTTCCTATACAATAGAAATCACCAATTCAAAAATATGATAGAAAAATTCCATTTGTATTAACAACAAAAATAAACCCCCAAATAAACCTAATGAAAAAGTGAAATACTTTTATAGGAAAAAAACTTACAAAAGGATATAAAAGAAAATCTGAATAAATTGTGAAATACAGCATGTTAAGATGACCAGTTGTCTGAGTCAGTTTGGAAAATGTATGGGGGTCTTTAAAAAAAAATGGAATTACAATATGAGCCATCAACTTCACTTCTGAGTGTATAGCCAAAGGAATTAAAATTGGTGTTGAAGAGATATCTGCATTCTCACTTAAACATACCACTTAAAAATGTACACTAAATGTTAGGTGTTTTCTGTGTGTACACACATGTCTATAAAAATATCTTTAAGTTTTCTGGAAAGAATCAAGCCCTATTCCTCAGTGATTATTCCTGGGTACAGAAAAGAAGTTATTGGATTTGGGATGAAGGTCAGAGGAGGCTGTAGCATATATCTACAAATATTCTAATTTTTCAAAGGAAGAATATATTTCTGTATCATTTCATAATTAAAATCAATTTTTAAAACGTTTTTTATTTGCGGCATGTTTTTGTTGAATGAATGCATGGTATGAACTAATAATGATGTGTTCAGTAATTTTCATGCATATAATTAATAGGAGAATAGTTTTGATGACAATTTTATTTATTTACAGTAATATATTGGCTTATTTTACTAGCAGGCTTGCATGTCTGTTTGTTTGTATTTAGAGACTGGGTCTCACTCTGTTGCCCAAGCTGGAGAACAGTGGCACCATCATAGCTCACTGCAGCCTTCAACTTCTGGGCTCAAGTGCTTCTCCCACCTCAGCCTCCCAAGTAGCTGGGACAACAGGTACAGTCCACCAAACCCAGCTAATTTTTTTATTTTTTTGTGTGTGTATAGACAGGTTCTCACTTCATTGCCCAGACTGGTCTCAAACTCCTGCCCTCAAGGAATCCTTCTGCCATGGCCTCTGAGCCACCATACCTGGTGCATGTTTATGTAACGTGTCTATATTAAAAAATAAGAAAAAACATTGATAACACTTAAAAAGATGGGCTCTCATATTAAGTCCTCCTTTAACTTCCGCTACACCTACACTAACCCATTTCCCTTTGGTTCTATTTCCAAAAGACAACATGAGGTGGTAGGAAAAGCCCTGGTCTGGGATATGGTATGCAGTGTTGTTCTGATTAACAGTTGACATCTATTGGTTGTGTGACACTGGAATTCACTTTTTTCAGATGAAATATAAAGGGAATATCATGGGGTTCCTAACCTGGCAATATCTATGAGTGTACTTTGAAAGGTCTGTAAAGTCCCTGAAATTATAAGGAAACATTTGTAAGTGGGTCTCCGCATTTTTTTGAGGGGAAGGGCATTTAGGAGAGGGATGCTCAAATAGTTCCGGAACAAGAAAACAGCAAAAGGTTAAGAGCCATTGACCTAGATGATCTTCAGTGACCTTTCAGCTGTGAACTTCTGTTAAAAGTAATCCTTGAGGCTTGAGGCTCTTTTTTTGCCCTGTCCTGTTTCTCTTTCCATTTATCAAACTCCTAAACACAAAACAAAAAACAGTTATCAAGTTTCATCAACTATAAAATATATATTTGATTACCAAAGTTAATATGATTATTAAATGGAATAATTCATGTAAAGCCCTTTACCACTGTCTGGCACAGAGTAAACAAACAACAGATAATTTTTTAAAAAAAGAGCTGAGGTGGAATTTATTGGTGTTACAACAGCAAGTTTAAATCCCTAAGCCAGTAGGCTAGGCCTGTGATTTTTTTAGCTCATTGGAGGAAGGTGATAAACTTTGAAATAGTCAGTGATTAAGGCTGGAAAATTCTTTGAGTTCTGAGAAAACCAGTAGAAACTCAGCTTTGTCCAAAACCTGGAAAATGATAGGCATTCAATCAATGTTAGTTTCTTCCAAAATTTGGCCTCATATTCCTCACTTTTTATCTTTTTTTCTCACCTAGAGGGTCCAAGGCCTAGAATGCTTATTAAAGACCTTGCAAAAAATAATAGAGTTACACTTTTTAAAGGTCTTACTAGAATTTTCTATAGCCATGGTTCTCAATATGTAGTCTTGGGGTGCATGTGAAGTAAAAACTACTTTCATCATAATACTAAGATATTATTTGTCTTTTTAATTTTCATTCTCTTACAAGTATCCAGTAGAGTTTTCTAGATGTGTGATGTCACAACAGCTGGAAGGCAGAACTAGGTACTATAATCCAGTTGTCTTCTATTAAGCTAGACATCAATGAGATTTTCAAAAGTGTAAAACAATGCCACTCTTCTCATTAATTGTTTTCTAAAAATAGTTACATTTTAATAAAAATATGGTATGTTAATATGTAATGGACTTGTTAAATGAATAAATACTTTAAAAACTTCTCAGTTTTAGTTTCTAATATGGAAAATATTGGTAGACATAATCCCCATAAACAAAAGCTCTTCATGTTTCTCAGTAATTTTTAAGAGCAAAAAGGGGACTTGAGGCAGAAATCCTCAAGAATCACTTCTGCTGATTCTACTGAGAATTACTTCTCTGTAGAAATAATTGTTCATTAAATGGATAAAAAATACGGAGAAAACTATGGTTTACCTTCATCCTGGACATTGTCATCATGCTCAATCTCTTGTTTTTATGAATAACTTTTAACTTTTTTCTCTAAGTGAAATGGACTTTTTTGCAATCATATTTTTTAGCTAGAAGGCTGACAAGAGCCAAATTCATAATAGAAAACTGATCCTATATGCCAGAAATGCTGACCAAAGCTTGGAGATCTGCCACACAAAATAATTCCATTTGGGAGTTTTTCATAAAAATGCTTGGATCTCCACCCCAGTTAGATCTTCTTTTTAACTGTACTCTCTGATCGTGTTAACACTTTGCCTCCTTCCAGCAGAATAACCTAAGCTTAAGTCTCGCTCTATTGTATGACTTTGACGACACATTTCTTCTTGATCTGACCTCTCTTTGTTTGCCTGAATGACCTTGTTTTCCCAGTTCCCTGGAGCAGGAATTATTCTTTGTCTATCTGGATCATGTTCTTTTGCTCCGAAGTCTCTCTGTCTATACTTTGTGTGAGTGTAAACATATGCGTTCGTTTATATTTTATTTTAGTGACTTTTTAAATTTGAAAGAATGAATGCTCCTTAATTATAAAATAGTCAAGCAATACAGAAAATTGTAATAGAAGACAGCAACAAATCATCACGGATTCCATCATATAGAAATAATCAGTGTTAACTTCTGGAAAACATTATTTCAGATTTCTTTGTATGCAGCTGGATGGAGAGTTAGACAAAATTTATTTAACACAATGGAATCATACCATTTATGCAATTTTAAATAAAAAGTTAACAATTTTCCATAGTATCTTAATTTTTATTCATATTTAACTTGCTACAAAAGATTCCAAAGAAACTTATCTTTATTTTCATTTTACAGTCTTCCCATGCCTATTACTCCAACATCATTTCTTGCTATGCTTCCACATACAACCTATGTCTTAGCTATGCTGGATTATTTTCAGGTTCCCTGAGCTCACTATGGTCTTTCTTACTTTAAGACTTTACGTACACTTAACAAAAGCCTGGAGTAGTTAGTCTCCTCAGATAAACCTGAATAACTCCTGACCATCTCTGGAGACCCACTGCAAATTCTCCTCTTTCCTTAAGATTTCTCTGAATCCTTTCTTCACCTTTAATCAGGGTTAGTTGATCACTTTACTGAAAACAGAGGATCACCCTCTGGTTCCAAATTACTTAGATGTGTTTCTGGCTTTACCAAATTTTTCTAGAATTAAACAGAATTGGCAAATTTTCAGTTCTTAATTAGAACATAGAAATGAAGTGTGGGAGAGGCAGTTTCGCATACTGATCATACTGTGGCAAGTGCTATAATTGACGTGATCAATAATAGTTCCTTGATTATGTCTTATTTGATCATGTCTATTATAGTACTTGCCACAGCATTCATATCTGTTGTTTTCTCATATGTTGGTCTCCTTGATGAACATATAAAGAAAGGAACAGGGACAATGTCTTCTATTTCTAATTTCAGTATCAAGTACATTATCTGTCATTTAAGTTGTTATTAACTTCCCTCCAATGAATAGATGAGTGAAAGAGTGACCCTAATGTTGCACTGACAACACCCATATTATCTGCATCATCTGGATTCTGTCATTAAAATAATCATAGAGAGATTACTAATCAGCCTAGCCCACATTCTTGGATTATATGTTGCAGGAGAGCTGTAGAAATATGAATGTTTGGTCACACATAGGTGGAGCTCAACCATCTGTTCTTTCAGCCCTGACAAAACTAGTCAGGAAAGGTATTAGGAAGAATGGGGCAAGTATTGTAAAGAAAAGAGCAGTAGGAACTGGCAGTAGGAACTAGTAATGTTGCTGGAAAATGAAGCCTATTGGGTATTCCCCTAATCTGCAAATATTCAAATCTAGAGCCTATGTGGTACACTTTGGGAGAAAACATAACCCTTGTCTAGCCTCTGAAATTGCACCAAATGGAAACAATTGCAGGCTCTAATACATTTTTTAATGCTACCTGAAAAAAATTAGTTTGGATGAGACATGATTTTATTTGTTTACTGGTTGATTGGTTTTTAAGACATTCAGCTAGCCTAGCAAGGCAACAAACAACATCAGAGCTGACAAAATGTCATCTTGAGAATTTAAGGAAGAAGAAGGGTTGAACTACTGTCCTATTAAAGCCCTCTTGACAAAAAATAAAGAATGATACTACTGAGTGAGGTATGGAGAATATTTTAACATTTAAAAATTTTAAAAATATATTTGAAGTCTATTATCTATCTATTAGTCTATCTGTCATCTATCTATCTCTATCACCTATCATCGATCTACCTATCTAGTCTATTGATTCTAAAAGAGGAAGCATAAAGTGATTTTTAGAGGAAAGAAAGTGAGGGAAAGTAACATTTGATGTGTATTCTCTGTTAGGATTTTTTTTTAACCTCCATGATCCTCAATTTTGTCTGTAAGGTATGGTTAATTTTTTACTTGCAAGGTTGTTTTAGAGCAAGTGTCTGAAACATAGTGAGTAGGCATTCAGTAAATTTTAATTTTCTTTTTTTAATCCAGAGTGGAATAAATAACACAAATATTGAATATTTTGTACCAAGTTTTAGAAAGCAGCAACCAGTAGATTTGATACAGATTTTTTTGTTTGTTGTTGTTTCTTAATCAGCCTCAGAGGAATCTTGAAGTAATGACTTTAAGCTAGGGATAATCTGTCTGTACTTGTATGTAAGTTCTTGAGCTCCTTAAATTTTGTTCTTGTAGCCAAAGCAGATCACCCTATTTGTGAATTTTAGGGTCTCTCTATATTTCCTCTTCTCTAATAGCCTCAGTATAGGAAACTGCCTCTCCCACCCTTCATTTCTATGTTCTAATTAAAAACGGATAACCTGCCAATTCTTAAAACTTTAATTCTAGAGAAAGTGGTAAAGCCAGAAACACATCTAAGTGATTTGGAACCAGAGGCTGTTCCTCCATTTCATCCTTTTCCTAATTACTGCACTTTATTTGTAGAAAGTAAGACAACATAAGATTTTTATTAATTGTACATTGTGGGGAAATGAAAAGAATAATATGAGACAACTTAACATATCTAAACAATCTTTAGAAAATGAACATGTTTTTCCTTGCAAATTTCATACTTCTTTGTGTTAGATGGCTTTATAATGCAAAAAATATACTTGTGAACTTCTACTGGTAATTCTATGCACTTTTAAGGAGAGTTTCACTCACTTTCACTTACCATGTTTTCCAAAGATTCAGTAAGATGTTGCTTAAAACCAGTTTCAAAGCCTGAGTTAGTGGCCTTTTAATTGTGTCAAATCATTATTAGAGAGGAAGCTTCTGTCTGCTCGCTTGATTAATTTCCAACCAAATCCAGAATTGCCTCAATCTTTACTTTTTAAAGATTTTCTACTTTTTCTTGCTCATTTCCCCACAGTTTACATACCCACCTTTGATTGTGTTAGAGTGCTCCACAAAGGTTGTACTCAGCATGTAGTATTAGAAAGTCTTCTCTGGTTATCAAGGACTCTTGGAACACAGGGACTATGTATTACACTCTAACAGAACAGCAAGTGCATGCAGTGTGTCTGCTACAAACTGACCTTCAATTTCCCTCATCCAAAGGTCATCTTTATCTAGAAAGTTTGTAAGAAGAGGAATTTTATCTTTCTTTCCTCCCATTTTGGCCACCCAGAGTTCCTCTTCAGTGCCATGTACTCTCCATGACAGTCTCAGCCATGGTTTGACATCACTGGGTATTTCTTGGCACAGAAATGCTTTACCTACAGGTTGCTAGCACACAGATGGTAGTAGAGGGGAAATATCTAACGGTATGTACCTATGACACTTCTCTTTCTAGCATCTAAGAAATTCAACTGTTCACAGAGGTTTCACATGGGGGCACCCCAGTTTTGAACTTTTTCTTTGTAGACCATACCTGATGTCTCATTTTTATCTTTCCTTTTATCTTAGAAGGGAGATGTGTAACTCTTTTTGAGTTATTTAATACTTCTGGTGTAATTTATAAGGAACAATTGCCCCCTATTTGATTAAAACATATTATTGAGAGTTTTAGCAATGTGGAATATATTACATTTAAATTTCAAATGGGTGTGGTTAAGGGATTATGGGGGTCATTTATGTACATAACCTATATATTTATATATACACATATACATATTTACACACACATACAATAAAGGCACATTAACGTTTATTCAGGATACCAGTGAAACTTTAGACATTTGTAAACGTATACTTAGAGAATAAAGCCTTTCTTTCTTGTAAATGCTTTAGACAGTGATTAGATTGAGGGAAAGATCAGATGTTGAGTTTTACCTTCTTTGGACTCATCATTAGTATCTGAGTGTTTCACCGCCGTCTAGCGGTAGAATATGGAATTACAGATGTATGGAATGAGTGCAGACGCCCTGACACGAGAGAGAGCTTTGGCTTGAGAATCAGAAACCTATACCTTGGTCATAGCAGCACTTCCAATTAGCAAGTTAATCTCTTCTATTGTAAATAAAGTAAATCCATAGATTTACTTTACTGCCATCTAGCTGTGCAGAGGTAGGATAAAAATCTATGGATTTCTCTTTTTATTATAGGTATAGACTTACTTTATCTATAATAGAAAGAGATTAAATATCAAATTTAAATTTCTAATTGTTCTTTGATAATTAGTATTTATATTCAGTGAATAAATGGTGATAGATAGATTGGTATGAATTGGTTACTAGCGTTAACTCCTATATACACAGTAATTTTGCTGAGTATCATTAATAGTATAACAGTAGCTTTTTCACTAGCAAACTAACAGACTAGTGTTATGTTGATTACATAGTACGATTTAAAGTTCATAAAGTACAAGTCCTTCTTAATATTACAATTTAAAAACTAGATTAGATAGATATATTCTGAGTCTAATCAGAAGAATGAGCCTGTTTGTTGTTGTTGTTGTTTTCATGTAACTTCTGCTTCTAATAGGGACTTGTGATTTTGAACACTCACTGATGAATTTCAGTTTAGTTTGAATTCCAAAAGTGAAGGTGGAGGAAAAGTAGCTTGATTTTTGAGTGAAAAGAGGATAAATTTGGATAGCACCAAATTTAATGGTGAGAATTATCACTCTTTTAATTAAATGCGGTGTGCTTGGCTTTTTTATTTTAACTTCCAAATTAAGGAAGTAATCTTTAAAGTTCTTACTAGTTCTGACAGTCTGCACATTTTCTTTGGGTTTTATAGTAGTAAACTTTCTACTGAGGATAGTGCATTTTGTACATAATTCTTCTACTCATCATTACTTCTCTCACTATTCATAATAAATTCATGTATTTTCTCCTTATAGGCAGGAATAATATATTTTTAACTGTTTTTCTTCTACTGGAAACCTCTGGACCCAATTAGCTTCTATTGATAGTGATTCTTCCATTAATATCTTTGACAGAGAAAATCCATGGTGTATAATTCTTATTTCCAGAGCTTGGGTTGTCTTAGAAAGTAGCTTCTTGGGATTATGTTTGATAATAATTGCTGTGATGATCATGATTAACCAGAACATCTGAGGTCAACTCATCAGTATAAAGCCTTTCTGTAAATGCTTTACAGAAGCATTGGACAGCGATTAGATTGAGGAAAAGATCAGATATGGTTGAGTTTTGTCTTCTTTGGAGTCCTTATTATTAGTACCTGAGTGCTTCACTGCCATCTAGCTGTGTGGAGGTGGAAGAAAACTGCATCTGATCCCATGGCAGGAAACTATGTGTTTGTGGAGATGAAAGAGAAGAGAAACTATAACTTGATGAAATGTTTATTGCCAATTTTTATGAAGTACAATTTTCTGGATCCTATATCCAGAAGGCCATGACAATAAATTTAAATATAATTGTACAGAATTCCAGTAGTGACACAAAAAGATGCAAATATTCTGAATATTCATGTGGGAAACTATGACAACATTCTTTGTTCAGGATGGGATGTGTTATAATGTTTCTAGAGACGTTTTGGCTCCTAAACCACGTCATTTAGCTCCTTGGATAGGTTTGTCAATAATTAATTAAAACAAAATCTGGAAAATCCAAATTTTGAAATTCGGAAATTTTTTTAAAACCTAATTTTATTCCCAACCACACAAATCTCTCTTTATTATATAGTTCTGAATATAGCCCCAAATGGTGTTTATCTTTTTCTTCCATTCACTATTTTCTTTCTTTCTTTTTTTCAAGGTGGAGTCTTGCTCAGTCACCCAGGCTGGAGTGCAGTGGTGCGATCTCGGCTCACTGCAACCTCTGCCTCCCGGGTTCAACCAATTCTCCTGCCTCAGCCTCCTGAGTAGCTAGGATTACAGGTGCCCGCTACTGCACCCAGCTAATTTTTGTATTTTTAGTAGAGACGGGATTTCACTATGTTGGCCAGGCTGGTCTCGAACTCCTGACTTCGTGATCCACCCATCTTGGCCTCCCAAAGTGCTGGGATTACAGGCGTGAGCCACCGCGCCCGGCCTCATTCACTATTTTCTAACCAAGGAGTTCAATGAATGTGGAGCCTTACAAAAACACCTGGCACCAAACAAAAGTAATATAGTACAGAACTATAGTTAAAATGAAAGAACAGACATATACCCTTACTACCAAAAGAGGAGATCATGTTAAATACCTTAATTTCATGTATGTGTCTCATTTCTTCTCTGGGTTAGTTCTTATCTTGGGCTAGTTTATGTTGGCTTCTTATTCAAAGTAATAACTCCTTTGTTCTTGGACATATTCATAGAGTGGGGTGTTGCTATCTAAGCAGAAGGAACCAGAGCCTGTTCTTTCCTTTGTATGGTAACCGCTGGCCTCAGAGCCTCTTTGTTTTTTGCCCACATCCTCACCGTATATTCTGATACCTCCTGACAGACTTGACTCTGACTCTTGCCTTTGTCTCCCCCACTGCATATGGTTGCACTGCTTGATGAATATCTATACCTATACTCTTCAATTCCTGCAGGGTCTTGGCTGTCAAGAAAGTGACTGAAAATGTATCTTTGACTTTTGCTGTCATTTGACTACTCATAACTATCATTTGATTGGCCATGGCTGTATACTTGTCTTTCATTGGTACTGAATCCAGACTGACCCTAGGCATCTCTTGATGGCCCATGACTTAATACCTATCTGGCAAAACCTGTGCTGGATCTTACCTGCCCATGAAAAGTTGTATCTCCGAAATGTTGCTGGCTAGATCCATGTATACCTATTGTATTGAACTCTAACTTCCCATGCCTAGATCCTAATTGCTCATGAGTGTCTTTCTCCCAATCTTCTGAATGCTTTTTGTTATCAGTATGGGATTCCTGTTTTCTGATTGAACTAGATTTTGAATGGCCATGAACTGATATGGATTGTCCATGGCCAAATCCAAGGTGGTCATTTGACTGGCTATGTGTACATCCCTCCCTTCTGGCTGTGTTATATCCAGGTTGAACATAGGTGTTGTTTGACTGTTTATGAGTTACTATAGAATGTCCATGACTAGATTCCTGACTTCTTATAATAATAGGTCGAGACTGATACTGAGAATCAACTGAATGTTCATAACTTACCATTGACTGTTCATGATTTAAACTGTGTCTTCCTGTTCTTTTAGTTGCTTTGGATACTATAAGGTCAGAACTAGAAAATAACTGTCAATGTCTAGACAGTTGCTTGTTTGCAGTGCTGTCTGTTGACCATGAAAGGTGAGAATTACTGATGCTTTTTCTGCTGCCACCAGAAGGCCCATACCCAGTGTGCCCATAGTCATATTCTGCAGGTCCATAGCTGCCATGTTTCCAAACCTGACTTGATCCATGCCTTTGCCTTTCACTACTATGTGACTGAAAATGACTTGCTCTACTAGATCTGGAACCTGTCTGTGTGGATTGTCCATAACCAGAATGGCCATGTCTAGTGGTATCTCCTGTCTGTCCATGAGTAGTTTCCAGTCTCCCATGAACTGTGGATCCTGGCTGTCTTTGTTGAGATCCAGCTTGGCCCTGAATGTGTCCTGAATGTGTGTGTGAGCCCCATGAGTGCACTTCACTGTCACTGGACTCACTGTGGCCAGATCCCCTTCTTCCAGTTGTCCTGGACCCTCTCTGTGTGGATTGTCCATAACCATAGTGGGCATGTCTAGTGGTATCTCCTGTCTGTCCATGAGTAGTTCCCTGTCTCCCATGACCTGAGGATCCTGACTGTCCATGTCGAGATCCGGCTTGGCTGTGAGTGTGTCCTGAATGTGTGGGTGAGGCCTCTGAGTGCACTTCACTATCACTGGACTCACTGTGACTAGATCTTTGTCTTCCAGTTGTCCTGGAACCTGTCTGTGTGGACTGTCCATGACCAGACTGGCCATGTCTAGTGGTATCTCCTGTCTGTCCATGTATAGTTCCCTGTCTCCCGTGAATGGCAGATCCTGACTCTCCATGTTGAGATCTGGCTTGGCCATAAGTGTGTCCTGAATGTGTGTGTGAGACCCCTGAGTGCACTTCACTGTCACTGGACTCACTGTGGCCAGATCCCCTTCTTCCAGCTGTCCTTGACCCTCTCTGTGTGGACTGTCCATGACCAGAGTGAGCATGTCTAGTGGTATCTCCTGTCTGTCCATGAGTAGTTCCGTGTCTCTCATGAACTGAGGATCCTGACTCTCCATGTTGAGATCCGGCTTGGCCATGAGCGTGTCCTGAATGTGTGTGTGAGACCCCTGAGTGCCCTTCACTGTCACTGTACTCACTGTGGCCAGATGCCCTTCTTCCAGTTGTCCTGGACCCTCTCTGTGTGGACTGTCCATGACCAGAGTGGCCATGTCTAGTGGTATCTGCTGTTTGTCCATGAGTAGTTCCGTGTCTCTCATGAACTGAGGATCCTGACTCTGGATAGTGAGATCCAGCTTGACCGTGAGTGTGTCCTGAATGTGTGTGTGAGACCCCTGAGGGCCCTTCACTGTCACTGTACTCACTGTGGCCAGATCCCCTTCTTCCAGTTGTCCTGGACCCTGTCTGTATGGTTTGTCCATGACTAGGGTGGCCATGTTCAGTGGTATCTCCTGTCTGTCCATGAGTAGTTTGGTGTCTCTTGTGAACTGTGGATTCTGACTCTCCATGTTGAGACCTGGCTTGGCTGTGTGTGTGTCCTGAATGTGTATGTGAGCCCCCTGAGTGCACTTCACTGTCACTGGACTCACTGTGGCCAGATCTCCTTCTTCCAGTTGTACTGGATCCTGACTGTGTGGACTGTCCATGACCAGATTGAGAATGTCCACTGGTATCTCCTGTCTGTCCATGAGTAGTTCCATGTCTCTCGTCAACTATGGATTCTGACTCTCCATGTTGAGATCCAGCCTGGCCGTGAGTGTGTCCTCGTGAGTGTGGTCTTTGTGAGAACCCTGAGTGCCCTTCACTGTCACTGTACTCACTGTGGCCAGATGACCTTCTTCCAGTGGTCCTGGACCCTGTCTGTGTGGACTGTCCATGACCAGAGTGGGCATGTCTGGTGGTATCGCCTGTCTGTCCATGTATAGTTCCATGTCTCTCATGAACTATGGATTCTGACTCTCCATGTTGAGATCTGGCTTGGCCATGAGTGTGTCCTGAATGTGTATGTGAGACTCCTGAGTACCCTTCACTGTCACTGTACTCACTGTGGCCAGATCCCCTTCTTCCAGTAGTCCTGGACCCTGTCTGTGTGGTTAATCCATGATGATAGTGGGCATGTCTAGTGGTATCTCCTGTCTGTCCATGAGTAGTTCCATGTCTCTCAGGAACTATGGATTCTGACTGTCCATGTTGAGATCCAGCTTGACCATGAGTGTGTCCTGTATGTGTGTGTGAGACCCCTGAGTGCACTTCACTGTCACTGGACTCACTGTGGCTAGATCTCTGTCTTCCAGTTGTCCTGGACCCTCTCTGTGTGGACTGTCCATGACCAGAGTGGGAATGTCCAGTGGTATCTCCTATCTGTCCATGAGTAGTTCCGTGTCTCTCATGAACTGTGAATTCTGGCTCTTCATGTTGAGATCCGGCTTGGCCGTAAGTGTGTTCTCGTGAGTGTGGTCTGTGTGAGCCCCCTGAGTGCACTTCACTGTCAGTGGACTCACTGTGGCTAGTTCTCTGTCTTCCAGTTGTCCTGGACCCTGTCTGTGTGGTTTGTTCATGACCAGAGTAGGAATGTCTAGTGGTATCTCCTGTCTGTCCATGAGTAATTCTGTGTCTGTCATGAATTATGGATTCTGACTCTCCATGTTGAGATCCACTTTGGCCGTGAGTGTGTCCTGAATGTGTGTGCGAGCCCCCTGAGTGCACTTCACTGTCACTGGACTCACTGTGGCCAGATCCCCTTCTTCCAGTTGTACTGGACCCTCTCTGTGTGGATTTTCCATGATGATAGTGGGCATGTCTAGTGGTATCTCCTGTCTGTCCATGAGTAGTTCCGTGTCTCCCATGAACTGTGGATCCTGACTCTCCATGTTGAGATCCGGCTTGGCCATGAGTTTGTTCTTGTGATTGTGGTCTGTGTGAGCCCCCTGAGTGCACTTCACTGTCACTGGACTCACTATGGCCAGATCCCCTTCTTCCAGTTGTCCTGGACCCTCTCTGTGTGGACTGTCCATGACCAGAGTGGCCATGTCCAGTGGCCTCTCCTGTCTGTCCATAAGTAGTTTCATGTCTCTCATGAACTGTGGATTCTGACTCTCCATGTTGAGATCCAGCTTGGCTGTGAGTTTGTTCTTGTGAGTGTGGTCTATGTGAGACCCCTGAGTGCACTTCACTGTCAGTGGCATCACTGTGGCTAAATCTCTGTCTTCCAGATGTTCTGGAACCTGTCTGTGTAGACTGTCCATGACCAGAATGGCCATGTCTAGTGGTATCTCCTCTCTGTCCATGAGTAGTTCCTTGTCTTCTGCGAACTGTGGATCCTGACTTTGGGTAGTGAGATCCAGCTTGTGTGTGAATGTGTTCTGAATGTCTGTGTGAGACCTTTGAGTGCACTTCACTGTCACTGTTCTCACTTTGGCTAGATCTTCGTCTTCTAGTTACCCTGGACCCTGTCTGTGTGGATTGTCCTTGACCAGACTGGCTATGTCTAGTGGTATTTATTGTCTGACCATGAGTAGTTTCCTGTCTCCCATGAACTGTGGATCCTGACTCTACTTGTTGAGATTCACCCTGGCCCAAGCCAGTTGATTGACCTGAGCCTGAACCATATTGGCCAAATCCAGTGGACTGACCTGAGTCAGATATATGTTGTCCAGAACTAGAGAAATTGTCTGAGCCAGACACATGCTGTCCAAAACTTGTGGTTGGACCTGAGCCAGACTCATGTTGGCCACAGCCAGATGATTGACTGGAGCCAGTACCATGTTGGCCATAGCTAGACTGACCTGATCTGTACTCATGCTGTGCAAAGCCAGAGGATTTACCTGTGCCTGACCCATGTTGTCCAAAGCCAGAAGACTGACCTGAGCCCGATCCATATTGGCCAAAGCCAGAGGACTGACCTGAGCCTGGCCTGTGTTGTCCAAATCCAGATGTCTGTCCTGAATTTGACCCATGTTGACCATAGCCAGATGATTGACTTGAGCCAGAACCATGTTGGCCATAGCTAGACTGACGTGATCTAGACTCATATTGTCCAAAACCAGAGGATTGTCCTGAACCAGTCCCATGTTGTCCAAAGCCAGAGGACTGATCTGAGCCTGATCCATGTTGTCCAAAGCCTGAGTATTGGCCTGAGCTTGACCTGTGTTGTCCAAAGCCAGTTGTCTGTCCTGAACTAGACCCATGTTGACCATAGCCAGATGACTGACTTGAGCCAGAACCATGTTGGCCATAATTAGACTGACTTGATCTAGACTCATGCTGTCCAAAGCCAGAGGATTTTCCTGAGCCTGACTCATGTTGTCCAAAGCCAGAGGACTGACCTGAGCCTGATCCATGTTGGCCAAAGCCAGAGGATTGACCTGAGCCTGACCTGTGTTGTCCAAATCCAAAAGTCTGTCCTGAACTTGACCCATGTTGACCATAGCCAGATGACTGACTTGAGCCAGAACCATGTTGGCCATAGCTAGACTGATGTGATCTAGACTCATGTTGTCCAAAACCAGAGTATTGTCCTGAGCCAGTCCCATGTTGTCCAAAGCCACTGGACTGACCTGAGCCTGATCCATGTTGTCCAAAGCCAGAGTATTGACCTGAGCTTGACCTGTGTTGTCCAAAGCCAGATGTCTGTCCCGAACTTGACCCATGTTGACCATAGCCAGATGATTGACTTGAGCCAGAACCATGTTGGCCATAGCTGGACTGATGTGATCTAGACTCATGCTGTCCAAAGCCAGAGGATTGTCCTGAGCCAGACCCATGTTGTCCAAAGCCAGCGGACTGACCTGAGCCTGATCCATATTGGCCAAAGCCAGTGGATTGACTTGAGCCTGACCCATGTTGTCCAAAGCCAGATGTCTGTCTAGACCCATGTTGGCCATAGCCAGATGACTGACTTGAGCCAGAACTGTGTTGGCCATAGCTAGACTGACCTGATCTAGACTCATGTTGTCCAAAGCCAGAGGATTGTCCTGAGCCAGACCCATGTTGTCCAAAGCCAGAGGACTGACCTGAGCCTGATCCATGTTGGCCAAAGCTGGAAGACTGACCTGAGCTTAACTCGTGTTGTCCAAATCCAGATGTCTGTCCTGAACTTGACCCATGTTGACCATAGCCAGATGATTGACTTGAGCCAAAACCATGTTGGCCATAGCTAGAATGACCTGATCTAGACTCATGTTGTCCAAAACCAGAGGATTGTCCTGAGCCAGAAACATGTTGTCCAAAGCCAGAGGACTGACCTGAGCCTGATCCATATTGGCCAAAGCCAGTGGATTGACTTGAGCCTGACCCATGTTGTCCAAAGCCAGATGTCTGTCTAGACCCATGTTGGCCATAGCCAGATGACTGACTTGAGCCAGAACTGTGTTGGCCATAACTAGACTGACCTGATCTAGACTCATGTTGTCCAAAGCCAGAGGATTGTCCTGAGCCAGACCCATGTTGTCCAAAGCCAGAGGACTGACCTGAGCCCGATCCATATTGGCCAAAGCCAGTGGATTGACCTGAGCCCAACCCATGTTGTCCAAAGCCAGATGTCTCTCTAGACCCATATTGGCCATAGCCAGATGATTGACTTGAGCCAGAACCATGTTGGCCATAGCTAGACTGACGTGATCTAGACTCATGTTGTCCAAAACCAGAGGATTGTCCTGAGACAGACCCATGCTGTCCAAAACCAGAGGATTGTCCTGAGACAGACCCATGCTGTCCAAAGCCAGAGGACTGACCTGAGCCTGACCCACATTGTCCAAAGCCAGAGGACTGACCTGAGCCAGACCCATGTTGTCCAAAGCCAGATGTCTTACCTGAGCTAGACCCATGCTGGTCATAGCCCAAGGATTGACTTGATGTAGACTCATGCTGGCCACAAGTTTGACCTGAGCCACATACATGTTGTTCGAACCCAGAGGACTGACTCAAGCCTGTTCCATGTTGTTCAAAGCTAGTAGACTGACTTGAACCAGACCCATATTGATCACATTTGGAAAATTCATTTGAACTAGAAGAGTTTGAAAAGCGGCCACAGGAACCATATTCATGTTGACCATTACTACAAGACTGGCTACCTCCAGACCCATATTGTCCACAGCAAGAGGACTGACTTGAGCCTGTTCTCCATTGTCCTCCACAGTTCTGTGGTTGACCATTTTCTCTAGCTCCATATCCTCTCTGACTATAGGACTGACTACAGGGGTTAGACTCAGGTTGACCACATCCAGAGGGCTGACCTCCTGAGACACAGCCATGGCCTTGTCCTCCCTTAATTCCTGACTGACAGCCTGACTGAATATAGCTAAATTGATTTCCTTGCCCTCCAAATCTATGTGACTGACAAGAACTTGAAGCATTTTGTGGCCTTCCACACCCACTTGAATTGCTATAACCACATGCATGACTTCGCCTCCCACTGTCTCCTGAACCTGAACAGCTAGACCCAAGCTTTTGTTCTCTAATTCTTGACTGAGTAGAGTTTGATTCATGCCCACTAGTCTCCAATCCACATGACAGACCACCATGACCTTTCCTTTCCCAACTGTTTGATCCAGATCCAGATTCATACTCCTCCCCAGATTCCCTAGAAGGGCTAATGTGTGACTTGTTTATTCTTTCTCTCAGTTCTACAGAGCTGGAACCATGTCTGTCTTTGCCACCACTCCATGAATGACCACAGCTGGACCTGTGGTATCTTTTCTGAGATCCCTCTTGGTTCCCAGAGCTGGATAAATTACCTTGTCTTCCTAGCCTCCTGGAGTTGGACCCATGTCTACATTTCACAGTTCCCCTTGAGTGCCCAGAACTATATCCATGCTCCTCTCCCTCACTCCAACTTGAATGTCTGTAACCTGATTTATGTCCTGGTGTATCCTCTTCATCCTCTTCTGTTTCACTTTCTTCTTCTTGGTGTCGGTGACCACGCCTATGCTTCTTTGACCCTGAAGCTTTGCAGTATTCTTTGCTGAGGACCTTGTTGCAGGCCATAGTCAGCTTGAATATCATCAAAAGAAACTCAGTAAAGTCCAATCTTCTGTCATGATCTCGATCCAGCATATGCATGATGACATCCACTGTGTCTGGATCATCTGGGTTCTGTATATGAGTGACACACCAAGGGAGACCTGGTCAGCCTAACCTGCATACTCAACTAACACATTTAAATAGCGCTGTGAAATTATGGATGTTTGACATGATGTAGTTTTAGTCCAATAAAGGATTACTTTAGGTTAATAGAACCCAGTAAATGTTAAGGGTTAATAGAAAATAAAGACTACTGGGATCCTCAGAAGAAGACATTTCAAGGATTTAGGCTAAAGGATTAAGTGCTTAGGTAAGGCCTACAGGAAGGAGTGGAATAAACTAAGTTCAGTAACTGGTATTTCTAAGTTTTACATAAATTGTAACTATTACATGTTAATATCTTCCATGTTGGAATTTATCATCTATTATTTTGAAGTTAATAACTGAGTCTTTTTTTTTTTTTTGAGATGGAGTCTTGCTCTGTAGCCCAGGCTGGAGTGCAGTGGTGCGATCTCTGCTCACTGCAAGCTCTGCCTCCCAGGTTCACGCCATTCTCCTGCCTCAGCCTCCCGAGTAGCTGGGACTACAGGGGCATGCAACCACGCCCGGCTAATTTTTTGTATTTTTAGTAGAGATGGGGTTTCACCGTATTAGCCAGGATGGTCTTGATCTCCTTACCTTGTGATTCACCCACTTCGGCCTCCCAAAGTGCTGGGATTACAGGCATGAGCCACCGCGCCTAGCTGAGTCCTTTTTAAGTAGATGGAATAAAATGCTGGCATTTTATTTTTGATTCTTAATCATGGCTATTTTGTCAACTCCCTATGTAGATGATTTCCCTTTCTATACTTTTTTTTCCATTTGATAGGATAATTTATTAATTCGTGTCCTAGTATAATTTTATTTTCTGCTTTTTCTAAGGAAAAGCCTGGGTGTATGAGAAAGTCTGAGAGTCTATGAGGTAGGAGTGCATAGGTGGAAAAGTGAGGACGAAACATTCACTTTCTTTAAAATATCTGCTGCTTTAACAGACTTTCTGGCATCCCCAAAATACCACTCATAGAGTTTGCTTAGAGTTCACTGGGGCTGTGCACTTTTTAGCTGATCTGGGTCATACAACAGAGCTTGTACAGGACTCCAGCAGCCTTCAGTTCTGGCACATGGCTCTCACCTTCAGAACTGGATGAAGCTCTTTCTCCAGAAGTTCCTTTAGTTCACCCTTGCTCAGTGTGCCACACTCCCCATCTTGCTTGGTGTATTTGTAGAAAACATCAATTACGGTGACAACACTTCTCAAGAGGTCGGTCATCTTTTTGCAAGTTTAAGTGAACCTGGACACAGAAAAACAAAGAACCCTATTATTCATATTCTCTCCTTTTATCAGCAATTTTCATTTTAATAATAACCAGCATGATTTTTTTAACCTCTTGTTTTTTAAATCTCAAAACGTAAGAATGGGCCAGGGATGATACAACCCCGTTTAACACAATGAAAATTAACTTTGTTAACTTTGAGTTACTTTTCTGTGATCAAGTCTTGGCATGTTACTGGTTCAACTGAGAATAGACCTCAAGTCTCTATATTTCCTGTCATGGGTAAGTATAGTCTCTACATAGTATCTCTACACTTTGAGTGTGTTGGCATTCTGGGTGTTGTTCTAAGGCTTCCAAAATTTCCAGAACCAGCCAGACACCATTGCCTCAATCTCTCTTTCTAGTTTCACTGCTTTTCTTGAGTCAAAAGTGACAGACCTTCCACCATGCACATCTGTTTATCCTCTGGGCACCAGAAGCTAAACTGGACCCTTAAGGCCTTCAGCAAATTAAAAATGGGCAAAGGGGCTCAAAATAGCTTGGTGTTTCATAGGCATGAGACAGTAGAACTCAGTAGAGCTTAGGAACTCTCTTAATGTCAAGCACTTGACCAAACACTGTTTTCTTTAATTAATCAAGAAGAAGAGCTCAGCAATGCAGGCAGCAGTTTAACTAGTGGATAATTAGATCTTGGAGCTCTGGGAACCAACACTGAATAAGGAAGGGACTCTGCAACAGACCCAGCTGCCTCCCAGTTTGAGCTGGACAGCCCAGAAAAGAGGGCATGGAAAAAGACTCGGAACAGACTGTGGAATGGCCTAGAGGAAGGTGAACTTTTACTTGCATTATTCTTCTCCATAAAAATGAACTTAACTACAAAAAGGCCCCAGAATAAACTAAACTAACCAAACAAATAAGCAAACAAAAAGAAAAGAAAATGAAAGAAAGAAACAAAAAAGAAAAGAAAGGCAAAATATACATGAACTCTGCCTTAGCTTATATCCCTAGACTTCTACTATGGACAACACCAAATATTCATAAATGTAGCTGGATGAATTTTCTCTCACCTGGTTCACCAAAGGAACAAGTAGGATAAAGCCTGATGCAGCTTGCAGGGTGACGATGGATTGGGATAATGACCCTTATATAGCTTATAGTGATTATAGTGAATGAGGTGATTCATTTTCCATCAAACCTAACTCCACCTCTACATATTTACCTTCCTCCTTCACATTGTTATCTACAGATGATTGCAGAAAGGCTAGTACCAGCCCCACCTTCCAGTACGAGGACATGGTTGCAAGATACCTTTTTTTTCAGGGTCATATACATGTGAAAAGCACAGACTTTGTTTTAGAGGACTCATGTTATACATTTCTTTTAACTAGTACCCACAGAAAGTAGCAGAGTGTAAGATACTTGGAAGGTGCACAATAAATGCTTATTTAATTGAAAATGAACCTGAGCCACTAGGTTCATCTAATTCATGTCTTTTTTGTAATAATAAAAAGTGACATTTATTGAGAATTTACTATGTGCTAAATACTTTAAACAAACCATCTCAATCTTTAAAAAATCTGCACTTTTAGTTATGGGTACATAGTTGTATATAATTGTTGGGTACATGTGATGTTTTGATATGGGCATACCATGTGTAATGATCAAATTACAGTAATTGGGGTATCCAGCACCTCAAGCATTTCTTTGTAGTAGGAACATTCTAATTCTACTATTTTAGTTATTTAAAAATATACAATAAATAGTTAACTATAGTTACCATATTATGTTACCAAATACTAGATCTTATCACCTCATTTAATCTTCACAACCTTCATACGAGATATGTATTTATTATCCCATTTTATAGAGACAGGTTCTGGAAGCATAAGGATCTTCTCCAAGGTCATAGCTAGTAGGCAGAGAAACCAGAAGTTGAACCTGTATCTACCTTATTGCAATTGCTGTTTACCATTATACTAACTTACCTCTGTGTATTTATCATATATAACTATCATGCAAAAATTATGCACCATTTTAGGAGTGTAAGGCCCACTCAAACGCAAATAATATAAAAAAGTAACATACAGAGTGCTGTTAGGAAGAGAGGAAACATTCTCTGACCTTGTGAAGGCTCATTTCTAGGCTAGAAAAGTGTAATTGGCTATATATAAAAATAATGTTTTCAGATATGTTCAGGGTGAATTTAGAGTGAGCTTTCTTCCAGCACTCTGCGATCCACTGGTAGTCTGGCATGTTTAGGGCCTGGACCCTTGGGAAAATGTTCACTTATGTACAGAAAGTATATCAAATACACTTGAGGGTAACAAAAATAATCAGAGAGCTGTAAGTCTTAAGCATGGAGAGCCAATTCTGCTGTACTTTGCTACCAGGTGATAATGATGATGATGAGGAGGATAGCAGCTACCATTAAGTGCTAAGTGCTTACTATCTTCTATACATGGTAGGTTTACATGCTTATCTATTTATTCCTCAAAATAACCCCATTTTATAGATAAGGTAATAAAAGCATAGAGCAATGTAAACATTTGTTACAAATCGCAGCTAGTTAGTAGCAGCACTAGAACAGATACACATGCTAGCCGATGCTAAAGCCTAGCACTTAACCATATATATTCTACATATATGGAGTCAATAAACTCCTATCTGGGCATTGCTTTGGGCCAGTCATCATATCTTATTCATTCCACCATCTAGGCAGCACCTAGAGCTTGGTAAACACTAAGAATGAGTGTCTGTTCATAAAATGTTAATGAATAGGCCCTTGAAATATGTCAATTGCTCACATAGCCAAGGAATCCTAGACCAAAACAACCACACAGAAAGTTATGGTTGCTGTTGGATACTATGGTCATTTTCAATCATATGCATCTTTTGGAAGTGCATTTTTGTTAAGATGGCTGCTGTGTCAGAAAGACTTTCAGGCCCCAGACTCCACACTGAGACAGAATTTTAAAGCATTTTTGCACTGTCACTCCAGCATTATAGTTGAGAACTCTGAAACTCCTCCATAGTTCAGAACTCCATTATTCAGTCTTTTGTATTCTTTGCATTTAGGTCTCTCTTCCTCTTCTACTTGCTTAGCATAATGGATAAAATTATAGTCAGAAAGACCTAAGTTCTAATCTCAATTTTGCCTCTTACTGCATTTCTTGTACAATTATCTAATCTTCTCAGCCTCAGTCTCCCAAATTATAGAATGGGAACAATAACACTTACCTAACAGGTGGCAATTACTTAACATATGAAATTGCTTAGTACCTGCCTGGCATATAATACATTCTTAGTACACTATATAATTACTGCAAACTTATTTTGATAAATATTTCATACAATCTATCACAGCATTTTACACAAAGAAAGTACTTGATAATGTTTGATAAAAATGAGTTAGAAGCCACTTACTAGTGGCTTTTAAAGGTAGAAATACTACACCTCTGTCAAAAGCATTGCCTAGAAGGTAAGTCATGGTTCTGAAAATAAACCACCTTTTTTGGGATATAATTCACATATCATAAATTTCAACCTTTTAATCTGTTTTGTGTTTGCCCCCAGAATACTGTGCTGGCAGTGAGCTGCACTTTTTTTCCCTAATTGGGAAATGGGTTAAAGTATACAGTTCGTTGTGTGTGTGTGTGTGTGTACAGAGTATGTGCAATTGAGTTATTGTTCTTATGATGTCTATGTCCTTAAGTGAGTTTCCTCACTTCTTAATGCCTTAGTTTACCCTCTGTAATAATCATAGGTGTTATTAGTATCAGGGTCCAAGTGGACAGATAGCAGGTCGTTTCAGCTGCGATTTTGGAGAACAATTATTGTCCCCATTTCACAGACACCTATGCACACTTTGGAAAGAAATCCAAGTGCTGGTTTTAAGAATTGAGTTGATACCTGCAGAAACTTTTGCCCTCCTGGGTTCTGAAAGATTATTTAGCTCAACAAAGCAGAGGCCTGAAGTCCAGAGGTAGGGCACAGTCAGTTACACCATTTCTCTGTGTCTGGGCCTCCTTCCTGCCTTGTTCTACTCATCTCATCACCTTCTGCTCATTCCATGTCTACATTGCTCAGGCTCTAGGCACTACCAGACTCTTTGATTTTAGGCCCATTTGGTGAAGCTTATGCACCGTTGGCCACTGGATTCTTGAAGAGGAAGCTATACCTTAGAATGTTAAAAGTAACTTTAATTGGACCTGTGAAAGTTCCAGATTTTGGCTTTTCCACTGCATGCCAGATAAGTTTTGTTTCTACATCTCATCCTTTTTTTAATTTTAATTTTATTTTTTTAATTTTTTATTTATTTATTTATTTATTTTGAGGCAGCATATCACTTTGTCACCCAGGCTGGAGTGCAGTGGTATGATCATGACTCAACACAGCCTCGATTTCCCAGGCTCAAGTGATCCTTCTGCCTCAGCCTCCCAAGTAGGTAGGACTATAGATACGTGCCACCATGCGTGCTAATTTTTTTTCATCCTATTTAAGGTGGTGGAGGTTCTCCAAGTTAAAATAGTCTGTTTTACTTCTTGTCATGTTCAAATTAAGAACTTGCCTTAGGGCCCAAGTGGGTCTTTGTCTATCATAAGAACCAAACATTTTCTCTATGTTGTAACTATTTGGAACTCCTATTTGGGGGGTTTTCAATGAACTCAACTTACAGCTGATACCTGAGAACTGATTCAGGGACACTGATGTGTATTAAATGTCTGTTTTCTGTAAGAGCAGTTTAGGGAGATGTTCTTGGCTTGTAGTATGATGTGGTAGAAGAAACATTGACTTTGCAGTAAGACAGATAGATTAATTTGTATTATAGCTCCAACATACACTACCTGTAATATCTTGGGAACATTTCTAAGTCTGTCTCTGTTTTCACACCTGTGAAATAGGGACAATTACAGACATCTTAGAATTTGGTAACATTAGGATAATGCTTAGCACATAATAAGACTTCAATATATTTTCCTGTCTTTTCTTCATACTGTCAAGTTTAATCTGACTTAGAAAATTATCAATAAGTTTTGGGAATGATGGTTCATGGAGATGATTCTTAACTCCATTCCCTCCTTGTGGTCTCTCTTCTTAGGTGAAATTGAAGGCCAGCTTTTGGAACTCAACCTTCAAAGGAACTTAAAATTTCCATTATGTAGAGTCCCTGAGGAAACTGGATCCACTAGCTACACTGGCTGAGAATGCTCTCACCCCAGGATTTCATTTTTATTTTACCACATCATTGTTGGTATCTTAAGATCAATGTACTGGAGCAGCGGGGTCTCACAAAGAGGATACCTGGTGACACGCCCAGGCTTTCAGAATGCACTATAGGGCTTTAGTGACTTGTCCAGGTTCAGCTGAAATGTGCCATCTGGGACCTACTAATGCTTGTTGAACTTTACTGGATCTCAGAAGCTGGGTCTCAGAAGCTCAGATGTTCCTCAGAGCTACGATATCAACAACCTGTGATGACAGAGAGAAGGTTGCTCCATGATGGATTTGGAAACTTACTGGCTAGCTAAACCTGACTGAATGGGAAGGAATGTGGATAGCTTTGGAACTCTAGTTTCACTAGATGAGCTGGAATTTGTATTTTGACAAATTGCACGTTATGATTATTAAGTAATGCAACTGATTTTTTTTTCCCTTAAAACAAACAATCTAGAATCTGTGTAATCAAAATAATTTCTCTAAAAGGCTGCAAGTATATGCTTAAAGTGTTGGGGCATTCAGAGCATTTGGAACATTACATTCTTTTGAATGTCAATTGGTAGATGAAAATACCAGCTTTTAAGTCATACATTTGATTTTTTGAAACAATATGCATTTAGAGTTTGTAAGTCAAGTGAATAACTGATAAGGTAAAAAAAAGGGGGAGTTCATTGTTGAGTATGAATTTAAAGTAACCAGACTGCCTTTTGTCCAGTGGCTGTCAGTAATTTACTTCAGCAGGCATTTTTTTTTTTTTGAGGCTGTTCTATGATATCATGACCCTTCTTGTAGGAATGTGCTTCCAGTGGTGAGGCAGTCTGAGAATGTGTGAAGCAGTATAATGAAGCCAGACCAAGATGGAAGCTTGGCCTGGGATTTGAGCATCAGGAAAACTGTTGAAGGGTTATGTATACATCACACACACACACACACACACACACACACACACACACACACACACACTCTCTTCCATACTCCTATAACAACGTATAGTATTTACTATACCTGGTGACAGGTATTTACTATACATTGTTGAAGATCTATAACATGGAATGCCTAGTGCTAAGTGCAGTGTCCTTAGTGAAATTGTATTGGTTTGGAATTATTTATGAGTTTGGGATTATTTGTCACTACCCTTAAATGATCTTGACACTCACCTATTTGAAAAGATATTGAGGATTTGCCATTTGATATTGACCAGGGTGTATTGTGCACAAATATTGTGAATATACATCTGTCTGTCCTTAAATCACTGTAAGTTTTAACTGGAATAGATTTGCTCCACATTACTCGGTAGGGCTGATATTTCATGCCTCATGGATGAGAAAAGAATAGGCAAAAATTATATCTCGGGCTGCCTCACACATCTTTTAACAGGATAAGGGAAAAATAAATATAAGACCTATGAGTTATGGCATCAGGCTTGAACTTTAATTTATGAATTAAACCAACAATATTATTGATTATTGCAATTATCTATCTTAATTTCATTTGTTCTCCTTTTAAAAATTAATTATGTTTATTTTACCTATTGTGAATAAAGTCACTCCTCCCATGTGCTTATTTCTTGACTCTGGCACTAATTATTCTTCAGTGCCTAGATTTCCTGGGACTGCTCAGTTTAAGTAACTTCTGAACATTGGTCTCTGAGAGAAAAGACAGTGAAGTGGGATCTGTGGAAAAACACATCTGCAAATGTCTCATTTTTTTCTTCAGGGGTAAGTTTTCTTCCTTGGAGACTCTTGTCTTGAAAAAGTGATACTAGATCACCATTTGGCAAGATAATTACAAAAGGCAGATAGAGTAATTATTTTACATAGCTGTTATAGGGTGACTAAGATCTCAGGGAATGACTGTGTTCTGTAATCCACTTGCCCCACTCAATACCCCAAGTTTTATACAAGCCAAAGATGCTTGGAGCAGAATCTGCTACCTGAGGCTCCAGGGCCTTGGCCTAGGGAAACTAATACTTAACTTTTTAAGTGGTCATTGATGACATCCCACTCCTTTCTGAGATGGGTATGATTTGAAAGGCAGGTGTATTCATGGAGAGCAGGGCTTGGGACCTTTGCTGCAAGAGGAGGAACTATTAGCCTAGACTTTTCTAATAAGGACTTTCTCATACCTGTTTCCTAGATCTGGTCCACATAGAAGAAATCAGGGAACACACAGGGTAGGACTCTTAAAGGAGTATGTTTCTTGGCTTTTTCCTAAAAACTAAAACAAAAACATTCATAGCAAAGCAGTTTAGCCCAGTGACTAAGAGTATAGACATTGGAATCTGAAAGATCTGGGTTGGAATTCTGCTTCAGCCATTTACTAATTATGTAACTTCACATCTCTGAGAATGGGGGAAATTTTCTTTGCAGGGTTGTTACAAAGCTTAAAAGAGTTAAGTCAAGTGCCTGGAACAGAACAGCCATTCAATAAATCATAGAAATTTTTGTTTTTACACAAATTTTTAAAAAGTAATATTTTTTGCATTTGTTAGAAAGACTATATTTTCTGTTTAGTGGATGACATCATCATCATAAAAATCACTGTTACAAGTTTTGTTTTGAGAATTAAAATCATATATTAATCCCAATCACATTGTGTTGGGATTAATCAACATCTCTGGGCATCTAATACTGTAAAAACATGGCCTGTGATTGGTCTGCTTGGAAGTGCATCTTGGTTCTGGCTCAGTTGGCTAGTGGGCCACATTGATTAAAGATGAATACAATGCCAATAATCTTGATATTGTTTATGATGCTAATGATAATGATGCAAACTCTGCCTATGATGAAGATAGAATCCTCAGATCACACCCACTTACTTTTAGGGCAGCAGGTCAAAGCATAGTCCCTGAATTTGCCTGCGGGATACATAGATTCTCTCCTTCTTTCTAGTTCACTTAGTCTATGACTGATTCTCTGGGAGCAGGGGATTTATAGTATATTTATCCGGTTCTCCAATCCATAATCTTATTTGCTCTGGTTGCACTAGCCACTGTAAGCCTCTTCTTGGTTGTCTGTGGTTCTTAGTCACTTGATCCTCACTAGGAAGACTTACTTGTCTCAGATCTTAAATCTATGGAATCTTTTGGAGTTTTATAGATAGAATACATTTTCTGTTCCTTCTCTTTTATAAGGAGCCAGATTCCCAGTAGTTTTCAATGGATTGTAGATCTCCTGACTTCTCTACTTCCTGGCTCTTGCCTTCCTATCCTATAGAATTCCAACAGGGAGTAATAAATGGTTCCAGCTTGGTCTAAGTAGCAGGGAGACATTTGTTGACTGAAGGTCTTCTGTGAGTGGATACTCTGCAGCTTTAAAGCTTTCCTCTGCCTAAATGTAAAGTTGACATATTAATTTCAGCTGTTTCTTTCTCCAGCCAGCTTCTCAAGGCTACTAGGAGCTGCAGTTCACCTGAAGCAAAGCCCAACCAAATTAGGTCTTTGTGTAAAGCCAGAGGCAAGTTGAGGCAGGTACATACCAGCCAAGTTTAGGACTTGCTTGCTGTAGGACTGGTTCCCTCACCTATTAGTTCCACAACCCAGCAATCTGGAGTCTAAGCTGAGCTGCTTGTCAAATGGGGTTGTGAGTCATAAGGCAGGCTGGATCTCTATTTTGAGAATGGTAGTTAAGGGAAGGCCCTTTAGATGTTAATTTAAATATAGATTCCGTGGCCCCTATCCTAAGAAACACAGAGGTTAGCTGTGGTTTGATCCACATCTCCACCAAACCCACTTTTCAACTTGAAAAGGGAGTCTCATATGCTTTAATTCTTACACCCAATAAATTTTCACAGGAGCTAATATGTGTTGGATCATTGGGAAAGGAGTAGGAGAAAAAGCATTAAATATACAAGTGCTCATTCTGTAGCAGCAATAATAGGAGAGATAACCCCCAGACCTTTTTGCTAAACACAAAAGATAAATAGTATGGTATAATGCAAAGGACACTAGATATTTCTTAACTTCTTTTTTTCCCCTCATCCTCACAGGCAAACTGTTAGTAAATCCTACCAATTTTATCTTCAGATTATAATAAGAGTCTGCATACTTTATCATCTCCACTGCTACTATCCTGGTCAAACTGCCATCATTTGTTGCTGGTAGTACTAGCCTCCTGACTGACACAACTGCTTCTACTCTTAATACCCCACAGCAGGGTGTCTAATCTTTTGGTTTCCCTGGGCCACGTTTGAAGAAGAATTGTCTTGGGCCACACATCAAATACACTAACCTTAAAGATAGCTTATGAGCTAAAAAAAAATAGCAAAAAAAAATCTTATATGGTTTTAAGAAAGTTTACGAATTTGTGTTGGGCTGCATTCAAAGCCATCCTAGGCTGCATGTGGCCTATGGGCTGCAGGTTGGACAAGCTTGTTCTACAGTCTATTGTCAACTCAGTAGACAGTGAACATTTTAAAACAGGAGTCTGAGTCTGAGCATGTCACTCCTCTTCTTAACACCCTATAGTGGCTCCCATCTTGCTCAGAGTAAGCCACAGGCCAGAGAGGGACTAAATGATCTCTGATCTCATCTCTTGCTATTCCCCTTACTCTCTCTGCTCTAGCCACACTGGCCTCCTTGATGTTCCACAAGCTTGCCAGATACATACTCACCTCAGAGTTTCCTCTCTCTGGAGTGTGCTGTCCCAGATATTGCTTCCTTATCTCTTTTCAGTCTATACTCAGTTATTGCCTTCATGATTCTCTGGCCAAGATGGAGTAACGTGGATTGGATTTACCCTCCCACTTTTGTCACTTAAAATAAATAAAAAAAAGGTTTCCATCCACTGCACTACAGGAAAGATAAATGAAGGAAGCAATACAATTTTCCTAACTTAAAGCCTGGGGAAAGTTTCCAGGTCACAGCAGAGTAGAGGGAATCCAGGCAAGGTCACCTTATCAAGAGGACATTACAATTCTAAGAAAAACTGATAAAACTTCAAGAAGAAATAGTCAATTATCATCAGAGATTTTAAAATCCATTTCTCAGTAATTGATAAAACAGAGATGGAAAATCAGTAATTATATAGAAGCATGAAGAACACTATCAACTAATTTGACTTAATTGATATTTATAGAACACTCCACTCAACAACAGTGGAATATACTTCCTTTCAAGTGCACATGGAAGATTTATCAAGAAAAATTCTGAACCATAAAACAAGTATCAATAAATTAAAATTATTCAAATCCTACAAAGTATATTCTCTGATCACAATGAAATTATATTAGAAACAATAGAAGGGAATGTGGAAGCTAAAATATTTGGAAACCAAAACACACCTAAAAATGACTTATGGGCCAAAGAACAAATGAAAGAGGAAATTAGAAAGTATTTTGACTGAATAAAAATGAAAAAATGAACATATCAAAATTTGTGAGTTGCAGCTACAGCAATACTTAGAGGAAAATTTATAGCACTAAAATGTCTATATTAGAAAAGAAGAAAAGTCTTAAATCAATGAACTAAGCTCCTGTCATAAAAACCAGAAATAAATATGAGCAAATTTTGTCAAAAGTAAGAAGAAAAGAGATAATAAAGATAACAGAATAAATCAGTGAAATAGGAAACAGAAAAATAATAGAAAACCAATTAAGGCAGAATGTGGTTCTTGGAGAAGATCCATAAAATTGAAAAACATTTAGATAGAGAGAGAGATGATACAAATTTCCAATATCAGGAATGAGAGAAGAAAAATCACAGTCTGCAGATTAAAAGGATAATGAGGGAATATTGTGAATAACTTTAGGCTGGTAATTTCAACAATTTAGATGACATGAACAAATTCCATGAAAGACACTAACTAGTAAAGCTTACTGAAAAAGAAACAGCTAACCTGAATAGCCTTATATCTAATAAATAAGTTAAATGTGTAATTAAAAACTTTCTCACAAAGAAAACTCTAGGCCCAGATGGCTTCACTGGTGAATTTTACTAAACATTTAAGGAAGAAATGATACCAATTATACAGAAACTCTTCCAGAAAACTGAAGACGAGGGAATACTTCCCAACTCATTCTGAGAGCAACATTACCCTGATACTAAAATCAGACAGAGATTATAAGAAAACTATAGACCAATATTCCTCATGAAAATAGATACAAAAATTCTTAAAAAATTTTAGCAAACCACATTGAACAATGTATGAAAAACATATGTTATGACAAATGGGGTCTATCCTGGGAATGGCAGGTTGGAACCAACCCAAATGTCCAACAATGATAGACTGGATTAAGAAAATGTGGCACATAGACACCATGGAATACTATGCAGCCATAAAAAATGATGAGTTATGCAGCCATAAAAAATCATGTCCTTTGTAGGAACATGGATGAAGCTGGAAACCATCATTCTCAGCAAACTATCGCAAGGACAAAAAACCAAACACCACATGTTCTCACTCATAGGTGGAGATTGAACAATGAGAACACATGGACACAGGAAGGGGAACATCACACACCGGGGCCTGTTGCGGGGTGGGGGGAGGGAGGAGGGATAGCATTAGGAGATATACCTAATGTTAAATGACGAGTTAATGGGTGCAGCACACCAACATGGCACATGTATACATATGTAACAAACCTGCACGTTGGGCACATGTACCCTAAAAATTAAAGTAAAAAAAAAATCATCATATCAAACTAAAGAAGACAAACTCTACTATCATCTCGATAGATGCAGAAAAGGCATTTGATAAATGTCAACATCCATTTGTAGTAACAGAATCTCTTAGCTAAATAGAAATTAAAGGGAACTTTCTCAACCTGATAATGGGCATCGACAAAATTCCTATAGCTAGCATCTTATCTAATGTTGAAAGACTGAATGGTTTACCTCTAAAATTAGGAGCATGGACCAGGTGCAATGGCTTACGCGTGTAGTCAGCATTTTGGGAGGCTGAGGCAGGAGATCACTTGAGGTCAGGAGTTTGAGACCAGCCTGGGTAACACAGCAAGACCCTGCCTCTACAAAAAATAAATGGATTAGTCAGGTGTGGTGGCATGTGCCTGTAGCTACTCAGGAGGCTGATGTGGGAGGATCGCTTGAGCCCCAGAGGGGCCAAGGCTACAGTGAGCCATGATTGCACCACTACACTCCAGCCTGGGAAACAGAGTGAGACCCTGTCTCAAAAATAAATAAATAAATAAAATAAAATAAAATAAAATAAAATAAAAAAGATTGGGAACATAAATTTCCTTGCTCATACTCAGCATCATAGTGGAGATCCTAGTCAGTGCAATGAGACTATAGGTTAGAAAGGAAGAGGTAAAACTCTCTTTATTTGCAGGTGACATAATTGTCAATGTAGAAAATAACAAAGAAATGTAATAAACACATGCAAAAACTGCTAGAACTAATAAGCGAGTTTATTTAAGTCACAGTACATAAGGTCAGCATACAAAAGAATTAATAATATTTCCATATACGATCAATAAACAATTGGAAATTAAAAGTACTATGTATAATAACATCCAAACCATAAAGTATTTAGGTATAATTCTTAGAAACATATGCAATATATATGTACTGAAAACTACAAAGCACTGATGTGAGAAACCAAAGAAAAAAACTGAATAAATGAAGAGTCATCCTTGTTCATGGACTAGAAGACTTAATATAATTAAGTTGTCAATTTCCCCCAATTATTAGAAATGCAACAACATCCTAATAAAAATTCTAATGGTCTTTTTCTTTAATGGTCTGTTTTATATTAATGGGCAAACTGATTCTAAGATTTAAAGGGAAAGGGAAAGGAACTGGAATAGCCAAAACAACATAAGAAAACAGAATCGGAAGACTCACACTGGTTGTCTTTAAGACTTAGTATAAAGCTGCAGTAATCGAGAAAGTGTTTCATTAGCAAAGTTTAGTCACTTAGAACAATGGAATAAAGTTCATAAATAGACCCATGCTGATATGTTCAGGTAATTTTCAACAGATGTACAAAGGCACTAATTGGGGAATGATAATCTTTTCAACATACGGAACTGGAACAATTGGATAGCCATATGCCAGAAAGAGAGAGAGAGAGGGAGACAGAAGGAGAGAGAGAGAGAGAACAAAAAGAATGAAAAAGAGCTTTGTTCCATATTTTGCACCGTATACAAAAATTACCTTAAAATGAATCGTAGACCTAAATGTCAAACCTCAATGAATAAAATATGATTAGAAGAAAACATAGGAAAAAATCTTTGGGACCTTGAGCTATACAAGGTTTCTGAGATTGATTTCTTAGATTTGACATTGAAAGCACAATTCATAAAAGAATAAAAAATTGAAAAATCGAACATCATAAAAATTTAGAATTTCTTTGAAAGATACTATTATGAGGATGATAAAATAAGCCACAGATTGGGATATTTGCAAATCACGTATCTGTTAAAAGGCTTGTATCCAGAATATATTAAGAACTCTTAAAACTCAATAACGAGAAAATAAACAACTCAATGAATAAATGGGCAAAAAATTCGAATAGACATTTCACCAAAGAAGATATATTAATGTTAAATGTGCATGTTCAACATCACTGGTCCTTAGGAAAATGAAAATTAAAACTGCAATGAGATGCCACTACATACCTATTAGGATAACTCTTAAAAAGTTATTGCACTAGCAAAATTAAGTGCTGGCTAGGATGCAGAGCAATGGAAATCTGGGAATGAAAAATGGTACAGTTACTTTGGAAAACTGACAGTTTTCTTATAAAAGTAAATATACACTTACCATCTGACCTAGCAATCTCACTCCTAGATGTTTACCCAAGTGCAGTGAAAACATATTCACAAAAAAATCTGCATGCAAATATTTATAGAAGCTTTACTTACATAACTGGAAACAACCCACATGTTCTTCGCCTGGTAAATGGAGAAACAAAAATTGTAGTATATTCATAGTTACATGCAACAAAATTGATGAACCTCAAATGCATTATGCTAAGTGAAGAGTCAGGCTTACAAGGTGCATTTTGCACAATTCCACTTCTACAACATTCTGGAAAAGGCAAAGCTACAGGGACAGAAAACAGGTCAGTGGTTACCAGAACCTGGGACTGAGGAAAGAATTTGGCTATGAAGGAACATTGTGGCAGTTTTGGGGGTTATAGAACTGTTCTATATCTTGATATGGCTCTTCGCATTTGTCAAAGCTTGCAGAACTGTACACCAGAGATAAAATTTAATCTGTGTAAATGCCATCTTAGTAAAAACTTAAAGGTAAATTTAAAAATATTACTTTTATAACTAGCATATACATTCTATGAGGCTTGGTCTGTTTCATTTACTGCTATATTCCAAATACCTAGAGCAGTGCCTGGCACAATGTAGATACTCAAAATATGTGTTGAATAAGTGAATAAATAAATGACTGATTGATTTGTTATCAGGAGATCTAAGTTTTACTTCTACCCCTTTTTGGTTGTCTTCCCTGGATAAATCACATAACTGTCTTCACTCAGCTACCTCATCTGTAAAATGAGATGGTAATATCTCTCTCACTTATCGCAAAGGGCTATTGTGAAGATAAAATGAGAACAAAATTATAAAACCTTGTTATAAACTCTATAGTACTATATGAATTAATATTATCACCCTTATTGTTATTTTGTTAAAATTCCCACAATCTTTGATTTTTTTTGACTTCACAATTCTTTTTTCTCCACTTATGTAATATTTATGGTCCCACACATATGATTTAGCTTCTAGCCTTAGATTGATTTAATTATTTAAAACGTGAAATGTTTTGTCAACCTAACTGGACTTTAATTTGAGAGACAAGAAACTAGAATTCTATATTGTATTCCTTAAATTCTTCCTAATAAATGATTTTATTCTTTTGTTCATTCAATGAACAGATCAGTCTACGCAAATGTGTTTGGGTGCAATGTACCTGGCAATTTCATGGGGCAGTCGGGAGGACAGTGTGGCTGAAGCACAGTGAGTGAGAGGGTGAGTACTTAAAACGTGTGGTCCAGATCCTTAGGCCTTCTGATTTGGGCTTTTACCTTAAGGGAGGTGGAGAGTCACTGTCAGGATTAGAATAGGGGAGTGCTCTGATTTCCTTTTCAAAAGTTCCACTCTACCCTCATGTTGAGAATAGACTGAGAAGGGTCAAGAGAAGAATTGCAGAGATCAATTATGAAGCTTTGCAATAATGCATACAAGAGATGATTTGCTAAATATATAGTTATGATCAAATTTATTCTTATTTACATAAAGAAAGATAGTAGGAAAAATCTTCTGTTAAAGCATATGTTCTTAGGCTTTGAAAATATGGTCATTTTACCACATCACCTACATATCTAACATGGTAGATATATAATAAATGCTGAAGCGATGATTATTAGTTGCTAGATTTGAAATCTTGTATTAAGGGGATTAAAAGTTGTACAATCCTTCTCAAAGAGTCTAAGATCATCTAGTTTTGCTCTTTGGGCCTGTTGGTAGGGACACACCTGGGACCTTTTCCAGCTGGAAGTTTTCATTGTGATATGGTCAAGTCATGTGACATAACTGCCTAGGGCTGCTGTAGCACAAATGCCTTCCCCGCGTTCTAGTTTTGCTATGTTGCATGTTACTAACACCAGTCATGAGCACTCGGCTCAGCACACAGCCAAGAGCTGGCCTCCAGACACTTCTGTGGATGTGCCAGTATTCATTCTGGCTATCAGCACAGGGCAGGCCCCTGTAGGGTAGGATACAACAGGATTGGATTCTCCACTATCAATTGCTTTTAGTGTCTGGGAAATATTATTTATTAAGAAAATTCAGGCTTTTAGGGTGGGAGGGAGGGCTTCACCAGAATTGAGTTTTCCTTAGTTAAGAGCAAAAGTTCTCAAGTGGACTAGATTTGGATTTGATTCTCCTTTTTACTACCCAGCTGTGTCTCCTTGGGAAAGTGATTGAGTCTCCCTGACCCCAACTTTCCTCAAGTGTAAAATTGAGGTTGATTCATTCAATTACTCACAGAAAATGTATTTATTAAACATGAGCTAGGCATTGTGCTAGGTGCTGGGAATAGTGTGGTGAGCAAGTTGATAGGATCTTTGCCTTAAGAGCATTTATCATCTAAGGGATAGTAATAATAAATACCTTCTAGTGTTATCCTAAAGGTTAAATAAGAACATACGTGCGTAGTGGATACCTTGGGTCATTTTCCCTACTATCTTTTCTGGGGACTACTGTTCCCTTCCAAGCCCTCACTACAATTATTTGGTCCAGGTTATTCAAGCTAGGGCACCTGATTCAAGCTGGATAATGAATACCTTCCCTTAGAATTCAGAATTAGCACTAAGTGATTCCCCCTCTTAATCTCTGCCTGGTGCCTTGAATGGAGGAGATACTACTCCGGAAGTAGTAACACCTATGTGAATGGGCATGTGGATTGAGAGGGAGGAAGAAGCAATCTTTCACAAGGGAGAATAAGGAAGAAGGAAATGAGGCAAAGAGAAGACTGGAGCCAAGTGTCCTTATGGCATGGTCCTCCCTGGCTCTAGTCCCCTGCTTAAACACACTTGCATCCCTGCACTTGAGTTTTGTGAGATACCCCTGTGTCCTTATCTATGTAGTAGTTATGCTTAAATGAACTCAAACTAGTATCTGTTATACAAAACCAAAATCTCCAACATCAAGGCTCTCAATAAGTAAGAGCTATTATAATTATTGTGAATAAACATACAACTTTCATATTTCTTTCATCTCCATAGAATATGGAGAAAGTAACTATCTGACTATCTCTCCATTATGATATGACCCCAAGTTTTGGACCATGCCTTGGAGAGCTCCATCTGGATATTTCATGGAAATATCAAATCTATCAAAATATCAAAAAATCTAGCATGTCCCAAACTGAAATTTCCTATCTTAGTCAACTCACTTAGCTTCCTGTAATTTTATCTTCAGGCATTAAAACTACTCAACCAGTTGCTCCAAATTCTGGGAGGTAGCTTAGATTTCTTCTGCTTCTTTTTTTCCCACATTAAGCCGTTCAACAAATTGTGTAGATTTTGCGTTGTGAACACTTTGTGAACTCTTCCTCCTGACTTTATTCCTATAGTTTAGGTCCTCATCATCTCTCTCTGAACCTATTTCCCCTGGTTTCTTATCAATTGCTTTTCTTTCATAAGCTATGATTATTAAATGATTTCTCACTACATGCAGAGTTGAATTTTTAAAATAAAGTAGCATAGAAAACATTTCATCTAGCCTCAGTTTTCTACTCTGATATTGTCTTACTCAACTCCCAGATCCCTGTCTTGGAAGATACACTAGTATCACACCCCTTTATAATTCTCTAAATGCACAGTGCAGTTTCACACCTTTGCACTTTTGTATGGCTGTTTTTTTTTTTTTGCCTAAAATAATCTCCTTCTTCTATCTATCTGAAAACTTATTTATCTAAGTCCTGTTCAAATTGCCAATTGCTCTGTGAAGCCTTTCTTGATGCCTTCTCTTTCTCAGAGAAACTGCTCTTTTCTTTATCTGCTCACCTTGTGCATACTCATATTGTTTCTCTAATCACACTAAAGTGTAATATTTTTCATTTCATGTCCTCTAGACTATTTCTTTACAGTAGGGACATGTCTTATTTTTCATGGCATTTCAACACATAAATGTACCTGACAAGCCTACATTAAAATATTCTTATTAGCCCATTTTTTGAAGAAAATAGATGGAATGACAATAAGAGAACAACTGGGGGGAGAAGTCAGATTTTAGTGATGAGACAATAAAGTTATTGTTACAGATAAACCTTGATTTATTGTACTGTATTGTGCTTCACAGATATTGCATTTTTTGCAAATGGAAGGTTTGTAGCAACCTTGTGTTGAGCAAGTCTGTCAGCACCATGTTTTCCAAAAGCATGCACTCACTTTGTGTCTCTGTGTTACATTTTGGTAATTCTTTCAATATTTCAAACTTTTTCATTATTATTGTATCTGTTATGATGATCTGTAATGAGTGGCCTTTGATGTTACTATTGTAATTGTTTTGGAGTGCCACAAACCACACCCATACAAGATGGCAAAATTAATAAATGCTGGTTGTGTTCTGACTGTTCCTCCAACTGGCCAGTCCCCCATCTCTCCCTCTCATCAGGACTCCTTATTCTCTGAGACACCATAATATTGAAATTATGCCAATTAATAACTTGGAAAATGGCCTGTAAGTGTTCAAGTGAAAGGAACAATCTCACATCCCTCATTTTAAATGAAAAGCTAGAGATGATTAAGTTTAGTGAAGAAGGCACATCAAAAGCCAAGATAGGCCAAAAGCTAGGCCTCTTGTGCCAGACAGTTTGCCAAGCTGTGAATGCAAAGAAAAAGTTCTTGAAGGACATTAAAAAGTGTAACTCCAGTGAACACATGAACAATAAGAAAGTGAAACAGCCTTATTGCTGCTATAGAGAAAGTTTTAGTGGTCTGAATAGAAGATCAAATCAGCCACAACATTCCCTTAAGCCAAAGCCTAATCCAGAACAAGGCCCTAAATCTCTTCAATTCTGTGAAGGTTGAGAGGGATGAGAAAGCTGCAGAAGAAAACTTTGAAGCTAGCAGAGGATGGTTCATGAGGTTTAGGGACTTTCATAGCTAAAGCGGAGAAGTCAATGCCTGGCTTCAAAGTTTCAAAGTACAGGCTGACTCTCTCATTAGGTACTAATGCAGCTGGTGACTTTAAGTAGAGGCCGATGCTCATTTACCATTTTGAATATCCTAGTGAAATGGGAAAGGTTCCCTTGTCCCCCTTGCAGGGCATGTGATGGGGGTGTGGCTCACTTCTTCAGTGCCCCACTGCTCAAACCTCTAGGGGAGCATACAGAAGGGCAGTCTGTGGGGCTCCGACCCCATGACTAGGGGTGAATATTTACAGCTCCTAAGCCCCAGTGGGCATGTGTTACAGGGTGCCCTTTTAGTTTGCCATCTATAGGCAGCTTGTGTTAACCAGCTCAATCAGACCCCCTTCCTTATCATAAGACAGAGTGATTTCTATATCCTGGGGTTTCTTGCCTTGGTGTACCGGAAGAATTTGGTCATACATGGGTTTGGGGAGGGACTGCAAAGTTTTATTGGGTGGAAGTAGCTCTCAGCTGATGTGGGAGCCAGAAGAAGGATGATTTTCCCCTGGAGTTGGGCTGCTTGTTGGCCCTGGCACTCCTCTGACTGCCCCGGCCAAACTCCATCTCATTCTGACAGTCAATGGCCTGCCAGTGTGCTCTTCTGCTGGCATGCTCCTCTCAATGTCCTCTCAATGACCAGCTGCTTGCATCTTCTTCTGTCTGATGTGCTCCTCTTCACATCTGTCCACCTGTGTGTCATCTGCCCGCTAGGGTCTTGGGTTTTTACAGCCCCAGGATGGGGGCGTAGCTGGCCAGGGTGGTCTTGGGAAATGCAACATTTGGGCAGGAAATGCCTGTCCTCACCTAGGTCCGTGGTGGTGGAAGTCTAGCCAGGGACCACACCCTCCTCTACCCAGAACTTTTCTTCCCCGCTTCCATATTATTTAAAGGGATCACACTCTTCCCTTCCTAGCACTCCCGTATCATTTCCCCCTCTGAAGAGATACATCTAACTGCCATTAGAATATGGATGATGACAGGTCTTAGCTGCTTCCTGATGACAGGGGGCATTGTTTTGGGGGAAAATGGCAGTCAGATTCCTCCCAGAGGTCTATCAAAGGGTTCCTAGCAAAGGGTAGCCATTGTCCGAGGCTCTGGTTGCCTGACCATTTGGAATTTGATGCCTTCTAGGCATGAGAGAAAAAAAGAAGTTTTTTAAGTATGCATAGATTAAACCTGTGTATTATACAAGGAAAGAGTTTAGTGCCAAAGATTACAGAGATAAGAAATGAAATATACTAACAACAACATTGTACCCTGAGCTGTTTCACCCTGGTGAAAGAAATTAAACCGTATATGGGAACGGATAAACTTTAGAAGAGATTAATATTCTTGCCATATCTTTAGCAGTTAACAGGTGTACCCTGGGAATACCTGTATCTCCTCTCTCTTTCCTGGGCCTCCCTTTCTCTTATATTATAAAAGACCAAGGTAGTCACTTTCAGGAGGTCCTCTAATGTACTATCTGGTCCTAGGGACTGTTTTTGTAGCTTCCTCCTGATGTCAGGAGCTGCCTGGGTAATAAATTTATCTTTTAGGATTAGTTATCCCTCAACTGAATCAGGAGATAGAGAGGTGTGCTTTACCAAGGCCTCTCTTAGCCTTTCCAGGAAGGCAGTGGGATTTTTATCAAATTCTTGATCAGTCATGGACAACTTAGTATAATTGAGAGGCTTGGTCCTAGTCCTACGTAAGCCTTCCATTATGCACACCTGAAAGTGTCTCCTTTTCCAGTCTTCTATCTAGTCATTGGGATCCCATTTAGCGTCATTCACTGGTACTACTTTTCTTCTGGTTGGATAATGTTCGCCCCCTTCCCTGACGCTATATGTGATGCAAAGCTCATTCCCAAATCTCTCTGCTGCTTGCAGAGCGGGCTGCTTCTCAGTGTCCGACAGGGTCTGATTCAAAAGTAACATGATGTCTCTGCAGGAGAATTCAAATATTTGGACGAAAATCTGTAAAGTGTGTATATATCTATCAGGGTTGTTTGAAAACTTGCCCAGGTCCCCTTTAATTTGCTTTAAGTCCTGTAGGGAGAAGGAGACCTGGACCTTACTGGGCCCAAATTCACTGGGCATTTGTTGGAGGGGCAAGAGTGAGACTGGGGCTTGTTTAGGGTGAGGATTTTTAGGAGAGGCAAGTGAGAGGCTGAAGCAGTATCGGGAAGTTGGGGTGGACCTGGAGGAGCAGGACTAGAGGGAGCTGTCTTCTCTGCTGGGGGTGCCTCTGGGACTTGTATCTTTACTTTCCTGAGCCTGCTCCTTGCAGCCTCCCCTGAGATGGCAAACAGGAGGGCTGAATCAATCCTGCATTGTTGCAACGGTCTGGATTGCCTTCCGAGTTATAAAAAGCCTGCACATACGGAGCCTCAGACCATCTGTCCTCACATCTACAGAAAAGTTCCAATTGCCAGATGGTATAAAAATGGATAGTTCCTTCCTGAGGCCAAGCCAGTCCTTCCTATAAATCATAATTTGGCCAAACCTTTTTGCAGAGGGCTATGAGGCATTTTCCCTCCAGATTCTGAGGGTCAAAGCAGTCCCAGTTGTTCAGGATACATTCCAGAGAAGTATAAGCTGGGGGTGGTGAAGAGAACTGATTGCCATTCTGAAAGACAGGGAATAGAGGCATCCCTCAATCCCTTCCTTCTTTCAGTGAAAACTCAGGGTATGAAGGAGAGAGAAAGCGAGCATCCTCCTTTCACTCTCTCCCCCTTATCCCTGAGCCCCGATGACCTTGGCAGGAGCCGGCCATAGGTACCAATGTGGTATGTACCCATGAAGCAGGGAAAACCTGGAGAATAGGAATTAACCGCCCTCACCTATGTATCCGTTTCTCCCTGCTGTCAGGGCAAACTTTGAGTTCCCTGAGACTGTTTATGCCAGGAAGCATGGCCTTCTTCCATGGGGTGGGGGATTCAGTTGGCAGGAATTGGTCCTGCCCATTTACATTGTACCTGTTGCCTGGCTTTGGATCCCCCAGACCTGGTTTTTATGTCTAGGGCCTCAGCTTGAAACTTGGAGTCAAATTTGGGACTGAAAAGGTATTTTAGAGGCTGTTTGCATCCGTTTAGAGTGTCTCAAATGTGTGCTGCTGAATTTGTAGTTCTCAGCCAACAGGGATTATTCCACTGTTAACTTCCATATCAGAAACAGAGTAGGGGGTAGGCCTCTCACTTAGAAAAGGAAAAAGGGGAAAAACAGTTTGGGGGGAAAAATGGGGAGATTTTGGGGGAAGAACCCCTTGCTTAGTGCAACTGGGCCCCCCTAATCTCTTATATCTTCAGACCGGGTTGAATTTATTGACCAAAGGATGAAAGGTTCCATTGGCCCGGCAGGCGAGAAGCGCCTGTCCATTGGCCCTGTGGGGTCGCGAATACCACCGCGGCTTTCTCCCGCCTCCCACCTCGTGGCTGCTGAGGTCCGCCTTTGCCTGCTGTGGGCACACCTAGGCGCCCAAGCTGGGAGGCGAAAAGGTAACAGGAGGTGCCCTGAGCTGTGCATGCCTGCAGCTGTCGAGGTGGAGGCATACATGACACCTGTAGGAACAACTGCTCTGATTTGCACCTTTGGCGACTGAGACAAATGCTCATTTTACTTAGTAACATTGCGACAGCCTGTAGCAAAACTCTTAACATTATAAAGGAAGAGATAGGCATTTCAAACTGTGTAAGAGAAAAGACACAAACTCTAGGGGTTTTGACTGGCCCAGTTAGGGCAGAGTTTTTAAAACTCAGAGCCTCTTACCTGCAGGAAAGAGAGAGAGGAGGCAGGGTTTTGGAAGAGAGGCAGACCCACAGTTTTGCATCGCTCGCACTCGCCTTCCAGGATCCCGGGGGAGGACCCATTTGAAATGGGAAAGGTTCTCTTGCCCCCCTCGCAGGGCATGCGGTAGGAGTGTGGCTCGCTTCTTCAGAGCCCCGCTGCTTCAAAGTATTGGCTGACCCACTTGTTAGGTACTAATGCAGCTGGTCACTTTAAGTTGAAGCCGATGCTCATTTACCATTCTGAAAATCCTGGGTCCCTTAAGAATTGTGCCAAATCTCCTCTGTTTGTGCTCTGTAAATGGAACAGTAAAGCTTGGATGAGGTGCATCTGTTTACAGCATGGTTTACTGACTATTTTAAGTCCACTGTTGAGAGCTACTACTCAGAAAACAGATTCCTTTCAAAATATTACTGCTCATTGACAATAAACCTGGTAATTCAACAACTCTGATGAAAATGTACAAGGATGTTGTTTCCATGCCTAACTAACACAACATCCATTCTGCAGCCCACGGATCAAGGAGTAATTATTAAGAAATAAATTTTGGAAGATTACAGCTGCCATAAATGATTCCTCTGATGGATATGGGCAAAATAATTAAATTAATTAAAATAATTAAAAACATTCTGGAAAGGATTCACCATTCCAGAGGCCATTATCAGCATTTATAATTCGTGAGAGGAGGTCAAAATATCAACTTTAACAGGAGTTTGGAAGAAGAAGTTGATTCCAGCCTTCATAGATGACTTTGAGGGGTTCAAGACTCCAGTGGAAGAAGTCACTGTAGATGTGATGGAAATAGCAAGATAAATAGAAGTGGAGCCTCAAGATGTGACTGAATTGCTGTAATCTCATGATGAAAATTGAATGGATGAGAAGTCACTTCTTCTGGATGGACAATAAAGGTGGTTTCTTAAGATGGAATCTACTTCTGGTGAAGATGCTGTGAACATTGTTGAAATGACAACAAAGGATTTACAATATTCCATAAACTTAGTTGATGAAGCAGTGGTGGGGTTTGAAAAGATGGACTCCAATTTTCAAAGCAGTTCTACTGTGGGTAAAATGCTATTAAACAACATCACATGCTACGGAGAGAAATCTTATGAAAGGAAGAGGCAATTGATGAGGCAAACTTCTCTGTTGTCTTCTTTTAAGAAATTGCCATAGCTACCCCAACCTTCAGGGACCATCACCCTAATCCAACAGCAGCCATCAACATTGAGGTGATACCCTCCAAGAGCAGAAAGATTATGACTCACTGAAGCCTCAGACAATTTTTAGCATTTTTAAGCAATAAAGTATTCTAATTGATACATAATAATTGTACATATTTATGGGGTACATGTGATATTTTGATACAGGCATACAGTGTGCAATGGTAAATCAAGGTATTTAGGATCCCTGTCACTTCAAACATTTATCATTTCTTTGTGTTTGGAATATTTCAAATCTTTTCTAGCTATTTTGAAATATACAATAATTATTAACTATACTGTGCTATCAAACATTAGAACTTATTTCTTTTATGTAACTGTATGTTTGTACTCATTAACCAACGTCTCTTTATCCCCTCTGCCCTTTTCCCAGCCTCTGGTAACCATCATTCTACTCTCTACCCCCATGAGGTCAACTTTTTAAACTCACATATATGAACAAGAACGTGCAATATTTGTCTTTCTGTGCCTGGCTTATTTTATTTAATGTAATGACCTCCAGTTTCATTCATATTGCTGCAAATTACATTCTTTCATTCCTTTTTTTGCCAAATAGTGTTGCATTATCTATATATACCACATTTTCTTTTTTCATTCATTCATTGATGGACATTTAGGTTGATTCTATATCTTGGCTATTGTGAATAGTGTTGCAATCAACATAGGTTTGCAGGTATCCCTTTGAGATATTGATTTATAGTAGTGGGAATTCTGGATCATATAGTAGTTCTAGTTTTAGTTTTTTGAGAAACCTCCATATTGTTTTTTATAATGGCTACACCAATTTACAACATTGTGTAAGCGATCCCTTTTCTATGCATCCTCACCAGCATTTGTTGTTTTGTTCTTATTGTAATAATTGCAATTCTAAATAGGATGAGATGATACCTCACTGTGATTTTGATTTGCATTTCCCTAATGATTAGTGATGTTGAACATTTTTTCATATACTTGTTGATCGTCTGTATGTTTTTTTTTTTTGAGAAATGTCTATTCAAATCCTTTGCCTACTTTTTAATGGGATTATTATTATTATTATTATCATCATTATTGTTTTGCTGTTGAGTTGTTTGAGTTCCTCGTATATTCTGGATAGTAGTTTCTTGTTGGATGAATAATTTGCAAATATTTTCTCCCCTTTTACAGGTTGTTTTTCACCCTTTTGACTTTTCCCTTGCTGTGCAGGAGCTTTTTAGTTTAATACAGTCCCATTGGTTTATTTCTTTTTTAAAGTTGTCTGTGCTTTCTAAGTCTTAGCCACAAAAATCTTTGCCTAGACTAATGTCCTGACATATTTTCCCTGTGTGTTCTTCTAGTAGCTTTATGGATTTGGGTATTACATCTAAGTCTTTAATCCAGTTAGAGTTGATTTTTGCATATGATGAGAAATGGTGGTTTTGTTACATTTTTCTGCAAATGGATATCCAGTTTTCCCAGCACCATTTATTGAAGAGGGTGTTCTTTCCCCAGTAAATGTTCTTGGCATATTTGTAAAAAATCAATTGGTTGTAAATATGTGGATTTATTTCTGGTTCTCTATTCTGTTCTATTGGTCTGTATTGCTTTTTTTATATCAATGCCGTGTTGTTTTGGTTACTATGACTTTGTAGATTTTGAAGTCAGGTCATGTGATGCCTTGAGCTTTGTTCTTTTTGCTAAGTATTACTTTGGCTATTCAGTGTCTTCTATGGTTCCATATGAATTTTAGGATTGTTTTTTCTGTTTCTGTGAAGAATGTCGTTGGTATTTTTATAGGGATTGCATCGAATCTGTAGATTGCTTTGGGTAGTATGGTTATTTTAACAATATTAATTCTTCTGATCCATGAGCATTAGATATCTTTCAATTTGTTTGTATTCTCTCTGATTTCTTTCAACAATGTTTTGCAGTTTTTATTATAGAGGTCTTTCATCTCCTTGATTAAATTTAATCCTCAGCATTTTTATTTTTATTTTTATTTTTGTAGCCATTGTGAATGGAATTGCTATCTTGATTTTTCAGTTAGTTTGTTGTTGGTGTATAGAAACATGACTAATTTTTGTATGTTGATTTTGTATCCTGCAACTTTATTGAATTCATTTATCATATCTGAGTTTTTTGGTGGAGTCTTTAGGTTTTTCTATATTTAAGATCACATCATCTGAAAAGAGGGACAATTTGACTTCCTGTTTCCCAATTTGTATGCCATTTATTTCCTTCTCTTGCCTGATTGTTCTAGCTAGTACTTTCAGTACTATGTTGAATAAGAGTGATAAAAGTAGGCATCCTTGTCTTGTTCCAGTTCTTAGAGGAAAAGCTTTTAGCTTTTAAAAATCAAAAGCTATTAGCCTTTCCTCATTCAGTATTATGTTAGCTGTGGGTTTGCCATAAACGGCCTTTTTCTTGTTGAGGTATGTTCTTTCTATGTGTAATTTTTTTGAGAATTTTTACCATGAAGGGATGTTGAATTTCATCAAGCACTTTTTATGCATCTATTGAGATCATCATATGGTTTTTGTCCTCCATTCTGTTGACATAATGTATTAGATTTGCTGATTTGTACATATCAAATCATCCTTGCGTCTCTGAGATAAATCCCACTTAATCATGGTGTATCATCTTTTTGATGTGCTGTCGGATTTGGTTTGCTAGTATTTTGTTAAGAATTTTTGCATGGGCCGGGCGCGGTGGCTCACGCCTGTAATCCCAGCACTTTGGGAGGCCGAGGCGGGCGGATCACGAGGTCAGGAGATCGAGACCATCCCGGCTAAAACGGTGAAACCCCGTCTCTACTAAAAATACAAAAAATTAGCCGGGCGTAGTGGCGGGCGCCTGTAGTCCCAGCTACTTGGGAGGCTGAGGCAGGAGAATGGCGTGAACCCGGGAGGCGGAGCTTGCAGTGAGCCGAGATCCCGCCACTGCACTCCAGCCTGGGCAACAGAGCGAGACTCCGTCTCAAAAAAAAAAAAAAAAAAAAAAAAAAAAGAATTTTTGCATGTATGTTCATCAGGGATAATGGCCGATAGTTTCCTTTTTTTGTTGTGCCCTTGTCTGGTTCTGGTGTCAGAGTAATGCTGACCTTGTAGAATGAATTAGGAAGAATTCCCTTCTCTTAAATTTTTTTGGAACAGTGTGAGACAAATTAGTGTTAATCCTTCTTTATGAGCTTGGTAAAATTTACCAGTAAAGCCATTCAGTTCTCAGCTTTTCTCTGTTGGGAGAATTTTTGTTACTGATTTCATCTCATTACTTGTTATTGGTCTGTTCAAATTTTCTGTTTCGTTCTGGTTCAATCTTGGTAGGTTGCACGTGTCCAGGAATTAACCCATTTCTTCCAGGTTTCTCAATTTGTTAATGTACAATTGTTCATAATTGTCTCTAATGATCCTTTGTATTTTTGTGGTTTTAGTTGTATTATCTTCTTTTTCATCTCCAATTTTATTTATTTGGGTCTTTTTTTTCTTAGTGAGTTTAACTAATGGCGGTTGAATTTTTCTTTTCAGAAAAAACAGGTTTTTATTTCATTGATCTTATGTATTTTGTAGTCTTTATTTCATGTAGTTCTGCTCTGATCTTTATTATTTTTCTTTCTACTAATTTTGGATTTGGTTTGTTCTTTCTTTTCTAGTCCCTTGAGGTACGTTGTTAGGTTATTTGAAATATTTCTACTTTTCAATGTAGGTATTTTGCTATAAAATTTCTTCTTAGCACTGCTTTTGCCATATCCTATACATTTTGGTAAGTTGTATTTCCATTTTCATTTGTTTCAAAAAGTATTTATATTTCTCCATTAATATCTTCATTGACCCAACATTTTAAAATATTTCTACATTTTTTAGACATAATGCTATTACACACCTAATAGATTACAGTATAGTATAAACATAGCTTTTTATATACACTGAGAAACCAAAAAATTTATGTGACTTGCTTTATTGCAATATTTGCTTTATTACAGTAGTCTGGGACCAAAGCCACAATAACTCCAGCGTCTGTTTATATAATTATTATCATACTCAAAATGTATGAAGTACTTTAAATGCATTATTTCTTTAATCCTTATTTTATTATCCCTATTTAATAGATAAGTTACAGAGAAGTTAAACAGTTTTTCCCAAATCAAGCCAGGATTTAATCTCAGGCAGTCTGACTACAGAATCTATACTCTTGATCACAACAGTTGGCTGCCAGAGAGGATTCAGAAACCCAGGTTCTGTACAATCTAAGTAAATTAGGTCACTACTGTGTGCCCAGAACTAAGTAGGACTTATCTTTTAAGCTGGACAAAGTTGTTGGCTCTTTAAACTCTGTCACATCCTACTAATGTGCCAAATTGTGTATATAGCTGGCTTTGGAGCCTGCACTACCTGAGGCATGACATTCCGAGCAGTCTAATAAAGAACCTTCTTGCTGTCTAAACACCTGAGTATGATCATGGTGAATCACTACTTAGGAAGGGGTTAGGAGGAGCCAGGGTGAACCCCATGATATATCCACATCCGGTATTCATTGGTGGACTCCTATTCAAAAGTGCTGCCAAGAAAGCTGAGGTTCTGTCTGAGATGATAGTATCCAGTTATGTGGGAGCACTGTGGGAATGAAGGAACCCAAGAAGAAGCCTGCTCCTAAGAATGAAGGAAGTATTTTTGGGTGATGAAATCCAAGAACCCAAGGCAATAGTGTCTGAGGTATTTCCAGATGTTTTTCCAAACAACATTGCCAAGAAAAATAGAGTTGACTGAAGGTCAGAATAATTAGATTTTGTTTTTTCTTTGCTTTCAAAGAGGGTGAGGACAGCCACATCAACACTAGGCCCGACATACATATCTGGTTTTGGTCAGGAGAAGACAGCCACCATGACTACTATGGGAATAAGAGATTTCATGTAGAAATTAGAGATTATGTGAATGTGGGAGGGGCAGAGAGATAGGTTTGTAGGCCTCCAGATTCTATAGAAAAAGTTACTGTGGAGGATTTCTAGAAGCTACCACTTCTGCCCTCCTTGACCTCCTAAGAATAATAGCTTCTTCTTTGCTCCCACCTTCTAAATATGACACAAGTTTTTTCCCCCCTCACTGGCAAATTCAAATCCAGAACAATATAGGAAGGCTTTTGGGGAAATCTATCTCCCAGACTTAGAAAGGTGTTATGATGGTGATGGCACAAGTTTGTCACAGATAATATGGCAGACCTGGTATAATATCTCTATGAACACAAGGATCAAAGTGATGAAAAAAGAAATCCTCCATCTGCTCTCACCAATATCCTTTACTTTTTAACCTGCATCTTTATATGATACTGGCTGCACAGAGTACCCATTTTGGATCAGTATTACCATCTAACCACCACTACTGACTACACACAGAGGAAGTCATTCAACACTAGCTTCTCCGCAACATGTTTTTTCACCCTCAGTAACTGTTCTAAACTATTATCACTTTCCATGAGCTATAAGTCCAACGCCAACCTCATTCTACTTTTAGAGAAAATAATGATCATTTTTTAGCTTCTTGTGATATTTTTAGAAACTTTCCTTTTTCTGCATGCCTCCTGACATTGAAGGCAACTCCATCTGCCTTCAATGTCCTTTTTCTCTTCTCTTTCTCCTATTAGACTCAATTAGTTCAGATACTATTATTTCAAATATTCCTTGTCTTGAAGGAGTGTGTACATACATTGACTGAAAATGTCTCCTGACATTTTCTTGCTGTGTGCAAAACTTTCCATCTCTGGTTCATGGCTAATCCTTCATGTTCTGGGCTCCATATTCTCATGGAACTTGTTTCCTTGACAGCTTCCTTTGATAGCTGTGTCCTTGATACTAACTCCTGTATTGACTGCTGTAATGCTGCCTATCCTCTAATTCTCTTATTATTCTTTCTATACTTCAATGTGATATCCTCTTCTTTCCTCTATGCACACTTTACAGATTGTATTCCTTTGTGTTCCATCTGAAGTCTTTTTCTTTTCTTTCTTTATATATTTTTTTTACGAGAGACTTATTCATATCCATGGCTTTGATGTTAACCCAATTTAATTATAACTGATAAATTTACCTCTTTCTTGAACTTCAGACTAGTGTAGTCAACTGTCCATATCTCCATTTAGATGCTGTATGAGGCAGGCTAAGCTACTTTTACAAAAATGCTCTAAAATTAATAGTGTAAAGAACAATATGCCTATTTCTCTATCATGTGAACAGCCCAAGATAAATGTTTGAGATGAGCAGACAGCTCTGATATATGCAGAAACCTAGGTTAATGTAGGCTCTGCTATCCTCAACTTGAGACTTCTTAGGTCATTTAAGTTATCATCATCCCAAACAGTAGAAGGGAGAAGGAGCAGAAATCCAGGGACAGGGATTTATTCTTAAGCAAGTGAGAAAGAAGTTGCGCAATTTGCTCTTGGTCACGTTCTACCGGCAAGGTCTTAACCACATGGCCACCACCCCACTGCAAAGAGTGCCTGCAAAATATAGTACCAAAGGAAGGCTGGGCATCCACATCCTAGCTACCATTATGTGGAAAAAGGAGAAAATGGATTCGGGTAGGTGACTAGCAATGTCTTCCACAGGTATCAACATGTACAAAATGGACTTCACAATTTTCCCCATTTCAATTTTCTCTTCATCCTATAGTGGTTTTCTGTGTTCATCATAGTCACCCCACTGCACGCAACAAAATCCCAAGAATTATCTTAACTTAGCTCTTTCTCATTTCCCAAAGCCAATGCATCATCAAATTCTGTCAATTTTGTATCTAAATATTTCCTTGAACCATGTCCTTTTTGCTCCCACTCCTGCTGTTTTTTGTTTAAACCTAGATTTCTGAAACAGCTTCTTAAGTGATCTCTAATTGCCTCCAGTCTTGCCATTCTCTAAATAATCCACTGCTTAACCTCCAGAACGAACTTTCTAAAATACAAATTGAACTGTAGGACTTTCAAGTCCTTCAGTAGTTACTTAATACTGTTTGGTTAAAACCCAAACTTCTTAACATGGATTAGTAAGTTCTTTGTGAGTAGGTATATCAACAAATACATATTTATTGAGTGAACAAATGATCAAGCCCTTGCCTACCTCTCTGTCTTGTCAGCCACTACTCCTTTACACCTGCCTATGTACAACTATGTGGAAGTTCTCTAAGTTCTTTGTACCCACTGTGTTGTTTCATGACCCAGTGCTTCCATTGGAGCTGCTCCATCTGCCTTCAATGTCCTTTTTCTCTTTTCTTTCTCCCATTAGATTCGATTAGTTCAAATACTATTAGTTCAGATATTCCTTGTCTCTGAAGGAATGTGTACATACAGTATAGTGCATTTCATACTCTTTTTTAAAAAAATTAATTTTTTTAGAGAAGGTCTTGCTCTGTCACTCAGGCTAGAGTGCTGTGGCACTATCTTAGCTCACTGCAGCCTCAAACTCCTGCCTCAAGCCATCCTCCTGCCTCAGCATCACAAAGCACTGAGATTACAGGTGCAAATCACCATGCCAGCCCCAATGGTTGTTACAATCATATATCCTCAGATTTTTTGCCTTCAAAGGATCAGAAAAGTGATCCTGAAGTTAAAGCTAAAAAGTTAAAATTTCCCTTAAGTTATAGTTAGAATTGTGTGCCCTTTAACACCTTTGGCATTAAAAAATTAAATTTTCCTTAAGTTACAGTTAAAATTTTATGCCCTTTAACACCTGTGAGTTGTGGGGAAAATGGATAAAAAGCAAGAAATTTGGGGCAGAGGAGCTTTCTTGATACATACTCTCGTATCACACCGTGTAAACTGCAGCGACACTGCACTGTACTGGGTGCATTTCCATACCTGAAATTTGGCTTCAGGGTGACCATTGTAATGACAGACTCCATGATGATCCATTATTCCATTAAAAATTTTATTTCCCTAGGTTTTTGGGGAACAGGTGGCATTTGGTTACATGAGTAAGTTCTTTAGTTGTGATTTGTGAGACTTTTGGTGCGCCCATCACCCGGGCAGTGTACACTGAACCCAATTTGTAGTCTTTTATCCCTTACCCCCCTCCCACCCTTTTCCCATGAGTACCCAAAGTCCATTGTGTCATTTTTGTGTCTTTACATCCTCATAGCTCAGTTCCCACTTATAAGTGAGAACATCTGATGTTTGATTTTCCATTCCTGTGTTACTTCACTTAGAATAATAGTCTCCAATATCATCCAGATTGCTGTGACTGACATTAATTCCATTAGTTTTTATAGCTGCATAGTATTCCATCATATATATGTGTATGTGTATGTGTGTGTGTTTATATATATTATATATATATGTATATGTATGTCACAGTTTCTTTATCCACTCGTTTAGTGCATTTCATACTGTGGTACACATGATATCCACATGAGGACCTATCCTATACTTCCTGCATTCTACTACTGTCCTGCCCCCTTTGAATCTTGCAAATCATTTGTTCAGTCTAAATATCACTGCTTCCTTCAAACCTTCCTCTTATGACATGGTTTATAATCCCAGTGCTTTCTTTTAAAATGCATTTCAGCCTACTAATATCTTTCTTTATATGTCACCCTTAGCTGAATCCAATTTTAAAGGTGTGATTTAGCTGCATGACGTAGAAGAAGACCATTTCCTCCTTTATTCATTGTGCAACCATGACCACCATCTATCTCCAGAAATATTTTATCTTTCCAAACTAACATCCTATTCCTCCCTCCTCCCAGGCTCTGGAAATCACAGTTCTACTTTCTGTATGAATTTGATGGCTCTAGGTGCTTTACATAAGTGAAATTATACATGCAGTATTTGTCCTTTTGTGATTGGCTTACATCATTTAGCATAATGTTCTCAAGGGTCATCCAGGTTGTAGCATGTGTCAGAATTTCCTTCCTTTTTAAGTCTGAACAATACTCCATTGTATGTGTTTACAACACATTTTGCTTATCTTTTCACTCATTTGATAGACATCAGGGCTGCTTCCACCTTTTGGTTGTTATGAATATTGTTGCCATGAATGTTGGCATACAAATATCTATTCTATTGCCAAATATGTACAACTAATATGTATCAATAAAACACTTTAAAAAAAAAGAAAAAAAAACTGTTCTAGTTCTTGCTTTCACTTCTTTTGAGTATATAACCCGAAGTGAAATTGCTAGATTATATATCACAATTTTATGTTTTTATAATATAGTGTTAAAATTGATGATAAACTCATAATTTTGTGTCAAATTGTAAGCATTTTCCAATGTCATTATAGACTCTTAAATGATGGTTTTTAATGATGGCCTAGTATTTACTCCAGTATTTCAGTATTCTGTTCTTGGATATTTTGATTGCTTCCAAATTTTCACTATTACAATACTGTAATGAACATCATATACACAAATCTTTGAATATTTATCTGATAATTTCCTTAATATGATAAACTCCTAGAGGTAAGATTACTGAGTCAGAGCTATGAACATTTTAAAAACCCTTGTTGTATATTCATAATTTTTATAAGGTTTGCTCCAATTTAGTACCCCTCCAGTAGTGTCGAGCCCATCTCACTCCACATTTCTCAAAAAATAATTCATTCTTTTTGCGATATGTTGTCCCAGGTAACTGAGCCACCAACAATACATTTGTGGTCCTGGCTTCCCAAGAACTTTGGAGGTTGTAGGTAAAAGGGGCAGGTTAAAAGGAGGATTTGGGAAGGCTTATTGGAGGAAAATAATAGAAACTGGCAATTTCTTGTGTGAGAAAATAGGAGAGTACGTTGGTGAGTGTGGGAAGATGTGGTGCAGATGGGAGAAGGGAGAGAATGGGGCACCAATATTTGTGGAACATCTCTGCGTGAAAGTTGCTTGACATATACTAGTAATACCCCAACCTTTCTTGAGGGAAATATTATAATTCTCATTTTCTAGTGAGGAAACCAAAGCTCAGAAAGAGCCTTAGATCCAAAGCCACACAGATGGTAGGTGGCAGAGCCAGGATTGAACCCAGGTCTATCTGTCCCTCTGACACTGGCATCTTTCTACTACACCATGATGCTCTCAGGAGATGATCAGCACTCTGAGATAGAAGAGGGGAGATAAATTTCAAATTCAAAACTGAAAAAGCTTGGCATATCCAAATTTTATTATTAGTTCTTGGGTCTTGGGAGAGGTTAGGGTTGCCATTCTGTGTAGGGGGAATGAAAGGTGCCTCCATTTGATGGCCAAATTTTCCTCTGAAGAAGTGTGGGCTTAGCACTTGTGGTATGCCACCAAGCTGGATAAACTGATTGGTTTCAACAGATACCACAAATAACAGCAGAGCCACCTGCAGGCCCACATCCACCTAGGTGCTTATGTAAGTGTGTAGAGCAGAGAAATCAACAGATTAATCTGATAGCAAAACCCTAGAGGAGAGGCAGAATGCCAGAACCAGTTAAGTGAGAAAGATCAGGTCATGGCTTAAAAAAATATGTCTGTGGTTTACCACACATTCCTGCATTGCTGTTTAATTTTGAGATAAACAACGCCCTTTGTTAAGTGAAGGTGTGACTGAATTTTTTATTGATTGTGGGTAAGGTGGTGTAATTGAATTTTACGACATTTATTTATAAGACAAACAGACACTTCAACAGTAGGTATGGCTTTTAATCTTATCATGAAATTGATGGTAATTAGAAGAGTGAGTTCCTGGCTGGTGTATCATGGAACACAGAAGTGGATTTTAGTTGTCTGTTTTATGAGGGCAACTATGTGTTTGTTGTGAGTAGCAGGCAGTGGAAAAAGATCCCTGATGAAATGAGAGAGGTTGCTTTGGGAGAGGGAGGTTATGGTTATGAAGAGTAGAGTTCCTTTACAAATATATTTCTCTGCACCTGAAAATGTGGCCCAAAAAGCCATTTGCAGAATTGATGATGGCTGTAATAGAGCTATCTGGAACTATATAAAGGCTAAGATTAGTTTGGGAGTTCACAGGTAGAGGGCATGGGTTTTTGCACTCTGAGCTAAGATTCCTTGGTTATTTCAATATATTTCTCATCTATTAACTTCATGCTAGCTCCTTGACTAGAGCTCCTTAGGCTAGAGCCTAAGTCTGGTTCATTTTACATTATGGCTAGCACAAATCTGGTGTTCACAAATTCATAGTAATATACAAATCAGCATATAACATAGCATTCTGTATTATTTGTGACTATTTATATATGGGATTAGTGTTGAAAAATGAGGTAGATTTCAGCCTGCATATGGGATTTTTCCTCTGCAGATAGTGACTTCCTCTTGAAATAAAAATAAAAAGAACCTAAATGATGAGTATGTCATGATACATGATGAAATGTATCATAAAACAACAAAAAGGTTTTTCTTGTCAATGTGGCTCCAATTGTTTTAGTTTGTTAAATGTTCCTCTCTAAGTCAGATGCAATAATTGGAAATGGTTGACTATGCCCTCTCCAGTGACACATGCCCTCCCTTCCTCTGCCTGAATCCTGTGGGAAAATAAGCCAATTAGAGATCGATTTCATATCCTCTTATCTAGCAGCTTAGTTTTGAGTGGGAGAGAAATGGAACAGTGAGAAGCTGATGGACAGGACAGGGGCTTGGGAGAGAAGGCAGGAGGGTTGGTGTTACATTGGTACATTTAGAATAATACATGGATTTAGCCCTAGTCCTTAGGTTTTCTTTGAGATGGAAATCCCCAGGTTGAGCTGTGGTCTAGAACACCTGCTAGAAGCCACAATTATATTCATAGAATGAAAGTCTAGCCCATGAGAATCTTCTATATTGGGTGATGGTCTGTCTGATTAGGACCATTTGTATCTTTTTCTCTTTCTTTAAACATTCTTTGCTTTATAAATGGCCTTAAAAATGCTTCACTTAAAACTTATTTTCTGTATCCAGTCTATAGCTGATGGGCATTTGGGTTGATTCCATGTCCTTGCTATTGTGAATAGAGCTGCAATGAACAAACAAGTGCATGTATCCTCATAATAGAATGATTTATATTCCTTTGAGTATATACCCAGTAATGGGATTGCTAGGTCAAATGGAAGTTCTTCTTCTAGATCTTTGAGGAATCACCACACTGCCTTCTGCAATGTTTGGACTAATTTACACTCCCACCAACAGCGTAAAAGCGTTCCTTTTTCTCCACAACCTCGCCAATATCTGTTGTTTCTTGATTTTTTCATAATTGTCATTCTGACTGGAGTGAGATGATTGGTATCTCATTGTGGTTTTGATTTGCATTTCTTTAATGATCAGTGATGTTGATCCTGTTTTCATGTTTGTTTGTTGGCTGCATGAATGTCTTATTTTGAGAAGTGTCTGTTCATGTCCTTTGTCCACTTTTTAGTGGGGTTGTTTGTTTTCTTCTAGTAAGTATGTTTAAGTTCCCTGTAGACTCTGGATATTAGACCTTTGTCAGATGGATAGATTGCAAAATTTTTCACCCCCTCTGTAGGTTTTCTATTCACTCCGATGATAGTTTCTTTGATAGACTGGATAAAGAAAATGTTAGTACATAACACCCTGGAATATTATGCAGTCATAAGATGGAAGGAAGGAGATCATGTCCTTTGCAGGGACATGGATGGAGCAGGAAGCCATTATCCTCAGCAAACTGATGCAGGAACAGAAAATCAAATGCCACATGTTCTCACTTATAAGTGGGAGCTAAATGATGAGAACACATGGACACATAGAGGGGAACAACACACACTGGGGTCTGGCAGAGCAGGGAGGGATAGCATCAGGAAGAATTACTAATGGATGCTGGGGTTTAATACCTAGGTGATGGGTTGATCTGTGCAGCAAATCACCATGGCACATGCTTACCTGTGTAACAAATCTGCACATCCTGCACATGTACCCCAGGAAATGAAAGTTGATGAAAAAAAAAAAGACTTGTTGAGGGCTTACCCTGCCATGTGTCAGGCACTTTTAAATAAATATATGGATTTAGCTATTCTCACAACTACCTGTGAGGAAATACCATTATTTTCTCCACTTTAGAGATGAGATAATTAACGCATGTGCCTTGATCAAGGACACATCTCTTCTAAGGTACACAGCCGAGGTTTGAACTTAGGTAAACTTGCTCCCAAGCACACAGTCCTAACCACCAAACTTTACTAACATGGGCTGCCCTAAATCACTGAAAATAGTCCATAGAAGCTATTCCACAATCATACATATTTGTATAGTATATAGGTGTATATGCATATATAGTTTGCAAAAGGTCTATATTGTGTATGTTTTGCATATAGATATACAATTTATAGATATAATTTACATATAAATTTGCACATATAGACATACACTTTCATATAGATGTCTGTATGGTAATTTGCCTATAGAAGAGGGTCTAGAGGAATTAAATAACAGTGGTTATTTCTGGTATTGGTTTTTTAAAATATTAATCTCTTTGCTTGTGTCTTTTTTGATTTCTCTGTGATAAATATATGATGGTTCATAGCTAATTTTTCTTACTTTAAAAAAGGATTTGTATTTCTTTATTTAGGAAATTTAAAAATATGCATTGACTGAGTTCCTGCTTGCTCAGTACAAAATTATACAAAGCCTGAGAAAACCTTGGGTTGGACATAGACCAATGGAATAGAACAGTGAACTCAGAGATAAGTTTACATATTTACAGCCAGTTGATTTTTCAGCAAAGTTACCAAGAACATACACTAGGGAAAGGACACCCTCTTCCATAAATAGTGCTGGGAAACCTGGATAACCATTTACAGAAGACTGAAACTAGACCCCTATCTTTTACCGTATATGAAAATCAACTCAAACTGGATTAAAGACTTAAACATAAAACTCAAAGCTATAAAACTACTGAAAGAAAACAGGGAAAATATTTCAGGACATTGGTCTGAACAAAGATTTTATGGCTAAGACTTCAAAAGGACAAGCAACTAAATCAAAAATAGGCAAATGGCACTATGTTAAACTAAAAAGCTTCCGCGCAGCAAAGGAAACAAAAGAGTAAAAAGACAACGTGTAGAAGGGGAGAAAATATTTGCAAACTATTCACTGATAGGGGACTAATATCCAAAGCATACAAGGAACTCAACTCAACAACAAATAATCCTATTAAAAATGGGCAAAGGATCTGAATAGACATTCCTCAAAAGGAGACAGACAAATGGCTAACAGCTATATGAAAAAATGCCCAACATCACTAGTCATTAGGGAAATGAAAATCAAAACCACAATGAGATATCATTTTACCCCAGTTAAAAGGACTGTTAGACAAAAAATAACAAGTGCTGGTGAGGATGTGGAAAAAAGGGAACTCTTATACACTGTTGGTGGGAATGTAAATTAGTACAACCATTATGTAAAACAGTACGAAGTTTTCTCAAAAAACTAAAAATAGAACTACCATATAATTCAGCAGTCCCACTACCCGGGATGTATCTAAAGAAAAGGAAATCAGTATATCAAAGGGATACCTGCAACTGCATGTTTTTTGCCACACTATTCACAGTAGCCAAGACATGGAATCAACCTAAATGTCCATCAACAAATGAATGGATAATGACCATGTGTGTATATACAAAATGAAATACTATTCAGTCTAAAAAAGAATGAAATCCTGTCATTCACAGCAACATGGATGAGCCTGGAGGACATTACATTAAGTGAAATGTCAGGAACAGAAAGATAAAGACCACGTGTTCTTTTTCGCATGTGGGGGTAAAAATAAATTGATCCCATGGAAGTAGAGAGTAGAATTGGGGGCATTAGAGGTTGGAAAGAGTAGAGGGGAGGGGAGGATTGGGAGAGGTTGCCTAACAGATACAAAATTACAGCTAGATAGGAGGAGTGAATTCTAATGTTCCACAGTAGCAGGCTCCGGCATTTTGGCACCAGGGACTGGTTTGTGGAAGACAATTTTTCCAAGGTCCCCAAGGGCTGAGGGGATGGTTTAGGGATGAAACTGTTCCACCTCAGATCATCAGGTCTTAGCTTCTCATAAGGATCATGCAAACTAGATCCCTTGCATGTGCAGTTCACAATAGTGTTCGACAGGAGGCAGAGCTCTGGCGGTAATGCTCACTCTGCTGCCGCTCACCTCCTGCTGTGTGGCCTGTTTCCTAACAAACCATGGACTTGGGTACCCTTGTTCTATAGCATTGTATGGTGAATATAGTCAACGATAATTTATTGTCTATGTTCTAAAAGCTAGAAGGGAGGATTCTGAATGTTCCTAACACAAATAAGTGACAATTGTTTGAGGTGATGGATATGCTAATTACCCTAATTTGATCATTATGCATTGTGTATATGTATCAGAATATTACTCTATACCCCATAAATATGTACAATTATTATGTATCAACTAAAAATAAGAGGAAAAAAAATCCAAAACAAACACAAAAATCCTGGGTCTGGTACACCACCTGGCTCTCTGGTTACCTAACTGATTTACTTTTCTTTTCTAAACAGAACACCAGAGAATTCCAAAAGTACATGTTACTATGTTGCCACCCAGGACACCTCTCCAAAAAGTATTCCTCTTTTTGTCACTTTCTAGTATCAGCTCTTTTCCAGAGAATCCCTAGATAAACCAGAACCAGTGTCTTCTCTGCATTTCACCCAGAGCCATGGGCTCATAACCACCCGATAGTACCATGGAATGGGGAGCCTCTCCCCTGGAGGGTGTTTAGTGCTGTGAAAAGAAGGTCCAGAGGCCCCTTTCAGCCATGATGGATAGGAGGTGATGCTGCCTTGAAAGTTTAGCCTTGTCTGTTCCAACAGGCCCACACCCTCACCCTCATCCCCTCTAAAAGAACTGGGCCTTGTGGATCTGTAAGCCTCTCACCACTCATGCAGACCCTAGGGGCAAAGCCATTCGGCTGCTTTAGTTTCTTAGCTTTTTTTCCCTCCATTGAATGGAAGTAGGTAAGAATAGGATGTGCTCATTCCAGCCCGAACTCTGCTTACTTTCTAAAGATGTGGCCAAGGGAATCATCATTTATTAATTATTTGTAGCTCGTGGATAAATGGGGAACACTGAGGACGTGTCACACAGAGCTGAGTGGTGGCCTACATCAGTCCTGGGAGTTGAATCCACAGCCTTCTGTGAGTGACCAGGACAACAGCAGGCTATAGCCTTGGTCTCAGGGCTCCTAGGAGAAGTGCACAGACCATCACTTTCTGCCTTGAGGAGGGAGAGCCACAGGATGTTGACCTCCCTGCCTCTCTGTAGGGACTGCTCCAGAAATGTGCTTTCCCAGGTGGGATAATCAGGACATCCTCACACAGTGTGCCAAGGCCCTGGAAATGATGTAGATGTATAGTTGCTGGAAGACAGTTGCCAGTAGGAGTGGCTCCATGAAGGGCACTCCTTAAACACACACACACACACGCATGCACACACACACACACTCAGCCCCAAGGCTCAGAGCAGCCTGGGGCTGCTCTCACTACTGGTAGCTTCACTAGTGAGGGTTCAGGGCCACTTACTCTGGGTGCTGCTGTGCCCAAGACCACACCACTGAGCCCATTCCCACGTCTGATGCCACCTTCCTTCCTATTCCAGCAAAATCACATTTACTACCAGAGCTCCTTTACAGGTATTAGTCGTAACTGCCACCAGGGGACAGCAGCACAGTATACTTGCTGTCTATGCAGACTGGGAAGCTACCTGGTGAAAGAGGTTTTCTGGGCCTTTGTAGTGAGTCTTCAGCCCTGAGTGTCCCTGAGGACAGGGCCATTTTACACACTATGACCAATCCAATGTGACTGGGACTTATGAGCTCTGCAAGAGCCAACAAAAATATTTGAATCAAAAATAAATAGATAGGGGCTATGCCATGCCCTGTGCGTGAGCAGCTGCAGCGGCAGAGGCAGCATCCAGAGGTGGCGCCAGCAGTTCCAGCCCGTTGCTTTACTTTTTGCTACACCGACATAGCCACTATGCAGAAGAGAAAGTCTCCAGAGAATACAGAGGGCAAAGATGGCTCCAAAGTAACTAAACAGGAGCCCACAAGATGGTCTCCCAGATTGTCAGCAAAACCTCCTCCACCAAAACCTGGACCCAAACCAAGAAAAACATCTGCTAAGAAAGAACCTGGAGCAAAGGTTAGCAGAGGTGCTAAAGAGAAGAAAGGAAAAGTAGGAAGCTGGAAAGGAAGGTACTGCACCAGCTGAAAATGATGAAACTAAAGCTGAAGAGGCACAGAAAACTGAATCTGGAGATAACCAGGGAGAATAAATTGTCATGAAAAACAGGTTAATTTTATGTATCTCTTAGGTGAACTTTTAAAAGCTGTTTTTACTAAGTATTTTCTAAATGCTAATTTTTTAGGACTCTACTAGTTGGCATACAAAAATATGTAAGGATGGACATTTTACCCTCTCATAATCATGCTTTTTGGACATTTCCATCATCCTCAAGTAAAATAAATATCAGTTTAATATTGGAAACTGTGTGTAAGATTGATTCAGCATTCCATGCACTTGCTTTAAAATTTAGTCCTGTGTATACTGTGGTGTTTTTACTGTGCATATTTGAGTTTTTCATGCAGTTTTTCTTTTTCTTTTATTTTATTATTATTATACTTTAAGTTTTAGGGTACATGTGCACAATGTGCAGGTTAGTTACATATGTATACATGTGCCATGCTGGTGTGCTGCACCCATTAACTCGTCATTTAGCATTAGGTATATCTCCTAAAGCTATCCCTCCCCACTCCCCCCACCCCACAACAGTCCCCAGAGTGTGATGTTCCCCTTCCTGTGTCCATGTGTTCTCATTGTTCAGTTCCCACCTATGAGTGAGAATATGCGGTGTTTGGTTTTTTGTTCTTGAGATAGTTTACTGAGAATGATGATTTCCAATTTCACCCATGTCCCTACAAAGGACATGAACTCATCATTTTTTATGGCTGCATAGTATTCCATGGTGTATATGTGCCACATTTTCTTAATCTAGTCTATCATTGTTGGACATTTGGGTTGGTTCCAAGTCTTTGCTATTGTGAATAGTGCCGCAATAAATATACGTGTGCATGTATCTTTACAGCAGCATGATTTATAGTCCTTTGGGTATATACCCAGTAATGGGATGGCTGGGTCAAACGGTATTTCTAGTTCTAGATCCCTGAGGAATCGCCACACTGACTTCCACAATGGTTGAACTAGTTTACAGTCCCACCAGCAGTGTAAAAGTGTTCCTATTTCTCCACATCCTCTCCAGCACCTGTTGTTTCCTGACTTTTTAATGATTGCCATTCTAACTGGTGTGAGATGGTATCTCATTGTGGTTTTGATCTGCATTTCTCTGATGGCCTGTGATGGTGAGCATTTTTTCATGTGTTTTTTGGCTCATAAATGTCTTCTTTTGAGAAGTGTCTGTTCATGTCCTTCGCCCACTTTTTGATGGGGTCATTTTTTTTTCTTGTAAATTTGTTTGAGTTCATTGTAGATTCTGGATATTAGCCCTTTGTCAGATGAGTAGGTTGTGAAAATTTTCTCCCATTTTGTAGGTTGCCTGTTCACTCTGATGGTAGTTTCTTTTGCTGTGCAGAAGCTCTTTAGTTTAATTAGATCCCATTTGTCAATGTTGGCTTTTGTTGCCATTGCTTTTGGTGTTTTAGACATGAAGTCCTTGCCCATGCCTATGTCCTGAATGGTAATGCCTAGGTTTTCTTCTAGGGTTTTTATGGTTGTAGGTCTAACGTTTAAGTTTTTAATCCATCTTGAATTAATTTTTGTATAAGGTATAAGGAAGGGATCCAGTTTCAGCTTTCTACTTATGGCTAGCCAGTTTTCCCAGCACCATTTATTAAATAGGGAATCCTTTCCCCATTGCTTGTTTTTCTCAGCTTTGTCAAAGATCATATAGTTGTAGATATGTGGTGTTATTTCTGAGGGCTCTGTTCTGTTCCATTGATCTATATCTCTGTTTTGTTACCAGTACCATGCTGTTTTGGTTACTGTAGCCTTGTAGTAGAGTTTGAAGTCAGGTAGCATGATGCCTCCAGCTTTGTTCTTTTGGCTTAGGATTGACTTGGCGATGCGGGCTCTTTTTTGGTTCCATATGAACTTTAAAGTAGTTTTTTCCAATTCTGTGAAGAAAGTCATTGGTAGCTTGATGGGGATGGCATTGAATGTATAAATTACCTTGGGCAGTATGGCCATTTTCACGATATTCATTCTTCCTACCCATGAGCATGGAATATTCTTCCATTTGTTTGTATCCTCTTTTATTTCATTGAGCAGTTGTTTGTAGTTCTCCTTGAAGAGGCCCTTCACGTCCCTTGTGAATTGGATTCCTAGGTATTTTATTCTCTTTGAAGCAATTGTGAATGAGAGTTCACTCATGATTTGGCTCTCTGTTTGTCTGTTATTGGTATATAAGAACGCTTGTGATTTTTGTACATTGATTTTGTATCCTGAGACTTTGCTGAAGTTGCTTATCAGCTTAAGGAGATTTTGGGCTGAGACAATGGGGTTTTCTAGATATACAGTCATGTCATCTGCAAACAGGGTCAATTTGACTTCCTCTTTTCCTAATTGAATACCCTTTATTTCCTTCTCTTGCCTAATTGCCCTGGCCAGAACTTCCAACACTATGTTGAATAGGAGTGATGAGAGAGGGCATCCCTGTCTTGTGCCAGTTTTCAAAGGGAATGCTTCCAGTTTTTGCCCATTTGGTATGATATTGGCTGTGGGTTTGTCATAGATAGCTCTTATTATTTTGAGATATCCATCAATACCTAATTTATTGAGAGTTTCTAGCATGAAGGGTTGTTGAATTTTGTTCAAAGGCCTTTTCTGCATCTATTGAGATAATCATGTGGTTTTTGTCTGTTTATATGATGCTGGATTACATTTATTGATTTGCGTATATTGAACCAGCCTTGCATCCCAGGGATGAAGCCCACTTGATCATGGTGGATAAGCTTTTTGATGCTCTGCTGGATTCGGTTTGCCAGTATTTTATTGAGGATTTTTGCATCAATGTTCATCAAGGATATTGGTCTAAAATTCTCTTTTTTGGTTGTGTCTCTGCCTGGCTTTGGTATCAGGATGATGCTGGCCTCATAAAATGAGTTAGGGAGGATTCTCTCTTTTTCTATTGATTAGAATAGTTTCAGAAGGAATGGTACCAGTTCCTTCTTGTACCTCTGGTAGAATTCGGCTGTGAATCCATCTGGTCCTGGACTCTTTTTGGTAAGCTATTGATTATTGCCACAATTTCAGAGCCTGTTATTGGTCTATTTAGAGATTCAACTTCTTCCTGGTTTAGTCTTGGGAGGGTGTATGTGTCGAGGAATTTATCCATTTCTTCTAGATTGTCTAATTTATTTGCATAGAGGTGTTTGTAGTATTCTCTGATGGTAGTTTGTATTTCTGTGGGATTGGTGGTGATATCCCCTTTATCATTTCTTATTGCATCTATTTGATTCTTCTCTCTTTTCTTCTTTATTAGTCTTGCTGGTGGTCTATCGATTTTGCTGATCCTTTCAAAAAACCGGCTCCTGAATTCATTAATTTTTTGAAGGGTTTTTTGTGTCTCTATTTCCTTCAGTTCTGCTCTGATTTTAGTTATTTCTTGCCTTCTGCTAGCTTTTGAATGTGTTTGCTCTTGCTTTTCTAGTTCTTTTAATTGTGATGTTAGTGTGTCAATTTTGGATCTTTCCTGCTTTCTCTTGTGGGCATTTAGTGCTATAAATTTCCCTCTACACACTGCTTTGAATGTGTCCCAGAGATTCTGGTATGTTGTGTCTTTGTTCTTATTGGTTTCAAAGAACATCTTTATTTCTGCCTTCATTTTGTTATGTACCCAGTAGTCATTCAGGAGCAGGTTGTTCAGTTTCCATGTAGTTGAGCGGTTTTGAGTGAGATTCTTAATCCTGAGTTCTAGTTTGATTGCACTGTGGTCTGAGAGACAGTTTGTTATAATTCATGCAGTTTTTCTAGATCAATAATCAGTGGTGCTTTTGTACCTAGGTTTTATGTGATTTTAATAAAACATGGATAGTTATGGCCACCTGCTGACAATTTGAGGTTTAAAATATTTAAAATGTAGATATCTTTCCATAGGTATACCTGTGTGTCAGCTCCAAAATAAATGTGCAATGGAAATCTATAAACATTTAAATTTAAATGTCTAGATATAAAGCTCTGTGAATCTCATTTATTGTTAAATTTAGTAGTAATAAAAAATTCTTACTTGTTAAGCAATTTTAATGTATATATTTTTTCAAAAACGTGCTCTGTAGTTGCAAAGAAGTCATAGCTAAAATGAGGCAAATGTACAACTTATGTCCTAATTCCAAAAACAAAACTATAAAATTTTTTTCAAAAAATTGTCAGCAAAAATTGTATTTAAGTGGTCTGTGTGTACATTTTAATGTGTTTGATATGATTTGGAAGGATGATTACTCTATCCTTTGAACAAAATAGAGTCTGTCTCAGAAAGTGTAAATACTTCATTCCCATCAAGTCTCTGTATTTTCCACAAATTTTCCCTCTTGTCTAAAATAACGTGCACATTTTTTGAAAGAAGCCTCTATGTGCAAACTTTAAAAGTCAAGGATGGCCAGTAAGTCCCTACAGGAGATGGAGGGGGTGGGCCTGAGATGGAGCAGCCTAGTTGCCTTGAATGTTACATGAATGCTTAAACAGGGGTTTAGGGCCCCTCTCTTAGGCCTCTGGGCTCTGAACTACTTTGAGAGAACATCCTTCTTGAGTCATAGACACATCTGTCAAACCTTAACTGTTGAAAGGAATGGTCACTCATAATCTTCCTATTCTTGCAAGGTCCTAGGAACATGGATGCTGAGATGGTGTCTTCTCCATATTTTCATGGCCAGACTTCCTGTTAAGGCTGGAGGTGAGAAGTGGAAGGACCACTTTCTACGGCTTCCTCCCCAGCCCCTTTGGATGGATCTTCATACACTCTGGTGCCCTTTCTTATCTGTGAGGTTTGACCTGACACTGAGTTGAGAGTCCGAGGACCTGGGTTTAGTCCTATTTCTGCCTCTTTCTTTCTAACTGCATAACTTTTGACAACACTAAAGAAACTCCATTTTCTTATTTGCTATGAGCTTGATTATGTCTATGTTTCCACAGTCACATGTCTGTGTAGGGATTATGTTAATTTATGTATGTGACAGGAAAGATTAGGATATTCAATTCCTTTAACAAATAATTATTGAATGCTAGGCACTACTTCAGACACCAAAGCAACAGCAGGAACAAAACAGGCACATGTAGTATTGCTGAACTGTACCAAATTCCTCTCCACTGAGGCTCATTTTGCATTCCCACCAGAAGGTGTGAAAATGCCTGCTTTACCTCATCATCATCTATTCTCAAACTTGTAGATTTTTGTCAAGCTGATAGTGAGAATGGTATCTCAAACTAGTATAGTTTTGGTTTATGCTTCTAGTATTACAAACAAGCTTTAGCATCTTTTCATATATTTAAGCATCATTTGTATTTTTTGTGAGCTATCTGTTTGTATCTTTTGCCCATTCTTATTTCTTATTTTGTGTGTTTGTGCCTTCTTACCCCACCTTTTTCACTCTTTTCAAAATTAGGTTGGTTTTTCTACTTGTTGATTCCAAAAAAAAAAAAAAAGAGGATTATCTATTCATTTACTTACTTATTTAGTTGTTGACTGTTTTGTGAACTTATACTTTTATTAATTTTTATGGGGAATTCATGTAGCTGTGTTCTACAGATCCTTATATGTCTAGTTTAATTATCATTTTCTAAAAATTCTGCAATTTCATTTTATTTTCAGTTCCTTTTATTCAACAGTTTTAAAATAATATGTGTGTGTGTGTTTATATATATGTTTTTAATTTCCAACAACAACACAGATTTGGTAAAATCCATCACTATTACATGTTCTTTTAAGAATGCTATTTGTGGCCAGGGGCAATGGTTCATGCCTTTAGTCTCAGCACTTTGGGAGGCTCAGGAGGGCGGATCACTTGAGCTCAGGAGTTTGAGACCAGCCTGGGAAACATGGCAAAACTCCCTCTCCACAAAAAATACAAAAATTAGCCAGGTGTGGTGGCAAGGGCCTGTAATCCCAGCTACTCGGGAGGCTGAGGCAGGAGAATTGCTTGAACCTGGGAGCTGGAGGCAGCAGTGAGCTGAGATCATACCACTGCACTCCAGCCTGGGTGACAGAGTGAGACCCTGTCTCAAAAAGAAAAGAAAGAGAGAGAGAGAGAGAGAGAAAAAGAGAGAGTGAGAGAAAGAGAGAGAGAGCGAGAGAGACACAAGCAAGCAAGCAAGAAAGAAAGAAAGAAAGAAAGGAAGAAAAGAAGGAAAAGAAAAAGAAAGAAAGAAATAATTCTATTATTATTATTATTATTATTGAGACAGGGTCTCCATCTGTCACCTAGGCTGGAATGCAGTAGCACAATCTCAGCTCACTGCAACCTCTGCCTCCTGGGCTCAAGCGATTCTCTTTCCTTAGCCTCCTGAGTATCTGGGACTATAGGCATGTGCCATCATGCCCAACTAATTTTTGTATTTTTCTTTTTGTTGAAATGGTATCTCATTATGTTGCCCAGGCTGGTCTTGAACTCCTGAGCTCAAGCAATCTGCCCGCCTCAGCCTCCCAAAGTGCTGGGATTACAGGCATGAGCCACCACACCTGGGCCTATTTCTATTTTTGAATAATGCATTGAAGTTTTCTTTGTGACCTGATATTGAATATTTCATGTGTAGACGGTATAGTTTTTTCTTGTTAGGTTAATACATTGCTGGACTATATGTCTGTAGAGTTCTTTATATCTTATTGAATGTACTGTTTCTTCTCTACACTTACTGTCTTGAGCTGAGAGAGATGATTAAAGTGCCCTATTATTACTATGTTATTTTCTTTAAGTTTTTCCTTGTATCTCTTATAGTTTCTGTGTCATCAGAGTTGTGCTACATTATTGAATGCATAGATATTAAAAACCATTATATCTTCATTGTGAAATTATAGCATTTGGCATTTTAAAGCTTCCTTCTTAGTCTTATTTAATGCCTTTTGATCTAATCTGGGATCAAGATCATGACTCCTGATTTCTAAATTTTGTTTTAACCTGCATTTTCCTGATATATATTAACTCAACCACCCTGTTTACAAATTGTTTTCTGACTCTCTTTGATTTGCACACCTCTTGTAAGGAGCATAGACTTGTATAGAGCTAATATGCAACTTGTTCATCTAGTAGTGAGTTAAGCTCTTGACATTATTGTTATAAATATGTTTGACCTCAGTCTATCACGCTCTTTTATGTCCTATTTATGAAAATATGTATCTTTTACATAAATAACATCATCCACTCTGTTATCTGTGTTATTTGCTTTTTTCTAGAATGTCTTTTGGTGTTGAGGAAGGTTTGTATTTGTGTTGTTATCTTATAGTACATCTTTATGTAATATGTATTCTGTATTCCCCCTTCCCTTTAATAAATGGCATATTCACTCTCCACTCTAAGTAATGATGGAATTTTCTGGAAATTTTCACCTTACCCTCCTTCTTCCTTTCTCAGTATCTAATGTGAAGTGATATCCTTTCACTCCCAGTTTTTCCTTGTAAGCATATGCTTATATTAAGACAATCAGGGAGCTCATTCTACTTTCTGTATGCTTTCTCTTTCTCCCTTCATTTTTTTGTTAGCTGTATTGTATTTAAATTTTCAGTGCATATAACATGAAATGCTATTCTGTCACCTTTATCCACATTATGTAGTCTTAGTTCTACAGTGGAATATATTTAAATGTGCATCATCAGATTGTATGCCAAACAGTTCTGTGATTCTGGGTTTAGTGTGTATGTATGTGCGCTGATTCTCTAGTAGATTCCCCAGAAAGGGCTTATGGGAGCAATATTCCCTGAGTCTTTGCATTTTCTTTGCTGTTTTTCTTTGGCCTTTATGCTTATAAGCCAGCATGAATTGATATAAAATCAATTTGTCCTCAGAAGAACAACCTTGCCTTTCACACATTCACCCTTTACTACTCTGGCTCCAGCTCTAGGTTTTTGCTTGGTGTGTTAGTTTTCTATCACTACTGTAGCAGTTTACCATAAACTTAATGCCTTAAAATGACAAAAATTTTATTCTCTTACAGGCCTGAAGGTCAGGAGTCTAAAACTGAGGTGGCAGAAGGGCTATGTTACTTCTGAAGGCTCTAGAGGAAAGTGTCTTGCATTTCCAGATTCTATTCTCCACACATTCTTTGGCTCATAGCACATGGCTACAGCCGCTGGTTTCATCACCACACTTCCTTTTACTGACTTTGATCCTCTTGTCTCACTCTTGTAAGGAACCTTGTGATTATATTGGACTCACCCAGATAATCCAGAATAACCCCCCACCATCTCAAGATTCCTAACTTAATCACATCTGTGAAGTCCCTTTCTTGCCATATAAAGTGACATATTCACAGGTTTCTGAGATTAAGTCCCGGACGTCTTTGGAGGTTGTTATTTAGCCTACGTGTTGTTTTTGTTTGGTTGTTGTTTATTCCACATTTTGTTTTTTCCTTAGCGATTTCCCTTACTTCCTGTAAACCAGTAACACAGTGAAAAAAATGCTTTATGCAGGATCTAGTTATTTTGTCTTGGGAAATCTTTCAGATTATCTAGTCTTCTGTACTGACAAAAGCACAAGACCCCCAAGAAGTTTCTAAACAATATTAATTGGCTCCAAACCTTAGAACCAGCATCTGTAGGGTTAGGTTTATACATTTTTTTTTTTTTGAGATGGAGTCTTGCTCTGTTGCCCAGGCTGGAGTGCAGTGGCACAATCTCGGCTCACTACAACCTCTGCCTCCTGGGTTCAAGCAATTCTCCTGCCTCAGCCTCCTGAGTAACTGGGATTACAGGCATGTGCCACCATGCCCAGCTAATTTTTATATTTTTAGTGGAGGTGGGGTTTCACCTTGTTGGCCAGGCTGGTCTTGAACTCCTGGCCTCAGGTGATCCGCCCACCTAGGCCTCCCAAAATGCAGGGATTACAGGTGTGAGCCACCACGCCCGTCCCTATAAATCTTTATTTTAAAACTGTTCTTCTGGTCACTCTTAAAATAAACCAGAATTGATAGTCTCTACCCCATAACATGGTTTATATCTGGTGGGTGAGACATCATGAGAGGTCAGAGCTGACACTGAGGGGGAGGTAGGAAGGGAAGCACAAAATTCTGGCCCCTGGCTCAGTACCTGGTAACACAAGCTTTCTCGCTCTTTCCCTACACAGCCACTGGGGGCCTTCTTCCATTTCTTGGTAATCTTAAATCAGCTTTCCTGTGTGACCTTACAGGTGAATAGCGGTTTAACGCTATAGAATTAGAGGTAGTGAAAGACCAAGAGGAATTTTGCCTATCTATCTAAATACTAATTGTCTTTTCAGGGCCATCATAAAGAAAGCGCCTTTTGTATGAAACCTTTGCTGGTCCATCTCTGCCAAGTATTAAGTATGATATATAGCAGGAATCTCATATAATATTTTCTCAACTAGTTGCTCTTCAAAGGTAGGGACTATGTCCAGTTCATCATCTCATAACTCTACAGCCTTTGGCCTGTAATATCAATAGAAGGTGGTTGAATGAGACACAGAGGCCAGTGGCTTAAGGTTTTATTGATGCATTAGGGTAGATGGGGCAATAGAGAGATGTCAGAGATAAAAATAGTCCTGAAACCCCCCACAAGATGAGGACAATTCAGTACAAAGGGGTGACTTGCTCTGAGTCTTCCTGCTCCTGAGAGGGTCTGCACCGCAAAGCAGGTAAGAAAGAAGAGTTCAGGATAGAAAGCTCCTTGCAGAAATTATCTCATTGAGAAAGACCTAAAAGGGAAGCTGCATAATGAAGAGCTGATGTCCAGGGATGCACCCACTGGATTGGCCATGCAGGACAAGCCAAACTCTCTCCAGCTGTCTTCTTCCAGTACTGGACATTGGAGTCGGGGAAGTCATGGCTTGGTGCTTCTCAAGTAGGAATACAGCTCTCTAGCTGTGATGCCTCGCTTCTCTTCTGACTGGGCTGCATCCTGGCCCTGTGCTGAGGAAACACTGGTATGCAAGTTGCCCTGGTCCAGCCTGAGGATCACTGTCTCCCTTGAGTGGTCATCAACCCATTCCTCACCAACCACTGTGGGCTGTCTGTCTCCCTGCCCTTCTGTCACACAGCGCCTTGGGTGAGTGCTGCTCCACTCCTGCCTTCCTGACTCAGTGCTTGCCCCAGTCTGGGCCTGTCCTCCCGGTACTGTCTCTCCTGCCTCAGGGTTGCTCACTTGCATCCATCTTTGACCACTGCCTGGCTGCGTCTGGGTCTGTCCCTGTTCTCTAGCCCCTCCGTGGCTTACAGTTTGGCTTCTGTCCTGCTCCACAGTCTCGGTGTGTGACCCTGCCTGTATCTGAGTGTGTCCTCCTGTCACAGCCTGGCTGGTCTGGCTCCTGCCTTGACCGTGGATCTCAGTCCCTCTGTTCTGGCCATTGGTGGACTCCTGTGTCTGGGTGCTGGTGCTTCCTGTCTGGTGGCTGCTGTCCTGCTCCACGGTCTGGGTGGGTGTCTGGGTGTGTGTCCCTGCCTGTATCTGAGCATGTCCTCCTGTCACAGCCTGGCTGGTCTGGCTCCTGCCTTGACCGTGGGTCTCAGTCCCTCTGTTCTGGTCATTGGTGGCCTCCTGTGTCTGCTTGCTGGTTCTTCCTGTCTGGTGGCTGCTGTCCTGCTCCACAGTCTGGGTGGCACCTGCCTGGGTCTGAGTTCCAGATCCAGTCACAGTCTCACCTGTCTGGTGGGCTCTGTCCTGTTCCCTGGTCTGTGGCTGTCTCTCTGGCCTCATCTCTGTTGTCTGATTCCTCTTGCCTTCTCCAGCTTTCTGGGTCTGCTCTGTCTGCCCAGAGAGTTGTATCTGCGGGCTTATTCTTTCCTGGCTCTGGGACTCAGCTTGCCTGTCATAGCTGCTGACCCACGCAGAGCCAGTGGCCTGACCCTGGGTCTGAACCCCAGGCCTGTTCTGCCCTCTGGAACCCTGCTGGCTCTGTCTGTGGCTGCTCCCCTCATAATGCTGCCCTTTCCCCGCCCTTCCCACTTCAGTGCCACTTCTCTGTCCTTCGCCCAGCTCCTGCGAGGCCCCAGAGTGGAGGCTTCCAGACTCTTGAGAGCCGCAGGCTCCCTCAGCACTCTCGCTCAGTGTCTTGAAACAGGCCTGGGCAACTTTAAACACTAAGACCAGGAATTCCTTGAATTCCACAGTCCCTGTGTGGTCTTCATCCAGCAGACGCAGGACCTCATCCACAGTTGCTGGATCGTGGGGTTTCTGAGGAGAAGATGAGGTGGAGTCAGCATCCCTCCCCTGAGGAGGACATGGGCAGGTCCCTTCCAATCTGCTGCCAGCTTCCCCTGCCTCAGACCCCACACTACACACACATACGGCTAGAGCAGCAGCAAGACTTAATTGCCTTTATTTTTTTTTAGTCCCGTCTCTCTCCCTCAAGTGTAGAGAGCATTTTTTGTTTGGTAGCCTCTATTTGGCACAATTTCTGGGCTACAGGAAAATTAGATAAAGATTTATTGAAGAGTTAATAAATTATTGAATTCACAATGCAACTGTTTGGGCTCTCAAGTTGACTGTCTGGGCTGCCCTTGGCACCTTGCCCCTGGCACTGAGGCCTTAGTCTCTTCAGCAGGCCCAGCACAAAGAGCAGCAGGTTGGGAACACAGCCCCATGGGAATTCTGTGCGCTCCTCATTGAGGCCCAGATGTTTCCCCATGATAAAGAGGGAGGGAAGCAGTGGGCCCCTGCAGCGCTGCCCTGAGCATGTGGATGCAGCATCCTTCTGTGCCCATATGTCCTTGTCCCTAAGGCCATCATCATCCTGGTTGCTTTAGATGCAAACCAAAGACAGGAAAGTGCATCAAGGCCTTGGTTCTGGTTTGCCAGGTGGGGTGGGGTGAGGCTCCAAAGTCTCCCCCTAGCTATTAACAACCTGCTCTTCAAAATTTCATTTCTGATGTGATCAGTCTGCTAATATTTTTGAGTAACTGCTTCGTGCAAGCCCAGAGCTATGCTTCTAATGAATGTCTATGAATGGATGATTACATTTCAGATAGACGTGGGAAATATTTACTGTATCAAATTTAAGAGGCGGCAGAAAGCAGCAATTATTTTCATTTTGAAATATTCCAAGGCTCTGCTCCTGTCTGAGTTGTCCTTTTAGAGCCCTTTTACCTTGTCTTTAAGTTAGAATTAATTAAAACCAAGGTTTTAATCTAAAGAGCCAGGACTTGCCAACTCCCATGACCATCTCTGGTTCTTTCACCTTTTTTTCTGCCTGCACAGCTGCCATCTGTCCCGGCAGGCCTGGGTTTAGCTGCTGCCTCCTCAAATTCCCCAGGCAAGGCCTCTGCAGGCAAACCAGGTTTCACTCTCCTGCTATGTCCCCTCTCCACCCGGCTCAGCACACCGTACCACAATCACATCGGCAAACTCTTGCTCCAAGAGTCTTTTCAGCTCCCCTCGGGTGAGCGCTGTGCAGTTGCCCTCCGTCCTTGCATAGCGCCTGAAGGCCTCGATGATCCCATTAATGTTTTGCAGTAACTGAGGCATCTTTGAAGTCAACCTGGAAAAGATGAAAAGTTCCCTTGGAGGCTCCATAATCAACCTCAGCTATTTCCTTTATAGCACGTCTGCTGCTAGGTCTTTCCTTGCACGTTCAGCTCTGTTTTTAGTTTTCCTTTGTCCTTTCCTACATAATGCATCTTATGTATGGGAAGGAGGAGCACACAGGATGGAGGCAGGTTCCTGAGTCAGGATTAAATGCTGGCCCCACCACTTAAGTATGGTGTGAGCTGGGACAAGTTGCTTTGCCTCTCCATGCCTCAGTTTACTACTCATTGTAATTGAAGGTGATATTAGTACTCTGTGGGATTATTGTGAAGATTTAAAGACATAATTCATAAAAAGCACTTGGCAGATGCCTGGCTTATATTAAGTGCTCCTTATTAAATATAATTATTATGCTATTATATACATATACACACATATAATTTTTGTACACCTATATAATCACTTTCCTGTACATCATCTCTTCTAATCCTTATTATTTCCACTTTTTTTTATAGGTGAGGAAACAGGCTCAGAGAAGTTAGGCCACACAATTTTTAAGGAGCCAAGAAATCCTAGGATCCATTTTTCCTTAACCCAAATGCAATGGGCTTTCTAGAATGTACCCTGTGGACAGGATTTATTTATTTATCACAAGGGTGTTAGGGTCCCATCGGGAACACCAAAAGGAAGTAAATACATCTGTGAGTCAACCCCTGTCTTGGATGGGAGCCAAGCAGAAATTCCAGGGACACAGCCCTCCCTTCTTGTTTTTTTTGGGAAAGTGGGAAGAAACTGGGCTACCACCTGCTGGGAATGCTCAGGAGGGGGGAACCTTCTTTGGGTGGGAGGCCTTCCAGTTCTGAGGGTCCAAGTTTCTCTGCATGTCGCCTCTGTCCACAGCCCTGAGACTTATCAGAGAAGTCAGCTTGCCCAACAGGCACGTGGCTCCATCAGGCCCAGATTTCTGGTGACCTATGAGTTGGTTCCTAATCAAAGGGAAAGCTTTTCTTTTTCATTAGCCAGAAATCTAGAGGTAGGTTGAGGTGAGGCCTGGGTTTGGTTGCATGAGCAAAAGGAAAAGAGACTTGAAGATTCATTAAGCAGAAGCCTTGGAGAGACCCAAAGGAGGAGATGGTATCAAAGATGACAAGTCTCAAATGCAAGGGGAGATGGAGCCTGTAGCAGCTGGAAAGCCAGAGAGAGGATGGGACGAGGCAGATATAGGTAGGAGAAGAAAGAGAAAAAAGGAAGGAAGGAGACTTGAGTTCTAGAAAAAGCAGATTAGTGTGGCCATGAGGACTCAGTAAGTCATAGCAAAAGGTGGGCTGTTCAGGAGAAACCCTTTCTAGGACCTGGTAACCAACAATTTCAGGCAAACTTTTCATCAAGGTAAAAAACTGGGGATGTTTTCCTCAACATAGATGAAAAATATCTTTCTTTTTTTTTAAAACCATGTAGCAGACTTTAACCACTGACCTTTAGATAATAAAATAATAAGATGACCTTTTAGTTACATTTTAGATTCCTTAGAAAAATCTACACATATTTTGCCTAAATATCACCCTGGTGTAGGAGAGGGGAATCATGTAAACCCCTTCATCCATGACACAGTTTGATCTTATTGTCTAGGTTGGCATAAGTAAACTGATTCTGATCCCATAGACTCTCAGCACTGCAAAGAAGCTTCCAGAGCCTTAGAAAAAAGAAACCTTTGCTGATCCAGGAAGGCACATGGGTGGCCCCATAGCCGCTGCCCACACAGTTTCCCAGTGAGAGGAGCTGCTCCCAGGCCAGCCTCAGGGAGGAGGAGAAAGCCTGATTGCTTCAGGAGAGCATGTTTCCCAACGGTAGCGTTGGTTTGCCCAGTGCTCACAGCTAGCTCTGAAGGATGCATAGTCCATACCTGACTGCCCCAGTTTTATGAGCTCAGATCACCAAGACACTGAGAATGAGAAAGAGGTTTCTTATGAGGGGACTTACCTAATGCCCAGGTGGGATGAAACAAGTGGCTGTTAAGTGGTGTGAGGAGTACCAGGTCAGTGTGATGAGAACCTTTTATAGGGGTTTTAACCAAGGCTCTTGTTTTAGACAGGATATCCTGCCCTATGGGAAGGCTTGATTCATCCAAGATCCAGCCCAGCCCAGCCACACCTCCTCTTGTCTCTGTTTTACCTGCTGATGTGTGACTGCCTTGGTCTAATTAACAGGCCCCTCCTACCACATTTGGTACCTTCTGTAGCTGAGTCCTCTTGACAGGGAAGCTTCTTTCCATTGTGATGGGCTCAGCAGTGCTTGGTACAGGCTGGGGTCCTGGTGAACATTCTTTGTCTCTATGAGCCTACAAAGTTATGGGACTCTTTCCTTTTTTTTTTTTTTTTTTTTTTGAGATGGAGTCCTGCTCTGTCGCCCAGGCTGGAGTGCAGTGGTGCGATCTTGGCTCACTGCAACCTCCGCCTCCTGGGTTCAAGCAATTCCCTGCCTCAGACTCCTGAGTAGCTGGGATTACAGGTGCCTGCCACCATGCCCAGTTAATTTTTGTATTTTTAGTAGAGACAGGGTTTCACCATGTTGAACAGGCTGATCTTGAACTCCTGACCTCATGATTCACCTGCCTCTGCCTCCCAAAGTGCTGGGATTATAGGTGTGAGCCACCGTGCCTGGCCACTGTTTCCTTTTTTAATATAAATGTTCAAGAATATATCTATTGAGGTTAACTTTTACAAAGTAGCCACTCTGAGAGGGCACACATGTTTTTGTGGTGATGTTACTTAGAACTGTTATTACTTAGAACATTTTTTGAATTCTTGTTTTGTAAGTGCCTTTCACACCTAGTGTATGAGACACAAGAAAGCCAGTTTCATCTCTTTAAAGTTGGTCTCATTTTTAATTAAAACAAAAAAAGTTAATACCTTCCCCACCCCATGCTATGGGTAGGTAGCATTTTGTAGCTGATGAGAAAAAAGGCTTACCATGATCATGTGGTAACTCCTCATTGCAAGGACAGGAAACTCAACTGGTGGCTAATCAGCAAATATTTATGGAAAGCTTGCTCCATTTCAGGCAGAGGGCTAAGGCCCTAGGAATACAGTGTTGAATACGATGGCAGCAGTTTCAACTCTCATGAAGTCTATAGCCTGGCCATCCCAGGGGTAAGTCCCCAAGAGGTTAATGATAATGGTATTGCCATTTCATTTCATTTGATTTTATTCCATTTTCATTACCATCTCATCTTATTTGATCTCCCTAGCAATCCTCTGAGGTGGTATGGCTAAGCCCAATTCATAAATGAGAACACTGAGAAATCCTCAGAGAAGTAGCCACTCTGTGAAGCGGAGACGGTGCTGGACTAGAGCCCCTCAGACTCCAGGCCTGTGTTCTCTCTGTTGCACCATGCTGCCATTTATTCTTCTCTCATTGAGTTTTGGCACCTTATGAACATCACACTTATCCTCAATGCATGAAGAACCATTCCTGAGGAGGAAGTTTTCTGAGCTCAGAAGCCAAGTCCCAAAGAGTGCTCTTGAGTGGCACTTTGCAGATAATATATACTGTGTAGCTTCCTGAGTGACTCTGGAAGGGAAAGCCATCTTTACCATCCTCACTTATAGATCAGCATGCAACAGACAGGAAAGGGAACAACAGGATAGGAAGGCATGGTAAGGGCCTTGGTTGAAGAGACTGGTGTATTGAGGGCAGCCCTGTAGCAACAGCACAGCCTCCAGCACTTCCCCTCAGGGCACAGAGCACTGGGGAGTTCCAGACTGCAGGAGGGCAGGATGCAGGCTTTGTGTTTGGAGAGATCTGTCTACATGGGGACAGGTTGGCTCCAGTCCTGGGGTGAAGGTGGGGTAGGCATACCAGCCAGGGAAAAGCAGAGTAGGGGCTTCAACCTTTGGGAGCAAGAGGGGGCTGAGGTTGCTTCTGCCTGATCAGAGTTAGAAGAAGGCCAGTATGAGAGGGTGAAGTTGGAGAACAAGAGGGAGAGCCGATTAGACCTTCTTCTGTGGTGGTGTTTGAAGCTTTTTCTGATGGGGCTTAGAACTTCCAGAAAGGTTTGGGAACTGAGGGTAAGTTAGGGAAGTAACAAGCCAGAGGCTGTATCTAGAAGATGAATATTTGGTAGGTATTATTAACCCAATTTATAGATGAAGAAACCAAGGCACAGAGAGTAAGTAAGTAAACTTAAGTAAACTACCTAAGGTCACATAGCTAGGAAGTTAGACCTGAATTTGAACTTAGGTCTGCCTGCCTCCAAAGCCTAATAGGTCTTTATGTGTGCCTGGGGCAGGACTGAGCTGTGAGGAGCTGGGGCACCATAGAAGTAGAGGTTAAAGAACTGTATGTGTGTGCTGGGCCAGTGGAGGTGGGTTGAAGTGTGCAGGTGGGGCTGGGGGAGATGAGTTGGCAGAGATTGGGACTGAGCCTGTAATTGACTGTGTAAGTTTGTTAGTTTATAAAGTTGGTGAGGAGATGTTATAAGTTAGTGTGCAAGTTGTCAGAATCAAAATGGAGTCACTTGTCTTCAAAAAAATCCTTGACAAATATAGAGCTAAGGAAGGCTGCGAAGAGAGAGTTCTCATGCTTGTACACCTGATAACACAACTATCACAAAAGACTGCAAAAACCACAACCTTACACAAAGGCCATAATAGCCTTACACAACAAACACTTCTGTGAGGACATCAGTCCAGCAGCTGCCTGTCCAACTTCATATTAGCATCACCATTGTTATTGATCTTTGTAGCCAAGAATACACATTTCAATAAAATTATGTAATTTTCATTGTTTTTCCTGTAAGAACTTTTGTTTTCCTTTACCTCCTGAATATGCACGTAGTTTACTATGGCACATGTATTCCCATTGCAATGCCCTATTCTCAAATAGGTAACTTTTTTTTTAAGAGAGATTCACTGTGGTTATTATTTAAGTTGACATTAGTGAGTCTACTTAGCAGTTACATTTTACGGGTATGCTGGAGGGCAGTGAGACCAGGTGCTGGATCAGCAACTCAGCAATGAAAACCCAGTTTTGCACTTTGACTCCTTCTTATACACTTACTCAACAATGTATTGCTGACCTCTACTTGATTTATTTCTACAAGATACAAGCAGTATTTGCCACACTTAGTGGGCTATAAATTAAGATTGCTTTCCAGAAAATTAGCCCAATTGGGCAAACAGGCTTTACACACCAAAAATAGTTATTTTAAAATGAAAAGTAGAAATTTTTAGAATGCTAACTAAAAAATATTGTCAAATATCACAAGGTCTGGGGTAAAGAATCACTGCTCAGGAATATGAGAGATCAGGGTCTATGTCAGCAACACCCCCTACCTGTGCTTGTTTTGGTTTGCTAGTTTTATTTTACTTTATTTTATTTGCTAAGTGCCTACTATGTACAGACACTGTGCTAAAAACTTACACATATCATTTTATTTAACCCTCACAACAACCCTATGGTAGCAAAGATATTATCCCAATTTCATAGATGAAGAAATTATCATTAACTAACTTAATTTTCCAAAGACAGAAAATAAATGGTAAAGGCAGGATTTGAACCCAAACCTGTTCAACTTCAGAGCCCAGCATCTTAACCTCTCTGCTTTGCATCTTGGCTGAAGTTTCTTATCTGAAGTCTGGAAAATTCCCTTTGACTTAAACCCAGCTCAACATGGTATGTTCCAGCTTAAACACTACGTGAACTAGCTATGGGACCACAGAGAGTAACAAACAGGGCAAGTTCTCAAATCCAGAGGCCCTGTGAGATGCCGGGGACAAAGCCCAAGGAAATAATCTCTCTTCATACTGACAGTTCTCCTTCTTCCCCCTTCCCCTTTGTTCAGTGGCAAAATCCAGAATGTTTGGCAAAAGCCTCTATAAGTTCAGCCAGGGGGAACAGCTGGGCTTTCATGCAGGTGGTGCTTTTCTTTGGGTTCCCTCCAGTCCTACATCATGATCGTTATCTCCTGACTGCCCCAAACAGCTATGTACTTACCACACACACACATACACACACTCGCGCGCGCATACACACACTCGCGCGCACGCGCGCGCGCACACACACACACACACACACACACACACATACACACACAGAGGCCGAGGCAGACTGCTCAGCAGGCTAAACTCCGTCTGTCTAATGAAGTGTCTCTTCCAGTGCAGCTTCATCAGTGTCTGCTGTCAGGTCCTGATTGGCTGGTGGATGAAGGGGACAGGGAGACACCATGGTAAGCTACATGGATCCTCTTGGGTCAGGTGGCAGGTAACTGTTAACCCTGACATGGCTGCCTTTAAATTTCTGCCATTACAAATGCAGCCAAAAACCCAACCCTTAAAGAATGCTGCTCACCAGACATCTTCACCTTCACCCAGGAGCACACAACGGTAATATGGGACAATGAATGGCTACAGGGTGGCCACTCACATCTCTCTCAAAAAGTAGCAGATGAGCAAATTCCATGATCTTGGTCTTTACCTTCAGAAAAGAACAAAACCAAATCTGAAAGCTGGAGAGATGTTTTCTAGAGTTGCTTGGGTTATGAGAGAATTTGCTGGTTCATGTTGCCCACGTATCCTTACTGAAAGACAGGGTTGTGGGGGAATGGTTCTTAGAGGAAAAAAGAACAGTGAGAAGTTCTGGGCCTTCTTACTTTCTCTCTGCCTAACTTGGAATCTCTTTCCTCAAACCCGCTCCACATAGCCCCTGATCATAAAATCCCGGAAGCCCAGATGCTCAAGTTTTGCCCTGGAAATGCCAGGGAGGATTAAGCAGACATTGGAGACGCACCTGTTGACACAATTTCCAGTGGCTTAGTGAATATCTCTCAGGCTATCTGGGCCTAATCCCTGAACAGACAGGTTGTGTTGGCCCTGCAGTTTCTCTGAGTTCTGATCTAGGCAGCAGGCACATGGCTAACATGATTGTTAGTATTCTTGGTTTTGCCAGAAGAGCTGGAATCTGCCATTTAGTAGGGACTCTGCATATCCTATATCTAGGTGTTCAATCCATAGGCAGAACTCCTAGAACCTGCAAACTGGAAGGTTCCAAGCTCTTTTTTTTCCCAAGGGGAAAAGAAGAAAAATCATGGCAGGAGCGGTGAGCTCCTTTTCCTACTTCACCACTGCTCCTTCTCAGAACCCTACAAAGTCCTGGTGGTGCCAAAAGTTTATTAACTTAAATGTAAAGGAAACAGACTAATTTTCTCACTATGTCCTTATTCCTATCATAATCTCTGGTCAAAGTATGGGCCTATTATTCCCTGCAAAACCCCAACTCTGGCTGCCTTCTTGACTTCCTGCAACCCTTCTTCCAGCCTTGCATGCTTCCTCTCCATCTCCTCCATGCAAAAGCCCCCCATTCATTCAGAACAGCTCAAATAGCACTGCCTCCATAATATATTTTCAGATCAACCCACTCCGATGAAGTCTCCTGCAAACATATTCACTTGCTCCAAATATTCTTTTGTTGGTACATTTCACAGCATCTATTTTACTCTACCATCATTACCATTGATTGTCTATTTGCTTTATCATCTTTTCTAGATCATCTCCCTTTTTGAGGACAAGGCTGTTTTGCAGTAAATGTGTAATGACTTGATATGAAAGCATCGCCCATTTCTCAGGAGAGCACAGCTTTCTCCAGAAAACATAAGGGCTGGGTGCTATGTCACTTAAGTCATGCCTGGCCCCATATTTCCACCCCTTTAGAGCTCTTGGGCTTCATTCCTATGCTCATGAGTATAGAGTGGATACCTCCACATCCAAAGCCAAAAGGGGATCCCAGGAACAAGTTGGTAAAAAAAAACTCGAATGCAGCTCTAATCAGGATGGACTGGATTTGTGCTGGCTTTAACCCTACAAACCTGTTGGTACAGGTCTCCACTGGGGTTGGTCAGTTTTTACCTAGTTCTTTCTCCATTAATCAAAGCACCCATCCCTTCCAGGGAGTTGTGGTATCCAAGATTAAAAGATGATGACAGGGTGTTCTCAGCAAACTGAGTAACAAACAAACACCAAAGGCTTGCAAAGGTGAAAGCCATTAAATAGGAAGTTACTTTGGGGGGTTGGAAATATAGTTCTTATTTAACAGGAAGAGAGTTGGGTGCTGAGTACTAAGGGCCTATGAGGTCATTCTGGAGGCCACTGGCTATTGTTAAACATGAGCATTCATTTTCTTCAGACCACCTTGATGAAGCCAGTTTTGGGAAGATTAGAAAGGCACACAGGCATGGTTCTCATCTCCAGAAGTGCAGAGACCAACACGGCTCCACAGTGTAACTGGCTGCATGACTTGGGAAGCTCTGAGTTTCCTTATCTATAAAATAGTGAGCCTGAGTTTCTTTATCTATAAAATAGTGGTAACCTTTGTTTACACCAAATGGTTATTGTGAGATTAAAAACATACCCTGTGTGTAAAAGTGCATTGTAAACTGATGAACACTAAAACATTATTGCTGTTGTTATTTAAAGTAGTATTAACTTTATTTAAAGTAGTGTTACTTTAGTAACACTAAAACATTATTGCTGTTGTTATTTAAAGTAGTAGTGAATAATCCTTTTGAAGACCAAAAAGAGGAATGGGCATGACATTAATATTCCAATGGATCACTCATTCTATCATTTAAGAGGCATAATCTATGAATAATAACACACACCTTGGAAAATCCAAAAATAGAATTAGAAAATACAAAGCAATATTTCACTAACTGTCCTTTTTCCCCCCAAAAGGATTTACTAAAGACTTTCTTCAGTTACTTTTGTATTAGTTTATATATCCTCACTATTTCAGAACAAAGGAATATAAAGCTGATGTTAGGAGCCATTGTTTTCAGATCATTCCAAAGTGAAAATATAGTTCTCCATGGAACATAAAGAAGTAATATTCAACTCATACAACTTTTGTGTTGCTGAAAGCTAGACACAGCCTTGCAGTCAGCCTTGCTGTAAGTAGTTATTGGCATGTAGAGCTGTATGGGACTCTCTGAGGCGGTGGCTTGCCGAGACCAGCTCGGTCGGGGAGACCCTAACCCAGTAGTGCCAGAGAATTAAAGACACATATACAGAAATATAGAGGTGTGGAGTGGGAAACCAGGGGTCTCACAGCCTTCAGAGCTGAGAGCCTCGAACAAAGATTTACCCACATATTTACTAACAGCAAGCCAGTGGTAAGCATTGTTTCTATAGATAATAGATTAACTAAAAATATTCCTTATGGGAAATAAAGGGATGGGCTGAAATAAAGGGATGGGTCTGGCTAGTTATCTGCAGCAAGAGCATGTCCTTAAGGCACAGATCACTTATGCTATTGTTTGTGGTTTAAGAATGCCTTTAAGCAGTTTTCCGCACTGGGTGGGCCAGGTGTTCCTTGCGCTCATTCCGGTAAACCCACAACCTTCCAGTGTGGGCATCATGGACATCATGAACACGTCACAGTGCTGCAGAGATTTTGTTTATGGCCAGTTTTGAGGCCAGTGTATGGCCAGATTTTGGGGTCCTATTCCCAATGTGTCCCCCTTCTTCAATTTGCAAAGTGATAAAAGCAAAGGCAGCTTTGTCATGGTGAGCTACTTCTTGCAGGAGTCTGGATCTGCATCTGCAGACTATACAAAGACAAACAACACAGATTAAAAGCACAATCATCATTGAAATCACAGCACTTCCAAATGTTTTTATCAATTTTAATGGGTTACTAGCTACTAATCTGTCTGCAGCTCCTTCAAGCACTCCAGTTCCTGGCATTAAGGTCCAGTGTGCCTAGGATGCTTTAAATATTTTTTCTTTTAATTTTGCAAAATCCAAACACAAGTTTGTAGAGTATTCTTCTAGATGCTTATTTTTTCCTAAATTTTGATCTTATTAAGAGCTATTAATAGTTTCCACAAATTCTTATGTTTAGTTCCCACAACGGGCCATATCATTTGAGGTTGAGGTGCCACTATACCACCATGTTTCCAGATAGTAGGAACTCTTGCCATACTTCTTACCGTTTCTACCATCTGACCATTTTGTTCAGACCAGCTGAACATAGTGTGGCTATGGCACGCAGACTGAGAGGTGCAATTCAAGCTAAACATCCCCTTAGGGGACCAATTAATAATGATTCCATAGGAATTGTTGTGCAGCACCTCTGCCGGTTCTGCAATGCAATCTTCCTAAACAAGTACGTTCATTTTTTTCTAACTGGGTCCAACCCTGTTTACAAATAGGTTTCTGAGGGTGGTATGCCTCAATTAGAGGAGCAGATTTATTATGGTAAATATTGAGACAAGAAAGCATGTGTAACTGCATCATAGAGTGATTACATCCAGGCATTATTGCCAGCCAAGATAGATAAAAATGCCCAATAAGTATAATTGTTCTCTGGGCCAGCCCTTATTGAAGGAATACTCACAGAAATGGTGATCACCACTATCACAGCTACCATTAAATTACTTATTGTGACTGGTTGTCCCACTTTCCTCAGGTTTTCTTCCACCATCTATGACAGCATCTTGATCTGTCCCCAGGTGGGTGGCTGTGTTCAACAGGTGTTGCTCGTGACAGTTGGGGTCCTCCTCAGAGTCAGTCTTGACATGGCTGCAACCAGGTGTTCCTCGGGAACCTCCCAGAATATCTTCCTCAAATAATTCACCTTTTAATCTTGGATACCAAAACTCCCTGGAAGGGATGGGTGCTTTGATTAATGGAGAAAGAACTAGGTAAAAACTGACCAACCCCAGTGGAGACCTGTGCCAACAAAGTAGCTTTATGCAGATTACCTACAATACCGTCACAGGCCTTGATATAATCAACTAAATGTGCTTTCCCTCTAATAAGTTGCAGAGCAGCCTGGCAATCAGGATTAGCATTGTTGAACGCTAATAACCATAACACTATATCCAGAGCAGCCGAATCTGCAATCACCTTTTTAAGAGACTCCTGTAACTGAGCTATAAAATCCACACATGGCGTTATTTTGGTCCCTGTTTTACAGCACTAAAGGAAGGGTATTTTTCTCCACCAGAAGTTATTTTTTCCCAAGCTCTAATGCACACTCCTCTAAGCTGTTCTATGGCATCATCCTGCATGACCACTTGTGCATCTAAACCAGCCCAGCCACCAACCCCCAAAAGTTGGTCTGCAGTTATATTAATTTGAGGTTGGGCCTGGGTGTTGTGAGCAGCCTGAATGGAAGCTTCATCTGCCCACCAAGTTTTAAATTGTAAGAACTGAGCAGGAGTTAGATAAGCTCGAGTAAGAGTGTCCAAGTCAGTAGGAATCATCTGACTAGAAACAGCAACATTCTTTAAAAGTCCCATTACAAAAGGAGAACCTGGTGCATATTGAATAATAACTTGTTTAAATTCTTTGAGTAATTTAAAAGGAAAAGGTTCAAATGTAGCAGGAGCATGTCCTTAAGGTACAGATCTGGGGGGTGTATTCTAACAGGGAATTGTCAAGCCTCTAAATCACCTTCTCGTCTAGCTTGCTGAATTCCTGCCTGAATAGAACTGAGAACGGTTGCTCGAGGCGCTGCTCGAACAGTCACTGGGGCAACTACTTTTTGCCTAGTGTCCTCCAGAAAAGAAAGATCTGGAGGGTCAGGCCACTCTTTTTCTTCAAAATAATAATGAGGGGGCGCAAAAGGGTAGGGCTGAACCTCTCTCTCCTTTGCTGCTTTAGCTTTAGCTGGCAAACAAACCTGCTCTGTAACCTCTTCTGTTACTTCGTTATACTCTCCTTCCTCCTCATCTTTAGTGTGAAAAGGTTCCAAGGTGGAACAACCCAGAGCCCACACTTATCCCATGGTTACCCTGATGCTTCCTAGCTCCCCTTCTTACTCACCACGGGGATTGCTTTAAGAGTACTTGGGTGTCCTCCAGCTTAGTTCCACGTTTTCCAACTGTCACTCCGGCGACCCTTCAACCTGGGTTTGAGGCCCCATGTTGGGCTCCACTTGCTGAGACCAGCTCAGTCAGGGAGACCCTAACCCAGTGGCACTAGAGGAATTAAAGACACACACACACAGAAATATAGAGTTGTGAAGTGGGAAATCAGGGGTCTCACAGCCTTCAGAGCTGAGAGCCTTGAACAGAGATTTACCCACGTATTTATTAACAGCAAGCCAGGCCAGTGATAAGCATTGTTTCTATAGATTATAGATTAACTAAAGGTATTCCTTATGGGAAATAAAGGGATGGGCCAAAATAAAGGGATGGGTCTGGCTAGTTATCTGCAGCAGGAGCATATCCTTAAGGCATGGATGGCTCATGCTATTGTTTGTGGTTTAAGAATGCCTTTAAGCAGTTTTCCACCCTGGGTGGGCCAGGTATTCCTTGCCCTCATTCCAGTAAACCCACAACCTTCCAGCATGGGTGTCATGGACATCATGAACATGTCACAGTGCTGCAGAGATTTTGTTTATGGCCAGTTTTGGGGCCAGTTTATGGCCATATTTTGGGGGCCTATTCCCAACAGTGGCTTCTCTGGGTGCCCAGTCTTTCCATGTGAGTGCTAAGAACCTGATTTCTATCCCCTTTCCTGAATTGAAGTCTTCAGGTGCTTGGTAGCCTTATTGTACAGGTTCCACAAATCCATGTGCCTGCCAACCATTGCTGCATATGGAATACATATCTGACACTATGTGTGTACTATTACTTTTCAGACATAGGCTTGTGAAGTGGCAGCAGTGGCCAAGACACAAGTCACTTTTCTCCAGGGTGGGCTTGACAACTAGGTCTGAGACACTGACTACCAAAAGGAGCTGGTTGCAAGCAAGGCCTGGAAGTCTGGATGGTGACAGTGCCTGGCTCACAGAGGCCAAGATCCATCAGCTAAAGCTTCACTCCAGGCTTAGCAAAATTCAGGTGAAATGGATGTCCTGACAAGGAGCATTAGGGGACACTGCAGAGGAGGTGCTGAGGAGTCCAACAAGGTCTGGATGAGACTGTTAGTCCTACACAGTCAGTTCATTTACTGATGAAGAGATGGAGGCTTGGCTTGAGGCTCAGCAGCTGTGGATGGTGCAAAGATTATGTGCCAGGCTGGGCATGGTGGCTCACACCTGTAATCCCAGCACTTTGGGAGGCCGAGGCAGGCAGATCACCTGAGGTCAGGAGTTCAAGACCAGCCTGGCCAACATGGTAAAACCCCATCTCTACTTATAAAATACAAAAAAATTAGCCGAGCGAGGTGGCAGATGCCTGTAATCTCAGCTACTTGGTAGGCTGAAGCAGGAGAATCAGCTGAACCCGGGAGGCAGAGGTTGCAATGAGCAGAGACTGTGCCATTGCACAAGAGTGAAACTCCGTCTCAAAAAAAAAAAAAAAAGACTGCGTGCCCACCATGGTGCTGAGGTGACTCCCGCACATGACACCTTTACTTCTCATACCCTGAAAAGTTCTTCTTCTTCTTCCCATATTTCACAGGCGGAACTTGAGTTTCAAAGAGGTGAAATGACATGTCCAAAGTCACACTGACAACTGTGCAGGGAGATAATGAGGTAAGAGGCAGGCAGGACTTGTCTCTGGACCAGACTGGAGACTGGCTAAAACAGAGAAGAGACACTGAGCATCTCCCATTGCTCTTGCTGCCCATCACCATGAGACACTCCCACCAGTGCCATGACAGTTTACCAATAGTGTGACAACACCTAGAAGTTAATACCCCCTTCCAGGGCAACACTGAGAGGTTACCACCCATTTTCTAGCTATTTCTGAATAACCCACCCCTTAATTAGCATGTCATTAAAAGTGGGTATAAATATGACTGCAACCCACACCCTGTTGCTACTCTGGGTGCACTGGCAATGGGGTAGCCCTCCACAGGAGCAGTCAGGGAGCTGTAACACTGTTGCCACCACAGTAAAGCTGCTTTCTTCCACCACTGGCTGACTTTGAATTTTTTCCTGAGTGAAGCCAAGAACTTGCCCTACATCAATGGAACTGGAGCTGTTTTTTTTTATTCCTGGCTCAGTGGGCTTCTTCCTATGCAAATTTGCCTCCATGGTGGATTTGGGGTAAGGTGGGGAGCATGAATGCCCATAAGCGGTAGGTAAAGTGTTTTTTTCAATGTGAGGGCCTCTTCCACAGCCCTCTCAGCAGGGCAGGAACGAGGACTTTGAGGACTATGGGCATGGGTTAGGGTGGCCCCACAGAAGGGCAAGACTTCAGAAGCAGCTCTCTGATGCAGGAGTGTGGTGCCCTGAAACACCATGTAGTATCACACATGATAGCCTATTTCAACCCTTTAGAAAGGGACTCGGAGCCTCCAAGAACTTAGAGCCTCCTTCTTTGCTTCTAAATTGTTATACTCTTGGCCTGTCCTTGGCCAGGTATGACTTTTGTTGTTGTTATTCCAATGGAAACTGAGGACTTTGCAGGCCAACTGAGCTCAGGATATAGTCTGGCTCCTCCCCTTATGAACTCAGTGACTTAGGACACATCCTTTAACTTCTCTGAGCTTTGGGGTCTTCTCTGAAAATGGAGGTTATATAATACCTTTTCCTTCATGTATTGTGTATAGATTAAATAAACTGGTGAATCTTGAAAGGTTTTCCTGGTGACTGATGACAGTAGGCTCTCAGTAGACAATAGATATATGATGCCAATCATGAAGATGGAGACAAGAGCAGTGATGGTAAAAGATAACCAGCTCTTCAGAGTTGGCTAAAAGTCCTTATACAAGAAGACTTGATATGGTTAGACAGAAAACCCAGAGGCTCCTATGACTCATGAGGGAGGTTTTGTAATGTAACATGGCTGAATAATAAAGTGTGTTTTCACCTATAAAAGATAAATCTACTTAAGTTTCAACATGAACTTCTCTGTTCAGTTGCAAAGTAGGAACAGAGTATTTGATGAAAATTCTGAAATTTTGACTGCAAATGGAAAGAACAGAAAAGTCTCTGCCACTTCTGTAAAAGCTATGGCACAAAGCTATGAATATTTGGGCATATGTTGACAACAGTTGACACAGAATCAGAATCACACAAGAAGCAAATCCAGAGAGGACCACACTTACATGATTTACCAATTCCCCAGTGAGGTGGGTGGGATTCATGTCAAACCCATAAACACTTTGTAAATTATTTTGAAATCTATTGTGAATACAATTTTTCTTAAGCTAATATTTCTATCAAATAATTTATACAATGGTGTGGGTTCTGTCACTTTTAATTATTTTTGCTGTCAGTTCCTAAGATCTAAATTGAAAGAAGCTCATCAGTTTTACTGTGGATGAAGTCCTAACTGGGGAAGGGTGTGCTCACTGCCTTCTAGATTCAGGTGCCCAGACTTGGCTCACAGGTCAGGTCTCTGCATCTGGCCTGGTTCTTGATCTCCCTGGATGTGCCACGCCCATCACTTGTGCTCAGATGGTCTCTCTTTGAACCCGTTGCTGCCTCACATGGAAAACCAAATACAGAACACTGCAAGGTATAAGGTGAAGTCCCTGAGGTGTGTCATCTGGGGAAGGGCCAGCTCTGCTCTGCCACAAGGGACGCATGTGTTTGTTTTGTTCATACTTGGAAGTATGTCTTTGTAACTTGGAAGTATGTCTTTGTAACTTGGAAGTATGTCTTGTATACTTCCAAGCACTAACAAGCCCCATATTGCTTTTTTTTTTTTAACATAATAATATATGTCCCTACAAGCTGTAGAGAGGATATAGGCACCGATAATTACAGGCTAGCTCATCATTGCCCCTGGGGCTCTAGATGAAGAGCACTGTGTTGGAGGTTGGAGACTATTCTCTCATTCTCACTGGCTTCTTCACATGGTCTGTCTACTACTCTGGCTTCTTCAGAGAAACAGAACCAATAGGATATACATAGATATATATGAAGAGAGAGACAGTGTTGAGAGTGTATTTGAAGGAATTTTAAGGAATTGGCTCATACAATTGTGGGAACTGGGAAGTCTGAAGTTTTCAGGACAGGCCGGCAGGCTGGAAATTCAAGCAAGAATTGATGTTTCAGTCTTGAGCCCAAAGGCAGAATGGAGGCAGAACTCCTTCCTCTTCAGGGAACCTCAGTCTTCTCTCAGAAGGCCTTTGACTGATTGGATGAGGCCCACCCACATTACAGAGGGTGACCTGATTTACTCAAACTCCACTGATTTAAATGTTAATCACATCTAAAAAATGTCTTCACAGAAACACTAGACTGATGTTTGACCAAAAACTGGGCATCATAGTCTAGCCAAGTTGACACATAAAATTAACCATCACAGTCTGGGTACTCATTTCATTAACATAGTCCTGGCTTTTTATAATTAGGGATTTCTCCCCTGATTTCTTAGCAAATTAACAGTCTTTTGATATATTGGTCTGGGCTTTTATTTCTTGTCTTTCTTCTCAAGAAGTCTGTTCCAATCTTCTTTATTTTTAATTTCACAATTTTCTTTTCTTATTAAAAGCACCACATGTACATGGAAGAAAATTGAGATATCAAAAGGAAAAATAAAAATGATTATAATACTGCCCTCTGGGAACAATCATTAGATTGTATATCTTTTCAGCCATTTTTCTATGTGCATAGATAAGCAATGACAATACTAACAATAGCTAACATGTATCAATTACTGCATTCCTGATATTAATTCATTCAATCCTCCCAGCATCAGTGAGGTGGATACCATCATTATTTAGGAGAGGGAAACAAGGCACATAGGGGTTAAGTGACTTGCTCAAGGCCACACAGCTAGTGAAGGTCAGAGTCAGACTCAACCACTCAGGTTCTCAACCACCGAGATTTTAAAAACTTCACTATAGTGCCCTTATATACACATATTTTTATATAATATTGGAATTATTCTGTATACAATATACAGTTTATTTTACCTAATTTTTTACATAGGGATGTGGTTTGGCTGTGTCCTCACCCAAGTCTCAACTCGAATTGTATCTCCCAGAATTCCCATGTGTTGTGGGAGAGAGACCCGGGGGAGGTAACTGAATCATGGGGGCTGGTCTTTCCTGTGCTATTCTTGTGATAGTGAATAAGTCTCACAAGATCTGATGGGTTTATCAGGGGTTTCTGCTTTTGCTTCTTCCTCATTTTTCTCTTGCTGTCACCATGTAAGAAGTGCCTTTCAACTCCCGCCATGATTCTGAGGCCTCCCCAGCCATGTGGAACTTTTCAGGTATGTCTTTATCAGCAGCGTGAAAATGGACTAATTCACATAGTAAAAGAAAATTAGGTTTTTAAAGATTATTAAATAGTCTTCAACTTTTCAACATCATTTGTAGTGGTAGTAAAGAATTCTACTGAATGGAGGTGCCATTGCATATTTAATTATTCCACTTTTTAGTTTCTTAGCCTGGTTTTTTTTTTCCTTTTATAAAACACACAACATGAGGCCAGGTGCAGTAGCTCACACCTATAATCCCAGCACTTTTGGAGGCCAAGGCAGGCAGAACACTTGAAATCAAAAGTTCGAGACCAGCCTGGCCAACATGATGAAACCCCATCTGCACTAAAAATACAAAAATTAGCTGGGCATGGTGGCACATGCCTGTAATCCCAGCTACTCGGGAGGCTGAGACAGGGGACTCTCCAGAACCTGGGAGGTGGAGGTTGCAGTGAGCCGAGATTGTGCCACTGTATTCCAGCCTGGGCAACAGAGCAAGAGTCCATCTAAAAAGCAAACAAACAAACAAACCACACAATATGACTATTCTTAAATACATATATTTAAGCCTAATTTAAATGTCTTTCTTAAGTACCCAGAATAAAATTGAGGGGTCAAAGAATATTAATAACTTTGAGGCTCTTATATACAACAGACCAAATTACTCTATCAAAAAGTGGTTTCAATTCATACTCCAATGAATGTTCAGCCCCTGCAAACTCACTGATATGAGGAGCTATAAGCTTTAAAAGTTGCCACTTTAATATATGGTATATCAGTGCTGTGGTTTAAATCCCTTCATTGACTGTGAGTAGAACTTTTTTTTTCAGTGTTTGTTGGCCTTTGTATTTTTTGCCTAAATTTTTTCTTTGTCTATTTTTCCTGGAGATGGAAACTTAACTGCAGTCTTCCAAACTAAATTCTTTTATTTTGGAAATTACTTTTAAACATGTTTTTCTTTAGACTCTGATCATGGTTTCCTTTGTTTTCTGTCATCTCTAGGCCCTGGAATCATGGTGGTCTTCTTATTTTTATTTTTTTGAGATAGAGTATTGCTTTGCCACCGAGGATGGAGTTCAGTGGCACTATCTCGGCTCACTGCAACCTCCACCTCCCAGGTTCAATCGATTCTCCTGCCTCAGCCTCCTGAGTAGCTGGGATTACAGGCGCCCGCCACCAAGCCCGCTAATTTTTGTATTTTTAGTAGAGATGGGGTTTTACCATGTTGTCCAGGCTGGTCTCGAACTCCTGAGCTTAAGTGATCCACCCAGCTTGGCCTCCCAAAGTGCTGGGATTACAGGTGTGAGCCACTGTGCCCAGCCAATGACCTTTTTATAAACTCACTGACCTAGATGGTGGTACCACTGAGCCAGGCCTCAGCAGCCACAGTGGGCTCTGGGCAGAGGCTGGTGCTGCTTCATCTGGAGGAAAAGTTGTTCAGCCACTGGGGCAGGGGATGTGCTTGAGAAGGAGAAGGGTTTGGGGCTGCTGCCACCTGTCTGATGCCCTATCATCCAACCTCTGGGCTGGAAGCTGCTCTGGCTATTGGAGGAGCTCTGGATGAGGTAGGGGACACAGTGCCTGCTGTTGAGGCCAGCTTCTCCTACTCCACTGTGCCATCTCAGGCAAGTCCCACCATCTCTCTGGGCCTTGGGTGCTCATCTGGAAAGCTCAGGGGCAGTGGCTCTTTCATAGGCATGTAGTAAGGATGAAATAGAAAAGTGTCTTGTGGATGGTTACAAATTTTAACAAAAGCAAAGTTATTATTATTTTATTTGTAAAAATGTATGCAATACATTTGTTACAAGTATATAATGGATATAGTGAGCAAGTCAGGGTACTTAGAGTGTCTCTCACCTGAGTACAATACATTTTTTTTAAAAATTATACTTTAAGTTTTAGGGTACATGTGCACATTGTGCAGGTTAGTTACATATGTATACATGTGCCATGCTGGTGCGCTGAACCCACTAACTCGTCATCTAGCATTGGGTATATCTCCCGATGCTATCCCTCCCCCCTCCCCCCACCCCACAACAGTCCCCAGAGTGTGATATTCCCCTTCCTGTGTCCATGTGATCTCATTGTTCAATTCCCACCTATGAGTGAGAATATGCGGTGTTTGGTTTTTTGTTCTTGCGATAGTTTACTGAGAATGATGATTTCCAATTTCATCCATGTCCCTGCAAAGGACATGAACTCATCATTTTTTATGGCTGCATAGTATTCCATGGTGTATAGGTGCCACAGTTTCTTAATCCAGTCTATCATTGTTGGGCATTTGGGTTGGTTCCAAGTCTTTGCTATTGTGAATAACGCCGCAATAAACATACGTGTGCATGTGTCTTTATAGCAGCATGATTTATAGTCCTTTGGGTATATACCCAGTAATAGGATGGCTGGATCAAATGGTATTTCCAGTTCTAGATCCCTGAGGAATCGCCACACTGACTTCCACAATGGTTGAACTAGTTTACAGTCCCACCAACAGTGTAAAAGTGTTCCTATTTCTCCACATCCTCTCCAGCACCTGTTGTTTCCTGACTTTTTAATGATTGCCATTCTAACTGGTGTGAGATGGTATCTCATTGTGGTTTTGATTTGCATTTCTCTGATGGCCAGTGATGATGAGCATTTTTTCATGTGTTTTTTGGCTGCATAGATGTCTTCTTTTGAGAAGTGTCTGTTCATGTCCTTCGCCCACTTTTTGATGGGGTTGTTTGTTTTTTTCTTGTAAATTTGTTTGAGTTCATTGTAGATTCTGGATATTAGCCCTTTGTCAGATGAGTAGGTTGTGAAAATTTTCTCCCATTTTGTAGGTTGCCTGTTCACTCTGATGGTAGTTTCTTTTGCTGTGCAGAAGCTCTTAAGTTTAATTAGATCCCATTTGTCAATGTTGGCTTTTGTTGCCATTGCTTTTGGTGTTTTAGACATGAAGTCCTTGCCCATGCCTATGTCCTGAATGGTATTGCCTAGGTTTTCTTCTAGGGTTTTTATGGTTTTAGGTCTAACGTTTAAGTCTTTAATCCACCTTGAATTGATTTTTGTATAAGGTGTAAGGAAGGGATCCAGTTTCAGCTTTCTACATATGGCTAGCCAGTTTTCCCAGCACCATTTATTAAATAGGGAATCCTTTCCCCATTGCTTGTTTTTCTCAGGTTTGTCAAAGATCAGATAGTTGTAGATATGCGGCATTATTTCTGAGGGCTCTGTTCTGTTCCATTGATCTATATCTCTGTTTTGGTACCAGTACCATGCTGTTTTGGTTACTGTAGCCTTGTAGTATAGTTTGAAGTCTGGTAGTGTGATGCCTCCAGCTTTGTTCTTTTGGCTTAGGATTGACTTGGTGATGCGGGCTCTTTTTTGGTTTCGTATGAACTTTAAAGTAGTTTTTTCCAATTCTGTGAAGAAAGTCATTGGTAGCTTGATGGGGATGGCATTGAATCTGTAAATTACCTTGGGCAGTATGGCCATTTTCACAATATTGATTCTTCCTACCCATGAGCATGGAATGTTCTTCCACTTGTTTGTATCCTCTTTTATTTCCTTGAGCAGTGGTTTGTAGTTCTCCTTGAAGAGGTCCTTCACATCCCTTGTAAGTTGGATTCCTAGGTATTTTATTCTCTTTGAAGCAATTGTGAATGGGAATTCACTCATGATTTGGCTCTCTGTTTGTCTGTTGTTGGTGTATAAGAATGCTTGTGATTTTTGTACATTGATTTTGTATCCTGAGACTTTGCTGAAGTTGCTTATCAGCTTAAAGAGATTTTGGGCTGAGACAATGGGGTTTTCTAGATATACAATCATGTCGTCTGCAAACAGGGACAATTTGACTTCCTCTTTTCCCAATTGAATACCCTTTATTTCCTTCTCCTGCCTAATTGCCCTGGCCAGAACTTCCAACACTGTGTTGAATAGGAGTGGAGAGAGAGGGCATCCCTGTCTTGTGCCAGTTTTCAAAGGGAATGCTTCCAGTTTTTGCCCATTCAGTATGATATTGGCTGTGGGTTTGTCATAGATAGCTCTTATTATTTTGAAATACGTCCCATCAATACCTAATTTATTGAGAGTTTTTAGCATGAAGTGTTGTTGAATTTTATCAAAGGCTTTTTCTGCATCTATTGACATAATCATGTGGTTTTTGTCTTTGGCTCTGTTTATATGCTGGATTACATTTATTGATTTGCATATATTGAACCAGCCTTGCATCCCAGGGATGAAGCCCACTTGATCATGGTGGATAAGCTTTTTGATGTGCTGCTGGATTTGTTTTGCCAGTATTTTATTGAGGATTTTTGCATCAATGTTCATCAAGGATATTGGTCTAAAATTCTCTTTTTTGGTTGTGTCTCTGCCTGGCTTTGGTATCAGAATGATGCTGGCCTCATAAAATGAGTTAGGGAGGATTCCCTCTTTTTCTATTGATTGGAATAGTTTCAGAAGGAATGGTACCAGTTCCTCCTTGTACCTCTGGTAGAATTCGGCTGTGAATCCATCTGGTCCTGGACTCTTTTTGGTTGGTAAGCTATTGATTGTTGCCACAATTTCAGCTCCTGTTATTGGTCTATTCAGAGATTCAACTTCTTCCTGGTTTAGTCTTGGGAGGGTGTATGTGTCGAGGAATTTATCCATGTCTTCTGGATTTTCTAGTTTATTTGCGTAGAGGTGTTTGTAGTATTCTCTGATGGTAGTTTGTATTTCTGTGGGATCGGTGGTGACATCCCCTTTATCACTTTTTATTGCATCTATTTGAATCTGCTCTTTTTTTTTCTTTATTAGTCTTGCTAGTGGTCTATCAATTTTGTTTATCCTTTCAAAAAACCAGCTCCTGGATTCATTAATTTTTTGAAGGGTTTTTTGTGCCTCTATTTCCTTCAGTTCTGCTCTGATTTTAGTTATTTCTTGCCTTCTGCTAGCTTTTGAATGTGTTTCCTCTTGCTTTTCTAGTTCTTTTAATTGCAATGTTAGGGTGTCAATTTTGGATCTTTCCTGCTTTCTCTTGTGGGCATTTAGTGCTATAATTTTCCCTCTACACACTGCTTTGAATGCATCCCAGAGATTCTGGTATGTTGTGTCTTTGTTCTCGTTGGTTTCAAAGAACATCTTTATTTCTGCCTTCATTTCGTTATGTACCCAGTAGTCATTCAGGAGCAGGTTGTTCAGTTTCCATGTAGTTGAGCGGTTTTGAGTGAGATTCTTAATCCTGAGTTCTAGTTTGATTGCACTGTGGTCTGAGAGATAGTTTGTTATAATTTCTGTTCTTTTACATTTGCTGAGGAGAGCTTTACTTCCCAGTATGTGGTCAATTTTGGAATAGGTGTGGTGTGGTGCTGAAAAAAAGTATATTCTGTTGATTTGGGGTGGAGAGTTCTGTAGATGCATATTAGGTCCGCTTGGTGCAGAGCTGAGTTCAATTCCTGGGTATCCTTGTTGACTTTCTGTCTCGTTGATCTGTCTAATGTTGACAGTGGGGTGTTAAAGTCTCCCATTATTAATGTGTGGGAGTCTAAGTCTCTTTGTTGGTCACTCAGGACTTGCTTTATGAATCTTGGTGCTCCTGTATTGGGTGCATATATATTTAGGATAGTTAGCTCTTCTTGTTGAATTGATCCCTTTACCATTATGTAATGGCCTTCTTTGTCTCTTTTGATCTTTGTTGGTTTAAAGTCTGTTTTATCAGAGACTAGGATTGCAACCCCTGCCTTTTTTTGTTTTCCATTGGCTTGGTAGATCTTCCTCCATCCTTTTATTTTGATCCTATGTGTGTCTCTGCACGTGAGTTGGGTTTCCTGAATACAGCACACTGATGGGTCTTGACTCTTTATCCAATTTGCCAGTCTGTGTCTTTTAATTGGAGCATTTAGTCCATTGACATTTAAAGTTAATATTGTTATGTGTGAATTTGATCCTGTCATTATGATGTTAGCTGGTTATTTTGCTCGTTAGTTGATGCAGTTTCTTCCTAGTCTCGATGGTCTTTACATTTTGGCATGATTTTGCAGTGGCTGGTACCGGTTGTTCCTTTCCATGTTTAGTGCTTCCTTCAGGAGCTCTTGTAAGGCAGGCCTGGTGGTGAGAAAATCTCTCAGCATTTGCTTGTCTGTAAAGTATTTTATTTCTCCTTCACTTATGAAGCTTAGTTTGGCTGGATATGAAATTCTGGGTTGAAAATTCTTTTCTTTAAGAATGTTGAATATTGGCCCCCACTCTCTTCTGGCTTGTAGGGTTTCTGCCGAGAGATCTGCTGTTAGTCTGATGGGCTTCCCTTTGAGGGTAACCCGACCTTTCTCTCTGGCTGCCCTTAACATTTTTTCGTTCATTTCAACTTTGGTGAATCTGACAATTATGTGTCTTGGAGTTGCTCTTCTCGAGGAGTATCTTTGTGGCGTTCTCTGTATTTCCTGAATCTGAACGTTGGCCTGCCTTGCTAGATTGGGGAAGTTCTCCTGGATAATATCCTGCAGAGTCTTTTCCAACTTGGTTCCATTCTCCCCATCACTTTCAGATACACCAATCAGACGTAGATTTGGTCTTTTCACATAGTCCCATATTTCTTGGAGGCTTTGCTAGTACAATACATTTTTGTTAACTATAGTCACCCTACTCTGCTATTAAGTATTGAATATATTCCTCTTATCTTATTACATGTTTGTACCCTTTAACCCATTTCTCTCAATCTTCCTCCCTACCCCTCCTCACACCCTTCCTAGTTTCTGTTACCTTTCTTGTCTCTACCTACATGTGATCAAATTTTTTAGCTCTGACATATAAATGAGAATGCATGATATTTGTCTTTTTATGCTTGGCTTATTTCACTTAAGATAATGACCTTCAGTTCCATCCACATTGCTGCAAATGACATGATACCATTCTTTTTATGACTGAGTAGTATTTCATTGTGTGTATGTACCACATTTTCTTCATCCATTCATCTGTAGATGGACACTTAGGTTGATTCCATATATTTGCTCCTGTGAATAATGCTGCAATAAACATGTGACTGCAGGTATCTCTTTGATTTCTTTTCCTTTGGGTAGATACTCAGTAGTAAAATTGCTGGATTGAACGGTAATTCCATTTTTAGTTCTTTGAGAAATCTCCATGCTGTTTTCCATAGTAGCTGTACTAGCTTTCATTCCACCCTACCCATCAACAGTGTGTAGGGTTAGGGTTCCCTTTTCTCTACATCCTCACCAACATCTGTTATGTTTTGTCTTTTTAATAATAGCTTTTTTAATTGGAGTGAGGTGATATCTCATTGTGGTTTTGATTTGCATTTCTCTGTTAGTGATGTTGAACATTTTCATATACCTGCTGGCCATTTGTATGTCTTTTCTTTAGGAAAGTTATTATTTAGAGCTCTGACTGTGGTTCTGGCTATTTAAAGGAAGTGCTGGCTGGTTTGGGGTGGGCAGGTCCAAGTTAGTCATGTTTGGGGAATGTTTGACATGTTTGGGGAGGCTATGCTAATGACTGTCATATTAGCTTTGACCTTCCCGCCCTAATCTCACAATAGTGTACTTCTCTGCATCTCAGTTTCCTCACCCTTAAAGTAAGTATGAAAATAGTGCCAATGTTATTGGGCTGTGTGAAGATTAAGTGAGTTAATCTACATAAAGCATTGAGATTAGCTTTAGGCACCTTGTAAATGCTTTATAGATTAACTTGTTTAATCATCACATAATCCAGTGAGGTAGGTATTATATTGTCCTTACTTTACAAATGAGAAAGCTGAGACCAGAGAGGTGAAGTCATCAGCTCAAGCTTGCACAGTTGTTAAGTGGCTGAGCTAGGCTACACATCCAGGCAGTCTGTCTTGAGAGCCCACATGTCTAACCACTCAACTCTCCTGCTGCTATCCTATATTGGGGTGGGGAGCAAAGACGGATAAGGAAGGAGTAAAGCCTGGTCTTTCCCTCCCAGAATTTAAGATGACAGTCAGGATCATGCAGAGACTTAGGGTTCATGCTTGTCAGCCCCACCCTGTACAGTCTTATCCAGCCACACCTCTTTCAGGAAATCTTCCCAGATGAGCTCTACCCACATGATCAATCCTATTTTCTCCATTCTCTTTGAACTTATGAACCTAGTTTTCTGCCTGTTGCTTTGCAATGGTTTGACAATTATTATCAATTCAATGGATATTTATCAAATGCCTGGAATGCAGGACCGGAACCATGGGATATGCAGACATAGATAAACCATATTTCCTTTCTGCTGGGCATTTATAACTTTGTCAGGGACACAGACAAAGACATAAGAAAGACACATGCATAAGAAACACAATTTGGTATCAGTATTGTAAAAGAAATATGAACAATGTACTACAGAGGCGTGGAAAAAAAACTTGTTAATTCAGACTGGGGTGGGTGGCCTTGGGAAGGCTTCTCAGATTGTGTATTTGCATCAGGGTCTTGAAGGATGGATAAGAGGCATGGTGGGGAGAACAATCAGAGGAGAGTATGAACAAAGACTCAGCCTGTAAAATATTCCCAGCAAATCTAAGGCAGCACTGTTGGTGATATTATAGTTGCCTTGTTATCACCATTAATAAGAATGAGAACTCTCTGTCCTTAAGAATGTGTTTGCATCTCATTTAAATTATTAGTGGGGGCTCTGCATTCTGTGCTTCTGTTCTGGATTTCTCCAGGCAGACACAAGCATGCTCAGAGGTTCCTTGTCCTGCAAGGGACAAACTGCAGAGAGGGTGGCTGTGTTCTCTGGTTACAGTGCTTAGCTGCAGTTCTTGTCTACCTGGTCTGGCAAGAGCAATCCCTCTAGGCTGAAATGAGAGCAAAGCTGGCATCTTGCATGGCTGATTCTACTTAGGAGTGAGGCAGGAGACAGTGCCTAAACTTTTTAGTAGTGAACCTAGCAAAGATGTTCCAGCACCTGGTTCTGGAGAAAGCATCCAGTTGCATTGCTTTGGGTCATTCTGAGGTCTTGGGTTTGGCTTCATTTAATAGGTACCATGTGGGCTTGGAGTTAAGGTGAGGAATCAAAATACTAGATCACCTCTGAATAAGCAGGAAACATTTTCTGGAAAATAGTTTTCAATATTCCCATCTACCCACCCATCAAATATCTGTCTAGCCCCTTCTCAGTGCCAGGTAGTGAACCTAGTGCTGGGGACCAACCCAAAGATAAAAAAGATGCAATTCTTTCACTGAAACTGAGTTGTCGAGTGACATACAGTCACACAATCACAACACTGAGTACTTTAACCAAAAGGCACAGGGAAGGGGCACCCAGCACAGAATTAGGATTAGAAAGTTGACAATTCTTGAACTGAGCCTCAATGGAGAAAAAGGAGGCAGCCAAAGAAGTAGTTCAGACCGAAGGTGCGGTGGAAGGCAGAGCATAGGATTCCCAGGAACACTTTTGATGAGGGTGGATAGAGGGGAGTTGGGGAGAGAGAGACAGTGTGTGTTTGGGGAGAGGTGGAGGTTGCTAAGCTATGTGGCTGGAGAATGTGGGCAGAGTCAGGTCAGGAAGGTTCTTTTGGGCCTTGCAACAGTGTCTGGACACTACCCTTAGGGCACCGAAGGGTTTTGAGCTTACAAATGAAATGACTTGTTTAGCTTTGCGCTTTATAAAGGACACTGTCTGCAGTGAGGACAATGCAGTGGTGAAGGGGCAGGAACAAATGCAGGGAGAACAAATAGGAGTCTGTTGCCTTTATTCAGGAAAAAGAGAATGGAGACTTGGCCTGGGCAGGGGAGTTGGACTAGGGATGGGGAGAGATTTGAGAGGTTTTTAAGGGGGTAGAATTGATTAGACATGGCTATGAAGTGGATGTGGGTGTTGTGGGGCAGAGAGGGATCAACAATGACTTTTAATGGTCTGACCTTGGCCACCACTGGGTCCCTGGTGATGCTCTTCACTGAGACAGAAATCAGAGAAGGAACTGGTTGAATCAGGGCTGGTGGCAGAGAGATGAGGTCAGTTTTGGTCATGTTGAGTTAACTGGAGATAAGGAACTGGACTGAGAATGCCGGGTCCTAAGTAAAAGATTTGGAAATCTTCAGTATAGAAGTCCTAGTTAAAAAGTTGAGAGTATTGGGTTTGAGTGAAGTGTATAAAGCAGATCAAGAACATTTTAAAGAGGATTGGAGAAAAACAGGAAAAGAATTGTGTCAAGGAGAGAGCACAAATATGGCCTGCATCAAAGAGACACAGTAAGATGAAGACTGAAAGTTGCTTGGCATTGACAATATAAGAGCATGGCCAGTACCAGAGACAGTAGACCTGAGATGGAGCAGGGACCCCTTTTAGGATCCTGTGGGACCCTCCACGCATGGAAATAAAGAAAAATCCCGAGTTCCTTCAAGGGAAATTCCAGGCACCTCGCTAGCCCTGAGAAATAAATGGGCAACTTCGTAAGCAAGAAGGTAATAGTAACCTAAAAAAATAGCCAAGGAAGTTAGAGTCACAGGATGTTACATTTCCCATAGAAACCAAAGATATCATCTTAACATATGTCCCTGAAGTGTTTTCTAGAAATCTAGACCCCCACCTACAGGATCCACTGGCACATGGACCTCAGATAAGGGGGAACTGAGGACTGAACTCTGACCATCTTTCTTTGTCCTAAAATTCTTCTTTAGGGGCCTGGAGGAAGTCATGCCCACGGACCAGAGCTAACATTTTTTTTCTGCTGTCCCAAACATTTTAAACAAATCTTCTTTCCCTTAACCAATTGCAAATCAGAAAATCTTTGTATCTGCCTATGACCCGTAAGGCCCCTTCACCTCCCTGCTACTCCCACCAGGCTTCAAGATATCCCACCTTTTTAGGTCAAACCAATGTATAACCTCCGTGTATTGACTTACAGTTTTTTCTGTAATTTCTGCTTTCCTGAAAATTTCCCCTGCCTTCAAAGACCCTTGATTGCAAGCATCAGAGAGTTCAGGTCTTAAGCATGAGCTACCCACTTCTCCTTGCTTGGCACCCTGCAATAAATGCCTCACTTTCCCCCTCTCTGCAATCTTGATGTCAGTGTTTGGCTTTGCTGTGTTGGGCGGGTGGACCCCAAATTTGTTTCAGTAACAGACCTGGAAGTGCAGGAGAAAGAGAGTCAGAATGCCGTAGGCTAACAAGTGAGTGGGAGGTGATGAAGAAAGAGAGAGCAAAGATAACTTTTCAATAAATTTCGCTAAGATGGTAAGGCCAAAGAGAGAGGATGATGAAAGGAGAGGTAAGTTGGAAGATTACTTTAAAATGGGAAAGGCTTGATCATGCTTGCATGTTGAGGGAAAGGAGTCAGTAGAGAAAGGTAAACATCAGCCTGTATCCTCCAATGCAATGGGATCCCAGCAGGTCCTCTGGGCCACAGGGTCCACAGGAAACTCCAGGCCCAGTCGGCAAAGCAGCCTTCTGGGCTAAAAGGTCACCACCATGCTAAGTCCTCCGCCACCGCCCAGGCCTCAGCTTCTTTCACCCTCCACCAAAGGCTGTCTCAAGTCTTTGTTCTACAAAGGAAGCCCCAGCTGGTAGAAGAGCTGACTTCAGATCAGCTCAAATCTCCCTTCATCTCCAAGGCTTCGGCCTGTGTTTAGCAACGGGGAGCCTTTCTTGGCTCTCTGCTGCCAACAGCCATGAAAGAAAAGGCAGTGTGGCAGCTGTAAGGGTAGCTGGGGTGGAAGCCTCGAGTCTCGGTTCCCATCCCGGCAGAGGGCCGAGTTACCCCAGCAAGATATGGGTCAGGCTGCCACCTAGTGTTCAAGTCAACGTGTAGCAGGAAGGCCTAGCATGCCACTAACTGAGCAGCAAATAGGTGACAGAGGGATAACCGAAAGCCTGCAAAGAAGCCAGAATTCAGAGAGGAGCGCACCGTCCTGAACCAGAGAGAGAATGTGTTTCAGGTGGTGAAGACAGACAGCGAAGCTACTGATCAGCCGGTGGCAGAGGCCAACAAAACAACCTGCACACAGGGCTACAGTTACAAGGCATTTTTACCTGTATTTTCTCTCATGCCATCCTTTGGGTTAATTATTATGGTTTTCCCGATTTTACAGACGTGTCTTCTCCCTGGAAAGTTCAAAAGACTTGTTCAAGTCAGTAGCCTGTTAGATGGCAGAGCTGGGATTTGAAAAGGGATCTTCATACTTTGGGAGGTGGGGGTGGGGTGGGAGCACTGAGTTTCACATCAGGAGGAAGGGGAACAGCTGAAGGCAGAGTAGCCATGACGAGTGGGGCTCTGGGCAGAGCTAAACGATAGGGACCTGTGCCCAGCGGACCTTAAGTTACAGGGTTAGGCTGGGAGCTGAGAAACAACCACCACTGCCCAGATGTGTGCAGTGCCTGCTGGGCCTTGAGCAGAGTTTGCCAGTGAGACAAGCTCTAGAAAGTCCTGCACAAGAGCCAGGACAGGCACTGGCACCAGATCTTAGGGGGTCTGGGGAGGAAAGTCCACAAGGATGACTGCCAAGATGGCCAGTGACAGGCCCAGTGGCCTGCTGACCAGAGGCTAAAACGGGGAACGGAAACCAGAGAAATGCACCAGTGAGGGCTCCTGAGAGCAGGTTAAGACCAGGGGAATCCAGCCCTGGCACCTCCTGGTAGGAGTACAGGGAGGCAGGAGGAGAGAAAAATCCAGTCAGCTCTCCTGCTGGCAGACACTGGCTTGGAAGGGAGACCAAGGACTGACTGGGGATGCTGCCAGTGGGGAATGGGTAGGTAGAACTGACTTCTGTTCAGAGCCCCCAGGTGAGAAACAGCAAATGTGTTTTCTTTTCACCTCCCCAGACTGTGCCAGTAAATGTGTGGGGGCAGCACCTGGGGGCCAGGCAAAGGATCTCTGCAGAGATGGGTGCTGGGTCCTGGGTCCACATGTCAGCCAAGACAGTTGGTCTTCAGATGGTTTAGGATAAGGACTCTGTGCTTGGTACAGTTTTCTACCTCAGCCCCTTCCTGGTGGCTCTCTTTTGTTTTGCTTTTCTTTTGGTTTTCCAAATAAAGTTTCCTTTGAAAAAAATCACCCCCACTCCTGTTTTTTTTTCTGAACACAAAGGCAGAATCATTTGTTCCCACGCAGTGCAAGATAACGAACCATACAGAAAATCCCGAAGGGCCCAGGCTTAGAGTTTGAGTTGGATGAGAGGTGAGCTGGGGCAGGGAGAGAAAGCAACTAAAGAAGGCTGGCCACGTGCGGCCTGGGCTGCTGGCAACGTCACTCCCTTGGCCCTCAGAGACCTCTGCAGTCCCACACCCTCTTCCCGCTCAGTGCACTGGCGACCCCTTTCTTTTCCCTGCATACTCAGGATCTCCTTGCTTTTCCACTCAGACTACCTTAAAATTTTTCTTAAAAAAAAAATCTTGCTATACTAGTAAGAGAGGCCCAGCATGGGAAAGTCAGGAAAGAATATAATGAAGATAACATCAATCACATTACTTTTGAATTAATTAAAAATAAACAACCTAATCTCATCTTTGATGACTAGTAGGTTCCTCCCACTTCCTTTCCCAGCCACTAAAGGGTCACTGGTGCTAGGGTGCCTCCCATACAGTGGGGGCTCAGCCCATGCTCGCTGGGTGGCCGATTGTTGACTGGTGCTCTGTGAGCTCCAAGTTTCCTGTAAACATTAGAAAATACAGCATGGGTTTTGGGTGGCAGCTACTCTGGGGCATACTGGCTGGGGAACTGGCAGAATTCCACAGGCTGGTTTTTCTCAAGTTAACTGGTGGCTTCCTGCCATGACAACAAGCTCAGCCCTGTGGGAAGTGGGTTTGGATGGTGCTTCTGGATCACCTCAGCGTGAGTCAATCCTGGGAGGGGTTGGTCTGTCAGCAGTCAGATGTTGGGTACCTACTGTGTACCAGGCACTGGGGATGCAAAGATGGAGGTCCCTGGAGACAGGCTCCACAAACTAACTGGAATTTAATCTGGACTTAGATACAAAACACTGGGAGGGCAAAAAGGGAGGCGTCTGTGAGTGGATCAGTCTCCAGGAAGGCTTCATAGAAGAGGTGACCTGAGAGGTGGGCCTTGAAAAGTGAGTAGGGTATAGTAGTAGGTTGTGGGGCCTCAGGGGTAGGTGAGGTGAGAAGAATCTATTCTAGGAAAAATGAATAAAAACAGCGATCTGGAGTTATGATGGTTTAAAGTGTATCCTGGAAACAATCAGCAGGACCTTCTGTGGCTCACATTTTCAAATCTGTGCCACACTGTGCAAGAGAGTGGCTGCTGTCCCAGAGACCCCATGTAAGCTGCCAGCTGCCCCTGAGCTGCGGTGGGCCCTCTCCTTGCTCCTCCATGTGTCTCTTGAGTTTATCTAGCAGGGAACAGGCATGTCTGTGTGTGCTGTCCAGGCCCAGTTCCAATGCCCCTTCCTTGAAGCCTTTGGGATTCTCTCTAGACACATGTGGGTGCTTTCATCACACCCTGTCCTTGTTGCTGTTATGGCCCTGTCCACACTGATGGTAACTGTTTTCTTCACTAGGTCTGCGTGTTCCTCACAGGCAGGAAATGTGCTTGGTCTGTCCCAGCATCTAGATTCTCAGCATCTGGTACTGGATCTCACGTAGAGCATACAATTAAGTGTTTGTTAATTCTTAAATTTGCTCTAGGGACACATCCCCATCTCTCTGCAGATGCAGGCTCAGTTTTCCCATCTACACCCATTTTAGGGATGAAAGGAGGACTCTAAACAGTGATGGTCTGATGGAAGATAAGAACATCCAGGGTAGATTGTCCTCATCAACCCCAATTAGAACTTGATTGAGAAGGTCACAATCCAGTCTTCTGTAATGACAGCCCATTATTTAATTGACTGAAGCAGGTTTTGTCTGGCAGCTTGACAAGTCATACTGCACGGCCTCTCCCACTCCACCTACAGGGCTAATATGTGACAGATTTAGGTGGTAAATGCTTGAAATGCCTTGAAGATTCTGCTCCAGCCAGCAACCTTGCTGTGACAAGGGCGGGCCCTGATGACAAATAGTGGCCTGATTACTGGACTCATTGTTCCCAAAATGGGCCTTGGGAGGCTGCCCAGTGGCTGAAACAGCTGCTGAACTGCCCACCATGGACTGGGAGAAGATGAGAAGCACGTCTCCTGGGTTCACGTCCTGTTGCTTCACTGACCCCATTTAGTAACCTTGACCTTGGCTTTTCAGATGAGTAGCCAAATGAAGATGAGAAACATTTTAAAAAATCTCTAATTCTTATAAGGGAGTTTTGTGGTGATGACCTTTCAAGGAAGGATGGCTGAATGAATGGATAAACAGAGGGATGGATTTGGTGGATGGACAGGCAGTGAAGCATCAAATGATGGACATATGGATGGTAGAATAAATGGATGAATGGATAGAAAGCCAACCTGTGCTGGCTTGTGTCCTAGAGACATAAAGTGTGCCCTCCGAGGACAGTGCGGGTGGGTGCTGCTGGGGGATTCTACTGCAGTAGTGCGTTTGTTTTTAATTTCTGAGAGCAATTTTTGAAGGGTTGCTATGTGTAGTTGAAAAGCTATGTGCAAAGCATAACTCTTCCATATATTTTTCAGAAAACAGCAATGAAGTGAATGCAACTGATGCCTCCTCAAAAGTTTGCTACCTGCCAAGACTTTCAAGCATGAAAATATCTTTATTTTTCCCTTTTAAAATTGATGGGTAGGCCATATGGGAGAGAGGGAAATACTGACAAAGAGGGCACCTCAAGAAAAGCATGCCTATAAAAATAATGTGACAAACAATGAAACAACACACAAACAGTTTGACAGATAAGAGAGCAAAGGATCACCACACGCCCGTGATTCTAGAGCAAGTGGTGACTTTAGTGTGTGGCTGTGCTCATGCATATGGACCTTACACAACTGCAATCAGCATCTGCATACCTACACCCAGTAACCTGCTTTCTCTACCTAATATGATATAATGAGCATTTTTCTATATTGCTACATAGTCTTTATAATTACTTTAAATGACTGTATAATATTCCATTCATTATATCACTGCTGAATATTTAGGTTGCTTGTAGTTTTTCCTTTGCTCATTTTTATGAATTAACAAATGTAAAGTATTTCACCCACTACCTTCAAATTATATATACTTGGTCGGCACTTTATTTCCTTCCCGTTCTGCCCCTTTATATAAATAAAGAAAAGTATGAAAGATTCATATATGAGCTTTTCTTTAGGGTAAATGTATTAAGATAAATATTGAGTTCAAGATTTAAATAATTGTATGGCTTTTCACACATACTGATGTCATGTTACTTCTATTAATAACAATGATAATAAGTAGCCTACAGTTACACATATTATCTCATAAAATTCTTTCAGCATCTCTAAGAAGTAGCTAGTACCTTATTTTAGATGAGAAACCAGGGGCTCACAAATTTGCATAATTTGTGTCTCTCCCTTATTTACGGCATCTGGCACAATGTGTGGTGCATAGAATCACTTCAATAAATATTTGTTGAATGAAGTCTGTAAGCAGGGATTCCATGATTCAAATCCAATCCAGATTTATTTCACTTCAAAACATGTGCTTTTCCCCTTAAACCTTGCCAACTGGCTGTTGACATGCATTTGGTGGGGGTAGAGATGCAAGTGTTGCCACACCTTTTAATTAAGGACTCAGATCTAGTGGAGCATCCACTCAGGCTCAGGGCAAACATAGGGGAGCTAGGGTGCTATGGGTGGGAGTTGAGGACCTAAGATATAGTTACTCTAGAATTGTACCTACTTGGCTTTTTCCATAACTCACCCATGTGGAGCTACTATATAGTTCTAAGACCAATGGCCTAAGAGAGTGGTCCTAAGTTCTTGGTGACCACATTCAATTCAGAGGTTTTGCTGTTGTTTTGTAGCTTTGTGATCAGATGTCCTGATTATGCATTTACAGAAACACTGTCCTCATTGGAATCAGTCTCTAACAGCCAACTCTATGAGCTGAGGAGGTAGAGTATCCTCCTGAACTGAGTTGCCTTCAGCGATGTCCTTCCTATTTTCAGAGGATAATGAAAGGTGATCTGTCATCCCATACAGCACCAGCCTTAAGAATCTTGAGTAGTCATTTCCTAAGGTCATGTCTTCCTGGCATTAGGCAGAAACCTGTGTCCTATTTCTGTCACATAGGATGTATGAGATGAGTGTCAGAATGGTTCTTCAGAGGCGCTTTAAGGAATAAAGTCTATCCCCTGATGCTGTCTGGCCAGGAAGAGGCTGTAGAGGTTGATGGTAGGGCTGGCCTCAGGGATGCAAAAGAGAATTAATGTGGTTAGGGATTCCTGTGTGCTGGGAATCGAAGAGGTACTTTAACCTCTGAACATCTTTAGAGGACACTGTGGAGAAATAGCAGAGACTGGAGAGGGAAAACTCAGGAGGTGATCACATTTAGGAGGTACTAGGAAAAGGAGTCACTTGAAGGAAGCAGGAACCAGAGATGGTCACAGAGCTATATAAGATCCATGTCTCTCATGGCCAGGCCTCCCAGTCAATTCCACTCCCATGTACTGAGCACTTCCTATGTATACCTGCTCCATTCAGCCCTGGGAATACAGTCATGAATGAGAAATGCACCTGTTCACAAGAAAATTCCACACTCTACCTGGGAGACAGAAGCACAAAACAAAAACAACAAAAAACACAGCATGACAGATATTCTGTTAGTGATATAACAAAGGAAGAGAGGAGACGTCAGGTTCTGTGAACACTTCAAAGAAAAAATAATGTTTGAACCTCACCTTGAAGCATGGATGAGGGATGAACTGGTATAGGAGGGTTGGCAAAGCATATTGGTCAGAGGGAAAAGCAAAGTCCCAGAAGCTTAGAAGGACATGGAATAATCCAGCCTTGTGGGGAAGAAGGTGGTTTCCAATGGAGGGAATGTCAAAAGTGGCAAAGGCTTGTAAGAGGCTAAGCAGGAAGAAAAGGTTGCAACCAGAGTCAATAGTGACTGCAACCTCGATTGTGTGTGTGTGCACGCGTGTGTGCCCCTCTGCTTGTGTGTGTATGCTGATGCATGGCTATGAGTGTCTGTGTGTGTATGTGTGACTATGAGTGTGTCTCTGTGTATACCGAAGATGTGAGTAAGTAGAGGCTCCTCTATTTATTCCTTTAAAAGGATGTTCATTAAGCACCTATCACATGCTAGGCACTGGGAGAAGGGAGGTGAATTAGAAAGACACAGACCCCTACACTGAGGGAACTCACACTCTAATGGGGAAGGCAGGCAAGGCACTAATAAACAAAGAAAAGTACAGCACGATAAGTGTGAGGAAGGAAATAGTCATGATGATGTGACACAGCATAATCATGGAGGCAGGGTACACCTTCAGGTAGCCAGGCCAGAAGGCCTCTCCCAAAAGGAGGCGTTTGAGCAGAGCCCTGAGGATGAGAAAGGGGATTATAGGCAGAGGGAACATTTAGAACAAACAGGAACAACTTGGTGCACATGAAAAGGACAAAAGAGGCTGTCAGTAGGGCTTGAGTGTAGCCAGCGAGGGCCAAAGAGGCAGGAGACGACTTTTAGTGAGTTTGAATCTTATTCTAAGAGCAGAGAAAAGCTGTTGAAGAATTTTAAGCAGGGAAAACATACTCCTAGATTTTTAAACGAGTCCTCTGGATGCTACATGGAGCTTGAACAGGAAGGGCCAAGAGTAGGAGCTGAGGGACTACCTTGAGGGGCTACTGCCATGGCCCAGGTTAAAGGGATGGTGGCAGAGGAGACAGAGAGAAGGTGGGCAGCTTCAAAATAGATTTGGCAATGGAGTGAAGAGGACTCGAAGTGGGGGAAAGGGGTGAGGGAAAAAGAAGAAGCAGGGGTGACATCTGGGTTTGGGGCGTGATCCAAACAAGCATAGAATCTTCTTAAGAATTTTGTGTCCTGTGTTCTGGACATCTCTCCAGACTAGACTCTGCTCCTGTGGCAAGGCTGTGGTGAGGCAATTGTGGGGGAGCTAATGTGGTTAGGGCTTTCTTTTGGTTCTGCAAGATCAAAGAGATGACTTTGCCCAGGGCTCCTCTGAGAACTGCCAGAAGTTTGCAAAGCTGGCTCCTGCCTGAGTAGTTAGCTCATGCTCTTAGTGCCAGGGATAAATGGAGACTACTTTGATTTATTCAACCTGTATTTATTAAGCAGTTGCTGTGTGCCCAACCCTGTTCTAGGTTCTGGGAATACAGTCGTGAACAAAACATACAAAAAAACCTACCCTCACATAGCTTTATAGTTGAGTGGTCTAACAATAGGTACAATAAGAAATAAACAGTGTCAAAGAGATACAAGAGTTATGAGAAAAGGTGGGGAGGAGGGGTAGGGAGTGCTGAAGGCAGGTGGAGGGGTGGGGACTGAGAATGGAAATATGGGAGGAATGTCAGGCTACGGAGTGTTCAGGGACTACTCCACAGAGCAGCCTTTCTGGGGCTACTGTGGCTAAAGGGGCATCGGCCACTGCCTGCAGTCAGGGTCGACACATCATATTTGCTTTCTTCTTAGTGCTTACCGCACTCCGTGATAAGCTTGTTTATTTATTTGTTTGCTAGTTTATTACTTTTTCAAATCAGATGAATTTTGGTATGATTCTGATAGGTGTAAGTTTTGGGAAAAGATGAAAATGGTGGTTGGGTTGGGATTGTGAAACGCTAGTGTTAAATCAAGTTTAGCCTAAAACTGCCTTCTTATATATTGTAAGTTCAGCCTAAAGGTTTCCTGTACATCGTGAATTATAACCTAAATGGAGTTTTACACAGACCGTAGCCTACTCTTGAGTCAATCACTGAGTTTTGGCCAGTTGAAGGTGGCCAACTATTCACACTGTGTTCAAATACTGCAAAGACCAAGCTGTAACCAATTCAGCTGTTTCTGTACCTCATTTCTGTTTTCTGTATGTCACTTTCCTTTTTCTGTTCATAAATCTTCTTCCCCAACGTGGCTGTGCTAGAGTCTCTGAGCCTACTGTGGCTTAGGAGTCTCCCCAATTAGCACATTGTTCTTTGCTCAATTACCGTCCTTTAAATTAAATTCAGCTGAATTTTTTCTTTTAACACCAGCAACGACCTAAGGAGCTGAGCTCAAATTTGGAAGATGCTAGACCTGGATATTGGGTTCACATTTTGAACCTAGTCCTGGGTTCAAGTTGCAGAGGCTCTTCTGATTGGAGTAGAAGGGAAGTATCCTGATGGAAGGGGGGTTTGGAGAAACAATTTGGATTGGAGACCCTGAGGACTGGGTGAGCTGGGTGGACTTTTCTCCTTTCTTGATCTGAGCAGGACACAGGAAGGCAGGGTTTCAAAATAGGGTTGCTGTTGAGTTAGAGCCTGGCTTGTTCCTGATCCAGTGCTAAGAACCTTAGAGTTCAGAGAAAAGGGACCCCTGCCCCTGCACTGACCTTAATCCTGTCATCCCATCTCTAGCAAGTTGTGACAGACTTTCCTATAAGAACCTCAGCTAGGGAGGAGTACCCTTAATCAGCAACCGAAACTCTGTGCAGGTGTTAATTATGTCCATGCAGCTGACAGGTGATTATATCTTTCCCTCATTAAAGATGAGGGGAGTTCAAGGGCCCCCTTCTGTTCCCTGGGTCCTCCCTGCCTTCTAGAGGAGGCTGAGGGTTGGGGTGGGGCCCAGCTCTGTGGAGGTTGGGTGGAAGACCTGGTATGCAGAGCCCTGGGGAGTTCAGAGAGCCTGCTCTGCCATTAAGGGCATAGAGGAAATGGCCCAATCTCAGACTCATGGGAAGAAGGAGGCAGCGGATGACCCTCTCAGAGCACTGGACTCTGGAAGGTGGTCTCAGCAGGAAGGAAAGAGTCCTTCTTGCTGGTGGTGCCACTGGTCCAACCCGCTTATCTTGTTCTGAGCATTTTAAAAATTATTTCCGTCTTACACACATGATAGAGAAATACACACATACATATTGCTTATCACAGGCTTTGGGGGTAGTGACTTAGGAGAAAAGAGGTGTAAAAGAACAGCATAAGATTGGGATGGGGGAGTTTAAAGTTACCATTCTTATTAATTGACCCTTGGTTATGTGATTCTGACCAAGTCAGTTAGACTGTATTGAACTGTCCACATCTGGGAAAAGAGTATTGTTTTTAAAAAATCATGTTTTATTATTAATACTTACATTTGTTGTGAAGAACTGCAATGATACTCATGGCAGTTATATGTAAACTTAATAGTGCTATCCGAACATAATGTCTAGAACTATCATTAAACTGTAGTACCCTTATTGGAGTGGACTTTTATAGAAACAGAACTGGGCAGGTGTAACAGGTTCTAGACATTAAAAAAATTTGTTTTGAGTCAGCATCTTCTGGGTGGGCCAGAAAACTGCCAGAACCCTTCCAGGCTAGTCTGTGATTTTGAAGTGCAAAAAGCAGGCAGAGGCATTTCTCAGGACAGTCAGTGCAACGCTCATGGAGGCCTGCATGGAGCCCCCATACATGACCATATATGTCAGGACATGACCTCTGGCTCAAATGCCAGCTCCACCACTTGTTAGCTGTTTGACCTTAGGCAAGTTTCTTCATATCTTTGTGTCTCAGTTTCTTCACCTGAAAAATTGGGGTAATTATTTTTCTCTCTCTCACTTTGGGGGTTGGAATGGGGAATTGAATGAAAGCATTATATAAAGTGCTTTGCATGGTGGTTGCACATGGGACTTACAGGGAATTCTTGAACTTGATTTTCAGGTTCTGATTTCTCAAAGCCTTCTCTCTGTAACCCTTCCCCCAGAGGGAGAGATTCTGCCTCTTTCTACCCCTGCAGACTCCCCCAGAGCAGAAGCAGAAGGGCCTAGCTGGCACATGAGACGGGAAGACTGAGGAATTAAGAGTGTGGGGAATGGACGGGCCCTTAGACATCAGCTAGTCCCATCCTGTATTTCACAAATGAGGGACCATGCAAAGCACTTTACATAATTCTTTTATTTAATGTCCAGAAAGGCAGATGCCCAAACAAGGGCTCAGGACAAGTTAGTGGGAAAGCCTAGAAAAGGACCTGGGTTGCCCAGCAGTCCACCCCACCTGGGTCTTTCATATTTTATAATTTATCTTCAAGGGATTCTACCTCTGTGGCTGTCGGAGAGCCCCAAAGCCCCTGGCCCAGGTAGTTTGACACCTGGGAGGGCAGGCCCAAGGGGTGAGGCAGCGTTTTCCAAGATCCACAGGCGCTCCCTGCTGGCCACGGGCTAAAGGTGGTGCCTTGAACTGTGCTCAGGTCCACTCCGGAGAGGGCTGTGCCCGGAGCTGCTGGGTACCCTGGGCTAGTAACTGTGACATGTTTTTAGATGTTCAGTATTCCAGTTTGCTGTACTATTTAAAAATAGATTGAAATAATAATAAAAAGTGTTTTTATATTTACTCACATAATTACCATTTCAAGTGCTCTTCATCCCTTGGTATAACTCCAGATTTCCATCTGATATCATTTTCCTTCTGCCTAAAAGGCTTCCTGTAAGATTTCTTGTAGTTCAAGGTTGTTGGTGATGAATTCTGTCAGCATTTGAATGTCTTAAGAAGTATTTTCTTTTTCTTCATTTTGAAAGATATTTTCCCTGGGTACAAAGTTCTAGGTTGACAATTCTTTCAGTAATTTAAAAATATTGGTCTGCCATCTTCTGACTTGGGTCATTTCTGACAAGAAACCTGCTATTACTCTACTCTTTCTTTGTCTGTACATAACGTGTTTTTTCCTCCCTCTGGCTGCTTTTAAGATTTTTTTTTAATCACTAGTTTTCAGCAATTTAATTATGATGTGCCTCGGTTTTAATTTTTAAAAATATTCATTGTGCTTAGGGATCATTGAGATTCTTAGATGTATAGTTTTTCTATTTTAAAAAATCAAATTTGGAAATTTGGGGTGATTATTTCTTCAAGTTGTTTTTCTCCCATTTCCACTCCATCTTCTCCTTTAGGGACTCCAATTACATGTATATCAGGCTGCATGAAGATGTCCTATGTTTGCTTAACTTATTCTTCAGTTTTTGTTTCCTCTCCTTCATTTTAGATGGTTTCTATTGTTATGTGTTTGACTCACTAATCATCACTTCTGCAGTGTTTAAAATGCTGTTAATCCCATTCAGTTATTCTTCTCTTCAGACATTTTAGTTTTCATTTCAAGAAGTTTGATTTGGCTTTGTTTTCTCTCTCTCATGTCCCTGCTTAATCTTTTCTGCTAGTGTTTTGGACATATGAAACACGATTATATTAACTTTTAGAACATCCTCATTTAGAACCTATTTTTAGATAGGGTCTTGCTTAGTTGCTCAGGCTGGTCTTGAACTCCTAGCTTCAAGCAATTCTCCTTTCTTGACCTCCCACAGTGCTGGAATTACAGCCATGAGCCATCACACCTGGCCCTCATCTACTATTTCTGTCATCTGTCATCATTGGTCATTTCTGGGTCAATATCAGTTGATTTATTTTTCTCTTTACCTTTTTATTTTTTAATTTTATTTTAGTTTAAGGGGTACATGTGCAGGTTTGTTTAATAGATAAGTGGTGTGTTGTGGGGGTTTGTTGTACATATTATTTTGTCACTCAGATAATAATCATAGTATCTGATGGTTTTTCAATCCTCACCCTCCTGCTACCCTCTTGCATTAAGTAGGCCCTGGTGTCTATTGTTCTCTTCCTTGTGTCCATGTGTACTCAGTGTTCAGCTCTCACTTATAAGTGAGAATATGTGGTGTTTGGTTTTCTGTTCTTGCATTAGTTTGCTTAGGATAATGGCCCCCAATTCCATCCATGTCGCTGCAAAGACATGATCTTGTTCTTTTCTATGGCTGAGAAGTATTCCATGGTGTATATGCACCACATTTTCTTTATCCAGTTGGTCGTTGATGGGCATTTAGGTGGATTCCATGTCTTTGCTATTGTGGATAGTGCTGCGATGAACATATGCGTGCATGTGTCTTTATGGTAGAATAATTTATCTTCCTTTGGGTATATATCTATATCTATAAGTGTTCCCTTCTCTCAACAACCTTGCCAGCATCTGTTAACTTTTTGACTTTTTAATAATAGCCATTCTAACTGGTGTGAGATGGTATCTCACTGTGGTTTTGATTTGCATTTCTCTAATGACTAGTGATGATGAATATTTTTTTCATATGCTTTTTGGCCATGTATATGTCTTCTTTTGAAAATTGTCTGTTCATGTCCTTTGCCCATTTTTTAATGGGGTTGTTTTTTGCTTGTTAATTTCTTTATAGATTCTGGATATTAGACCTTTGTCAAATGCATAGTTTGCAAATATTTTCTCCTATTATGTTGGTTGTCTATTTACTCTGTTGATAGTTTCTTTTGCTATGCAGAAGCTCTTTAGTTTAATTAGGTTCCACTTACCAATTTTTGTTTTGGTTGCAATTGCTTTTTGTGTCTTTGTCATAAAATCTTTGCCAGGGCCTATGTCCAGAATAGTATTTCCTAGGTTTTCTTCAAGGGTGTTTATAGTTTTAGGTTTTACATTGATGTCTTTAATTCATCTTGAGTTGATTTTTATATATGGTGTAAGGAAGGGGTCTAGTTTCAATCTTCTGTATATGGCTAGCCAGTTATCCCAGCACCATTTATTGAAGATAAATGGTTGAAGATCAGATAGTTGTAGCTGTGTAGCTTTATTTCTGGGCTCTCTATTCTGTTCCTTTGGTCTATGTGTCTATTTTTACCTGTACCATGTTGTTTTGGTTACTGTAGCCTTATAGTACAGTTTGAAGTCAGATAATATGATTCCTCCAGGTTTCTTCTTTCTGCCTAGGATTGTTTTGGCTATTTGGGCTTTTTTTTTTTTTGTTTTACATGAATTTTAGAATTTTTTTTCTAATTCTGACCCTGGTAGTTTGATAGGAATAGCATTGAATCTGTAAATTGCTTTGGGCAGTATGGCCATTTTAACAATATTGATTCTTCCTATCCATGAGCATGAAATGTTTTTCCATTTGTTTGTGTCATGTCTGATTTCTTTCAGCAGTGTTTCCTAACTCTCATTGTAGAGGTCTTGCACCTCTGTTTAGCTGTATTTGTAGGTGTTTTTTTGTTTTGCTTTGTTTTGTGTGTGTGTGGCTATTGTGAATGGGATTTGTGTTCTTGATTTGGCATTCAGCTTGGACATTATTGGTGTATAGAAATGCTACTGATTTTTGTGTACTGATTTTGTATCTAGAAGCTTTGCTGAAGTTGTTTATCAGATCTAGCTTTTGGGCTGTGACTATGGGATTTTCTAGGTATAAAATTATATCACCTGCAGAGATAGTCTGACCTCCTGTCTTCCTATTTGGATGCCTTTTATTTCTTTCTCTTGCCTGCTTGCTCTGGTTAGGACTTCCTCTCTTTATTATGTATTATATTTTCCTTCTTTTCATGCCTGGTAATTTTTTATGGATACCACACATTGTGAATTTTACCATTTGAATGGCTGGATATATTTTTGTTTCTATAAATAAGAAACAAAAGTTAAGTTACTTGGAAACAGTTTGGTCCTTCAAATTTTGCTTTTTAAGATATGATGGGTGGCACCAGAGCAGTGTTTAGTTTAGGACCAATTTTACTACACCACTGAGGCAAAACCTTTCTGAGTACTCTACCCAGTATCCAATAAATTATGATGTTTTCTACTCTAGCTGTTAGGAACAGGGGTTCTTCCTAACTCGGGGTGATCCTGGGATTATTCGCTTTCATTCCTGCAGGGAGGTCCATCCTCTGCCTCAGGTAGTTTCCTCACATACAGGTGCTGATCATAACTCAGCTAAGGATCTGAGGGGAGGCTGTTCCTGATTGTCAGGGCTCCCCTGCCCCCTTCTCTCTCTAGCTCTTGCCTTGCTAGGTGAAGGGGTGGCCTGCCCCTCCACACCTGTGGGTGTTTCTCGTCTGGTGGGACGAGAGACTGAGAAAAGAAAGAGACACAGAGACAAAGCATAGAGAAAGAAAAGTGGGCCCAGGGGACCGGGCGCTCAGTATACGGAGGACCCGCGCCGGCACTGGTCTCTGAGTTCCCTCAGTATTTATTGATCATTATCTCTACCATCTCAGAGAGGGGGATGTGGCAGGACAATAGGGTAATAGTGGGGAGAAGGTCAGCAGGAAAACATGTGACAAATGTCTCTGTGTCATAAACAAGGTTAAGAAAAAGGTGCTGTGCTTTGATGTGCCAATACATAAACATCTTGGTGCATTAAAGAGCAGTATTGCCACCAGCATGTCTCACCTCCAGCCATAAGGTGGTTTTCTCCTGTCTCAGTAGATGGAACATACAATTGGGTTTTACACCGAGACATTCCATTGCCCAGGGATGAGCAGGAGACAGATGCCTTCCTCAGAGTTATCTCAACTGCAAAGAGGCCTTCCTCTTTTACTAATCCTCCTCAGCACAGACCCTTTACGGGTGTTGGGCTGGGGGATGGTTAGGTCTTTCCCCTCCCATGAGGCCATATCCCAGGCTATCACTTGGGGAGAAACCTTGGACAATATGTGGCTTTCCTAGGCAGAGGTCCCTGCGGCCTTCCGCAGTGTATTGTGTCCCTGGGTACTTGAGATTAGAGAGTAGTGATGACTTTTAACAAGCATACTGCCTTCAAGCACTTGTTTAACAAAGCACATCCTGCATAGCCCTAAATCCATTAAACCTTGAGTTAACACATCACAGGTCTCTGCAAGCACAGGGTTGGGGCTAGGGTTACAGATTAACAGCATCTCAAGGCAGAAGAATTTTTCTTAGTACACAACAAAATGGAGTCTCTTATGTCTACTTCTTTCTACATAGACACAGTAACAGTCTGATCTCTCTTTCTTTTCCCCACAGCTAGGCTAGTAGTCTGTCTTGAAAACTCTAGCTGCCTTGGTCTTTTAGGATCCAGTTCCATTTATTCAATCCTGAGAGTCCACTGGACTCTGCCAGTTTCCGCTCCCTGAGTCACAGCCTGGAAACCCTTTGCCGGGAGGAGGCCAGGACAGTCCTAGGGTTCAGCTCATTTTGTTTCATCTTGCAAACATCATGGTCCTGCATTGCTTCAGGTTCATGGTCTTGAAAACTATTGTTCTTTTTATATAGCCATTCCTTGGTATTCACGAGGGATTTGTTCCAAGACCCTTGAAGATGCCAAAATCTGGAGATGCTCAAATCCCTCACGTAAAATGGCAAGATATTTGCATATAACCTATGCACATCCTCCTGTAGACATGAAAACATCTCTAGATTACTTATAATACCTAATATAATGTAAATGCTATGTAAATGGTTGTTATACTGTATTTTTAAATTGTATTTTTATTGTATTTTTTCAAATGTTTTTGATCCATGGTTGGTTGAATCCATGGATGTAGAAGTCAAGTATAAGGAAGGCCAACTATAGCTTGTCAGATTATGTAGTTGTTTCAGGTTACAGGATAAATCCATCCCTGTAACTCCATTCCCATTGGAAGAGGAAATTTCCACTTTATATTTTTGCTAGCATAATACCATTTTTTCTGGTATTTTTCAAAATCACAACCTAACATTGTAATTCTAAAGTATTTAGAGTTATACATCTGTTTAAAATTTCAAATTGGATGAACATGCAATCTCCCCACTAAGACAGGCATTTGCCTTTGTCTGGGTGAGGCTGACCATTGTCTTTTGTGTTTAGCAGTTCCTTATAATCCCTCCATAACCAGCCTGGGTCTCTCTCCACTTCCAGAAGCCTTGACAGACTGTTTTAGAACTGGAGAGATGAGGAGTGGGGGTGAGATGCTAAGAACACACAGGAGAGGGTATGGCAGGAAGGAGGACAAAAGGGCAGGAGTTCCTAGGGCCAAGTCCCACCACTCTTCACCCCCAGCCTGACCACCTCCCTCCCCTCCGGGGCACACATCTCTCTGCTCCTCTTTACAGAGCCTCTTTATTTAACATGTCATGTGGTTCTGGTATCACAGTCACTACTCTTGTTGTGTGGAAGGGCAGAATCTCAGGGGCCCAGGACAGAATAGAAGACTGTTGGTGAGGCAGGACTTAGTCCCTTAGGGAGTTACCAGGCCAGCCCTGCCCCATGCTGTGGCAATCACAGGAGTGTGTGATACAGAGTGCTTGGAGAATAGGACCAGACCACACTTGACAAAATGGTGCCTATGGGGGTGCAACAATAACATGGCATTTTAGGAAGAGGTGGACAGGACAATGAGTTGCTTTGGGGGCTTTGGTCTTGTACACCATGCCTAGGTTCTGAGAGGGCAACTGTACCTTGCAGAATGACTGCCATCTGCCAGGCACAGTGCTAGGCTTTTTACAACCATTACGCCAGTCATTCCTTATGTCAACCTTATGTGGTGTGCATTGTCCTTTTACATTTCACATCTGAAGACAATTAGACTCAAAGGGTTTCAGATAGTTACTCGATGGGACTGGCACTCCAGAGTCTGCGAGGGCAGAGAAGTTTGCTGGGAGACTGAGAGAGTGCTCATGGGATATTGTGGTATGGGAGGAGCTGGAGCCCTATGTTCTTGGCTGGACAAAGCCCTGTTGTGCTCATTTTGGAGATGGCAGGTGGGACCAATCCCATCACAGCAGCTGCCTCAGCAGGGAGATGCCCTGCAAGGGTGAGGTGTGGCCTAGGCAAGGTGTAGGAACTGGAAACTGAGGTAGGGCTGGAGGGGGGGAATATAACAAGAGTGAAAACAGTGCTTGAGGGCAAAAATGTGATGGGGAAAGTAAAAAAAAAGACCTGGAGTCTACACTGAAATTGAGTGGGGGTGAAGAAGTGAAATATTATTTTGGACCATATGAAATTGTTGTTTTGTAGGTAAAATGGTGGATTATGAACAATTTTATGTGTTCAACCTAATGTAAGCTTACTGTGGGTAAGCACCAAATATTAAGTATAGCCCATGGAATGCAGGGTGGTCTAAAGGTGAGTGGCACTGGATCTCAGCATTTGGAATGCCTACCTGTCCCCATATGTATCATCAGAAGGCACCTGTTAAAATATACACGTTACCTAGAAGTAGCAAATATTACCTAGCAACATCCTGGCACAACTGGCTTTATTAAACCAAGTTGTCACTTACTATGACAACAGCTATATAAAGTGACTGAAAAGAAAATTGGAATTTTGATTGAAAGATCATTTTGACTAGGTAGAGCCTGAGATAGGGGAGCTGCTTGGCAGACTGTGAGCAGCACTTGGCACAAGGTGGGGGGGTTTTGATAGAAGGCATTGAGAGAGAGGAAGCCGAGGTCTGGACCCAAAAGACTTGCTGACTGGCTGTGCCCATAAGCTTCCCTGCGCTGACTGCTGTCAGCCAACAATTAGGATTTCCGTGGTGCTCTGGCTCCCTCTTCAGGGAAACTCCTGAAATGCATCGCCATGTCTCAAGAAGATGGAGCTCCAGCGAAGTTTCAGAGATGGAAGACGGAACGGTAAGGGAACTAGTATTTCTCAAATTCACACTGTGTGTAGGCAGTCTGCTGAAAAGTGGCCACTAATATTGCCATGTATAGAAGTGTAAACTCAGATAATTTACGTGATTTGTCCAAGGTCATAACTCAATGGTGGTAGAGCTGGGATTCAACTTCAGGTTAGCCTGACTCCAAAAGACAAAGGTTGACCGTGGGCATCTCCAGGGAAGGGAGCAACTTCTATTGATTTTTGAATCCAGAGCAACTTCCATTGATTTCTGAAGCTCCAGAGTATAGTTGGGTGCAACAAATGTGAATCCCCAAAGACACAGGGCCCCGCTTAAGACCCCACACGTGGTTTTCCTCCCAGAGTCAAAACCCAGCAAGTTTGTGCCCCTCTAACAGCAGTATGAATCTTGGGCCCCAAGGCTGTGTCTGGGGCAGCCCTTCATCTCTAACTTCTGAGTATTCTTGGCAACCACCTGGAACACAGTTTTCCATGGTGCAGTGCTTCCTCCTCCACCTGCCCTTTCACATAAGGGATCGCCTTTGACCTTAACACCTGCTCTCTCTGTTTGACAGATGATATTTGATTTTTGAAGATGGAAGAGCATCTATCCATGCATCCATTCATTCATAAAACTGATAAGTATTTGTTGAGTGTCTACGATGTCCAGTCAGTGTTATTGACTCTAGAGATACAGCAGTAAACAGAATAGATAAAAGCTGGGATATGTGGGTGGGAGTAGTAGGCAGTAAACAATAACCCTAATAAATATGTAAATTATACAACATGTTAGAAGGCGGTAACCACTATAGAAATAGAGCTGAATAAGGAATGAGAGTGCAAGTGGCAAGGATAAAGGGTAAGTTGTAATTTAAATGGACTGGTCAGCTCTGCTTTATTAAGAAGCTTACTTTTGAAAGAAATATAGGGAGGGAGCCAAGCAGATATCTTGGGTAAGAAGATTCCAGGTAGAGGGAAAAGCCAATGCAAATGTCCTAAGGTGAAATCATTCCTGATCTACACAAGATACAGCAAAGAGGCCAGTGTGGCTGGAAGGGAGTGAGAGAGGAGAGTAATGGGGTTGAGCTACCTCTACTGACTGAGTATATATTATATGCTGGGCACCACTAGGCACTTAAACATGCTGATCATGTCAACTCCTCTGGGAGTGTGTTATGGACCAATTTAGAAGTTGAGAAATAGTGGTTTGGTGAGAGTGGGTAACTCACACATGGCCACAGAGCCAGCAAAGCAGATGTTCTGGCTCCAGAGCCCCGTTCTCTCCTCTGCACCCCATTGCCTTCATTCGGCCGAGTGGCCCTGCCTGCAGCAGCTGCCATGCTCTGAGCTGGCCTCCTGGTGTCAGTGAGCCCCAGCTCAGTGGCCGAGGAGGGCCCCAGGAGTCACAGGCTCTCACTGATCCCCACCACACCGAGGCTGCTTCCTTGTACCCCTGGTTTTAGGTCCAGCGTCCTCACCACTCTGAAATCAATTACTATTTTTACTTCTCTTTTTTTTTTTGGCATTAAGTAGACTTTTGGTTTTTAAATTATCTGAAAGTAAAAGCACAGAAGTGACATTCTTCTTGAAAGTGAAAGCAAGTGTGGAACATTTTTAACCATGCTGTTTCCTATCTGTTCTAGTTTCTGTAGGTAGTGGGTTCAGAGTAGCTCAGAGTATAAGGTGTGGGATGTGTGTGGGGGTGAGGGTTGGCCCAGGTGGACATCAGCATTTGACTCCTTCCTGGTTGCTGTAATTTGGGAGGGACTAACCAGGCTGCTAGATGTGCAGAAGGGTGGGCGCCACCTGCTGGTTGTGTGCATAAACCGCCTTTTCACCCAGTCAATCTTCATTCTTCTTTACTTGGAAATGGCAAATGAAGCCTTTCTATACGTGACTCTAGCAAATTAATTATTTCAGTCTTCCCGAAACACTTTATGTATATAATACCTCATGGTAGCATCATGCAAATGTCCCTTTGCCTTTGCTTGTGCTGGTATACCTTACGAAAAACAATCTGTACATCCAAGATGTCCCCCAACATCACCTACTTCAAAAATCACCTACTTCCAAGATCCATCCCTTACACTCTCCAAACTCCCCAGTCCTCAGAGACCCTAAGACACCTTGAACTACATCTAATCACCATGTGGCTAATGTGTTTGTCTTCTCCCAGAGGGGGACAGAGAATTAGCATTAAATTATGGCAGATCCCAGAAGATGTGCACAGGTCCTAGGACACAGCAAGGTGTTCAATAACTGTTGAAAGAAAGAATGCAGGCAACATATAACAATAAATAGGAAACAGACTGCATTTCGGTTTGTGGAGATGTGTGACATCTAAATAGAAGAAGAATGTCCTCCTTTGGTGATAGAGTTCCAAAGAGTTATTGCACTTATAAACTTTTTATACTAAGTATTGATGCTGGCAACTCAAAAACATCCCTTTTTAAGATTTTTAGGGGCCAAAATTCATACGGACACTCCCAGATGTTAAGGTTTTGACTTCTAAAAAGAGACGAACTGCCTGTATTTTAGGTTTATTTTATTTATTATTATTATTATTTTTTGAGACGGAGTCTCGCTCTGTCGCCCAGGCTGGAGTGCAGTGGCGCTATCTCGGCTCACTGCAAGCTCCGCCTCCCAGGTTCACGCCATTCTCCTGCCTCAGCCTCCCAAGTAGCTGGGACTACAGGCTCCCGCCACTACGCCCGGCTAATATTTTTGTATTTTTAGTAGAGACGGGGTTTCACCGTGTTAGCCAGGATGGTCTCAATCTCCTGACCTCGTAATCCGCCCGTCTCGGCCTCCCAAAGTGCTGGGATTACAGGCGTGAGCCACCACGCCCAGTTCATTTTAGGTTTTACTAACTCACTCTTATCCTTTAATCTGGCCACACAGATACCTTACCAGGTCTTAAGTCACTGTTAAAAAAAATTTTTCCCCAAACGTATCACATATTACCAGGATTGTCTGACTACATGTGTGCCTCCCACAAAGGGCTTAGCCTCTGTGTTGGGAAATGGAGATGTGCTAGAAAGCCAGGCTCGAGCATTGTCTATGGCCATCAGTGCTGTGCTAAATAAGGACTTGTGGAAAGGCGCCCTCTCGTGGGGAATCAGCGAATTAAAAATAAAAGAAGTTACACAACTGTAGCCATAGATACAGATAGATATGACACAAAATCTTCCTATTGCTTCCCTACACGCTCTCTTTTCAATGTCTTTCAAGAACTAAAAGTTTTTAATTTTAAGGATTTCAATTTATCAGTTTTTTCTTTTATAAAATATAAAATAATTTTTCTTTTATAAAATAGTACTTTTTATGTCCTGTTTAGGAAATCTTTGTCTACCCAGTATATTTTCTTCTGTTTTAATTTAGAAGCTGGATTATTTTAACCCTCACATTTAGGTCTATGATCCATTTCTTACAAATATTTTTGTATGGATTGAGGTAGGGGTCAAGGTTCATTTATTTCCCCACATGGATATTCAAATGACCCAGAATCATTTCCTACCATTTTTTTTTCCCCTACTACATTGCAGTGGAGTTTTGTCATAACTTAGTTGGCCGTATATGTATGGGAACGTTTTTGACTTCTTATTTTGTTCTATTGTTCTACTTTCAAACTAATACCGCAGTCGTAGTTACTGCAATGTTATAACAAATTTTGATATCGGGCGGTATAAATCTCGCAAATTTATCCCTTTTTAAAATATTGGCTGGCTGGGCTATTCTCTTTGCTCCTTCCTTCCTTCCTTTTTTTTTTTTTTTTTTTTTGAGTTTCACTCTTGTTGCCCAGGCTGGAGTTCAATGGCGCGATCTTGGCTCACTGCAACCTCCGCCTGCCAGGTTCAAGCGATTCTCCTGCCTCAGTTTACCAAGTAGCTGGGATTACAGGCATGCGCCACCACGCCTGGCTAATTTTGTATATATTTATTAATTTTTTTTAGGCGGAGTCCCACTCTGTCGCCCACGCTGGAGTGCAGTGGCGCGATCTCCGCTCACTGCTACTTCTGCCTCTCGGGTTCAAGCGATTCTCCTGCCTCAGCCTCCTGATTAGCTGGCATTACAGGCGCGCTCCATCACGCCCGGCCCTAATTTTGTATTTTTAGTAGAGACAGGGTTTCACCATGTTGGTCAGGCTGGTCTCGAACTCCTGACCTCGTGACCGCCCGCCTCGACCTCCCAAAGCGCTGGGATTAAAGGCGCGAGCCATCGCGCCCGGCCCTAATTTTGTATTTTTAGTAGAGAAGGGGTTTCACCATGTTGGTCAGGCTGGCCGGTCTCGAACACCTGACCTCGGGTGATCCACCAAAGTGCTGGCAGAGCCAACACGCCCGACCAATTCTTTGCATTTTCATACACGTTTTAGAATTTGCCTGTCAATTTTATTTAAAAAACCCTGCTGGGATGAGAATTTCTTTAACTCTATACAAAAAAGTGAAGATAATTGACATGTTACAATATCAAATTTCTAACTCATAAATATTGAATATTTTTTCATTTATTTAGGACTTCTTTCATTTCTCTCAGTACTATTTTATAGTTTTCAGCCTAGAGAAGTTGCACATTTTCTAACAGATTTATTTCTGTTTGTTTGATGTTTGTGGGTGCTATAATAAATGATATCTTAAAATTTTTATTTCTTATTTGATGGTTGCTAATAAATCAAAATACAATTGATTTATTGTAAATTGACTTTTATCTATCATCCTTGTTAAGTTTAGTTATAATTTTAGTTGTTTTGTACATTATTTTTGATTTTACACGAACACAATCATGTCATCTGAGAATAATAAGTTTTATTTTTTCTAATCTGAATATCTTTTATTATTATTTTCTATTTCTATTGTGATGACCATATTATATTTCTCCTTTACTTTATTAATGTTAATTAATCATTAATTGCCTTTCAAATTTGAAAGAGGTTTGAAACTGTTTCTAAAATAAACTCTATTTGTTGATCAGTTATATGTTATTCAACCAAACACTAATCTAGGTTTTGTTGTAAATGTATTTTAAAGATGTGATTAATATTTGTAATCAGTTCACTTTAAGTAAACGAAATTGCTCTATGGATTTCAGACTTGCCTATCCAGCATCCACAATCCTATAAGCCAGTTCCTTGCAATCACTTTCTCTTTCTTTCCCTCTCCTCCACCCCCTTTCCTACACACACACACACACACACACACACACACTCTCTCTCTCTCTCTCACACACACACACACTCTCTCTCTCTCTCTCACACACACACACACACACACGTACTGGTTCTGGTATTCTTCTAGTGCAACTCTGACTGACAGAGATTTTCATACTCAGAGGTAGAGTGTAGAGGAACAGAAAAATGAGTTTTCTGAACTAATTCTGGGTTTTCTGCAATTATCTAATCTAATTGGATTTAAAGGCACTGATGACTATTTTCAGTGGTAAAGAGGGCACTGGTAGTCCATGGTGTGATGTGGCAACAAAGATATGGCCATTAGATACTCCTTGTCAAATACCTATTTTATTTTATTTTATTATTATTATACTTTAAGTTTTAGGGTACATGTGCACAATGTGCAGGTTAGTTACATATGTATACATGTGCCATGCTGGTGCGCTGCACCCACTAACTCATCATCTAGCATTAGGTATATCTCCCAATGCTATCCCTCTCCCCTCCCCCCCCACCACAGTCCCCAGAGTATGATGTTCCCCTTCCTGTGTCCATGTGTTCTCATTGTTCAATTTCCACCTATGAGTGAGAATATGCGGTGTTTGGTTTTTTGTTCTTGCGATAGTTTACTGAGAATGATGATTTCCAATTTCATCCATGTCCCTACAAAGGACATGAACTCATCATTTTTTATGGCTGCATAGTATTCCATGGTGTATATGTGCCACATTTTCTTAATCCAGTCTATCATTGTTGGACATTTGGGTTGGTTCCAAGTCTTTGCTATTGTGAATAATGCGGTAATAAACATACGTGTGCATGTGTCTTTATAGCAGCATGATTTATAGTCCTTTGGGTATATACCCAGTAATGGGATGGCTGGGTCAAATGGTATTTCTAGTTCTAGATCCCTGAGGAATCGCCACACTGACTTCCACAATGGTTGAACTAGTTTACAGTCCCACCAACAGTGTAAAAGTGTTCCCATTTCTCCACGTCCTCTCCAGCACCTGTTGTTTCCTGACTTTTTAATGATTTCCATTCTAACTGGTGTGAGGTGGTATCTCATTGTGGTTTTGATTTGCATTTCTCTGATGGCCTGTGATGGTGAGCATTTTTTCATGTGTTTTTTGGCTGCATAAATGTCTTCTTTTGAGAAGTGTCTGTTCATGTCCTTCACCCACTTTTTGATGGGGTTGTTTGTTTTTTTCTTGTAAATTTGTGTGAGTTCACTGTAGATTCTGGATATTAGCCCTTTGTCAGTTGAGTAAGTTGTAAAAATTTTCTCCCATTTTGTAGGTTGCCTGTTCATTCTGATGGTAGTTTCTTTTGCTGTGCAGAAGCTCTTTAGTTTAATTAGATCCCAAATACCTATTTCTTTTCTTTGGAGAATTTACATAAGATTGGTATTGTTTCTTCCTTAATAGAGGAGAAGAATTTACCGGTGAAGCTTCTGGGCTTGGCATTTTTTTGCATTTGAAAGTCTTTTTAAGGAAACATTTAAATTATTTTAATATTGAAATTTTACATTTCTTCTTAGGTCAGTGTTAGCGAGCTGTTTTTTAAAGAATATCCTTTTCATCGGAATTTTCTATTTTATTGGCATAATGTTGTTCATAATAATGTATAATCAGTAGTGATTCCCTCTTTTTCTTCCTGATATCCATAATTTTCACTTTTGCTTTTATTTTCTTGCCCAATTTTATTAATTTTTAATTTTTAACTTTACTCATTTTAATCCTTTCTAAAAAAATTTTTGAAAAGAGTAACTTTTGACTTTGTTGATTTTCTCTATTGTGTGCCTGTGTTCTATTTCATTGATTTCCTCTCTTTATTATTTATTTATTATTTAAAATTTCAGGAAGAGGTTAGTTGGCCATTCTTTTTCCAGTATTTTGAGAAAAAATTTAGATCTTTGCCCACATTTCTTTTTTCTAATATTTACCTTAAAGTACAAGATTTTCTCTAAGAACTGATTTAGCAGCATTGAAAGTTTTGATGCAGAATATTTTATTATAAGTCAGCCCAAAATGTTTCCTACTTTGCTATGTGATTTATTTCTTCGACTGATGGGTCATTTAAAAACATGTGGCTTAATTTCCACACATTTGGAGATTTTCTAGTTATCTTTCAGTTAGTGAGTCCTGACATAATTTCACAGTGGTCAGAGAACATATGATTTCAGATCTCTGAAAATTTTAAGACATGATTTATGATCCAAGACAGTTTATTTTGGTCAATGTTCAAAGTACATTTGAAAAGAATGTGTATTCTGATAGTTGATGTTTGCTCTATGTATGCCCATTATGTCAGGTTGATTTATCCTCCTCAACTTTACTGCTTGTTCTAATTAATTACTGAGAGAGAGACAGATGTTACTATCTTCAATATAATTATGGAGTTCTCTATCTCTCCCTTTAGTTCTGACAATTTTTGCTTACTGTAATTTGTTTTCACAAAGTATATTTTCTACCATTTTTAAAATTTGCACCATTCTGTGTCTTTATGTATGACAGGTGTTTCCTATAAACAACATAAAATTGATTTAAAAAAATCAAGTCTAATACTCTTTGTCTTTTGATTGTAGTATTTAGACCATTCACATTTAATGTAATTACTGATATAGCTAGGTTTACGTTTGCCATTTCTACTTTTTCTTTGTTTCATTTCTTTAATAATTTTAGTCTATTTTGGATCAATTTTTAAATTATTTCATTTCTCTTCTGTTAGCTTTTTAAGTATATTTTTCTTTATTATTATTTTAAGGTATCCTAGAAATTAAAATGTTCTTTACAATTTTTATAGTTCATTTTAAATTAATATTTTTACTACTTCTCAAACAATGCAAGAACCTTAACTTTCTTTGCCTTTTGCTATTATTATAAATTTTAGTTTGACATATATTATAAATTCCAATATTTTTTGTTGTTTTAAACAGTCAGTATTCACTTATAAAATCTCAAATATCTACCTTTTAAAAGTGATTTTTGTAGTTTTCTGCAATTTCATGCTTTTATCTGGGATCATTTTCCTTAATCTGAATGAATTCTTGTAGTACAAGTTCACTGAAGGTGAATTATTTCATCTTTTTCATGATGTTGTTTTTCTTTTTCTAAAAATATTATTGTAAAAATACTTTTGTAAAAATCATCATAAAAATATTATTGTAAAAAAGTAATTTGTTTTTAGAAAGACCTTTTCACAAGACAAAGAATTATCTGTAGTTTTGCCCTACCACTTTGAATATGCGATTTCATTATATTCTAGATTCTATACATTCTATTTAAAAAGTTAACCACAATTCTTATTGATGCCCTTTTTAAAATAATATATATTTTTTCTTTCTGACTCCTTTTGAGATTATTCCTATGCTTTGGCTTTCTATAAATCTCTATAATTTCTTTAGATGTGGCCTTCTCTACATGTATCATGCTTAAAGTTGGTTTAAATTTTTGAATCTGTTTGTGTTTCATCAGGTTTTGAAAATTCTTGCACATTAATTCTTCAAAGATTGCCCTGTCTCATTCTATCCTTTCTCTCTGAACTTTAGTAACATGTATATTAGACTCTTTGAGCATAACCCATTTATCCACTCTGCTCTTTTTTTCCTCCATTTTTTTCCCTCTGTATGCACAGGTTTGTGTATTTTTTATTGACCTTTCTTCAAGTTCACTTACTCTGTCTTCCACCATACCCAGTCTGTTGTTACCCCGCCAAGAATGTTTCTGACTCCAGATACTTAATTCTAGAATATATTCACTTGATTTTTTTTATCGATTCTAATGTTGAAATTCTCCTCCTTTTCATTTGTTTTGTCCATCTTTCCTTCTATTTTAAAAAGACATATTTATCATGGTTATATTAAAGCTCTTTTTAAAACTCCTGCGTCTTCTAACATGGGATTGTCTCCCAGTTGTTGCCTTTTCTCTTGATGTTTATCACCTTTTCCTGCATTTTTCTGTGACTAATTTTTTTTTTTTTCTTTACTGGCTAGTCTGGATGATGCCTTGTAGAAGCTCTGGGTCATGTTTTCCATCTTTGAAGAGCGTTGAGTTTTGTTCTGGCAGGCAGTTAAAGTACCAGAGGATCATCTTGATACTGTTGAGACTTGGCTTTAGGCTTTGTTAGAGTAGATACCTTTCCTTACTTCCAGGGTGTTGGCTGCTCTTAGGGCATGAGTCAAAATCCTAGCGAATGGTGTTTCTGAGGTCTTAACTAAAAGCTAAAGATAAACCCTAAGTTTGCTCTGCTCAGACCTGGTATCAACCTCTAATTACTAGCTTCCTAATGCTGTGCAGTCTCTAACAGATCTTCAGCTCTCTAGCATTCCAGTGGCTCTTTTCTCCTAGGCCTCCTTTAGGATCACTTTGTGCATGAACAGCTTAGCGATTGGCAAAGGATCTAAGAAGGAATTTTAATGTAGATTTGTAGGTGCACCTCCTTGTGGATTTCTCTTCTCTGGGACCTTGCCCACCAAATCCTAGCGTTTGGCAGGATTGAAATCTGATCTCTTTCTCTCCTGCTTAGTTTGACCTTCTCAAAGAAAGCCACGTTGAAATTGGGGCTTACTTTTTGTGCTTTTCTTTTCTCAAGGATTATAATCCTCTGTCGGTTTCTGTTCAATGCTTGAAAACATTTGCTCTGTATCTTTTATTCAGTTTCTTAGTTGTTTATGATAGGAGGAAGATTGTCAGCGACTCCATCATGGTGCAAACAGAAAATCACTCCATTCGTATAAGATGTTTCAAATACAAGTTTATTTCTGGGTTTTATATTTGATTCTACTGATCTACTTGTCTTTCTCTGTGCCACGGCCTCACTATTCTAATTTTAATTGCTTTATTATAAGTCTTATATCTGGTAGGGCACATCCTGCTACCTTTTCTCTCTAAAAGTGTCCCGGTCTTTGCTTGCTCTTTTACATTTTTGTATTAGTATTAGAAGTGGCTTGCTGAGTTCCATAGAAGTCCTATTTATATATTGTTTCGAATTGCATTAAATCTATAGATTAATTTAAAAAAGACTGCCGTCTTTGGGGTTTTGAATCCTGTTTGTGAACATAGTGTCTCTCTGTATGTTTTTAGATCTTCACTAATGTTTCTCAATTAAATTTCATAATTTTCTTCATAATGAGACATATTTTATAAAATGTACCTAAAATATTTTGTTTCTTGCTGCTATTGTAAATAGTATTACAAGAATTAAATTTTCTTTTTCTAGATTTATTTTGTTTTAATTGACACATAATAATTATAATATTTATGTGGTACAGTGTGATTTTCCATACATATAGACAAAGATAATAATCAAATTAGAGTAATTAGCATATACATTACCTCAAACACTTGTGATGTTTTTAAATGGATAACATTCAAAATTACATTTTCTAATTGTTCAATGCTGCTATGTAGAAATACAATAGATTTTTGTATAGTGATCTTATTTTCAACTTTCTTGATAAACTTTTTATCAATTATAATTTTTCTGTAGGTTTTGTGTTTTTAAATAGACAATAACAACAACTATGGATAATAACAGCTTTGATTTTTTTCTTTTAAACTCTTCAGAGCTATGCTTATAGTACACTATATATGCGTATATATAAATGTAAATATATCTTTTTTTCTCTCTTACTATGCTGGACATGCTGGACATGGTGATAGCAGGATATTTGCCTTGTTGCTGATTTTAAAGGGCAGGCTTTTTAACATTCCAGCAAAGACTTCTAAGTTGACTGATCATGTTTTGAAAGAGCTAAGGGAGCAGCCCCTCCTCCATGAAGTGGGCCCTAGTTTTGTCATATTCCTTCTCTAGACCTCAATTTTTTTAACCTGTAAAATATAAGGTTTGTCCTATAATAACAAACAGTTTTCAAACTTGTATGGGTTAGAGTTCCTTCAAGTCACAGGTTCTTTTAAAAAATTTATAAAATAGTGAAACTGAAATATATATAACTTTCCCTTTAGACAAAAGCCCATTTTATTCTCTTTGATACAAGGCTTAAGTGCTAGACAAGTGGTAGTAAGAAATGAACATGTAAGAGAAACTTACAAAAGGAATATTTAAAATTAAAAAAAAGGAATGACAGATGTGTTAGATATTTTCCACTGCAGAATGGGAAAAGATCATTGACTTTAGGCTGAGGAAAGCCTTGACCCAGCATTCCTAAACGCACATAAAAGTGTTCCTTGAAGACTGTCTAGTTTTGGAAGCCCAATCTTTTTCAAGCTCCCCTTCCCCCTTGGTCTTCTTTCTTCCTTAATGTCACAATTATAGCAGCTCAGGAGACAGAGTATGAGAATATTTCTCTGCATTTCACTTTGAAATTGTGTTCTTTTGAACAATTTCATTCAACATCTTTTCAAGAAGTATTTCTTAAACACCTACTCTGTGCTGGGAATAAGATGGTGACCAAAACAGTTTCTGTCCTCAGTGGCAAGTGGAGAAGGCAAGTGAGTAAATAAACAATTACAATAAAATTTGGTAAGCTCGAGGTACTAAGAGAACACTTCCTCTCAAAGGATTCAGGGACAATGTGAAATGAATATTTGTCTCATACATACATAAATATTTAATGTTGGCAAGCTATATCCAGCATGTAATTAGATATTCACAATGCCTTTTGTTACAGTACTTTAATCCATATTATCTAATTTTCCTCTCACAAAAATCCCCCAAGGAAGATATTAACATTTTATTTTATAGATGAAGGAATGAGAGCTCAAAGCATTTAAAATACATTTCTAAAATCATACAAATTGTAGGTGGCTAGGAAGAAATTCAAATACAAATAAAATGTTTGTTGACATATTTTGACCAACGTATAATATATGATTCATTTTGTATATTAAAAAAGCTACTGAAAACCAAAATAATGAAGTTCAATTGGTTATCAGTTGGGTGTCTGGGGGGAAATACCCAGAAAGATTGTTCCTTGGCCAGGTAGAGGCCCAGTGGGTGTCTGGAGAGCCTCAGAGATGCAAATTACCCAAACAGGATATTAATTAAGCATTTTCCCTTCACTGGCTCTGCAGAATGTGTAAAAATCCATAAGAGAATGAACACCTCAGGCTAATCTTTTGGATGAGTTGTAACTAACAATGTCCAGTCCTTCTCAGAACCTCTGATTGATCAAGCCCACTGGTTCTTGGGTTATGCAGGCAGTGCAGACATAAACCAGGCTTCAACCCTTTGTTGGCCATTCCCATGGCCATGGAAAGGAAGGCAATGGAGGGCAAAGCATCAAGATGGTATAGAGAGGTGGAAACAGCACAGCCCAGACACTTGTGAGGCTCTTACATCTTTACCACCTCACCAGTCCTGCACATGCCCTACAGTAATTATAGCTAACACTTAATGAGTACTTACTGTGTACAGGCCCTTTGCTAAGTATTAACATGGTATCATTTAATCCACAAAGCCACTCAATGAGGTGGGCATGGTCATTATTCTCATCCCATAGACTAGGAAATTAAGGTCTTACAGCAGGGGCTGGTGAGCTGTGGCCCATGGATCAAGTCTGGGCCACTGCCTGGATTTGCAAATAAAGTTTTATTTGAACACAGCCATATCTTTTCTTTTTTTTTTTATTTTTTTTTAATTGATCATTCTTGGGTGTTTCTCGCAGAGGGGGATTTGGCAGGGTCATAGGACAATAGTGGAGGGAAGGTCAGCAGATAAACAAGTGAACAAAGGTCTCTGGTTTTCCTAGGCAGAGGACCCTGCGGCCTTCCGCAGTGTTTGTGTCCCTGGGTACTTGAGATTAGGGAGTGGTGACGACTCTTAACGAGCATGCTGCCTTCAAGCATCTGTTTAACAAAGCACATCTTGCACCACCCTTAATCCATTTAACCCTGAGTGGACACAGCACATGTTTCAGAGAGCACAGAGTTGGGGGTAAGGTCATAGATCAACAGGATCCCAAGGCAGAAGAATTTTTCTTAGTACAGAACAAAGTGAAAAGTCTCCCATGTCTATTTCTTTCTACACAGACACAGCAACCATCCAATTTCTCAATCTTTTCCCCACCTTTCCCCCTTTTCTATTCCACAAAACTGCCATTGTCATCATGGCCCGTTCTCAATGAGCTGTTGGGTACACCTCCCAGACGGGGTGGTGGCTGGGCAGAGGGGCTCCTCACTTCCCAGAAGGGGCGGCCGGGCAGAGGCGCCCCCCACCTCCCAGATGGGGCAGCTGGCCAGGCGGGGGCTGACCCCCCACCTCCCTCCCGGACGGGGTGGCTGCTGGGCGGAGACGCTCCTCACTTCCCAGACGGGGTGGCTGCCGGGCAGAGGGGCTCCTCACTTCTCAGACGGGGCAGCTGCCGGGCAGAGGGTCTCCTCACTTCTCAGATGGGGCGGCCGGGCAGAGATGCTCCTCACCTCCCAGACGGGGTTGTGGCCGGGCAGAGGCGCTCCTCACATCCCAGACGGGGCAGCGGGGCAGAGGCGCTCCCCACATCTCAGACGATGGGCGGCTGGGCAGAGACGCTCCTCACTTCCTAGATGGGATGGCGGCCGGGAAGAGGTGCTCCTCACTTCCTAGATGGGATGGCGGCCAGGCAGAGGCTGCAATCTCAGCACTTTGGGAGGCCAAGGCAGGCGGCTGGGAGGTGGAGGTTGTAGCGAGCCGAGATCATGCCACTGCACTCCAGCCTGGGCACCATTGAGCACTGAGTGAACGAGACTCCATCTGCAATCCCGGCACCTCGGGAGGCTGAGGCTGGTGGAGACCAGCCCGGCCAACACAGCGAAACCCCGTCTCCACCAAAAAAATACGAAAACCAGTCAGGCGTGGCGGCGTGCGCCTGCAATCTCAGGCACTCGGCAGGCTGAGGCAGGAGAATCAGGCAGGGAGGTTGCAGTGAGCCGAGAAGGCAGCAGTACAGTCCAGCTTCGGCTCAGCATCAGAGGGAGACCGTGGAAAGAGAGGGAGAGGGAGACCGTGGGGAGATGGAGAGGGAGACGGAGAGGGAGAGGGAGAGGGAGAGGGAGAGCCATATCTTTTCATTTATGCATTATGTATGAGTTCTTTCATGGAACAACTGAATAGTTAAGAAGCGGTGACAGAGAAAATCACAAAGCTGAAATATTTACTATCTGATCCTTTACAGAAAAGGTTTGCCAAAACCTAATTTATTCAATGGCACCTTTTTTGAAGGAGGCTGAACTGGGCTATGAACCTGGGCAGTTGGATGCCAGCACCTATACTTACAATCACAGGCTCAATTGCCTTATTATGAAGCCTGACTTCCTGGGTGTTCAACCTGCACAGTTATATGGGGCCGGCACTTAGAAGGCCCCATATGACTGTGCATTTGGTTTAATGCTCTGCTTTTACTTAATAATTTTTGAACAAGGGGTGCTGCATCTTCATTTCACATTGGGCCTTGAAAATGATGTAGCTGGTCCTGCTTATTATGGCAACCACTAATGTTGAGTATCAGAGCAGAAGAAAGGCCCCTAAGCCACCTGTTCCCCTGCCTGTATTCATGAGTCTGATGTGGTTCATGAAATAGAAGGCTCAGCAACTGCCCCAGTCCCTTTATCCTGAGCCCACCCTGAAGATAAGCCTGAGGTCTTTGCCTCACCTTTTATGCTTTCATGGATTCACACACAGTCACAGGGTGAAATGTGAGAGGAGTGCATTTTTTAAAAATTATTTTTTTGTTTTTAAATTTTATTTGTTGATTTATTTTGTTAGACAGGGTCTCCCTCTGTCACCCAGAATGAAGTGCAGTCTTGCATAGCTCACTGCAACCTGGGCTCAGGCAATCCTCCCACCTCAGCCTCCTGAGTAGCTGGTACCACAAGCACACACCACCACACATGGATAATTTTTAATTTTTTGTAAAGATGGAGTCTCACCATGTTGCCCAGGCTAGACTTGAACTTCTGAGCTCAAATGATCCGCTCACCTCAGCCTCCCAAAGTGCTGGGATTACAGGTGTGAGCCACTGCACCTGGCCAAATGGGTTTGATTCTAATGAGGAGGAACCCTCATATCTTTGCTTAGATCCATTTCCTCCTTCTTTACTTAGTTCACATATTAGAGGCGTCCTGGGTAGACCAATCCCTTAAACACACAACAAAAGTTTGCTTCTGAACCGCCTTCTAATTTTTTAGAATTTTCTCTTACCTTGTGTACTTGCCTCACTCCTCATATCTGCTGGTCACTGCTGTTTCTCTTGTCTTTACCTTCTGCTTTCTTCCCTGACCACAACTCTCTTTCTGGTTGTGTTGCCACAACCTCCCTGAATAATTTGCCTCATCAACACTGACTCATCCCTGGAAACATCTACACTGTTGTAGGCCCCAAGGACAGCGAGGTTGCTGCTTAGGCCCCCACAGCTTTTCTACTGCACAACTCCAGGGCTGCCACATGTAGACGGTGCTGTGAATGGGCCCAACCATTATGCCATAGAACAGGTCTATTAGGCTGCCCCTTGCCAGGTCCATTTCAGTCCCATGACAAAGACCCAGAAAAGTCATAGTAGAGAGCCTAGAGTGATGATGCAATCCAAAGCCATTCCTCTAATGACAACAATGCCTGGGAGGAACCTTGAATGCTTATCTGGGAGATGAGAAGTCTGAAGGAGAGCTAAGAAATTTTTAGTGTGTGGAAGGGTATAAGTAGGACCAGTGAGTGGACAGAGGCTACAAAGAGTCATGCTTAAAATGAAAAATAATTTCTAATGTCCATTTTCACGCTGCTGATAAAAACATACCCGACTGGGCAATTTACAAAAGAAAGAAGTTTATTGGACTTACAGTTCCACGTGGCTGGAGAGGCCTCACAATCATGGTGGAAGGTGAAAGGCATGTCTCACATGGCAGCAGACAAGAGAATAGAGCTTATGCAGGAAAACTCCCCATTATAATAACCATCAGATCTTGTGAAACTTACTATCACGAGAACAGAGAACAGCATGGGAAAGACCTGCCCTCATGATTCAATTACTTCCCACTGGGTCCCTCTGACAACACTTGGGAATTCAAGATGAGATTTGGGTGGGGACAGAGCCAAGCCATATCATCTAACCATCTAATCTGTTCAGAAAAGCAAGTGGCTATTGTCTTGATGGGTTTTGGTTTCTCTGGCCTGGAGGTGTTTCAGCCGAATTTGGGAGATCACATGAAAGAGGGGTGCTGTGTACAAGACGTAGGAAGTTCGAACAGGAGGAGGCATGCCCTAACAGGAAAAGGGGTGCCTTAACAGGAGGAAGGGTGTTCTAATGGGGTTGGAGAGTGCCCTAACAGGGGGAGGGGTGCTCTAATAGAAGTGCCTTAATTAGGGTGCTCCTAATAGGATGGAGTGCCTAATAGGAGAAGGGGATGCTCTAAAAGGAGGAGGGGGCCTGAACAGGAGGAGGAGCCTAAAAGGAGGAGGAGGTGCTTTAACAGGAAGAGGGGGTGCTCTAACAGGAGGTGTAGGTCCCTAACAGGAGGAGGGGATGTCCTAACAGGAGAATGGATGCTGTAAATGGAGGAAGGGTATCTTAACAAGAGGAGGGGTGCTCTAATCAGAGAAGGAGGGGTGCTCTAATCAGAGAAGGAGGTGCTCTAAAAGGAGGAGGGGGCCTTAACAGGAGGTGGGGTGACCTAAGAGGTAGAATGGGTGCTCTAACAGGAGGTAGAGTTCTCTAACAGGAGGAGAGGTGCCCCAAAAAGAGAAAGTGATGCCCTAACAGGCGGAGGGGTGCCCTAAACAGGAAGAGAGGTGCTGTAACAAGAAGAAGGGTGCTGTAATAGGAGGAGGTGTGTTCTAACAAGAAAATGGGGCCCTAAAATCAGGAGAGATGCCCTAAGAGGAAGAGGGGTTCCCTAACAGAAGGAGGGGTGTCCTAATAGAAGGAAGGGTGCTCCAACAGAAGGAAAGTTGTTCTAACAGGAGGAGAGGTGCTCTAACAGGAGGAAAGTTGCTCTAACAGGGGGAGGGGTGCCTTAACAGAAGGAGGGGTTGCCCTAAGAGGGGGGGTGTTATAACAGGAAGAGGAGTATTCTAACAGGAAAAGGGGGTGCCCCAACAGGAGAATGGGTGCCCTAACAGGAGGAGGGTTGTCCTAACAGGAGGAGGGGTGCCCTAACAGTAGGAGGGGTGCCCTATATAGGGAAAGGTGCCCTAACAGGAGGAGAGGGTGCCTGTATTAGTCCATTCAAACTATATCATTTCACCCCTGGCCCCAACAAAATCTCATGTCCTCACAATTCAAAACACAATCATGCCCTTCCAACAGTCCCCCAAAGTCTTAACTCATTCCAGTATTAACTCAGAAGTCCAAGTCCAAAGTCTCATGTGAGACAAGGTAAGTCCCTTATGCCTATGAGCCTGTAAAATCAAAAGCAAGTTAGTTACTTCCTAGATATAATGGGGATACAGGCATTGGGTAAATACACCCATTCCAAATGGGAGAAATTGGCCAAAAGAAAAGGGCTAAAGACTCCACGAAAATCCAAAATCCAATAGAGCAGTCATTAAAACTTAAAGTTCCAAAATGATCTCCTTTGACTCCATGTCTCACATCTGGGTCACACTGATGCAAGAGGTGGCCTCCCACAGCCTTGGGCAGCTCTGTCCCTGTGGTTTTGCAGGGTACAGCCCCCCTTCAGGCTACTTTCACAGGCTGGTGTTGAGTGCCTGTGGCTTTTCCAGGTGCACAGGTGCAAGCTGTAGGTGGATCTACCATTGTAGGGTCTGGAGGACCATAGCCCTCTTCTCACAGCTCCACAGGGCAGTGCCCAGGTGGGGACTCTGACCCCACATTTCCCTTCCATACTGCCCTAGCAGAGGTTCTCCATGAGGGCTCCACCCCTGCAGCAAACTTCTGCCTGGACTTCCAGGTGTTTCCATACATCCTCTGAAATCTAGATGGGGTTCCCAAACCTCAATTCTTGACTTCTGCCAAGCTGTCAAGGCTTGGGAATTGCACCCTCTGAAGCCACAGCCGGAGCTGTATCTTGGCCCCTTTTAGCCACACTTGTATCAGCTGGGACACAGGGCACCAAGTTCCTAGGCTGCACACAGCACAGGAGCCCTGGGCCTGGCCCATGAAACCATTTTTTCCTCATAGGCCTCTGGGCCTGTGATGGGAGGGTCTGCTGTGAAGGTCTCTGACATGGCCTGGAGACATTTTCCTCATTGTGTTGGCGATTAACATTCAGCTCCTTATTACTTACACAAATTTCTGCAGCTGGCTTGAATTTCTCCCTAGAAAATGGTATTTTATTTTCTATTGCATCATCAGGCTGCAAATTTTCCAGACTTTTATACTCTGCTTCCTCTTGAATGCTTTGTCACTTAGAAATTTCTTCTGCAAAACACCCTAAATCATCTCTCTCAAGTTCCAAGTTCCACAGATTTCTAGGGCAGGAGCAAAATGCCATCAGTCTCTTTGCATAGGAAGAGTGACCTTCACTCCAGTTCCCAAGAAATTCCCCATCTCCACCTGAGACCACCTCAGCCTGGACTTCATTATCCATATCTCTATCAGCATTTTGGTCAAGGCCATTCAACAAGTCCCTAGGAAGTTCCAAACATTTCCATATCTTCCTGTCTTCTGAGCCCTCCAAGTCTCTAGGAAGGCCCAAACTTTCCCACATTTTCTCATCTTCTGAGCCCTCCAAACTGTTCCAACCTCTGCCTATTACCCAATTCCAAAGTCAGTTGTGATGTAGGTTTTTTCTCCTCCTGAAGTCAGCTAGATCCAGGTTTTTTGTCTCAAGACCAGGAAGAATTAGGCATGTGGACATCAGAGAGTGAGTAATAAAATTTATTAAGCAAAAGGACAACCCTCAGCAAAAAGAGGGGTCCTGCAAGCAGGTTTTCACCTCACAGTTGAGTGCCAGGGCTTCCACATAAGAGGTGATGAGGCTTCGCTCCTCCCCTGCATCAGGTGCAAATTCCTGGTGGCTCCACCTCTTTCCTGCAGTGCACATGCGTGCCCCCAGTCCACTGTGGGCATGCCCAGGCAAGCCCCCTCTTGCTATTGCTTCTACATTTTTGGGTATCTTTATAACAGTGCCTCACTCTCTGTAGTACCAATTTACTGTAATAGTCCATTCTCAAGCTTCTATAAAGGACTGTCCAAGAATGGGTAATTTATAATGGAAAGAGGTTTAATTGACTCACAGTTCTGCATGGCTGGGGAGGCCTCAAGAAACTTACAATCATGGTGGAAGGGGAAGTAAACATGTCCTTCTTCATATGATGACAGGAAGGAGAAGTATCAAGCAAAAGGAGGAAAAGCCCCTTATAAAACCATCAGGTCTCATGAGAACTCACTCCCTATCATGAGAACAGCATGAGGGTAACCACCCCCATGATTAAATTATCTCCCACCAGGTCCCTCCAATGACATGGGGGATTGTGGGAATGACAATTCAAGATAAGATTTGGGTGAGGACACAGCCAAATCTTATCAGTGCCCTAACAGGAGGAGGGGTGCTTTAACAAAAGAAGGGTGTCCTAACAGGAGGAGGGGTGCTTTAACAAAAGAAGTGTGTCCTAACAGGAGGAGATGTGTCCTAACAGTAAGACATGTGTCCTAAAAGGAGGAGGGGGTGCTTTAACAGGAGAAGGCATGCCCTAACAGGATGAGGGGGTGCTTTAATGGGAGAAAGTGTGTTCTAACAGGAGGAAGGGTGTCCTAACAGGAGAAAGTGTGTCCTAACAGGAGGAGGGGTGCCCTAACAGGACGAGGGGTGTCCTAACAGGAGGAGGGGTGCCCTAAAAGGAGGAGGAGTGTTCTAACAGGAAAAAGGGGTGCCCTAACAGAAGAATGGGTGCCTTAACAGAAGGAAGGGTTTCCTAACAGTGGAAGGAGTGTCCTAACAGGAGGAGGGATTTTCTAACAGGAAGAGTGGTGCTCTAACAGGAGGAGGGGGTGGGTCTAACTGGAGGAGGGGTGCACTAGCAGGAGGAGGGGTGCCCTAACAGAAGGAGGGGTGCCCTACAGGGTGAAGGTGGTGCCCTAAGAGTAGAAGCGGTGCCCTACTAGAAGGAGGGGTGCCTCCACAGGAAGAGGATTCTCTAAAAAGGAGGAGAGGTGTCATGACAGGAGGAGGGGTGCTCTGTAACAGGAGGAGAGTTGTCATAAAGGGTGAAGGTGGTGCCCTAAGAGGAGGAAGTGTGCCCTAACAGAAGGAGGGGTGTCCTAACATGAGGAGGAATGCCTTACCAGGAGGAGGAATGCCCTACCAAGATGAAGGGTGCCCTAACAGGAGGAGTGAGTACTCTAACAGCAGGAGGGTGTCCTAACAGGAGGCAGGGTGCGTTAACAGGATGAGGGGTGCCTTAACAGGAGAAGAGGTGCCTTAACAGGATGAGGGGTTCCCCAACAGAAGGAAGGGTGCCAAAACAGGTCAAGGGATGCCCTCACATGAGAAGGGGTGCTCTAACAATGCCCTGAACCTTGGGTGGGAGTTTCCATTGAGAATGTGGAGGTCCCTTGGGCCTAGCCTGGTGATGAGCTGTAGAAGAGGACGTGGCTGTAGTAGGAGCAGAGGCACTGAGTCTGTGGCTGCTTCCTCCCGCCTGTCCTCCAAGACAGGCTTTCAGTTAGAGAAGGATTTAATTTCAGGGTTGCCCCCCACCTTCTCTGAAACACAGCTGGGACAGCTGGGGTACACTCCTGGTCTGACTCCGAAGCACTACCCCTGGCTATCCTTAACTGGAGTCCTGGTGCCCGCTCATCCCAGTGCCACTCTGAGTAGAACAGGTAAGCTACGGTATCATCCACCTACACTGGCACCTACCCCTCTCTACTGGGGATGAAAGGCTGGCTCAGCGTTTCCAATTCAGGAAAGGGAATTTCTGTGACTCTGGCCTGTATGGTTACCAGATAACTCTCACTTAGAAAAGTCTGGAAGAAAAGATGAGCCCATGGGACTGGGCTTCCTCTACCTGCAACCTTGCTGCTGCCAACGAGCTGTGGTCTTGCATCCCTGCAAGGCTTCTTGGTGGGTGTCTGGGACTGATCCGTGGTAACTCCCTATGTCTGGGTCTGTTGGGGCTGTTGCTGTCCTCAAGGTCTTTCTTCTCAAGGTTTGGCCTGTGGTTATTTTCTTTCAAGGTCTATAGAGAATACATTCATTCACTCAGTGTTGTTGACTACATACCAAGGCTGTAGGAGCAGGACCACACACCTGTCTCCCAGCTGTATCCCTAGCTCCAGCAGGGTGCCTGACTCACAGTAAGGGCCTTAATAAATGTTTGTTCAAGAAGTAGAGTAAGAAGGAAAGTGAAAGAAAAAGGAAAGAAAAGGAAAAGGAAAAGGAAAAAAGGAGAGCGAGGGGAGGGGACAGGAGGGGACGGGAGGGGAGGGGAGGGGAGGGGAGGGGAGGGGAGGGGAGACGAGGCGAGGCCAGCCAACCACAGCGCTTCAATGAACAGGAAGGAGGCTATAGCCGCAAGGCCTTCCCTGCAGGGCTCCTCTCCGCCCCCTGGTGGTGATTTTGGCTTTCTCTGTTTGTGAGGACAGAGGTGTGGATGATCCTTTTCTGGATCCCCTTGAGAACGGAGCTTCATGGTCCTGTGACAGGGCTGGTGTTCTGAGAGGCTATGAAAGGAGGAACCAGTCTCCAGCCCTCAGCTTTTTAAGTTCTTCTGTGGCTGAGATAGAGGCAGCAAGGTTTCAATGGCTCTTTGGGAGCAGAAAAAGCTGTACAGAGGTTTAAGGGCATAGCCTCAGTCTCTCCCCCTTTCCCAGTCTCTCTCTCCATGACGAAGTGAACAAGGGGATCAAGGCTAAAATCTTTTGGAAACTGCTTCCTGGACTAGCTTGCTGGATGTATACTGAAGGGCAGGGCCTTTGGAAATAATCCTGCCTTTATGCTGACAATACATGTTTTCCATACCCCACTTCACTTTGTGAATCCCCACAACAGCCGAGTGAGGGGGTGGGGTGCTGTACTCCTGACTGTCTCACTGGGGGTGACAGGGACGCTCACCTCCTATGAGAAGCAAAACCAAGGCTCATCTGGAGATTTCCTGGCCCCACCTCCACTCTGCTTGCTCTGTCTAGCCTGCACCACTCCCTTCTCCCAAACACAGCCCGTGAGCCCAATATTCTTTCATCCAGAGAGCAGAATCCAAGTCCTGGTCTTTCTTTTACAGGTCTTATTCTGCTCCAAAGGGGGCCCCCAAGGAGGGGGTCAGAGTGAAGCTCTGCCTCGTTGTTTCTCTAGGTCCCATTTCACTGGTAACAGCTGAGCTTACTCTGTATTTTGCTTCTCTCGTTGCACAACGGACCTGCTTTGGGCCAGTCCAATGGACCAAGTTTGGGCAGGCAATGGCAGTCAGCCTTCTGTTTCTGTGTCTTGGGCATGGCCAGCCTGAAGCCAGTCCTGCTTTCTTCGGTTGATGAACCAAAGGTAGGAAAACTTCAGAATTGTCCCAGACTCCCAGGAGCACTCACAGGATTTTCCTTTTCCTCATTATCATCTGTCCCTCCTGGATGCCTGCAGGCTTCTTTTACGGACCCCACCTACCCTCCTCCAACCTGTGCGAAGTTCACAGTGCTTACTCTTTTCTTAAACACATTCCTCATGTGATTTCCTCTCCAGGGCATTTGGCCTCTTGAAGTAGGGAAAAAGAGCCTGGGGAAGGACTAAAAATCTTAGATCTGCATCTAATATTTGGGGTTTCTGAGGACCCTGGAGGGCTGGTGGCCTTGTATCCCTATGGGGATACAACCCAGGCATTTACATCCTCATATCCGGTCTTAATTTTTAAAGTCTGCCTTAGGTCAGTTATTTCAATTATTATTATTTTTTACTCTATTAGAGTTATTGCCTGGTGGGTTAAAGGAAATGGTGGGACCAGAAGTTATAGTAACTTTGAGTGAGCTCCAGGATGAGTTGGTGATTAGCCTGAGAGCTAACCATCCCACGAGGTCCCTTCCTGAGATATTTACTCCTAATCCATACTTCCAAGGTTCCTGGTCTAGAGTAGCTGGGTTGTTTATTGTGATTAATATATGATTGGATTTTAAATTTTCACAGTTAGGTTGTGTGGGGCCCTTATATAAATGTATTTTACCCCTTAAGGCTTTGTTTTTGGAAGAATGACTTACTCAGCCTTGGTATTAACTGGTCTACCAGACTGATTTCAGCTAGTGTAGGGCTTTTCTGAGAGGGCCCAATAATGGTTTGTTTTAGGTCATAGATATTTGTTTGCCTGTGACAACTGTCTTTGGTGTCCTAAAGTCCTTCAAGGTAAAACTTGGCAGGCATTAAATTTTACAGCTTGCGGGGTGAAAGTCTGAGTTATGTTGACTATTAGTTTGATTGGATGTTCCCTACTTTCCACCCCTAGTACTGGGCTCCATTCAATACTCGGGTTTCCTTTTACCCTTTGTGTTAGGATTAATCCTAACCATAACCATCCCCAATGACAGGGCCCGCTTATAGCTCTCTTCTAGGTTTTCCTTAGAGTTAGCTTTAAGGGTTCCTTAGGCGATTTATACACTTCCCATTTGCCCTTTTCCCTTTTACCCTTCCTTACATTTTTTTTTTACTGGTCCCTTGACCCAAGTGTAATGAGTCCGCCCTCGTTCAGCTGTTTCCATGGCTTTTTCGGTGGTCAGGAGCACTTGACAGGGACCTTCCCAGCTTGGGTGGAGCTTGTCTTCCTTCCAAGTTTTAATCAGCACCAAGTAGCCAGGCTGGAAGTGGTGAACCGTGAACTCAGGGGTGGAGTTTGAGTCAGAAGTCCTTTTAACCTAAGAGATGACAGGGTAGAGGATATGGCCAGTATATGATTTTTTAAAAATTGGTCTTTGGTTTCCATAGTAGGAAGCTTTGTAGCCTTGTTTAAATATGAGAGTCCATACAATAACTCAGAGGGGGACAATCCTAAGTCTTTTCTTGGGGTTGTCCTAATCCCAAGGAGTATCATTGGGAGACATTTGGTCCAAAGCATTTTAGTTTTTAAGATTAGTTTGGTAACGTGCTTTTTGAGAGTTTGATTTATTTTCTCTACCTTTCCAGAGGAGGGGGGATGCCAAGGGGTGTGGTAATCCCATCTAATGTGCAAACCTTCCATAATTCTCCTTAGCACCCTTGAGTTAAAGTGGCTTCCATTATCAGAATTAATATTTTTTTTTACCAGGCCAAATCTGGGTATAATTTGTTTTAAGATTATTTTGACCACATTCCTGGCTGTGGCAGTTGGGAGGGGGAAGGCCTTCACCCAGCTGGAGAGGTGGTCTACTATTACCAGCAGATACTTTAGTCTCTCTATTTTGGGCATTTCTGTAAAATTTACTTGAGTGCTTTGAAATGGCCTTAACCTAGGAGGTCTTCTTCCAGTAGTCGTTTTTTTTTTTTTTTTTTTTTAACTACCTTTTTGTTTATTCTCTGGCAGGTCACACAACCCTCACACACTTGTTTAGCAAGTGTATAAATCTCTATACACCCATAATTCTTGTGTATTGCATTACACAAGACTTTCCCCAATGACTTCCCTTATGCAGTATGACATCGGTTCTCTAATTATGGATTTGCTTATTATTACTCTCCTGTCAGGGAGCACTCACCTTCCATCCCCAGTTTGAGTGGCCCCTATCTTACCCAGCTCTTTCTCCTCCTCTTTAGAAAACTGGGGTCTTAATACCACATTAGGGATATCTGGTATTAGGCTACACAGTCTAACTTCTTTCTTCAGGGAGGCTTGCTTAGCAGCTTTATCTGCAAGCCCATTCTTTATAGCTTCTATAGTGTTTCCTTTCTGATGGTCATTTACGTGAACTATGGCTACTGGAAGCAAGAGGCTTTTTAAAACTTGTTTGACCAGTTCCCCATGTACTAATTTTTTCCCAGCGCTATTTATTAGGCCCCACTTTGTCCAGATCTTTCCAAAGATGTGTACTACTCTATAGGCATATTTGGAATTAGTATATATAGTGCATTTTTGACCTTCTAGGAGGTTTAGGACCTGGTTAAGAGCATATAATTCACAGGTTTGGGTTGACCAGTTATTGGTTTACCTTTTTCACATAAGGATTGTTTGTTTCTATCAATGACAGCATAGCCATTATGTCTTTTGCTGTGTATTACTTGGGATGACCCATTCACAAACAGCCTTGTCCCATCATGTACTGGAGTTTCTCTAAGGTCTGGTTTAACTTTAGTTTGATAGTCTATGATATTTAAACAGTTACGGTTTGATGCCTCCTCATTCTCGTCTCCTTTCTATAAGAAACTGGCTGGATTCAAGCAAGTATCTATTGTTAAATCTATTGGATTTATCTATTGTTAAGACCAAATTATTATTATTATTATTATTAGTAGTAGTAGTAATATGAATTTATATTTTAAAATCTGGGAATTAGTTAACCATCTTCCAGCTTTTTGGTTTAATACATTCCAGACCTGATGTGGGGTGCTTACTACCAGGGCCCCGCTGAAGGTCAACTTTTGAATTTCCTCTACCAGCAGAGCTGTGGCCGCTACTGCTTACTTGCACTTTTGTCTCTGTCTCCTGTCCTTTATGGCCTCTCTCTCTTTCTCTTTCTTTCTTTTATACTTGTTCTTCCTTTTACATTATCTTTCTCCCCAGTCTCACCATCTGTGTCTTTGATCTGTCTTTTCCTGTCTCTCTCTCACTTATTTCCTTTTTCTATTGCTTTCTCTGTCATCCCCTGTTTCCTTTCTCCCTTACACTCAGTTTCTTCCTCTTTCTGTCTCTCTCTGGTCCTCTACCTTTGCTGTTTCCTCCCCTTTCTCTTTCCAATTTACCTTCTTATTTTTTCTCTTCCTCCCTTTCCCAGCAAACAGAATATTTACAATTGACATCATTTCAGCCCAAGTATAAAAATTGGTCCTAAAAATTGAACTACCTGCTCTGCTAAATCTAGGGGATTTTTTTATGGTGGCCTTATTTCCTTTTTAAAATTCCTAACCTCAGTACTTGTTAGAGGCACACCCACAAATCCAACTTCTTCCTGTCCCATAGGGAAGTCTCTAAGAGGGTACATGTTAGACACCTGCTGTTTAGAAGGAATAGGTAAATTCTCAAATTTTTTAAAACATTGTTCTAATTTTTTTCCTTAAATTTGGATAAGGATTTAAGAGAGCATTGGGTTTAGCTCCTTTATGACCCCCAGATTCCTCTTCCTCTTGCCTTCCTGTTGCCTCCTGATCTCCCTGTCCTCTACTTTGTGAGATGTATGGGGCAGGGGGAAAGCATGTTAGGGGATGCCAGGGATTTCACTGGGCAAAGGCCCTTTATTATGCTCTTTTTTTTTCTTTAAGGGGGATCATGGGGGTTAATTCACTAATCCAACAAAAAGCATAACCCACCTCCTCTTGTGAGGTTGGAGTTTTGGTATTTACATAGAGAATTAAGTTTGGCACACCCAGTCCTCATCTGAGCCAAACTTAGGCCAAAAGACTGAGGCTGATTAACGGGCTCTTTGGGCCAGATAAAACAGCAATATTTATTATCTTTTGCTTTTCCTTGTCCCTGGTTCGAGGGTTATCCCTCCAAACCTGCAGCATTTTCCCCAATGGATTATCTGGGGGAATTTTAGAGGGGGGTCTCTTTAGTTTCCTTTTTCCTTTGTTTCCTAAGCCTAGAATTCTTATTTCCCGTTTTTGGTTAGTCTCTGTGTCTGAGCTTTTTCCTGTGTACTCAGCCCCCACACTGGAAGTTTCTTCGACACCTCAAGAATTGCTTCGTTTGTCTCCAGCTGTTTCCTCATGGGACAATTGGGACTCTGCACTCGCTTTGTATCTAAGGTACATCTTAGTCACACACACTCAACCTCTGAAAATGCCTAACCACCAAGGCAGTACTTATAGTCCAATTTTCCTACCTTGGCTCATGCACAAGTTTGCCTAGTTGCCATGGTGCCTGCTTTTCTCCCTGTGTCACTTCCACTGTCTCCTGAATAACAGTCTCAGGTTTGTCTTCTGCTTTTGTGGGGAGCCAGGACACCCAGACAGAGCAGGCCACCTAAATCAGGTGGGATGTATCTCCCCTCTCAGCTGGAGTCCCACTCCATGCAGGCACAGAGTTCCCCATACGGGTTACCAGGTTGTGAGAAAGAAACTCACCCATCCAATCCCAAAGAATGGACTCAGAGACCCAGAGAACAGCTAAAGTGAAACTTTTAATGATGGTCTTGCAAGACAGCTTGTCTGATGGGCAGGCACACCTAGCACAGTTACAACAAGCAATTTATCCCCTAGTGCACAGGTCCCTCTCCCGGACTCTTCATAGGCTAAGTACTATGGGGTCACAATCTTCCCAGACATCACCTATCACTTGTTGGGTTGGGGCTTTAGGTGTTGTCTTGCAGCATTTTGTTGCAGCCTACAATGCATTGCAATCCTAGTCAGCTCAGGGGCTCTTTAAGTATTTGACTTATGACCTAAGTAGTTGGGCAGGCTGATAAGAACAGACAAAGTGAGCTATTTTGCAGGCTAGTAAACTTTCATCTTAGACTAAACTTCTTTGGTTTGGGTGAGGGCAACTAAACAGGGGGCAGGGGCTACAAGCAGATGTTGGCTATCCAAGCAGGGGCCTAGTATATCCTGTGTTTTCTGTAGTTTGCTGACCTAAGACAATTTAAGGCACTTTATCTTGGAAATGGACCACTGTATACATTATTTCCTTCGTATCTCCAGCTCCAGTCAGAGCTAAAGTGAGCTTGGGTGAGCCAGGAGGATCAGTGGGCTGGCCCAGGCCATGGGAACAGAATACAAGTTAACTGGCCACAAATTTCATCAGTGGACCCTAGACCAAGAACTTGGTCAGTTCAGTCCCCCTTACAGTAGGGGGCAGCAAAAATCCAAAATCCAGCAGAGGAATCCCAGGCTTTCCTTTGCGTGTGACCCCTAGGGCCTGGGGTTCCTGTCCTGAACCCAGATGCCATCAGTACAGGACAAGGGGAAAGGGGATAAAAAATGCTAAGCAGGAGGTAAAAGTTATGTTGATTGAGTTATTTCCTAAAATGAGATTTTCTTAAACCAGAAGAGACAGAAATATAGACATCTAATCAGAAATTTTATCTCCACCTCAGGTGGGTCAGTTGCTCAAGAAACAACATTATATCCATTCAGACTAAAGAAGTTGCTTGTTCTTTATACATTTCCATTTAGCGCATGAATTTTGCTATCCTAAAAAGCCTGATCTCCCTTTCTCCAGCTGAACTGGGAAAGACCCTCCAGTTGCACACCTCTCCAGCTCTGGTTTAGCTCCTGCTTCTCTGCTTTTCTCCAGGTCCCACCTTTAGGTCTGGGAAGCAGGCATAGATGCAGGTTTTAGATGTGTCTCAGCTGGCCTCCACATGACACCCCTGATGCCCACCACCTTTCACTGGCTCCTTAACTTGGGTGCCCCACTCATGCAATAAGGATCAGCTCAGCACCTCCCCTCCCGGAAGACTTTCTGAGTTCCACCCCTCCCCGCCTTTCCCTTCATTCCCCAACCAGTCCCATTTGATTCATCCTGCCTAGCTTCCTAGAACACTTTTTAAAAATTATTATTATTGATTTAATCTCACTACTTATTATTAGTCTCTTCAGGTTTTCCATTTCTTTCTGATTGCATCTTGTTAGGTGGTATGTGTCCAGGAATTTATCCATTTCCTCTAGATTTTCCAGTTTATTAGATTATCGTTGTTCATACCAGTTTCTCATAATCTTTTCTATTTCTGTGATATCAGTTGTAAGGTCTCTTTTTTAGTTTCCGATTTATTTGGGTCTTGTCTCTCTCTTTTTTGGTTAGTATAGATAGTAGTTTATTGTTTTGTTTACCTTTTAAAGAACAACTTTTTATTTCATGGATGCTTTGTATTTTTTTTAGTCTCTATTATTGTTTAATTCCACTCTGATCTTTGTTATTTCTTTTCTTCTACTAATTTTGGGTTTGGTTTTTCTTGCTTTACTAGTTTTTTAAGGTGCATAATTAGATTGTTTATTTGAAATCTTGCTGTTTTTGTGATGTGGGTGTTTATTGCTATAAACTTTCCTTGTATCACTGCTTTTCCCGTGTCCCAAGATATGCTGTGTTTTCATTTTCATTTGTTTCAAGAATGTTTTAAATTTCCATTTAAATTTCTTCATTCACCCAACGGTCATTCAGAAGCATGTTGTTTAATTTTCATGTATTTGTGTAGTGTCTAAAGTTCCTATTAGATTTCTTGTTTAATTCCATTGTGGTCTGAGAAGATATTTGGTATGATTTTCATTTTTTAACACTTGTTGAGACTTGTGTTGGTGGCCTAACATATAGTCAATCCTGAGGAATGTTCCACGTGCTGATGAGAATATGTATTCTGTAGTTCTTGGATAAATGTTCTGTAAATGTGTCTTAAGTTCATTTGGTCTAGTGTCCAGTTTAAGTCCAATGTTTCTTTGTTGATTTTCTGTGTAGATGATCTGTCTAATAATGAGAGTGGAGTGCTGAAATTCCCTACTATTATTGTATTGGAATCTATTTTTTTTTCTTTAGATCAAACATTTGCTAATGAAATTGAGTACTCCAGGGTTGGGTGCATATTTAAAATTCTTATATCCTCTTGGGCCGGGCGCGGTGGCTCATGGCTGTAATCCCAGCACTTTGGGAGGCCAAGGTGGGCGGATCACCTGAGGTCAGGAGTTTGAGACTAGCCTGACCAACATGGAGAAACCCCATCTCTATTAAAAATACGAAATTACCTGGGCTTTGTGCTGCATGCCTGTAATCCCAGCTACTCAGGAGGCTGAGGCCGGAGAATCGCTTGAACCCAGGAGGCGGAGGTTGCGGTGAGCCGAGATTGTGCCATTGCACTCCAGCCTGGGCAACAAGAGCAAAACTCTTCTCAAAAAAAAAAATTCTTATATCCTCTTGCTGGATTAATGCCTTTAATCATTATGTAATGACCTTCTTTGTCTTTTATTTTTTACTCTTTTTGACTTAAAGTCCCTTTTATCTGATAAATCTAGCTACTTCTGCTCACTTTTTGTTTCCATTTGTGTGAAACATCTTTTTTCCTTCATTTACTTTCGGTATATATACGTCTTAACAGGTAAGGTGCATTTCTTCTGGCAGCATGTAAAGCATAGTTAGATCATGTTTGTTTGTTTGTTTGTTTCCACCCAGTCTATATATGTTAAGTGGATAATTTAATTTATTTACTTTCAAGGTTATTTTTGATATGTAAAGTTTTCTTCCTGTCATATTGTTAATCGTTTTCTGGTTGTTTTCATATATTCTTTGTTCATTTCTTTTCATCTTCTTATTTGTTCTTGGGGTTTGCTGGTTTTCTGTGGTGGTACCATTTGAGTCTTTTCCTCATTTGTATGTTGCTTTACCAATGAGTTTTATACTTTTATGTGTTTTCATCATGGTAACTGTTGTCCTTTTGCTTCTGGGTTTTAGGCTTCCCTTGAGCATTTTCTGTAAGGCTAGTCTAGTGGTGATGAATATCCTCAGCATTTGCTTGTCTGGGAAGGAGTTTATTTTTATTTCTCCTTTATTTATGAAGGGTTTGTCAAAGATCAGATGCTTGTAGATGTGTGTTGTTATATCTGAGGCCTCTGTTCTGTTCCATTGGTCTATATATCTGCTTGGTACCAGTACCATGCTGTTTTGGTTACTGTAGCCTTGTAGTATAGTTTGAAGTCAGTTAATGTGATGCCTCCAGCTTTGTTCTTTTTGCTTAGGATTGTCTTGGCTATGCGGGCTCTTTTTTGGTTCCATATGAAGTTTAAAGTAGTTTTTTCCAATTCTGTGAAGAAAGTCAGTGGTAGATTGATGGGGATAGCATTGAATCTATAAATTACTTTTGGCAGTATGGCCATTTTCACGATATTGATTCTTCCTATCCATGAGCATGGAATGTTTTTCCATTTGTTTGTGTCCTCTCTTATTTCCTTGAGCAGTGGTTTGTAGTTCTCCTTGAAAAGGTCCTTTACATCCCTTGTAAGTTGTATTCCTGGGTATTTTATTCTTTTAGTAGTAATTGTGAATGAGAGTTCACTCATGATTTGGAGCTTTATTTGTCTGTTACTGGTGTATAGGAATGCTTGTGAATTTTGCACATTGATTTTGTATCCTGAGACTTTTCTTTTTTTTTTTTTTTTTATTATACTCTAAGTTTTAGGGTACATGTGCACATTGTGCAGGTTAGTTACATATGTATACATGTGCCATGCTGGTGCGCTGCACCCACTAATGTGTCATCTAGCATTAGGTATATCTCCCAGTGCTATCCCTCCCCCCTCCCCCGACCCCACCACAGTCCCCAGAGTGTGATATTCCCTTTCCTGTGTCCATGTGATCTCATTGTTCAATTCCCACCTATGAGTGAGAATATGCGGTGTTTGGTTTTTTGTTCTTGCGATAGTTTACTGAGAATGATGGTTTCCAATTTCATCCATGTCCCTACAAAGGATAGGAACTCATCATTTTTTATGGCTGCATAGTATTCCATGGTGTATATGTGCCACATTTTCTTAATCCAGTCTATCATTGTTGGACATTTGGGTTGGTTCCAAGTCTTTGCTATTGTGAATAGTGCCGCAATAAACATACGTGTGCATGTGTCTTTATAGCAGCATGATTTATAGCCCTTTGGGTATATACCCAGTAATGGGATGGCTGGGTCAAATGGTATTTCTAGTTCTAGATCCCTGAGGAATTGCCACACTGACTTCCACAATGGTTGAACTAGTTTACAGTCCCACCAACAGTGTAAAAGTGTTCCTATTTCTCCACATCCTCTCCAGCACCTGTTGTTTCCTGACTTTTTAATGATTGCCATTCTAACTGGTGTGAGATGATATCTCATAGTGGTTTTGATTTGCATTTCTCTGATGGCCAGTGATGATGAGCATTTCTTCATGTGTTTTTTGGCTGCATAAATGTCTTCTTTTGAGAAGTGTCTGTTCATGTCCTTCGCCCACTTTTTGATGGGGTTGTTTGTTTTTTTCTTGTAAATTTGTTTGAGTTCATTGTAGATTCTGGATATTAGCCCTTTGTCAGATGAGTAGGTTGCGAAAATTTTCTCCCATGTTGTAGGTTGCCTGTTCACTCTGATGGTAGTTTCTTTTGCTGTGCAGAAGCTCTTTAGTTTAATTAGATCCCATTTGTCAATTTTGGCTTTTGTTGCCATTGCTTTTGGTGTTTTGGACATGAAGTCCTTGCCCACGCCTATGTCCTGAATGGTAATGCCTAGGTTTTCTTCTAGGGTTTTTATGGTTTTAGGTCTAACGTTTAAATCTTTAATCCATCTTGAATTGCTTTTTGTATAAGGTGTAAGGAAGGGATCCAGTTTCAGCTTTCTACATATGGCTAGCCAGTTTTCCCAGCACCATTTATTAAATAGGGAATCCTTTCCCCATTGCTTGTTTTTCTCAGGTTTGTCAAAGATCAGATAGTTGTAGATATGCGGCATTATTTCTGAGGGCTCTGTTCTGTTCCATTGATCTATATCTCTGTTTTGGTACCAGTACCATGCTGTTTTGGTTACTGTAGCCTTGTAGTAGAGTTTGAAGTCAGGTAGTGTGATGCCTCCAGCTTTGTTCTTTTGGCTTAGGATTGACTTGGCGATGCGGGCTCTTTTTTGGTTCCATATGAACTTTAAAGTAGTTTTTTCCAATTCTGTGAAGAAAGTCATTGGTAGCTTGATGGGGATGGCATTGAATCTGTAAATTACCTTGGGCAGTATGGCCATTTTCACGATATTGATTCTTCCTACCCATGAGCATGGAATGTTCTTCCATTTGTTTGTGTCCTCTTTTATTTCCTTGAGCAGTGGTTTGTAGTTCTCCTTGAAGAGGTCCTTCACATCCCTTGTAAGTTGTATTCCTAGGTATTTTATTCTCTTTGAAGCAATTGTGAATGGGAGTTCACCCATGATTTGGCTCTCTGTTTGTCTGTTTCTGAAGTTACTTATCAGCTCCATTCCTGTTCTGCTCCCTCTACTGGCTGCCAGGTAATTAATTGTCTTCACTGCAAATGTTAGCTGTTATTTTTCAAGGCTACCAGGAAGCTGGAGAGAGAGAGATGGCTCCAGTGCTACCAAATTAACTGTTCTTACCAAGATTCAACAATGTTTCTTGAATAAATTCTTCTAGAATTTTGAAAAAGTTGAATCTGACCATTTTTGTCTGTTTTTTCACTACTTTTATGGAGGGCAGATTTGTTTTCTTCTCCACTAAAAAATAATTTAAAATTTAATTTTAATTTTAGATGCAGGGGGTCCATGTGCTGGTTTGTTACATGGGTATATTGTATGATGCTGAGGTTTGGGTGTGGATCCTGTCATCCAGGTAGTGAGCATTGTACCCAACAAGTAGTTTTTCAACCCATGTCAGCATCCTAAGCGAATTAATGCAGGAACAGAAAATCAAATAACACATGTTCTCATTTATAAGTGGGTGCTGAACATTGAGAACACAGGAACATAAAGATGGGAATAATAGACAGTGGGTACTACTGTGGGAGAGGGATGGAGAGAGGGCAGATTGTTAAAGGTCCTTACTTCATCATTTTCGCTGATGTCTCCTGTAGCAGCTTTTAATTTTGAGAACTGTTTTCTCACTCTTAAATTTAGCTGTTTCCAGAGTTCAATAGATTTCATCTAAGGTAGATGATGATCTTGGGGTTGAACAATAAAATAACAAAGTACACATATTTATCTAATTAATTGCATAAAATTTTATGAAATTGCAACCTATTTTATTTAGTGTATGTAATAGTTACATTTTCACCTAAACTGTTTTCTGAACAAGTTCCAATTTATAGAAATTTCATGTGATTTACACAATAAATGGTTTTTAGTGATGAATAAAACTGTATAGACATTCATAGATTACTAATGAACTTCAGAATATCACTAGAGTTATCAAAGAAATAAGTTTTCCATTAGTCTATGAACAATGAATTAAAAAGTGAATACAGAAAGCTTCTAACAAAGGGATAAATATAAAATGTAGAACATTAGAAAACTTACTGCTAAACAGTTTTCAAGTAAGAAATATAATGTAATAATAAATATATGAAAAGGTAATTTGCTAAGTGATATGCTAACAAGATACAAATACCACATACAAATAAGGCATCCTTTTATGTGTACAGAAATAGTATGGATGACTTTTAAGGAAAGTAACCACTAGGTGCATTCTCTGGGTGGAGAGGTTCACTATTTAATGAGGGTAGCAATCATACATGTGATTAGAAATAACTTCTGACAATAATGACAAAAATGGCTCTTGGAGAAAACATATTGAAGGTTTGCACTTTATATTTTACAGATGGAAAATTATTTATTTATTTATCAACTCAGATACTTAAAACCCTATATTAAATCTCTTTACTGTGCCTTAATGAAGTCTCTGGCAGATTTTATAGCTTTCTGGTCACTTTCAGGGCTTAAAGACTTCAGTCCAGCACAATTTAAAAGATTTCTCTGCTCTGTCAGCTCAGACCTAAACCAGGTCCTGGGAATCTGCATTGGCAAGCAGTGGGTGGTCTGATCTACTTTCCTGCGTTGTTTCTCCTTCTCTGTCTTGTTCACATGGGGTTTGTTTTGGATATATTCCTTTTTCCCATATATTGGGGTCTCAGTGGATAGTTTGGATGGGTGCTGCAGACTTTATAATCAGTAATATCTCTCTCTGTCCCTCCCCGCAAGTAGTGCCCACTGTTTATTGTCCCCATCTTTAGGTCCCTGTGTTCTAAATGTTCAGCACACATAAATAAGAACATGTGTTATTTGGTTTTCTGTTCCTGTGTTAATTCGCTTAGGATGATGGCATGAGTTGAAAAACTACCTGTTGGGTACAATGCTCACTACCTGGGTGACAGGACCTATACCCAATCAGGGACGCCTCCCCAAATCCAGGGCACATGGCAAGCTCTTTCCAGCATCCCCTCACTGTTCTGTATGCTGGCAGTCAACCCAGCACAGCTGAACATCTCTCTTTCCACAGCACATCAAGCATCCGAATGAGATACAATACATCATCTCACTTTCCTGCAGAGACCCCCAATATCTCAGAGTGATTTTCTTATGGACTCTTTGCTTGGCTTGAAAAGTGGGAAAAACAAACTCTCCTTACTCACAAGGGGAGAAAAGGGGAAAATGCCACAGCTATTATCCCAAAGATATAAATTCCTTACTCCAAGAAACAATCTATTTCAAAGAATGCTTCTAGAATGTCTAGGCCAGTCTATATATATAGGCTGATTAGATGTGTCAGTGATGATCATAGGACTGGTTCTGCTTTTTTTTTTTTCTTTTTTTTTTTTTTTTGAGACAGAGTCTTGCTCTGTTGCCCAGGCAACAGAGTTCAGTGGTGCGATCTTGGCTCACTGCAGCCTCCACCTCCCAGGTTCAAGCGATTCTCCTGCCTCAGCCTCCCTAGTAGCTTGGATTACAGGCATGCAGCACCACGCTCAGCTAATTTTTGTGTTTTTAGTAGAGGCAGGGTTTCACTATGTTGGCCAGGCCGGTCTCGAAATCCTGACCTCAAATGATCCACCCACTTTGGCCTCTCAAAGTGCTGGAATTACAGGCCTTAGCCACCCCACCCGGCCAGTTCTGCTCTTTTATAGTATGCTGGAGGCATACCAGGGAACTCCTTGTTGCAGAATGTTGGGGTACTGTGGAGAGGGAGTGTGACAGGGTTAATTTCCTGGACCTCAGGATGCAGAAGCTTCAAAGCCCATCCTCTGAAAGCTGCCTAGTCCTCACTTCCCCCCTGAGGCCTTGGTGTAATCTCTATCCACCCTCCAAAGTCAGCTGAATCCTTAATGAGGTGGGCATGGGTGGGGGGGGGGTCTTAGTTTATTTCCACCCATCTCCATCTTTGTCCCCCTCTTCATGGGTATCTGTGATGGTACAGGGCTTACGTTTGGTTCCTGAGGGAGGCTACTCCTCTTATCTGTTATTATAGGCTGAATTGTGTCCTCCCAAAATTCATATGTTAAAGTCCCAAGCCCAGGACCTCAGAAAGTGACCATATTTGGAGACAGGGTATTTAAAGAGGGAGTTAAGTTAAAATGAAGTCATCAGGTGTGGGCCCTAATCCAATATGGCTGGTGTCCATATATGAAGAGAAAATTAGAACACAGACATGCACAGAGGGAAGACCAAGTGAGGACACAAGCAGAAGATGGATGTCTGTAAGCTAAGGAGAGAAGAAACAAAGCCCATCAACTCTCGATGTAAGACTTCTGGGATCCAGAATTGAGAGAAAATGAATTTCTGTTGTTTAAACCACTTTGTGACACTTGGTTTTGGCAGCCTTAGCAAACTAACACATCTGTCTTCCAAGGGTTTCCATGTCCAACATTTTCTCCAACTCTGCTCCTATTATTTCTTATTTCACAGCCGTGTCACACACTTGTCCAAGTCTCTTGAGTAAGGCTGTAAACCCTTGGATTAGGGTTTTAGCACTTCTGTGCACTGAGGGAGAGGTGGAGCATCCAATTTGCCTTACACACATGGGACGGTAGGGGGCGACAGAATCAGAGGCAGGAGTTTAGAAATGGCAGTAAATCCTGGAGATTTTGCTGGGCTACAGTAATGAGGATAGGCGAAGAGCAGGAAGCTGCTGCAGAGGTCACAGCAAATCCCTTTTTCTTTCAAGACCTGATGGGATGCTGTCAATCCCAAGTAATCAGAGTCAACTGTGTTTTCCTCTATGAAGCATGGAACTCTGGTCTGCTTTTTATGTGGTGTATCTGGTTAACATAGCAAAACTTATATGTGATTATTATGTGTCAGGTACTATTTAAAGTGCTTTAATAAATTTCTATATTGTAAATAATATTTTAATTTCATACTTTATTTTTATTATATCTTATATAAATTAACACACACACATACAGCCTAAGCCAGGTTTGTCCCTATAAAATATTTATTCTATTTTATCACACACACACACACACACACACACACACACACACACCCCAACAACCCAGTTAATTGACCTTCTTATTGTCCTTATTTTATAGAAACCAAGTTCTTTCCAGATAAGGTAAGTATCTTGCCCAAAGTTGAGTTGGGGGCAAGGCGCAGTGGCTCACGTCTGTAATCCCAGCACTTTGGGAGGCCAAGGCAGGCAGATCGCTTGAGCCCAGGAGTTGGAGACCAGCCTGGGCAACATGGTGAAACCCCACCTCTACAAAAAATACAAAAAAATTTATCCAGGTGTGTTTGTGTGCACCTATAGTCCCAGCTACTAGGGAGGCTGAGGCTGGAGGTTCACCTGAGCCCAGAAAGTCGAGGCTGCAGTGAGTCATGACTGCACCACTGCACTCCAGCCTGGGTGACAGAGTGAGACATTGTCTCAAAAGAAAGTAAAAAATAGGCAGGGCGCCGTGGCTCACGGCTGTAATCCCAGCATTTTGGGAGGCTGAGGCGGGCGGATCACGAGGTCAGGAGATCGAGACCATCTTGGCTAGTCTTGGAGAGTGGTGAAACCCCGTCTCCACTAAAAATACAAAAAATTAGCCGGGCGTGGTGGCAGGCACCTGTAGTCCCAGGTACTTGGGAGGCTGGGGCAGGAGAATGACGTGAACCCGGGAGGTGGAGCTTGCAGTGAGCCGAGGTCGCGCCACTGCACTCCAGCCTGGGCCACAGAGCGAGACTCCATCTCAAAGAAAAAAAAAAAGAAAGTACAAAAACTGAGTTAGGGCTCAAACCCACACACTGGCTCCCGAGTCTGTGCTCTTCACCTCTGGCTGTGTAGCTCCCTTGTGTGTGTCCTGACTTCCATGTCCAGCTTGTATGTTCCTATGTGGCAGGGAGTGTGTCTTGCCCATTTTCATGTCCATTCCTTTAGTCTTTCTTTCCTCACTCAGCCTTGTTCTTGGTGTTTGGGAGACATTTGAAGCTTAATAAATATTTGCTGAGTTATTGACCTCTCTTCTCATTTCACAGTCAAAAACTTAAGGTTCAAATCCAAGGCCCCCAAACATCTTGACTCCTATAGTTATTGCAAGGACTGACAGGGTGAGGTTCTGTGATGTTTCAGTCCCAAGGAAGCAGGGACCTATTTTAATAGAGATTCCTTGAGTTTTCTTTTAAGATTCCAACTTCGGCCGGGCGCGGTGGCTCATGCCTGTAAACCCAGCACTTTGGGAGGCCAAGGCGGGCAGATCACGAGGTCAGGAGATCGAGACCCTCCCTGCCAACATGATGAAACCCCGTCTCTATGAAAAATACATGAAAATGGGTTTGATGGTACATGCCTGTAATCCCAGCTCTTCGGGAGGCTGAGGAAGGAGAATTGCTTGAACCAGGGAGTCAGAGGTTGCAGTGAGCCAAGATCACGCCACTGCACTCCAGCCTGGCAACAGAGTGAGACTCCATCTCAAAAAAAAAAAGAAAAACAGATTCCGTCTTCAATAGGTCTTGTCTACTTCACATCTCTGACATTATTTAAGCTAACTCTATGAAGTATGCTGCGTCACTATTATAAAAGGAAGAGGTTAAGGAGGGGGAAAGAAACACACATTGAATGACTTCCCTGTGTCAGGCTCCGTGCTAGTAAGTTTAGATTTGCAGTCTAATTTATTCTCAGACCAATCCCCAAATATTAGGCAGTATTTTTTCCATCATTACAGATATAGAAACTGAGGCTGAGAGAGGTTAAATAACTTCCCTGAGACCACAGGCCAGAGAATCAAAAGGATTTTCCTACCACACCACCAGGGGGTGTCTCAACAAGAGTGACAACTCAGCGAGCCTGAGTCTGGGCTCTGGGAGATTTAGGATTTGTGTTTGTACTTAGGCTGTTCAGAAAGTGACCTGGGGTGACTTCACTGGACAGCCCTGAATGAAGACCAAAATTCCTCTCAACTCCAAGAGTCCTGGGAGAGCAGGTTTACATCCCTCATCCCTAGTTTCCCCCTTGTCATATGGGACAGGATTGCTGTCCCTTGAGGGACCTCTCCAGCTGGCGAAGGGTCTTCTCTAGCTCCACTGAGAGTTGCAGCATCTGTGGTTTTCTTAAGGGGCTGAAATTCAGCAGACATGGGTTCTGGGCCTGCTACTTTCTAGCCATGTGGCTGAAGGCCAGCTGCATCTCTGTTCTGGCTCTGGGTCTCCGTTCTCTGATCTGGGGAGAAATCGACCCTGACCACTGCATATACCACTGCCCAACACTCCTTCTAGGGCTTAGTCCTGAAACCCGATGATTATAAATTCATTCCTTTATCTTGAGAGTTGGTATCTATTGAAACACAGATATATTCCCCAGGCAAGGGCCATGCTTAATTGTGAGTAAGTTTCAGATGGTTTACAGAGACTGGATTTTGAATGAACAGGAGAAAAGGAAGAGACCCTGAGGGCACTGGCCAAAGGTGAGATGCCCAGATCTGGGAATACCACCAGGGGAAGGTCTGCCTCCCCAAGCCACTTCACAGTGTTGCTGATACCAGAAGACTCAGAAACAGGGCACTGGCACTCATAGTTTTTTTGCTGCAACCATCCAATTCTCCTCTCTGAACCTCAGTTTCCATATCTGTCCAGCCATTGTCTACCAGAGCTGGATTCAACTGGATTCAGCTCACAGCTTGACTAGGGTTTTCTTCCCACCAGACTTAGTAAGGCCATTAGTATGGATGCAGTCCCATCAGAGGAGGCAGATTGAGCTCTGCCTGGCAACAATTACCTGCCTTGCTGTCCATTCTCCTGGGTGGACCTCTGCCCTCTCTGAGCATCTTGGCTGGGAGTTGGTCTGTGCCTTCGCTTCTAACCAGAAGTTGAGGAGTAGGGCTGGAGGTGGAAACACCAAGGAGGAGAATTGTTTTCCTGTTTACTACAGAGCAGTGGAGAGGGACATGGTTAACCTTCATGTCTGACCCTGAGCTGTGCCACCCTGGGCATGCTAGTGAAATAATAGACATTTCACTATTATTGGGGAACATCCTGGTCCTGGTCTGCTAACAAGTGGAATAATATCTATTATTTATTTAAGCAATTATCTAAATTGACATTTGCTTTCCTTTTTATCTTTCTCATATTCTGACTTCCCAAGCTTTGAGTGAGACAAGCAAAAACACCCAGGAGAGGATAGCACATATTCACACAGCACTTTACAGCCTAAGGAGCACTTTTATATTCACTGTTTAATTGAATGCCCATGGTATCTCTGGGAGAACAGTCATGGCTGGGTGAGATTCTCTTCCAGTAGTTCCATAGGAACCTGTTTCTCCTTTTATAGCTCTGGCACTAATGTTAAGTCTTAATGTCTGTCTTTTCTAATTAACTCTATATTTCATGAGATCAGGGGACATGTCTCTGCTCAATTCTGTGTTCCCAAAGCCTAGCATATAGCTGCTGCTAAAAAAAAAAATTTGATTCCTGAATAGACGAAAAACCATCATTGTTCCCACTTTATAGATGAGGCAACTGAGGCCTCAAGAACCAAAGTGACTTTCCCAAGGTCTTATAGCTAATTGATGGCAAAATTGGGATCCTTTCTGGCTCTTAGCTGAGAAGGTCGACAGGGTGGTCAAGGGTGTCTGTGGGAAGTCATCTGTCTCCTGCCAGGACTTTGGAGTGGAAGGCAACTCCGAAGAGAGAAAAGTGTTATGTCGTCTATCAGCACTCATCACACTGCCTTACAAGTGAATGCCTGTGTGTCTGCCTGCCTCAACCCGGCCCTGACCCAGAGTGGGGACGTCCTAAGGACAGGGCTGTGTTTAATTTCCATCTGTGTCATCAGGGTCAAGCACGATGCCTGGTATGTTATCAGTACTTAATATGATTTTGAGGACTGAATGATGGATTGATGGATGAACCTTCCGATAACAGCTCCAAATGTCTTTTGTATGTGACACTGTAGGTGCAAGGCCAGGGTGAAGCTGCTTGAAGCCAGGCTTGGCCCTGAGTGGAGGCACTATGAGGTGTTGTCGATAGTGCTGGGTATTGGCCAAGTTCTCGGTACTGTGAGCCCCGGAGCACAGGGCCTTGGGAAGCCTGCGAGACACTTCCACCAGATCCACCCGAGCAGGATGGACTCACAGAGGCCATTGTGTCCAGCCTCCCCATCTTCCACTGGAGGACACACTGCTACAGAGGGGCAAAGTGAGTGCCCAAACCCAGGCACCACCCCACTCGACATTCTGGTTTCTGAGGGCCTGCAGAACCAGCTGGTGAGAATAGGGTGCTCATTCTCTAGTCATAAGAGGAGTCCTACAGGGGTCAAGGCAGGGTCACAAAGATTAACCATCAGGTTCATTCTTGCTTTCTCATGCTCTTTGGGGCAGGACAGTGTTTGCCCTCAGTGCTGTCTTCCAGGTAGGCACCAGGAATGCCTGGAAGTGTCACTGACACTCAGCTCTCACCTGGGGGTCTTTCCTGCTGTGGGCCTTATCCTTCTGCGCCCCTTAGAAGCACTGACATCACGTAAAGCTGTGGGGTTATGTGAGAGACAACACCACTCACAGCTTGGCCTTAATTGTCATCATCATCATTATTTGATTATGTTTATATTATTATGATAGTTATTATTGCACTTTATGGATCACCACATACTTTGCTATATGTGATCTCATTTGTTTGGGTAGCATATTGTGGGCCTCCATTTTATAGATGAGAACATTGGGGCTCAGAGAAGCAATGTGGTGTGTCCAAGGTTGCAGAGTTAACGCGGCAGAACTGAGACTCAAGGGCAGATATCTCTGTCTCTTATTCAGCTCACTCTGCTCAATGGATTCCTCTTCCACTTTAAAGATACAAATGGCTCACCACTGGTCCTTGAGTCTTACACTTCTAATAGAATGCATTCCCACCACCCTTATCTCCTGGATCCCAGTGAGAAACATGGAACCTCGGTGACCCTCTTGAGCCTAGTGTTTCTAAGACAGGATCCTTCTACGGTGCTGAGATGGCTTGTGGGAGAGATACACATGGAAAGCCCCAGGAAAAGACAGGGCTGAAATGAGGAAATAGCAAAGGGTTCCAGGGCCCCTGCTATGTACCACAAAGGATGCCCATGGACTGTGAAGTTTTCTAGCTCAAGAGGCTTTCTACTCAGGTAAATGAGCATTTGTGTCCAAGAGTCTTGGGATTGAGGGGAGGTCACCTCTGTTCTGGGAAGCTGGCTTTAGCCTCATGCGTGAGTTGTCCAGATGCTCACAGAGGCTCACCCTGCTCTCTCAGCCAGCTCAGTGGCAGCTGGTTAAAACAGTGGCACGTGGATCAGCTCCCTCCCTCTATCCTTCCCTTCTTTCACCCCCTCCTTCCCTCCCTTCCTCCTTCCTCCCTCTTCCCAAAAATATTTAATGAGCATCTACTATGTTCCAAACATCTTCTGGGTTCTAAGGATTTAATAATAAACCAGAAACCTAAAGAGAGAAACTCTCTCTGGTACATAGAGTTTGGTCCAGGGACCAAGCTCTATACCAGAGAAACCCTGAGCACTTGGAATGCTACAAGTGGGAACTGACAGAGGTTCAGAGGGCTGGCCTCATCCAAAGGGCCTCCACAGAGTAACCCCTTGGGATGGCAGTAACTGAACCCTCATGCAGCTGCCTGGGGCAGAGGGGGACAGCAGCAGAAGTCAGGGGTCATTTTTCCCCTGAAATCTTCCTAAAGCCTGCTGGGCTTCCTGTCACTTAACTAGGCAATTAGCAGTTGAGAGGACACTCTGTGGCACTGCAAGACTCTGTCCTTACGTTACTCTTCCCCAGGCTCCGCTCAGCTCAGATGTGGCCACTGAGGAGGCAGTTCAGACAATGGAGATGGGAAAGACATGGGAAGGACATGGGGCTCAGTGGCTGGAGTTCTGAGTGCTGGTTCTGGCTTCTGGAGCCAGTTTCATCCCCTGGATGAGGAGGGATGGGCCAAATCTCTGACAGACTCCTGGTGACCTGTGGAGTCTAAGAATAACTCAAGCAGGACCTGGTGTCACTCAGTTTATCTAATAAGGGATCCAGAATTTCCAGTGCTTAAAAGCTCCTGTTTGCCTGGCATCCCAGGGAGACCAAGGCAACACACTGATGAGAAATGACTTCATTGCAGTTTCCACCTGTATCAGACTGAGTCAAGGTCAGAACCTGCTACACAGTAACCAGGCTGGCCTTGTGGGCCTCCTCCTTCCACGACAATGACGACAAGCTCTCAGTCTTTCATTCCTTCATTCTTTACTCAACAAATATTTGCTGAATGACATGAACTCTGTGCTGAGCCTTGAGGATACACAGTGATGAATAACCCCAGCATCTGTCTCCAAGCACCTTTGAGTATTTATGATACACAGCCTCTGTGATATCCCCCAGCATCATGGGGGAGTGCCCAGACCCCACTGTGGAGAGGCTCAGAATCTAACAAAGAGGCGATCCTGTTGGGGATCCCAGAGAGTGCCAGGCGCCTTGACAGGGAGGCATTCCATTACAGGAGCCAGTGTTGGGGCTGTCTCAGAAGGTTTCCTGGAGAATAGGAGCCTGAGAACATGCAGGAGTGGAGGAAAAAGGGTGTTCTAAGCAGAGGGTGCATGCAGGCGCATTCAGGGATGGTAATAATTTGATGTGGCTGTAGTGTCCATATGGTGCAGGAACATAAGGCTGGGCAGGTAGAAGCTGCCAAATTATGAAGAATCTAGGCACCATGTGGAGGAATTGACTTTTTTTTTTCCTCTGTGGGGAATAGGGAGCCCTTGAATGTTTTAAATAGGCTCAGACTTACCTTTTAGAAACAGAAATGGTAGGGGTCTGAGGACAGGAGACTGTAGGACTGGGAGGAGGAGCCTGGGTGCATGATTAGACATGGAGGTGAGGAAGAGGGAGAAGGTGGGATGACTCTCAGCCTTGGGTCTTGGGGACATTTACTGGGGGGATTAAGGAGGCTTCAGAGGAGGTAATGATGATGGGTCCTATTTGCATCACTGACTGTAAACTGTGGAATGTGGCTTATGCCATCAGAGGGGAGGCGTAAAGGAGAAGTAGTTGGGAGGAGGGGGGAGAGGTCCTTATGATGGAGGCCATGACAGAGGTGGTGGGGCAGATGATGAATAGAGGGGAATATGTAGAGGGGAAGAGACTGAATTCCCTGGAGGGAGTAATCTGCAACCCTCGGACAGACATAGCCATATTCCCAGATATTGGTGAAAAGCCTGGCATACAGGCAGCAGGAAATTCTTGAGCATTTCATCATTAACCTAGAGACTTCAGGCATGTGTGAAACTGCTCCGACTCCTGTAATGTGACTCAGTCATACTCCGCCTGTCAGACACGGGAGCATGACTGAGCAGGCTCAGAGAAGTCCTGGTACCTCAGGGCAGGGAGCGCCCAGAGCTGGGCAGGCATAGGTGGGTGGGATTGGGAGGGGGTGGAAAGAGAAGCCCCAACCTATAACCATAAATACTAGTTGTTAGGATACGTGGGTGTCTTTCCTCTTTGTTACAAGTGAGATTCACTTTCTGCCCTACGTTTTTGAGTTGTCAACAAAATCACCACTACCTGAAGTAGAATGTCTTATAGGTGGGAAGAGAGAATTGTATTTGTTGTTCATTTCCCATCCCTGTTCATTTCTTCCTTTCCTTCTTCTCCTTCCCCTTTTCCCTTCCATCTATCCTTCCTTCCCTCTTTTCTTCCTCACTCCCTTTCTCTCTTCCCTATTACTGTGCTTACCACAGAGCTAACCAAGCCTCACGTTTACAAAGTTAAACTAAATTTCTTTAGTCTTTGCATGGACGTAGTCAATTGAGCTTTGAAATCTTGATGGGGAAGATAGTATCTTTGGGTGGAGGGAAACTTTTTTTCCCAATTGTGGGTGCAAGGCCTGCCTCTGGAGTGCTAATTTCAGCTCAATAAACACTGTGTTTTTTCCATACATGAGCCATGGTTTGAGACAACCCACTGGAGGTGAGTGGCTCAGAGAAGAGCAGGACTCACATCCTCAGTCCCTTCGGGAGTCAAGACCTAGGATCCCTGAGGAAACCAGGGCATCAAAGCTGACTCCTGTGTGGGCCTCAATGTCTCCTTCCCTCTGCTTGGCTACATTCAGCTCATGTTCCCAAGGCATCCAGTATTTTCCTAGCTCTATGCTTTGGGAATTTAATAGAAAGATAACACATAGTTCCTGCTTCCAAGGAGTTCAAGATCTTGCAGGTAAATGATGTCCACATATGGAGCAGGCAGTACTGTGCACTCTGTGATTAAAATACTGAGAAGCAAATTGGCCAGTGAGGCTACTGGAGACCAGGTAGGCGGTGGTGGCATGTGAACTGTAAATGGATGGAGAAGAGAGGGAAGGCCATTCTGAGCCTCAGGAGTAATGGGACTGTGTATAACTCACTTCCTCCTTATGCCTACAGAGCCAAGTATGGTGCCTGGTGCTTAGTGGAAACCACAACATCTGCAAAATTAAATGAAAGCGTCAAATGTCACTTCTGATCCTTTCAGTCTATTTAGTACCTCTGTGTTAATTTAAACAGTGTATCATCTAAGTAATGCATATTCGTTGCAGAAAATCAGAAAATGTAGGTAAGCAAAAGTAAAAGAAATGTGCACAATCCCCCACCCAGAAGAAATTGCAGTTAACATCTTAATATGGTCAATCCAAGCTTTTTTCCCCTGATTATTTACCTACTCTCTCTCTACATATATACTATACATATATATAATAGGTGGATTTATATATATATACTGTATATACACATTATCTATATACATTTATATATAATGTATGTATACATTATCTATATATACATTTATATATATAAATGTTTAGAGAGTCTTACATAAATGAATTTCTCATGTTGCTTATACTACTGTAACTTGATGTACACCTTTTCCTTTCTAATCCACTTAGCTTAACCTTTGGTCCATACCCATCAGAGTCTGCTTGTATTGCAGTTCCTGGGGAACACCTGTCTCTGCCACTGGACTGACAGCTCTTAGCGGGCAGTGCTGATGGCTTCCCTATCTTTGCCTCCCCACTGCCTAGCCCAGGACTAGATCCCCATAGGTCATCAATGTAAGCTGGGAGAACTGAAAACAAGCCCTGCTGAAGACACTCCACTGATGAAGACAAATGGGCAGATTAAGCCACTGTGAGGGATAGCCCAGTTCCCCGGAGGGAGGCACATGGTATACCTGCCACTGGATGGAGGTACCCTTACCCCGGTGTTTGGGTATGCCTGGCCCCTTTGCAGCCAGCCTCTCCCTGCTGCCTGCTTCACGTCACCTGTGTGCTTGGTCTCCATCCTCTCCATCTGGGAAAACAAGGTACCTTGGTGTATGTGTTTCCAGGAGCCTCCTTGGCTATTTTTACTCCCTCTGAGTCCCACGCCCCGGATATTTACCTGCTCTCCAAGAGGAGGAATCTTCCTTTCTCTGTTTACTCACTCTGGAGGCTCCCATGGCATCCTCGCTTCCAGGCTCCAGCTATGGAGATGCTCTCCATAGAGAAGATAACACTGTAGCTGGCAAGGCCCCAGGAAACCTGAGCATCCCACATGCCAGGGATCCACAGCTAGGCTGAGCAGGCCTGGCTCGGGGCCTGGAGGTGAGGCTTTTCCAGGAAGTGCACACACACACCTGGGGGCCCCAGGTAGCTCATGAGTCAGTCTCTGATGTCCTTGCTTGCCCCCATGTCTCTGGCACTCATTACTTGAAGGTGGTGGTGTGCAGGAAGGCAAGAAGAAAGGTCTGCAGCTTGCAACCAGACTGCTAGAGGCCCTTCCACTCAGCACTTTGTTCACTTAGGACAGGAAGAAAGCTTCATTTTAAGGCCATATCGCAGTATCTTCTCTGAAGAAGAGCATCTACAGACTGCTTTTGTGCATTATATTCTAGCCCCCTGCAGATTTTGGTCTGTGCACTTCTTCTCTGACAGGGTGAACAGACCCTGGGCTAGAGGTCACTGTGATTCAAGAAGCAAGCATGAGATATAGAGTCCAAAGAGCTGGATTTGAACCCTGGTAACTTCTCTTAACATCTGTGTGACCTTAGACAAATTTCTTGGCCTCTTTGAGCATTGATTTTACCTTTGAATAATAGGGGTAGTAACCCTCTCTTCTACAAAATTGGGTTGTTGAAAAGATTCCAGTAAAGGAAGGAATGCACAAACACCTCATAAATGGTAAAATGCTCTCCAGAGGTTAAAGAATAAGAAGCTCTCGTCTTCCTGAGAAGAGGTGCAAGTAGTATCTTGAAAATTCAAATAAGCCCAAAGTGGTGGCAAGTTGTCCATCCTACTCTATGGAATTCTTCAAGCTCCAGTCCAGGAAATAAGTAGCTGGGAGCTTTAAGTCCAGTGGAGGGACCCAGGAATGCACTGGCAACCATCATGACATCTCTGTTTTCACTGATGATGGTGAGGACAAGACTAATAATGACCAGAATAAGAAGGGCTAAAAATTACTGAGCGCTTCTTATGTGCCAAGTCTAGGATGAAGGGCTTTGCAGGCATTATCTCATGGAGTCCTCATACAACAAGCATGGCCATAAGCACTGTTATTATCCTCATTTTATGGCTGAGGAAACAGGTCCAAGGGGTCACATAGCTAGCAAGGGGCAGAGCTGGGACAACCCAGACAGCACTTTATCTATCTGTAAGAGTTTTCTCTGTCACCTCTTCACTGAGCTTCCCTTGGCCTGACGACATTCTATTAGCCTCAGAGGCATTGAGGATCCTCTTGATTGGTTTTGATTGCTGCTGTAACAAATTACTGCAAATTTAGTTGCTGAAAACAACACACAGGTATTATCTTATAGTTCTGCAGGTCAGACTGGCATAGGTGTCACTAGGCTAATATCAGGCTGTTGACAGGGCTGTATTCCTTCTGGAGGCTCTAGGGAAAAATCTATTTTCTTACCTTTCCCAGCTGCTAGAAGCTGCTTATATTCCTTGGCTTCTGTCACCTTCTTACATTTTCAAAATGCCTCACTCCAGCCTCTGCTTCTGCTGATAAATCTCCCCTCTCTGACGTTGACCCTTTTGCCTCCCTCTTGTAAGGACCTTTGTGGTTACAGTGAGTCCACCTGCATAATCCAGGAAAATCTCCCTATTTCAAGATCCCTGACTTAATCACATCTTCAAAGTTCCTTTTGCTGTGTACGGTGATATATTCACAGGTTCTGGGGATTGAAATGTGGACATCTATGCACAGGAGGGGTGGGCATTATTCTGTACACTATTCAGACTTTACATCAGGGCAACAGTGAGCAGTGGGAATAAGACAAATAGAAAAATTCCCTTTCCAGTGTTAAACTCCAGAATCAGCCTGCAGTGGGTGAGAGCAACACTGTGCAAAGGCCCTCATGGAGGCAGTTCCCAGGCCACAGTCCAGCACAGAGAAGCAAAGGGAGGTCAGGGACAAATGTTTTCAGGGCTCCCAAATCTGTCCAGGGCTGGCGGTGTTCAGATGACCTAAGGGGCATGTCTAGTTTTGCTCACCATCAAAACCTGAGGTTGTTATGCAACCTCATGCTCACTGAGTGCTGGCAGATTATGATGACTTCTTTCAGGAGTTTTCCTACAGGAAGACAATGTACCTGCCAACATTGACACTCAGGTTTCTCTTTGTAAGTTGATGTCATCACAGTCTCTTGTGAGTTAGGTGCAGTGAATCAGTCTCCACAGGATTAATCAGCTCAGGGACATGGACTAAGGAACTTAGCCATGCTAAGGCTAAGAGTTGGACTTCTGGGCTAGGGAACAGTCATCCAGATAGTGCCATCCTGGGGAGGGTTCTTGGGGGTCTGCCAGCTGGCCTATCCCTGGCAATGCCAGACACTGCCTGTCCAACACAGGTAATCAATCCCTGGTTATTTAGTAGAGGTAATGATCACTTCCAATTTTTTCATATGTGCAATTCAGGCTGTGATTCCCCATATTTATTACTATTTTCACTCCAAATTCAATAGCCATGTTTAACAAGCAAATTATATAAAATAAATCTTGCTGGAAAAAATCACAGTAAGAAATAAAATACTATTCAAGAGGCAGAGTGCTATGATGGAGAGAGGGCAGATAGCAGGTTTTGAATTCCATCTCTGCTCCCAACTCTCCATGTGATCCAGGGAAAGCCTTTTTCCATCTCTAAGTCTCAGGTTCCTTTTCTGTCAAACAAGGGGCATGATCTAAATCAGCAATTATCAATCCCAGTGGTGCAGCAGAGCCACTTGATGGACGTCTGGAGAATGTCAAAGCCTAGATCTCACCGGGGTTGAGAACCACCGGCTCTGAATGATGGCCAAGGTCCTTTCCACAACTATTCTATCATCCCATGAAATGTCTAGAATTTGTTAATGAAAATCTGGGTTTGGATTTGTTTGAGGCATTCATCTTGCTTGCTGAATAGTAAATTCAACTGAACAAGGAAATGAAAACTGAGCACCTGCTGCCTACAAGGCACTAAATTAGACCCCTTAGGGATTCCTGCACTAAAGACCTTACCATGTGGTCAGATAGGTGGGTCGTGTGCCCAAACAATTATAACTAAAAGGGGATGGACATTGTTCCTTTTAGAATTCACCAAACCCATGTTTTAAATGGGTAATTCCTTTAATTTTACTGGGATTCCCTTTCCAGAAATTCAGAGCCTGTGTTCTACCTTCTTGCTTATACTTCTCCACAAGGAGGGCAGAGACAGATCCGACGCCCCAACCCTGTGGTCTTTATCTAGGCCTGCCCTGAGTGCTGGAATTTAGAAGTGACACAGCATCAGTTTTCATTTTAAACATTTATTGAATGCTTACTATATGCCGGGCACTTTTACAAGAGTTTTAGGTATGTTAACTCAATTTAATGGCCCCATGAGATAAACACTACTTTTTTGACCATTTCACAGGCGAGGACAGTGAGGTGGAAAGCTCATATCACTTGTTCAAAGTCACACCACTGGTAAGTGGGGAGTTGGGATTCAAACCCAGAGACTGGATTTAGAACTCACGCTCCCAGCCGGGCACGGTGGCTCACACTTGTAATCCCAGCACTTTGGGAGGCCGAGGTGGGTGGATCACGAGGTCAGGAGATCAAGACCATCCTGGCTAACACAGTGAAACCCCGTCTCTACTAAAAATACAAAAAGTTAGCCGGGCGTGCGTGGTGGCAGGTGCCTGTAGTCCCAGCTACTTGGGAGGCTGAGGCAGAAGAATGGCGTGTATCCAGGTGGCAGAGCTTGCAGTGAGCAGAGATCGATCGCACCACTGCACTCGAGCCTGGGTGACAGAGCAAGACTCAGTCTCAAAAAAAAAAAAAAAGAACTCACGCTCCCAACCACTTATAAATAGATTCTGTGCCCTTCATGAAATGTTCTTATGGCTACCAAAAATAATGCTTCCAAACAACGAATAACATGGGAAATGTTGATGTTAAAATGTTAAGTGAAAAGTTAGTAAAGTAAACTCATGTAAGTACTATGAGAAAGACTATGTAAAATACAAACAAAACTCAAATAACAACAACAACAACAAAACCACTATATATAGAAAAAAATGACGGGAAGGAAAATAGCAAAATAGTAACCATATTTTAGGGATGGGATTATAGGTGATTTTAAAATTCTTCCTATTTTTTGGTGTTTTTAAATAATGAGTATGCTTTCTTTATAATCTCATTCCCTAGTGACAAGCAAATACTCTTAATATTTTGCTGTAAGAAAACATCGAGTCTAAGTTCTGATATCATAAAAATTAGTTTTGGTTTCAAAATTGGCAGGTCAGTAATTTGAAATTTAGCATATATTTTCTCATGGAAATAAGGATAGCCATAGTGATTAGTTTTTTCTTTTTTAAACTTGCAGTTCTAGGAACTGTGCTAAGAACTTCATCTGTATTTCTTTATTCAGTGGATTAGGAATGTTTTCAGCCCCCTTTTCCAGTGATGGTTAAGTAACTTGCCAGAGGTTGCACAGGTGGAGAGAGCAAGGGTGGGAACTGATGCTGGATGTCCCTCTCCAGGGTCTGTGTTATAACTGGGCTGATGCTTCTCACTGCAGCCCATTTCAAAGAGCATGGAGCTAAGGTACTGCCTTTTTCTCCCAGTCTTATTTTCTCTCACTGCAGCTTTCATTGTGAATATGCCATATTTTGGCCACCCTTTCCAGCTAAGTCAATTTTGATAACTATCCTGGGGACCCAACTTTCCCTCAGAATATTGTTTGCTGAGAAAATGTTTTGGATCCCACCATGGGCTTTTAAAACCTATATACTCCTCCTCTTCACCTCTCCATCCAAAGATTAATCTTCTCCTGAGGTCCTTCCCAGGTTGGATGCTCTTCTCTTATGAATGACCAGAACTGGTGCCTCACTTCTGGAAACCTCCAGATGAGTGGAGAGCTTTTGCTCCACCCTCAGTATACACCTGGTCTTTGCTGCCTCACCTCGAGCTGGCCAAGGGCACCTTCTTTAACACGAGTAAATAAGCCATTCCTAGACTTCTGCCCTTTTAAAGGCATTGTTAGTGCTGAATCGGTACTGTTTGTGAGCAGTTTTGGAGCATCAAATTCAGGCAAGGAGAGAAGCCCAACCACCCACACTGTCAGCATTAGATCTGCCTAAAATAACATCACTGAGATATCAAACCTTCCTTGTTCTGGTTATGGCATCATCTAGAAATGAAAAAAAAATCATGTTAGATTATTTGCTTGGGCCTACAATTTTATTTTGGATCTCTATTATTATTCTAAAAAGGGCCATTTAATTTCCATCTTGGGAATTTTCTCCTTCAGTTCCTATACCAAAGAGAAAACAGAACTTCTGTTCATTCCAGAGGTGTAGAGCCGTATTGGCCCAGCTCAGAAAATAGAAGGCATAGCAGAGCTGCCTGTGAGATAGATAGGTGCCATGTGCAATTCACAGAGCTCCCTCACCATCCTAGAGGCCTGCAGTTCTCAGGGGATCTTCCTGTGGGTTAATACTTGAGATGCTTATGCAGGGAGGAACTGGGTCCCTGGGATGCGAGGGGAGGGAGTCACCCATGCCTTTATGAAAGATGCTTCTAGCGTCCCGCACATGGTCTGCACCTCCTGATGCTAGGTCAGGACTGAATTGTATAAAAGGCAGAAGCTTCTGACAGCACCTCAGTCTACCTGTCTCCTGAGTGATCTGCTGCAGTGCCTGAACCAGGTAGAGTGCTTCTCAGGACCAGGATGAACTCTTGGTGCTGGTGTTTTGGGCAGAAAGAGCCCCTGGGTGGAGGTTGAGGCCATTCTTGAAGAAAGACAAGGATAAAGAAGGATTTTGGAGGGGAAGGTTCTTCTGGAAGGGGAGGGTGGAAGGTAGGTAAAAGGAATGAAGGACTGATGCCTTTCTGAAGTTCCAAGTTATTCATTTGAAAATATGGAGTTACTAGGTGGAAATCATTTGTATCATTCTTGTTACTGGTCTTGGGAGACTGGGTTTTTAAAATCTGGTTCATCTTAGGCCAGGAGTAGTGGCTCATGCCTGTAATCCCAGCACTTTGGGAGGCTGAGGTGGGCGGGTCAAGAGGTCAGGAGTTCGAGACTGACCAACATGCTGAAATCCCGTCTCTACTAAAAACACAAAAATTAGCTGGGTGTGGTGGTGCACACCTGTCTGAGGCAGGAGAATCACTTGAATCCGGGAGGTGGAGGTTGCAGTGAGCCGAGATAGCACCACTGCACTCCAGCCTGAGTGACAGAGTGAGACTCCATCCCAAATAATAATAATAATCATAATAATAAATTCTGGTCATCTTAGAGATAAAATCTTGTGAAATTATAGTTCAATTTTAAGGGCAAGGAAGTGACCTTGGGCTTGTATTGTCTTTCAGCTTTATTCAGCTTCTACAGAGATGTCCTGCCAGCAGAGCCAGCAGCAGTGCCAGCCTCCTCCCAAATGTACCCCTAAATGCCCTCCCAAGTGTACTCCTAAGTGTCCTCCCAAGTGTCCCCCAAAATGCCCTCCCCAGTGTTCAGCCCCATGCCCACCTCCAGTCTCTTCCTGCTGTGGTTCCAGCTCTGGGGGCTGCTGCAGCTCTGAGGGTGGTGGCTGCTGCCTGAGCCACCACAGGCCCCGCCAGTCCCTCCGACGCCGACCTCAGAGTTCCAGCTGCTGTGGCAGTGGCAGTGGCCAGCAGTCTGGGGGCTCCAGCTGCTGCCACAGCTCTGGGGGCTCTGGCTGCTGCCACAGCTCTGGAGGCTGCTGCTGACCTGGGCCATGAGGAGCACGGAGGAGAAGGACTGGCAGATCCCAGGTGCTGAAGATGTGTGTCAGCCTGAGGCTTCTTTTCTCTCATTTCCCATGGAAGGACTTCGGAAATGCCTTAAGTTCCCCTCTTTATCCTGCCCATGTTCACTCCATTGTAGGGTTGAAGTCTAGCTTGTGATATTTTCTGGCCTGGCTTTCCCTCTCAGACATAGCTCTTTGGAGAACTAGGTGTTGTAATTCAGTTATGAAGCTATTTTCTCTGTAACAATAAAGCTTTTTATTCCTGATATCACTGCCTCCTGATTTCATTGTTTGCCTCTCCCACTCCCTACCTGCTGCATCAAGCCATCTTCCCTTCCCTTCTCTTAAATGCAAGCGAACACTTTACAAACTTGTTTAGGAAGCACATTTTGGCAGTGAAGCTACTTAGGCCTCTGGAAAACAATATTTCCTTCTATGCACTGGATTCTGGAACTTTAAGCTTGAAGGAAAGAATAATGTCTGAGACCATTACGCCAGACACAAGATTGTATGAGGAGAGCCAGGAATGGGTTTGAAGAGAAGAGGATGGTTGTACTCAAAAGGTTCAGGTTCTGAGAGGGTTTCCTTCAAGCATGGGTCACAGTTTGAAAAATTGCTTGTCCCCATTCATGGGGAATAAGATTGCCTGAAGTGCTCATCCTGGGCTCTAATAAATGGACACTCTTTACTTTTCTGATTATTATAAGCTCAGGTGTTTCCATCAGTTGGCTAGAGGGAGAGCTGGGTGGGCAGTGAGTGAGTTTTGGAGGCAGATATGAAACGTCTGAGCACATTTTCCCTGCATGCTGAAATCCTGGATTTGAATCTGGGTAAAGAACTGAGAAAGACACCCTTCTTTGCAAAGACTGTCTCTATGTGGTTGGGACGTACGTGTGTGTGTGTGTGTGTGTGTGTGTGTGTGTGTGTGCAGTGAGAGGTATAAGAGTACAGGGGTTTTGGTCCCTGTGTTGGGTTTTCCAAGCAACATTTCTTTAGGAATGGGCTGGTTCCTTCAGGAGACACTCATAATGTACCTAGAAAAGATAACTAGAAAAGTTAATTCCAAATCAGCCTTTAATATAAAAGATAAACAATTGATGCCTCCTTTGATAAGAGTTAATAGCGATAAATAAAGTAAGCTGGTTTATGAGATCATAGGATGCCCACAGAATGAGTAGGCACTTGCCCAGATTATCTCCTTATACTGATTCCTACCAAACGTTCTTCATTCTTTTTTTTTTTTTTTAAAAGAACTTTGCCCATTTTCCCAGAGGAGATCCTGCCTCTGTCTTGTTATTTCATTACTTCCTTCTCTGTTCTAATATTGACTTTACTTTTTGGAATGTCTCACCTATACTCACCAACAGGTGCTCTAGGAACTGGCAACCTGTTAATCAGGCTCTAAATCCATGTTAAATGAAACTGGTATCTTTTGTGACTTATCTTTCCTCGCCTAGTCCCTTGAGCCACTCCCAGCTCACTCGCCCCCAAACCTGTCTCTCATCCTTAATTCCTGAATTCTTAGTCTTGGACTTCTGTTATAGTTCACATTCACAGTTGTGGGCAATTTGATTAAGAAGCAGTTCTGAAGTTGACTGCCAAAGTATCCTCCAATTCTTAAAAATTAGTTATTCTGAAAACACTATCTATCATGAACACTTTGGACCTTTGGAAAGAACTTTCTTTCTTTCTTTCTCTTTTTTTTCTTCTTTCCCTCCCTCCCTTCTTCCTTTCCCATTTTCTTTTGCACTGGGCAGTGGCCCTAGGGAGAACTTATCTTCAAAGGCAGATTGGTGGTTGGGGGTGGGATAAGAAGCAGGAGTCCCACAGGCTGACTAGCCTTTTTGCAATTGGGCCACTGTCCTGCACACATTTTTCTCTTTGTCATACCATGCTGTATTATGGGGATATGGCAACCTGACTACATTCACAACTTTTCTGGTCTTATGGTTCCTTAACTTTGCCTAGGTTTTTCTTCCTGTCTCCAGTGACAGAGAGAAATCACCCCTGGGGTTCCCAAAGGTGCATCCCCGTCATCATCTTCACTCACTGCATCTTGAAGCATATGGATGAAACCCAGCAGGCTTATCGCATAGCTTGTGGTCTGCCCTGGGGAGCCAAGGACCAAGAGCCAGAGAGATGAGAATCAAGATAAAAATAGGTGAACTACCACCTACCAAGTAGATGACTACATAGGAATGGATGTGTGGGCAAGTGGAGCCGTCTGTGTGTGTGTGTGTGTGTGTGTGTGTGTGTGTGTGTGTGTGTATTGAAGACAAGGGCAGGGGTTCCAGACCTCCCTGCATTTGAGCCCCATGCCCTCTCTTAGCATACACACAGCCTCCCAGGTACAAACAGTGCCCTGTTTGGAAAGTAAACATGCCATAGCAATCCTGGCACCTCTGTGAAGTGACTTAGATGCCCACATGCACCACCTACAATGCTACCTGAGTGATGAATGTCTCTGGGATGTGAGTGTCAGCTGAGCACGTCTGTTGGGAAATGGGCCCCTCCCAAGAGCCTGAACCTGAATACTTCTTATAAAAAGGTTCTCTGGCTGGACGCTGCTCAATCCACTGCCTAGCAGGTGGCCCATTCCAGTTGGAGAACGTAGTGAGTCTTTCAGTGGAGCCAGGGTCTGGTAAGTCTCCTAGCAGGGTCTGGGGGAGAGGGTGGGATGAGTTGAGGGCACAGGGGAGGAGCAAACAGAACACAGGCAGCAGATAGATGTGGAAGGGGTGTCCCGCAAGGCACCTACGCTTCTAGTGAGCCAACCTCTTAAGGTACTAATGAGGACATAAAGGCAACATAGGAGGTGGTTTTTGCAAGGGTACACAGCAAGTCCGCAGAAGAGCTGTGACTAGAACCCAGGTCTTTCAGCTCCCTGGATGGGGTTATTTATATTGGCACAACTCTCCTTTCCCACATGGTTGTGGGGCATGAGAGGCGTAGGCAAGAAAGAATGATCAGGACATGCTTCTGGCCTGTGGATTATTTAGACCCAGCAGGTGGGACCGCCTGTTGGACTTGGGTGTTTTCTAACTGATGGGGGTGTAGTAACTAGGAAGATACAGTCGAAGGTCGGTAGGAAAGTAAAATGAGGGACAAGAAAAAAGCCAAGTGGAGATTTTGGACTGGATCATACAGATAAGTTGCCGCAGTGTGCTGTTTATTTTCCACTGTGGAGAACTTGAGCAGTCTTCTTCTAGTCAGAGAAAATGGAAATGCATTGATTCATTGCATGGATTGTGTCCTGCTCTGAGCATGTTTAACTCACTGGAAACACCTGCTTGGATTTGCTTCTTTGCGTCCGCTCTTTCTGGGTGCTTTTCCCTCCTTGTCCCAGGCCAGGCTGACTTGTACACTAAGCCGAATCTCAAAAGCCCAGACAGAGTTCCATTGGTGGAAAGAAAAAGCCGGCTCGCCTTTGAAAGGCTGCCTTTCTTCCAGGTTTGTCGTGAGGAGCTCCGCGATGTCCTCTCAACAGAGCGCCGTTTCCGCCAAAGGCTTTTCCAAGGGGTCGTCCCAGGGCCCCGCTCCGTGTCCCGCCCCGGCGCCCACCCCGGCGCCCGCCTCCTCCTCCTCCTGCTGCGGCTCCGGCAGGGGCTGCTGCGGCGACTCAGGCTGCTGCGGCTCCAGCTCCACCAGTTGCTGCTGCTTCCCAAGGAGACGCCGCCGACAGCGGAGTAGTGGTTGCTGCTGCTGCGGGGGCGGCAGCCAGAGGTCCCAGCGCTCCAACAACCGGAGCTCAGGATGCTGCTCCGGCTGCTGAGAGGCCCGCAACCCCCAGCGCTGCGCTAGAGAAACCCGCCCAGCCCAGAGCGGGCCCGCCCCGCTGCGGCTCCCACGCGGGGCTGGGCCTCGGAGTTTGCCCCGTAAAGCGAATTGCACTTTGATGTTCAGAAACCCACTTTGTTCTCAGCCACGCAAAACTCCCTGACCCCGATGTGATTTTTCTCCCCGGGGATTCGAGAGCCATGCGTGGGACACTGGACCCTACTGTCTACACGGGCTTGCACACAGCAGGTGCTCAGCAAATGTCTATTGATTTGATTGTCTTTTGAAGATGTCATAATAAAGCTTCTACCTCCTGAGAACACCTTTTATTTGTTCTTCATTCGTTTCTCCACCCAGGTAGAAAGGCTTGAAATGTTTGTGAAAGGCAGAATACTATAATTCATGCCTGAACAAGAAGGTGGCTTTCTGATAGTTAATTATGATAGCAGCGATCACATATCGACTGTTTCGAGTATTTTAAGGATTTTATGCGACAAAGTCCTTGAATATTCTCAGGACTTTATGTGGCACAATCTGATTCTCATAATGACTTGCGTAGGAGAGTGCAATTATACCCATTTTACAGAAGAGAAACTGAGGTTAAGTAATTTGTTCAAAGTCACCCAGCTGGCGCATGATAAAGAAGACAGGACATCTGATTCAAGGGCTTCATTGCTCTGCTGAGTTCTCACCTGGGCTTCCCAAGCCTTACCACTGAGGTGCTCCTCCCGACCACCAGGTCCAGGCAGCTGTGTGGTAAAAGTTTGTTTTGGCAACTCTTTGGGGCTTTGGAATCAAGCCAGCTGTCTTCTTTTTTTTTTTTTTTAGTTTTATGTCTTATTTTATTTTTTATTTTTGGCATGGAAGTTCATTGACCTACTGCTTTGCTTGCTGGGGAGGAAATTTTTCCTAAGATGAGCCTTCCAGGAAACTGGGAGCTGCCCTCTCCAGGTCTCATTTGTGCAGCTGAAGCAGGACCAACAGCCATGGGTTTCTGGGAGTCTCTGTGGTGCAGCATGTGTGCTCGGAAACATGGGGATCTCATTCTTTAGAGATGGTGGCTGTGGCAGTGGCAATGGATGGGTCATCTTGCATAGGTCAGAAACCTATCCCTGTGGGCACAGATTTTATCCACTCATTTCAGGCACGAGGAAACAGGAGAACAATATCCTCTGCATGGTGTCTGCTGGGTTCAGAAGGAAGAGATAATCATGGTAATAATAATAGTAACACTAGTTACCATTTATTTGGCACTATATTTCAGGCACAAGTCAAGGCACTTTACCTATATTATCTCACTTAATCCTCACAGTAATCTAAAAATATAGACATTCACTTCCCCACTTTTTATACGTGAGCACATGGGTTTAGACAGTTCCAGTGGTTTGGCTGAAATCACAGAGCTAGTGAATGTCCCCTTGAGTGAGGGAGATGAGATTGAAACTGGAACCTGTGTGACTCCAAAGTCATGCCCTCACACTCAAAGAGTCATGCTCTACTGTCTTAGAAATCACCACCACACAGGGAAGAGACACTCGGGTCTCTGGACACACCCAGGCTCTCAGAAAATTGCAGCTCGGCTTCTTGGCTGCTGCTCCCTTGGTGACCCAATGAGTGGGGAGCTCTGTCATGGCATCCACCCAGCAGCTGGCGGCTGAGGGTGTCTGCTCAAAGGTGAGGTCGGAAATGCTCTACTGATTCATCCAGGATGTTTGACCTTGCGGCCAAATGACCCCTTGCCAGGGAGGCTCTGGAGGGCAGTCCTGCTCTGCCTGGGAGTGGCCCTTCCTTCCATGTCTGAGATTCTGTGATTTCCAGTGGGAGGTGATTTGTGGAAGCTGTTTACAAACAGATGATATCACCCGTGGACCTGCCTCCCCACACTAGTAATGTGTGCTGAAACAGCAAGCCCTGGGACTTGGTGGGCAGTGGGTGGGAAGGAAGAACTGCCTGACTCAGAACAGACACACTACGCAGCTAATCTGAGGGTGAGGGCTCAACCTGGAGCAGGAAGCTGAGGCCTGAGCTCTGGGAAAGAGAGGTGGTGACTCACGGAGAGATATTAGAGTCCAAATAGGAGCACATGCCCTGTACACCAGGCATTTGGGTCTCATGTCAAATGGCTGGCCCTGATGGTGGTGGTACCTCCAGGCCCACATGCTGCTGAAACCCAGCAGGTCAGCACACATGGACTTTGATGAGAGACATTTGAGTATTTTAAGAATAGTTTCATTTTAGAAATCTAGCAAGCGACTTTGGAAGGTCTAGAGCTCTCTGCTCATGGTCCTTCAGGCTTTTCTGATTTCCAGCAGTAGGTAAAGCTGTATGTGTGGCCCAGGCACTCTCTGTGAGGTGATGGTGGTGGATGCTGAGCCTGTGGGAAATTTGGCAAAGTGAAGTCCTACTCAGAGGTTGTCACCTGGTACACGTGACAGGCAGAATCAGGTTTCGTATTATCTCTGGAATAAATGGACATTATTGTTAAATATATTTTATTCATGATGGCTCCAATTTCAGCTTAAATTATATTATTATACTGGTAATAATAACAACTGATACTTATGTAGCATTTAGTGTTTATGAGGCGTTTCCACATATATTATCTCTTTCATAATTCTGTAACATAAGTATTACCATCTCTGTTTAACAGATCAGGGAGGGACTCCTACAGTTTAAACAACCCACCTGAGGTTATCCAGCTGATACGTGTGGTCTCTGTCTGGACCAGGCCTTCTAATGCCCTCTAAGAAGGCCAACAGCCACTTCTGAATATTCACTGAAATAATTGAATAATGGCACCCAGTTGATTACTTAGAGACAGTGCTGTATTCACTATTGCATCCCTAGTATCATGCCAGGTACATATTAAAGGTCTATAAATAAATGATTGTTTATTAGTGCATAATGTGTAAGGCATTGTGCTAAAGAATTCCACAGAGATATACAAAGCATTTCTGGACCTCAAGGAGTTTATAGTCTGATTCAGAAACTATGGTAAATAAAAATACAAGATATAAATGATAACTCAGATCTGAAATGCAAAAAATGTCACAAGCAGAACATGGCATAGGCAACTGCTCTAGGGATTCAACTGAGTTTAGATGAGGCATTGTGATACGACTTTGAATGAGGGCAAGTTACTGTGGACTGGATTATTTATAAGCCTTCATGGGAGGAAGGATCTGGGCTGGGTGTGAAGGATGGAAACACATCAGACGGGCAGAGATTCATTCATTTATGTATCTGTTCAACTCCATCAGACACTGTTTATGGTTCTGGGACAGAACCAGAAATAAGACCAAGGCCCTGCTGGCATGGACCTCAATTTCTGGAGTGAAGACAGACAAGAAAGTGAGCAAGGAAGTCAGATTATTTCACACCGTGAAAAGTGTTGTGATGAAAACAAAGAAAATAAAGGTATAAACATTAACTAGAGGTGTATGGGGATTTTAGATGGAGCTAGGCCAGGCCTCTCTGAAGACATGTTATTTGAGCAGGAGAAATAGGAGTTATGACACAGAGCAGGGAAGCCCATGGTTACAGGGTTCCTGCATCCATGGCAGCCTAGGGCTGCAGGTGTTTGAGGTGTGTTTTCAGTTATGTTGCCTCCACCAGACAGTTTCACTACTAGGAAAGTAACTTGGAATTCCAGTTTCTTGGCAGACAGATTTGCTAGTGTGATTGATCGTGTGCCATGAGGTTGGCATTATTTCATTGGATCCTCACAACTCTCCTACAAGACAAGTTTTCCCCACATTTTGTTAAGAAAACTGAAAGATAGAGCTGTTAGGTAGCCATCCTAGGATTTCCCAGCTTGTAATAGGAAGAACAAGGTTTTGTACTGGAGACATTTTCCTCTGAAGTCAATGTTCTGAACATTGTGCTACAGTCTGCATTTCTGGGAAAGAGGGGAGTAGTCTCAAGCTTGGACTAGGGGAGGAGAAAGGGGTCTCAAGGGAGTGGTGTTGATATTGAAAGACCCTGAGGACACATCTTCAGAGAAGGAGATAGGAGGCCAGATCATGGATGGTTTGGAGTGCCAAATCAAGGAGTTTCAACTATCTCATATTTGTGGAGTATGGTGGTAGGAAAATGGCTTTGAAAGAAGTACATTAGAGAGATAAAAGTTGGTTTATATAACATCTAGAGTACTCTCTGACATGACCCTAAGATTAATTAGGCAGCAATGATTAAGGTGCTCCAGAAGAGGAAGTTAATGGAGAGATTACCTCTGTGAGCAGGTGCAATGGCCCAGGCATGAAATGAAGATCTGAACCTGGCACATGGCAGTCATTACAAAAAGGAAATGACTGTTGTGAAAAGCATTTGTCCAGAAGGAAGAGGGATAGAATCAGGTGATGTATTGGGGTTGAGAAAGAGGAAGCAACTGGGGTGTCTCTGAGGTTTTGTGCCTTGTGCCTGGGAAATGATGACAGCATTGACAAAATAGAGAAGTCAGGAGAAAGAACAAGTGTGAGGAGGAGAGGTAAGTTTGGTCCAAGATGTGTTGGGTTTGACGTGCTGGCAGGACATGACCATGTGACAGTGATGTGGGGCTGGAACTTCAGACTCAGAATCCTTGAACATTGACATAAACACAATTAAGATAAATGGTAATAAGCCTTATGCAGCTTGGAGTCAAATCTTTGGGAATGAATGCAGTCCTATTTCTGCAGTGAAGGTTATGAGAAAATAGACTTGGTCTGTCTTGTTCATTGCAGCAACCTCAGTGCAAAGAACAGAGACCTAGGCAAGTAAAGGCACTCAGTGAATATGTGTTGAGTAAGTCAATAAATAAAACAGCAAGACAGAGTGCCCAAGACTTGAGTTGAGGGAGAAACGAAGCAGAAAGGAGGAAGTTGAATTCCGATCGAAGGGGGCAAAGATGATGAAGTCAGAGAAATTACTCAGATATTTGGCCTCAACAATTCATATAAGGTTACTTTAAAGTCTTATGTTCTAGGAATCTGGGCAGAAGGGAACCAGCACGATGCAAGAATGCAGAAGCTAAAGAATGTCAACCAGTCAGGGTCTTCCTTCCCACTGCGCGATCTATCTTTGGCATCTTTAAACCATTGAACAGTTATAGTAGGAAATTCCATCTGAAGGGATAGCAGTTTCATCCTAACTAGGTAGAACGGGTTGAACAGGAAAACTGGCATTCACATTGAGTAAAAAAAAAAAAATCCTCTCTTCCATGGATGACACTGCAGCAGGTCAGAATGATTTGGCCATGATAAATCTGAAACATATTATCTTGGCTCAGGTTGAGTAATAGTCAACCCTAGAAAAGCAAGCATCTCTTCTTCTCTTATAAACATTGCATCAGGGCAAGAGTGAGGGGTATTAAGCCATCTTATTTAATGATATATCTCATCCTTAAGGATTTATTAGTTCCATTGCCAATAATGTAGCTATATCAGCTCTGCATGTTTGGAAACTTAATTTGCAATTAAGTTCAAAGGCCATTTTTCCATGGTATGAAATAGGATTATATGTACTTGAAAGTCAGAAATTAACCATTTCCCACTACCCAAAATAATTTTCTGTTCATTAATTACTGCAATCTTCCATTCATAAACATTTATTGTGTACTTACTATATTTTAGGCACTTTGTGATACAAACAACTCTTCTCCAATAGTTTAGTGGGAAAGAGTCAAATATCATAATACTGTGTAATTTGATAAACGCTTTAAGTCAGCAATACAGAGAGGTGATGGCTCATTCGGCTGAGGGACTGGCAAAAGGTATTGTTTGAAGTTAGTCCAGAATGATGTGTAGGAATTGCTCTGGCTGAGAACGTAGAAAAGATATTTAATTTAAAGTAGACAACAGCAAGTGCAAAGGTTGGAAAGGTGATCATGTATTTTATAGAAAGCAATATTGCACGGCTGAAGATCATGGAAGCCAGAGTAGGTGAGATTATATAGCTAGTCGGGGAATAAATAAAGCAGGGTCTTGTATGACTCTTGAAAACTCCTGGAACCTTATCTTGGAGGCGACGTGGACCATGGCATTTTTGTGGCTTGATAGGTCTCTCTCTTGTGTTTTTAATTATACTGAAGTTACCTTAGCTTAAAAAAATGAGGGCATTAGCATCATTTCTAGCCACCATGCTCACCTATCTTCTTTTCTTAGTGTCTTCCCCAAATTTCAAAAAGTGCTCTTCATAGTTTTATATTTTACTTGAATCTTCCTTAACCTCATTGAATAATGCTTGTCCCACTAGCCATTCTGCTTGATCATTTCATCCCAGTCACCATGTCATCTCCTAAGTTCTGTGCTCAACAGTCTTTCTTTACTTCCCAGGGTCCCAGCCCTCTGGAAAGCATTGCCCACTCTTGGTCAGCTCCTGCCCCTCTATTCTGGACACTGCACTGCTGTCAGTGTTTTATAATTCACTGGGATTCTCCCCCGTCTCTTCTCTGCTAGTATTTCTGCTAGTTCCAATTCTAAATCTGTGCATAATAACTAAGGTTTAGCCCTTAGCTGTCTGACTTTTTCTTTCTACAGAAAAATCTCATTCATTCATTCATTTACTAATTCCTCACACTTTTATTGAGAACCTAATATGTGCTAGGCTCTTCATTAGGAGTTCAGATAGAAATATGTATCTGAGATATTGCTTTATGTGTCTGTCTCTAAAATTTCTATCTTTAATAATGATACTTCCTGAAAATTAAGGTTAAAAACCTCTGATTCTCATAAAATGGTTTTATTTCACTAATTCAGACGCATCTCACATGAAACATCACTACCTCTCAAACTAGTGTTGTTATATTTTTCTTTAGATTTCTCTACTTTAGAGGATGGGGATACTGTCACCAATTACACTAAAAACTGCAGTGAAATCTTCGACTCTTCCCTTTCTTTTGATTTTGCATCTAATCATTTGCCAAAGTGTATTTCTTTTTCTTTGCTCCCTTTCCCCCTATATCTACTACCATCATCTTTTAATCCTCTAAAAGAAAATGGGCACAGAACTTGGAAGTAAAGGATCCAGGCAAGGCATTTGCCATGTGGTACCAGACGAGGCTCAAGTTGGAAATCTTAATCTATGCCTACATATGGTGGCAACAAGCTATCTCTGATGAGGTCAGACCACATATGATGGACAGCTGCTTATATTTCCCATGCTCTGGAGCAGTATAACATGTTAGAGCACTTTAACTATAAACATATACTTCTTGCCTTTCATTTTATTTTTGTCTAATATTGTAGTTTCATCTTAACACCCTGAAACTACTTCTACTATTTTATATTGTCAATGCTTGTTTATTTTTATCCACATTTTCATATTTTTCTCTGCCCCCTTACCATTGCCTACTTTAGATTATTCTCTCCTTATGGATTCAATTTTCTTCTTCCTGGAGTAAATCCTTGGTAGTTCTTTTAGCCACTATTAGTAGCAAGATTAATCTTCATCTGAAAATACCTTAATTGCGCCCTTACGCTTAAATAATATTTTAGCTAGATATAGAATTCCAGGTTGGCAAATATTGTCTCAAATCACTTTGAAGATATTATTCCACTATTTTCTGACACTAATGGTTGAGAAAGGTGCTATCAGCCTTTTTTTTTCTGGGGAGGTAATCTGTTTCATATTCCGATACTTTTTACAATTTTCCCTTCAGATTTGTGTTTGTGAGAATTCATGTCTTTCATTCATTTCTAAAAATTTAGAGCCAATACCTCTTCAAATATTGCTACTTATTCATTATTTCTTATATTCCTTCTGGAAATCTCATTAGATGCATTTAGGACTTTTGCATTCTGTAATATGGAAATCACTGCATTCTAAGTCATTTCAACATATCTCTCAGTTCATAATTTCTCTTTTCAACTATTTTAAATATATTATTGTTTGCCACTTAAGTGTTAATTTACCTCAATATCTATGTAACCTTCCTTTCACATTAATAAAACTTCTAAGTTTTAATTGGGTCTATGACTTCCAAGAATAAACATTCCAGGATCCCTTGCAGCTAAGCATCGCCATATGACTCGTTCTGGGCAATAGGATGTCAATGGGAGTATCTTCAAGACACGTTTTCAAAAGATAAACCCACATCCTTTTTTTCCTTTCCTTCTTCATTCCTTCCTCTGCTTAGAATGTATACTGATGGCTGGAACTGCGTATTGAGCCAAAATAACAAGTGTCACCCACTAGGAGTTGAAATAGAAATGTAGAAGAATAATCAGTTCCAGATGGCTATGGCGCCTTAATGCCAATGCTGAACAGTCAAGATCTGGGATTTTTATGTGAGAAACAAATTAATTTTATGTGAGAAACTTCTAACTTCTTAATCTATCTTTTTTTGGCTTTTATTCTCAGGCACATCTAATTTTAACCTATACCATTTATTTATTGATTTTCAAATGACAATGAATATACTTTTAATTTCTTATGGTTCTATTTGGTTCTTTTTTTATAGAGTCGATATATTTTCTTATGTCTTAAATTCTTATTTGTGTTTAATCATTTTAAACATACTTTTAAAGATTTAATTTTTTAGAGCAGTTTTAGGTTTACAGCAAAATTGAGAGGAAGGCATGGAAATCTCCCATACACCTTCTGCCCCAAGATATGCATAGACTCCTTGATCACCAATATCCCCCACCAGAGTGGTACATTTGTTACAATTGCCGAGCCTACACTGATACTTCATAATCACCCAAATTTACAATATTTATCTGATAATTCTTTTATCTGAAATTTCTTGGTGGTCTAATTCTACTGCTTATAGTATTCATTGATTCTCCCTGAAGATGAAATCACAATTCAAAATTAGAAAACATACAAGAAAACAAGCCACAAGAGTTCATCTTCAGTGAGACTTTATGTGTGGGCATCCTAAGGGGATTATGTTGAAGACAAATCCCTCTAGATTGATTTTGAATTTATTTCTGCCAGGTATCTCAGGTATCTGTCATCTGCCTGGAACCAATTTTTATGTAATTATCTAGTTTAGGTATTCTCAGATCCCATGTGTAGTGTCCTTTGGAAAGAGTGGCAAATATATATGAGGCACAGACCCTTGGTTATACATTTTAAGGGCTTATTTTCTCCCCTCCTTATAAACCCAAGCTAAGGCAGACAAGCTTCTTTGTGTCTTGTGGTGTTGCTTCTGTAATCCACCTTTTCCAGTGAGGATGTTTCCTTTATTGCTCCCAATCTTGTCTCCTTCTCTTCAAGACCTGAGATTCCAAAACCTTAGAAAATAACATTTTCTACTTTCAGACAGCTGCCACATCAACCTATGGGCCTTTTATTTTGGTTTTGGTTCTCAATTCTCTATTCAATTATGGAACTTGGGAATTTTTTTAACTTTCATGCAAGTTTAGATACACATTAAAAATATATTTATTACATTGTATCTAACACATGAGATGGTAATAGTATAAAGATTTAAAAGTTTTCTAATAAGCAATACTGTCAGAATTGGTGTTAGTTCTTAGAAAGTTCCAGATGATCACAGCTGTGCTAAGGAAAACGAAGGGAAAACATTTCTGCTATTCTTAGGGGCAAGTATGCCCTGGAGACTGCTGAATCAGTGATATTTGATGTGAGAGAACCTTAAAAAAAAGGCAAAATCCAGGAGCAGGTTGTTGATTCTCAGCCCATTGCTAAATATGGCAAATTTTGTCATACAACTGCTGGACTCTATGCTCCTTGAGGACAGTGTCATGTCCCATACATCTTACTATTTCTCTGTCTACTTGGCACTGCAGTTTGTATATGGAAGTTGCTCAACACAACTGATGATTGATTGTTGACAGTACAAATCCTTGCTTTGAACTTTGTACTCATCAGAAAATTACATCAAGGTGTGGTGCATTTCAGTGTAAAGTACCATATTAACTGTGCACTCCACCCAGTGTAGAAACATACAAAAAAATGCCAGGGCTCATTTTTGACATTATTTCCATTCCATAACTAATATTATAGTCAATAATAAAGTAGAGATGATTGATGTATTCCTGCTTAGTTCAAAATAGATTCTAAAAAACTTTTCAGGGTAAACAGTCGAAAGTTCACGACATATTTATAATTTGAGAAGGTTATTAGAGACTATGTAGTCAGATCACTCATTAAATGCAGAAAAATGTCCTTCTGTAATAACCTGATTAGTGCTAAACACAGCTAGATACAGGATGTTAGCTCACTGCCTCACATAATCATTTATCTCATTTTGAAAAATTTAATCTTTTCAATAAATTTATTGCACTTCTAGAAAACTTTACTTAAAAAATCTTTGTATTAGGTTTTTGATTTTAAAATATACTTTTCTCTTATTATTGAATAATTCTAGAATGTTCAGGGCATAACATTTTTATATATTCAGGAAAGAGACTATGATGACCTCCATTATAGAGGAAGGAGCACTGCCCTGTTTAAACCCAGGGCATATAAAACTGAATTGTAGAGAAATACAAATATACATAAACAAAAAAATAAAACAACTTATAATTCTATTGTCTACAGATAATCATTTTTACACCTAATTGTGCATTCCTCCAGATCTTTATGCAAACTTTTTTTTCTTTTAACAAAATTGTCTTCAGGTTTTGAACGCTATTTTTTCATCTGAACTTGTCACCCAATTATGTATCATAGCATCTTTGCATGACAATACACATTCATCCATAGCAAACTTTTTATGCCTTAATCATTTTCTATTTTATGGATAGTCCACTATTTATTTAAGCAACTCCTTATTGTTGGGCATTGTCTTGCCTCCAATTCTTTACTATAATTAAATATGCTGTAATGCATTTATTCATTCAGCAAATATTTGTCAGGCACCTTAACTCTGCCTGCACCATTCAGCATGGGAAACGAAGTTCCTGTCTTCAGTGTTAACTTCTGAAGGGGGAGATGGAGATTGAAAATAAACAAATAATCAGAGCACAAATATCAGATAATCACAAAGAGTGATAATTGCCATGAAAAAAATAAGATGGGTTAATGAGATAGTGACAAGGCTCAGTCTGTAATTTAGGAGGGGAAATAACGTTGTGTCACATATCCATAGGATAAACCTTAGATGAACCTGTAGAATTGGAATTGCTGCATTTTCTATTAAGCTATCCTCCCACTGTGGTGGAGAAGGCCTGCTTCTTGGAGTGCTTACCAACACTGTCTTGCACCTTGCTCCCACTCTGGGCCCTAGTCCTGCCCTCTGCACCACCTCAGCACCATTTCTTCTCTATTTGCCTCATAAAAATATTGTCCCTCACATGTATAGGACTTTATACTTTACAAACAAGTTTCACATGCTAACTTAATGCATTAATTATTTTGTTTCTATATTTTATTACGTAAATGTTCAAATCTGCACCAAAAGAGAGGGTAGGATAATGATCCCTCAATTCCTCAGCACCCAGATGAAAAAGAAATCAGCATTGTTCCCATATTGTTTCATTTGTTCTCTGGCCCCCTATTCTTTTTTTCTGGACTATTTTAAAGCAAAGCCCACATATAACATTTTCCCCCACCCACTAATACTGGAGTACATGTCTGTAATTGACATAGACATTTTTCTTTCTTGCATATCTTCAATGCCATTACCATTTCTTTTTTTGTTTGTTAAACTTTTAGGTTCAGGGGTACATGTGCCGGTTTGTTATATAAGTAAACTCATGTCATGGGGGTTTGTTGTGCAGATTATTTTTCACCCAGGTACTAAGCCTAGTACCCAATAGTTACTTTTTCTGCTCCTTTCCTTCCTCCCACCCTCGGCCCTCAAGTAGGCCCCAATGTTGGTTGGTCCCTTCTTTGTGTCCATGAGTTCTCATCGTTTAGCTCCCACTTATAAGTGAGAACATGTGGAATTTGGTTTTCTGTTCCTGCATTAGTTTGCTGAGGATAATGGCCACCAGCTCCATCCATGTTCTGTAAAAGACATAATCTCATTCTTTTTTATGGCTGCATAGTATTCCATGGTGTACATGTACCACATTTTCTTTATCCAGTCTATCATTGATGGGCATTTAGGTTGATTCCATGTCTTTGCTATTGTGAATAGTGCTGCAATGAATATGTGTGCATGTGTCTTTATCATAGAATTACATATATTCTTCTGGGTACTTACCCAGTAATGGCAAATGGCAGTTCCGATTTTAGGTCTTTGAGTAATCATCACATTATTTTCCACAATGGTTGAACTAATTTACATGCCCACCAAGGGTATATAAGTATTCCCTTTTCTCTGCAGCCTTACCAGCATCTGTTATGGTTTTGACTTTTTAATGATAGCCATTCTGTCTGGTGTAAGATGGTATCTCATTGCGGTTTTGCATTTCTCCAATGATCAGTGATACTGAACTTTCTTTCATATGCTTGTTGGCCACATGTATGTCTTCTTTTGAAAAGTGTCTGTTCATGTCCTTTGCCCACTTTTTAATGGGGTGTTTGCTTTTTTCTTGTAAATTTATTTAAGTTCCTTATAGATGCTGGATTTTAGACCTTTGTCAGGTGGACAGTTTGCAAATATTCTCTCCCATTCTGTAGGTTATCTGTTTACTCTGTTGATAGTTTCTTTTGCTATGCAGAAGCTCTTTAGTTTAATCAGATCCCATTTATCAATTTTTGCTTTTGTTGAAATTGCTTTTGGCATCATGAAATCTTTGCCTGTTTCTACGTCCTGAATGGTATTGCCTAGGTTGTCTTCTGGGGTTTTTATAGTTTAGGGTTTTACATTTAAATCTTTAATCCATCTTGAATTGAGTTTTGTATATGGTGAGAGGAAGGGGTCCCATTTTAATCTTTTGCATATGGGTAACCGTTTACTGAATAGAGAGTCCTTTCCCCATTGCTTGTTTTTGTCAGCTTTGTCAAAGATCAGATGATCATAGGTTTGTGGCCTTATTTCTTGGCTCCCTATTCTGTTTCATTGGTCTATGTGTCTGTTTTTGTACCAGTACTGTGCTGTTTTGGTTACTGTAGCCCTGTAGTGTAGTTTGAAGTCAGGTAACATGATGCCTCCAGCTTTGTTCTTTTTGCTTAGGCTTGCTTTGGCTATTTGGGCTCCATATGAATTTTAAAATAGTTCTTTCTGGTTCTGTGAAAAATGCCATTGGTAGTTTGATAGGAATAGCATTGAATCTGTAAATTTCTTTGGGAAGTATGGACATTCTAATGACATTGATTCTTTCTATCCATGAGCATGGAATTTTTTTTTAATTTGTTTGTGTAACCTCTGATTTCTCTGAGAAGTGTTTTGTAACTCTTCTTGTAGAGCTCTTTCACCTCCGTGGTTAGCTGTATTCCTAGATATTTTACTCTTTGTGTGGTAGTTGTGAATGGGATTGTGTTCCTGATTTGGCTCTTGGCTTGACTGTTGTTGGTGTATAGTAGTGCTAGTGATTTTTGTACATTGATTTTGTATCCTGAAACTTTGCTGACATTGTTTATCAGCTGAAGGAGCTTTTGAGCCAAGACCATGGGATTTTCCAGATATGGAATCACGTAATCTGTAAACAGGGATAGTTTGACTTCCTCTCTTCCTATTTTGATGCCCCTTATTTCTTTATCTTCCCTGATTGCTCTGGCCAGGACTTCACATACTGTGTTGAATAGGGATGGTGAGAGAGGGCATCCTTGACTTGTGCCACTTTTAAGGGGAGTGCTTCCATCTTTTCCCAATTCAGTATGATGTTGGCTATGAGTTTGTCATAGATGGGTCTTGTTATTTTGACATATGTTCCTTCCATATCTAGTTTATTGAGAGTTTTTAACATGAAGGAATGTTGCACTTTATCAAAAGCCTTTGCTACATTTATTGAGATAATCATGTGTTTTTTGCCTTTAGTTCTGTTTATGTGATGAATCACATTTATTGTTTTGTGTATGTTGAACCAACCTTGCATCCTAGGGATGAAGCCTGCTTGATCATGGTGGATTAGCTTTTTGATGTGCTGCTGGATTCAGTTTGCAAATGTTTTGTTGATTTTTGCATCAATTTTCATCAAGGATTTTGGCCTGCAGTTTTCTTTTTTTGTTGTGTCTCTGGCAGGTTTTGGCATCAGGATGATGCTAGCCTCATAGAATGAGTTGGGAGGAATCCCTCCTCCTTGAATTTTTGCGAATAGTTTTAGTAAAAGTAGCACTAGTTCTTATTTTTACATCTGGTAGAATTCAGCTGTGAATCTATCTGGTCCTGGGCTTTTTTGATTGGCATGCTATTTGTTACTGGTTCAATTTTTGAGCTCAATATTGGTCTGCTTAGGGCATCAATTTCTTTCTTCAATTCAGTCTTGAGAGTGTGTGTGTCCAGGAGTTTACCCATCTCATCTAGGCTTTCTAGTTCATGTGCACAGAGGTGTTCATAGTAGTTTCCAGTGGTTATTTTTATTTCTTTGGGGTCAGTGGTAACATCCCCTTTGTCATTTCTAATTGTGTTTACTTGGCTCCCTCTCTTTTCTTCTTTATTAATCTAGTTAGTGGCCTATTTATCTTATTAACTTTTTCAAAAAACCACCTCCTGGATTTGTTGATCTTTTGAATGGCTTTTCATGTCTTGATTTCCTTCAGTTCAGCTCTGATTTTGGTAATGTCTTGTCTTCTGCTAGCTTTGGGTTGGTTTGCTCCTGCTTCTCTAATTCTTTCAGTTGTGACGTTAGGTTGTTCATTTGAGATCTTTTTAACTTTTTGATGTGGGCATTTAGTGCTCTTAATTTCCCTGTTAACACTGCCTTCATTATGTTCCAGGGGTTCTGGTATGTTGTAACTTTGTTTTCATTAATTTCAAAGATCTTCTTGATTTCTGCCTTAATTTCATTATTTACTCAAAAGTCATTCAGGAGCACGTTGTTTAATTTCCATGTAATTGCATGGTTTTGAGAGTTTTTTTAGTCTTCTATTTTTAATGCGCTGTGGTCTGAGAGTGTGTTTGGTATAATTTCAATTATATGATCAGCTTTAGAGTATGTACCATGTGGCAATGAAAAAAATGTATATTCTGTTGTTTTGTGGTGGAGAGTTCTGTAGAGGTCTATTATATCTATTTGGTGCAATTTTGAGTTCAGATCCTGAATATCTTCATTAATTTTCTTCCTCGGTTATCCATCTAATAATGTCAGTGGAGTGTTGAAGTCTCCCACTATTATTTTGTGGGAGTCTAAGTCTCTTTGTAGGTCTCTAAGAGCTTGCTTTATGAATCTGGGTGCTCCTGTGTTGGGTGCATATATATTTAGGACAGTTAGGTCTTCTTGTTGAATTGAACCCTTTACCGTTATGCAATGCCCTTGTCTTTTTTCATCTTTGTTGGTTTACAGTCTCTTTTGTCTGAAATTAGGATTGCAACTTCTGCTTGTTATGATTTCCATTTGCTTCGTAAATTTCCTCCATCCCTTTATTTTGAGCCTAGGGATGTCATTACATGTGAGACGAGTCTCTAAAGACAGCATTCCATTGAGTCTTGCTTTTTTATTCAGCTTGCTATTCTGTGCCTTTTAAGTGGAGCATTTAGCAAATTTATATTCAAGGTTAGTATTGATATGTGTAGATTTGATCCTGTCATTGTCTTGTTAGTTGGTTATTACGCTGGCTTGTTGTGTGGTTGCTTTATAGTGTTACTCATCTGTGTATTTAAATGTGCATTACCATTTCTAACCGACCTAACAGTACTTCTTTAATATCACATAACACATAGTTCTTGTTTACATTTCCACAATTATCTCAAAAATGCAGCTTTTGTTGGGGCGATCAGACCCAACACCAGGTCGTGGGGGTGATGAAGTCCGGCGGAGTCAAAGGAATTAGAAAAAGACAGTTTGAGAGGGAAAGTGGGACCAGGGGGCCATTGCAAGTGTAGAGGCTGCGAAGGCCCTGAGCTCTGGGAGCCCATACAATTTATTGGTGTTCAAACAAAAAAACAGGTGGTGAGGATGGGGGTTGAAATGAAACAGTGTATCAAGTGAATAAGAAACATATGGCTGCTTGAGATAACGGCAGTGCTAGAAACAAGGAGCCAGCAAGTCTGGCAGACATGCTAGCCCTGCCTCAGCTTCTCTCCCAACACTCAGCTTTACTCCCAACAGCTTTCAAGTTGATTTCTTTGAGTTAGGATGCAAACGAAATCCACACATTTAGTTGGTTTGTCTCTTAAGTTTCTTCTAATCTGTAGCAACCCCTGTACTCTTTCACATCATTTACTTTTTAAATAAATAGGTTGTGCATCCTGAAAAATTTCTCACATTTTGAGTTTGGCTGATTGCTTCTTTCTTGTGTCACTTGACTTTCTTGTTATGTTTCTATATTCCCCAGTATTTCTTATAAATTGGCAATTAGATTTAGAAGCTTAAACTAAATTCAAGTTCAATTTTTTTTGTGATAAGCATAAATCGGATGTGATGTGCACTTCTTATTATACCATAGAGGAGGCACATACTGTCTAGGACTTCTAAGTTTAGTGATGTTAAGATTCAACTGCAGATTTAGGTGTCAGCACCATCCATTTATCCATTTTAAGGTTCTCCACAATCCTTTCACCCAATGATATAAGCACCTCTTGGTTATTGTTTCTAGACCCACTTTTTTTTCATTATGGGTTAATAAACAGTAACTTTCTCTCCCTCGTCTTCATTTATTAACTGGATTTTTTAATAAAAAATAACTTTCCTCATCAATTATCTGGTAATCCAAATTACAGTTTTATAGGAAATATAGAGTAAATGCAAAACTCCTCCTCTTGCCAGTTTTCAGAATAATAAGTTGGTGGCCCAACAATTTCCAAAGATAACTCTTTTTATTTTTTTAAAATAGTATCATTATAGATTCATGGGTTTCTCTTTTTCTTTAATGCATCTTGATCAATTGCAATGATTATTTCTCTCATTTTTTAGACACTGGGAGTTCTTTAAAATTGCCTCCTGTGTTTTTTTTTTTTTGACACAACCCCCAGAGTCTACCATAGTTTGCTTGCTTTCTGGTACAATAAGATATCCTGGGCTAATTCTGTATATTACCTGCCTCAGATCTAGACCCAGGTATTTCTCCAGTGGTTTCTTGCCTTTTTTTTTTATTTTTTTTTTTTAGTGGTAAATGGTATGTAGAGACCTTACTCTAGACACTATGGAGACAAAATGTGACTGCGTTTTTATTGTTGCGAGATTTTTTTTGTGAGCAGTTAGAAAACACATTTTAAAAGAATGAATTAATAACCAATTCAAATTTAACATTTCAGAATAAGCACTTAACCTCTTTGGTTCTATACTTGCATTTTTTTTTCTTATGCTGAAAATTTTGTTTTCTCTTTGTTTTATCCTACAATATGGCTATGTTTTCTTCCAAGTGATAATGCGAACATTATTATTATCAGTAAGATCATTCAATGCTATTTACATTTTCTTTGAGACTCATTTGTCCTTGGAATAGAAATGTGGAGTAAAAATGTGCTTTAGAATTACTTGCAGTAATTCTTTTCTGTATATAGTTATGCCACCAACCCTGATATGCATTTGGACTTATTTTGGTTTGTTTTTACTGTTTGTAGATTTTTATTTAATAATTTTGTTTTTAATTATGTATATAACATTTACATTAATCCAAAGTCAAAACTATCAAACAAGATGTATTCAACAAAGTCTAGCTTACATCTTTGTCCCCCTTCTTCCTCCCTTCTGTTCCATAAGTAATCATTTGTATTAGTTTTTATGTTTAGCCCACATTTTCTTTAAGGCATTATCTCTTAACTGTATTTTTTAACACTTTTATGTAGGCAAGAGGGATGATGCTTACCTACATCATAAAGGAAGTAGCACTGTCCTATTTAAACCCCCGCCCCAGGAATCCAAATCCTGTGCTCCTTCCTCTGTCCCATGCTGCCCTCTACAGACACCTCGGGGAATTTCAAGGAGAGGCAGCTGTCAGTTCTTCCTGAGGTTAGATGTCCAAATTAAGCAGACTCTTTGTGCTTCAGTGATACTACCTTCTACTCTAGAATTTTGTAAAAATACGTATGCGAACCTTTTTGGGGCTCCAGGCAGTGCTTGGTGTCCAGGCGAAAATGTGTGAATAAGCAAGCACTCGTGTGTGTTGGGAAAACAAATTATCCCTAAATGCTGTCATTTTCTCTTAACACCAGCTGCGATGATGTGGAATTGAGGTACAATTAAAACCCATGAAATGTTCTGCAAGTTTAAAATGACCATAGGTTTAAATATTTTTTTTTTCTATCTAATTCAATGTAATTTTAAATTGTCTTGACAACTAGGCAGAAAATAGAAACTACAACTTTCCTAAAGAAAATTCCTGGCCGGGTGCAGTGGCTCACGCCTGTAATCCCAGCACTTTGGGAGGCTGAGGCAGGCGGATCACCTGAAGTCAGGAGTTTGAGACCAGCCTGGCCAACATGGCGAAACCCCGTCTCTACTGAAGTACACAAAGTAGCCGGCGTGGTGGCTGGTGCCTGTAATCCCAGCTACTCAGGAAGTTGAGGCAGGAGAATTGCTTGAACCCGGGAGGCGGAGGTTGCAGTGAGCCGAGACTGGGCCACTGCACTCCAGCCTGGGCGACAAGAGACTCTGTCTCAAAAAAAAAAAAAAAAAAAAAAAAAAAAAGAAAAAAAAGAAAGAAAATTCCTAACTGGGCGAGTGCATAAGTAAGACAGAGTTAAAATCCTACGGTACTGGGTATTGTTTACTCCCAAAGGGTTTCTTCCAAGTCTTCTCCGCTCCCGTCGGGCCTCCTGCCGGGGCGGCAGGAGCAAAGGTGGCGCCGTTCTGTACACAGACATGTTCTAGCGTTCTAGCGTCCCCAGTCTCTTCCCTCTTCGTTCTGCTCCCTGAGGCACCTAGAAGCAAAAGAAGGTTTTGTTGTTGTTGTTTTGTTTTTGTTTGTTTTGTTTTTTGAGAAAGGGGCGCGAAGCAGGGTGCGAATGGATCCCTAAATTCAGGTCGTGGCTGGCTTTCCCAGCATCCAGTTTCTGCTTAGCAAAGATCCAAGAGAGCTTCCCCGTAACTTTTGGATTTTTGTCTGAGATAAGGGTTCAAAAGCAGAGCATTTTAATGTCATAGATAGTTCAGATGGATACATTAGAATTAAGTTATTTGAAAAACAAACAAATGATACAGGAGCTATAAAGAAATTATTTAGGCAGTTAGTGAGTGTAAGAGAGTCCTCCGTAAGGCTTCCCTTTTAACAAAAAGCAGCCTCCAAATAATTTCTTTTCCAGCAAAGAACAGCTTGTAAAACTGAGCTGCAGACCTAAACAAGCAAGCTGGAAGCTTGCATAGTTAGATGCTGTTAGCTGTGCTGATAGAAAAAAGGCTACCTGGGGGCCAGGCATGTTCAACATGGAGGATCCCTCTTCTCTTTTCTTTGTCGCCACTTGGGCAGTAAAAAGGCAGGCAACATGGTCCGGACTGGTAGAGACCCCATCTGCATAATAAAATATTAGCGGGGGATGGCCAGCTTCTTCACACTCTATACAAACAGCACACCTGGTCCGAGCAATCTCTCAGGCCGTATGTTAATCAGACACTGCCTCCTCAAGCTTGTCTATAAAACCCTGTGCGTTTCACCAGGAAACCCGAAGACCCACTTGGGCACCCGTCTCTCTCTGCAGGAGACAGAGCTATTCTCTTTTCTCTTTCTTTCACCTATTAAACCTCCACTCTTAAACTCACTTCTTGTGTGTCCGCATCCTCGATTTCCCTAGCATGAGACAATGAACCTCTGGTATTTACCCTAGACTATGAGGCCTCTTCACAAACAAACAAACAGAAAAACCAATAACAACAGTAAAAGTGCTAAAATGCCAGTAGGAAGTGGTGAAAGCGGTGCTGCAAGTGGGTGGGGACCAGAAACATCAACTTTGAGATGAGGGCAGGCAGGGTAGCTTTAATTTGTTCCCAGTGGAGCAGGCCCCTCCAGGAGGAGCTGCCACCGGTTTGGGGAGCCCACAGGTCCTCCTCCCAGGTCTGGGGCAGGACCCAGGCAGGTTGCGCACCTGAGCGACGGCCCTTGTCCTCTTATTTTCTGGGTAAGGGGCTGCCCTTTTCCCGCACAACAGTGGTCAGGAGAGGCAGTCACTGACTTGAGGTGACCAGGGAAGAGCAGGGCCATCCGTTTCTTCGGAAAAAAAAAATCAGAGTTTTAAAATCAGAGACATGCCCAGGGCTGAAGCCTGAAGCTGTTTCTTCCTCTGTGCCAGATAACCTCAGGATCCATAATTCTTTGGAATCTCACCCTGCCGAATTACTTTCTTTCAAAAATAAAATTATTTTCTGATAATTACGGTAATGTACATTCCCTAAATTTTTGAAAACCATGGAAACATGAAAAAGGTGTGTGTGTACACACAATGGAGACACACTTTACATTCTGTAAATGCTGCTTTTTCACATCACATGATGACAGTTTGTCCACTTTTAAAAGTGGTTGTAATGACTGAACAATATTTTACCCATTTTAGGGATGCACAGTTCTTTAGTTAACTATTCCCTTCGTGTTGAACATTAAGGCAGTTCTACTTCATTGCTCCTGTAAAGAATGCTCCTTCACAGAATACCCTGGGTCTCAGCTTCCACACTGGAGGAGAGGAAGTTGCTGGGAACATCAGACTGGGACAGGTCACCCATCCTTTGTTTCTTCCAGTATTGCTCCTCTGCAAACCTTAGGGCCACCATCAGCAGCAGCCTCCAAACCAGTATTGTGGGGTAGGGTGGTCACTACATAAGGATATCTGGCCTATGGGGAAAGTGGGGACTGTAATCCAGCTTGAATGTTGCTGGCCTACCTGTGTGTAAGCATAAGTCTGTGTCCATTCTTCTAATTCACTCAAAGGTGCCACATGGATTAGACGAACGAGTGGTCCTGGTAGCAACTGGGGCCTGAGGGGGTGCATACATAGAAATGGAATACTACGATGTCGTTTTGATTTTTTAGTTTTATTTTAGGAATATCCTGGCTTAGATTTGGCTATGATTTGTGCTTTACTCTCATTTCAACACTTTACCATCAGTGGGAAATATCACTGTTGCTTTATGTGCAAAGTGATGGTTTTAATAAGGGGTAAAGAGGCATAGTTAGTTGACCACTGCACTTTCATCTGGGACAGCACCTTTCTTACCCAAACAGGATCATATTGAAGCTATGACTTACATGGTTTGGGATCTTAGTTGTATACATTTCAAAAAGCGATGTTAAACACATTGAGCTAGGCTGAAAAAAGTAATTTAGAAAGAATTTTACTTCCTGGTTCGAAGTAAATCAGTATAGCATGGTGGTTGTGTTCATGGTCTCTGCATCCAGACTGCTGTATGACCTTGGCAAGTGAAGGCAACATGTGATGATTATGTTTCCATAACTGTAACATGAAAGACTAAGAGTACCTACCCCAAAGGGTTGTTGGGAAGATTAATTGAGAAACTGTAGGTAAGACACGTAGAACAATGCCTGGCTCATCATAAGTGCTAAGTAAATGTTAGATTTTATGATTATATCCATTTATAAAACCAGCAGCATTTCTCATTTCCACTTTTTTCTTCTTTCCAGTCTTCTTACATAAGATACTTGTTCATAGAATCCCAGTCTCATTTTTCTCCCTGCATCCACAACCTCTTCATGTTTAACTCTCCCTAAGGCACTCCAGATATTTACTGAAAAAATTGAGTTAATAGTTATTCCTGGGTTCTTCCTTTCCCACCCTGGTCTCTCAGCAACTTTTCTTCTAGTTTTTGGATTCTTTGCCTCCCCATTCTCTGTCTTATAGGTGGGGATCCTGGAATATCTTTCATAACCTGATGGTAGCAGTTGCCTTCAACCAGAGCCTGGGCACTACATTACAGGGGAAAATCAGGCCTCATTGCTGTGGCTATGAACTGGTACCCCTCCTCTTCCTGCCCCAACGTAATCGTCCTACAGGCCCCTTCAGAGATGTTAGAACTTCTACTTTTCTGGTCTGGAGTTGAGCTCTGTTTCTTGTGCCAGGCAGTGCTGGCTGGAGTAGCAGAGGGGAGGAGACACTCACAGAGCAGCCTGGGCTGTAGCAAAGGCAGAGAGTACCACGTGGTGCTGATAAAACAAAGGCTTTATTTTTTCATAGGGTCAGACACAGGTGATGACAACTGGCTGTGCAGATATTGCACACACTGGCAGATACCAGGGTTGATATCCTGTGGGATCCTGGAGAATGGACAGGAAGAGCCACTAGGGATACCTCAGAGCTCTCTGCGGGGGAACTTCTCAGTGCTGACCAAAGGAAAGGAGATTTGAGTATGAGAGAGCAAAGCAGACCAGGATGCTCCTTGGACTTTCTTTCCTCTAAAGTTGCTTATTTCAGCATAAAGATCCAGGTCAGTGGCAGCCTGAGCCCCCACCTTGCTGACCACTGCCCCTGCCACAGAAGTTGGAGCTGTGGCACTTGCATTGGCGGGACCTGTGGCACCTGTGGTGGCTCAGGGAGCACAGACACTTTGTGTCCCCTCAAAGTGCTCCTGTCACTCACTCTCCTCCTCCTGAGATCAGGTGTCCACAGTCCTCACACACACAGGATTTGTCTGTGATGTCCCCTCAAAGAGGGGACACAAAGTGTTGGAAAACACAGTGCTATTTTCCCCAGTTTTGCTGGTGATGGAGGCCAAGAGAATGTCAGCTGGGCAGAAAGTCAGTCTAATGAAGCTGTGTCATTGTGGGGCTCTGGGCCTTCTAAAGGGTCCACCTCAGTCCCTAGTCCATGGCTGTAGATGGAGACACCACCTTCTGTGTTTCTTTATCATTTGGCTTCAGCCTCCTCCCCTTCCTAATGGCCAGCACCAGCCCTCCTCACTCCATGAAATTCCTCCTACTTCAAGTCCTTCATTCCCATATTCCTTCATTAATAAATTTCTATTGAGACTTAGCAATGTTTCCCATCCAAAGAGCACCAGAAAAGTAACTATAGTAGAATGACTTTATGTTTGTTGACTTGTTGCAATGATGGAGATAGGACATGATATGGAAGCATTAAGAGGTGCTCACTGTAGGATTTGGGCTTGTGTGTTAGGTAGTTTGGGGGAGTGTTGACGGAATTAAAGTTTGTTCTGGATTTGATGCTGTCAGAAAGCAAGGACACTTCAATAAGCAGGTATCTTAATTTTTAACTAGGAAGTTGGAGCAATGAGGCAAGGTTAAAGCTATAACTAGTAAAAAGGTAGAAGTCATTCATATGAGCTGAGACAAGTGAATGTTTGGTCATTTTTGTGGTTTGGGCAATGCTTTTGCTTCATTGATGCTCAGAGTGGTCTTGTTTTTGTCTTGCTCCCTCGAGGTCACAGAGTTAGCTTATCTAAGGTTAGAGTTCTGTAAAAGTATTTATATTCAACAGGAGAACATCAGATCCTTGCTACTAGAGCGAGGCCAGCTTGCTGCCAGAAATCTGGGCTACTCCTTCTTTTCTCAGCATCAATTATGGGCCAGGCATCATGGTCAGTAGTAGTGATAGGGTAGGTAAGAGAAAATCATGGCATCTGTCTTCAATGAGCTTAAAGTCTAGCAGATCTAACAAACATAAAAGAGTAAATTGTTAGGGATAATGGACCCCAGAAGGAGTTCCATGTGCTATGGGCATGTAGAGAAAAGGTATTGAAGTCTATACTTTGTTGCAAACTGAATATTTATTTTTTCATATCTTGCAGTTATCATAAGCAAGCCTTATCCTCCAGACAGGGCAAACATGGCAGCCATTTTCCTCCATGGCAGCCATTTTCCTCCATAGATTGCAACCCTGAGCCGTTGGCAGCAGGGGAGGCAAGAGGTAGGAGCCAGAATTAAAAAGGAAAATAAATCACACATTTTGGGCAAGTTTCAAAGAATCAAAATATCTTTTCCAATGACTTTCAGTACATCGTGTTACCTCTGTTTTATGAAACACAGTGGATGACTATTAGGCTTTCTTCCAGCCCCATTCTTGACTACCTGTCTTGAAAGCCTCCCCACAAGACCTGGAGAGCTCATTAATCTCCTTTCTACCTTAGTGATTGCCCTTGTCACTCACTCTCCTCCTCCTGAGATCAGGAGTCCACAGTCCTCATATGCACAGGATTTGTCCTGTGATGACACATGGTAGCTATAAGACCATGATCTGGTCACTTCCCTTACAGCACAAGGGCACCTCCCTGAGAGTCACTAGTCCCAGGAGCCCCATCCTGAGGAGACTTGGCTTCCTGTGGTCCCCAGATATCAAGGAAATACAGAGACTGCTCTGGCTGGATGAATCCAGGAAAAATTTCATGACTTAGTCATTCCAATTGGTACTATAGGAACAGGCACTGCAGGACCTCAGGTTTAGCTCTTTGGAGTACATTTTGGACATTCCACATCAGCAATCAAAGATGAGTAAACAAACAGAATTCTTCTCCCTTTGCTTACAACTCACAGTTCCTTCTCCATTCTGTTCCTGCCATGACTGTGACAGTCACATTCCATGGCAAGCAGCTGAGTCATTCTTAAGGAAAATGGGACTCGGTAGCCAGAAAGTGCCATATACCTTCAATGTGCCTAAGTTTCTTATATGGATTCTAATTTTCCCCTCAGGTTAAGTAGTATTTTGAGCTATTTATACCTCTTTAGTCTCCTGAGAAAGTTCTGGTTGGACCCAGTGTGTAAAAGAATGTTGGACTCGAATTTTTTTCTTGTGTTGGGATGTTGGCTGGAGTTGAAAGATAAAAATAATATGTGCCCCTTATCCCCTTATACTAAAGTAACCTCAGGATAAGCTGCTGAAAATCTCTGCAGGACTTGCTAAGAAAAAACATAACTCTATTTCTCTGGTCCAGTTATATATCTGGAAGTTTGAGTTTTGATAAAAATTTTTTAGGTAGGAGAGTTATTGTCCTAGAAGACAGTACTATGGTTTCACCCTTATCTTGTATAGGAAGGGAACTGGTTGCTCTCTTGTAACAGAGATCAATGGAAAGGGGAGGACTCATGATTCGAAATTGTAGATGTTAGAGGTCCCTTCAAAAAAGGAAGACAGGATTTTCATCCAGCAGCAGAAGTTCTGCTGCAGTAGTAGATTTGATTGTTTAACTTCTGAGCCTATTGTTTAATAAAGAAAAGGAATTAAAGAGATAGAGCAGGATGTTGAGACATAATAGTAGACAACATCTGGGAAGGAAGACCAGCTTGCACATTCTTCCTAGTGTTGTGTTTAGAACGGTTTTCTGTTGAGCAGTGAGACCTCATCATCAAGAAGCTGTGGCTGGTGTCAATGAAGGTGGGAACTTAAGGAGTATCTGAAGGGTTAAATCTGACTGCTCATCCCATGTCTGGGAGTAGCGCTGTGGGGAGAACCCTTGCAGATGCTCCAGAAGGACTCACAAAAACACCCTATAAGACAGCCCTCCTGCAGAGCCTGCCACACACAGGGAGCAAGCAACCAACAGAGGAGGCTAGTGGTACAGTCACATGTGTAATGATTTCCCCTCCCCTTTTCCATCTCCCAATACAATGGAGGAGGAAGTGTTATTCAGGAAGAAGGTGGAGAGGTGGTAGTGAATGAGACAAAGAGCCATACATGTTCCCTCCCAACTCCAGTCTCTTGGGAGAGCCATGGGCAGTGCTCACTGGGAAGGGTGAATTTGAGTTTGAAGATGCGTACCGAATTAAATTCAGCTGGTCTGGACTTTAATATCCATAAAATTCACTCCAGAAATGTGGAATTTCCCTGAGATATTTTCAGGAGAGATTCAACACAGCATAGGAGAAGATAATGATGGGATAAGACAATGCTTCTTGTTTTTATGAGACCAAGTTTATAAGGTTTAATATACTATTTTTAAGGTTCTAACAATGTCTTTATAACAAGGGATCATCTTTGGGATTCTCCACCTTTTCTAACATCAATGAAATCAATAAATGCCAAGATTCCATGTCACAAAGGACAAAAAAAAGCAGGTTCAGGGATGTTGGTTGAGGGCTTCAAAATGACCACATGTGGGTAATGCAAAGGCAATAGGAAGTAGAAACTGGGAAGTTCTTGAGGGTGGGAGACATGTTGGGATTTTGGGGGCCAGATAGGAAGTCTTCTAGGGAGAGGAATATCTTAGGTCAAGAGGTGGAGGAGAGGAAGTTGGGTGCTGGATGGTGAGAATACTGTGTGCTACTCACCTGTAGTCCATGGGGAGAAAGAATAAAGGAAAACTTTTGGGGAGTCAGTAGAAGACCCTGATCAATCTGACCCTTGCCAAGTTCCTTTTATTCAACATCTGCCATCTTCTTCCCCAATTCTTGGCTACAATTCTTTTCTTGTACCATGTTTTCTCCCAACATTCTGTCTATCCTGAATGTAAGGAGAGGAGTGAATGTACTGAGACATAAAAGATCTGTGCTAGATCCCAGGCAGGTGTATCACGTTAGTGACTGATACTTGGTACTCAAGAAATAAACTTTGGCTCTGACAGAGTTCTCCTCTCCAGGGGGCATGGAATAGGTTTATTTATTGTGGAATGGATAGATGCAGGGTAGTTGGAAGAGAAAATAAATGGGAGCATTGAAAGAACCCAAGAACATTTGACAGAATCTGGAGTGGGCACCACAATATTGTGTTGGCTGGCATTACACCTGGGCAATCTGCTGAGTCAGAGTCTTTCTGGAAATTAGGCCAAAGATGGGGTTATTAATACCAGCACACACTGAGTGCTGGAATCCAGATATTTATCAATGCAAGTTTTTATTTAAAGATTAGGATTTATGGTTTATATGTGATTTCCAACTTAAATGGTAAATTCTGTAAGGGAATCCCCACCTCTACCATCTTCCCTAATGTTCCATGGAACTTCTCCACCCAGGAGATACAGAGGTGATGGAGGAGGAAAAGCATCACACTGGAGAGAGGCTTCTCTTTTGCTTCACTGGATCATCCAGCCCTGCTCCTCTGTGGTTTTCAGAGCCCTGGTTGCTGCATGAGTGACAGCACCCAGAACTCTGATGCTGTGCTTAGTTGGAGGTGTGAAGCTTGTGATGGCTCAGGCAGGAGCGTTCTCCAGAGCTGAGGCTATGGCAGCCCCTAGAGCTGGGGCTCCATGGGAAGAGACTGCAGTGGGCACTGAAGACCATGTTTGGGTGGTCACTTTGCCCCCAAAGTCATTTGGGAGAGGCTTGAAACTCTTCCTCGTTTTACTTCCAGGACACCTTAGGGGAAGTTTAGTGACTCTAGAAAAAGTAAAAAGGGGAATAATGGCATGTAATTGTATCAGTTTTAAAAATTGGCTATTTTCTTATTTACTTCAGAGAATGTGGCTTTGAATCCACAACTTAGGGAAAATTCCTGAGCAGATGAGAGTGGGAAATGGAAAGTTAACTTGGGTAAAAGGGTCTTCATCCAGTGAGGACTGACTATACCTTGGAGCTGTTTTCTTATTTTGTTTTGCAGGCAAGAAATGAGTGGTGGGATTGGGAGGGGTGGGAGTGATGAGTCTTGTTTAGGAGTCAGCTTCTTCCCTTCTGTAGCCCCAAGCCCTCTGCATCTCCATGGCAGGTGTCAGGAGTTATGAGGAGAGCAGGGATCCAAGAAACTCCAATATCCAAGATATTCATATATTTCTGCCTCAATCTTTCTGTAGGTCTTTAGCTCTTTATTTTTCATTTGTTATCATCATCCGTTATTTAAACAATTTATATTGAGATGATGGTGATACGAGAGGCGGGCAGGGAAGTGCTGGGTAGAGAAGAGTGGGGTCCCTGGTGAGGGCTCCACCCTCAGGCCTATGCCCATGGACCTAAGTGAGGACAGGCACTCCTGGTTTTGCACCCAAATGTTGCATTTTCTAAGCCCACTCTGACCCACCATGCCCCACATCCTGGGCCCATAAAATCTTCAAGACCCTAGTGGGCATGGACACAAGTGGCTGGACGTGGAGAGGAGCAGAAGAGCACACTGACTGATACCAGCAGACGCCAGCAGGCCATCAACAGCAGGACCTCATGGAATTCAGTGGGGGCAGTTGGAGGCCAGCTGGCCACTGGGTGGTCCGACTCCAGCTGAAGCCTATCTTCCCACCCCATCCCCTTGCTGGCCCCCCCATCCATCTCACTGAGAGCTACTTCCACCACTCAATAAAACCTTGCAGTCATTCTCCAAGCCCACATGTAATCTGATTTTTCCAGTACACTAGAGCCTACAGAATATGGGATACAGAAAGCTCTCTGTCCTTGTGATAAGTCAGAGGGTCTAACTGAGCTGATTAACACAAGCTGCCTGCAGACCGCAAAGCTGAAAGAGCACACTGTAACACATGCCTACTGGGGCTTTGGGAGCTGTAAACACTCAACCCTAGACACTGCCATGGGGTCACAGCCCAAAAATGCTCCCAGGACCTGCCCATTTGCATGCTCCCCCTAGCGGTTCGAGCAGCAGGACATCAAAGAAGCGAGTCACACCCCTGTTGCATGCCCTGCAAATGGGATAAGGGAACTCCTCCCATTTCAATGGCACACTCTGTGCTGGGCAAGGCATATTCAAGAGTAAAGATACTATCCCTACCCTTAGGCTGATGAGGTAGTGGGGCTGAGAGATAAGTAGGAAACTAAGTCTGAGCCAAGTGAGGGTGCTGAGATACACGTGTGTGGGAGTCCTCAGGCCTGAGGTCAGAGTTGTTGGAGGTTAGTCCCTTGTTGCTCTGCAGTGACTTGTAGTGAATGATGAATACAGATGGTGTCACCTGCTGTCACTTGGGATGGTTGACGGGGTGAGTAAGATGTGGATCCTGTGTCCGTCCAAGGACAGTAAACTCAGGCATGGCAACTAAGAGGAACTTGTGGACCCAAGAAGCATGAAGGGGGTGATGAGGAGGAAGAGATAATGGTGGGGTGAGGAAGGATGGGGCTGACAGAAACATTGGGACATCTACAATCTTGAGGACAAGATGATATGCTCATTCAGAGCATCTGGTTTGGAGACAGGAACTTCCTAGTTTAATCTTTGGCCACTTCTCCTAATAGCTGTGTCAAGGTAGAGATGCCCAAGGCAGAAAAATCTATATGGAGACAAGATGATCCAGGGATGTCCCAGGTAAAACCAGAGACAGGGATAAGAAATCTAAAATGGCTGTGATGGTAATGTGTCACAGATTAACATACATTTAAGACATTATGTCAGGATCTTAGTGACTATAGTATTGATTCTAAGAGAGCCAGGAAAGAGAGTGATTCAAATGGCTGGGATGGCTAAGAGAGATTAGTCCAACGATTAATGGTAATTAATGGGTGTGTTATAATGAGGTTGATGGGATAAACGTGAACACCTGACATAAAGTAGACTAAGTTTGCAGAGACAGACCTAAACTCTATACTATTTTCCATACTATTTATTTTATATATATATACACACACATATATATGTATACACACACACACACACACACACACACATTTCATCCTGAATCATGATATATTAAAAATAAGTAAAAATGAGGCCAGGATTGGTGGCTCACATCTGTGATTCCTGTGCTTTGGGAGGCTGAGGTAGGAGGATCCCTTGAGTCTGGGAGTTTGAGGCCAGCCTGGGCAACACAGGAAGACCTCATCTCTACCAAAAAAAAAGGAAAAAAGAAAGTAAGAAAAATATTTAAACTTCAAATATATGCTCAAATCGCAAGATTTTGATAAAATATTCTTATTTATTTTGGTTTAAAATGGTTGACTAGAAGCAGCTAGTGTGCACTGCTCTTATGGAGAGGATACAAAGCAGTGACTAAATACTAGCTCTTCAAGTGAATTGTCAAAGAGATCATATTGGGATTTACCAAGGAATTGACAGGACCCACAGAGAGCAGAGAGGAGCAAAGCTGGGCAGCCATTCATCTGAGACTGGCACAGAGCTGGGGGAAGCTCCCTAAAGCAGAGAAAGAGTGAGTGAGAGTTCCCGGGGACTCACACTTCTGCCATGAACCTTTGCAATACTAGGCATAGGAGAGCCCCTCTGACTCCTTGAGCCTCCAGACCAACACAGAGAGCCTGTGCAGAGGCACCAGTTAAGTCCACTTGGAGCCCCATAGGCCTTGTATCCCTAACAGCCAGTGCCAGCTGCTTTAGGCCAGCCAAAAGGGGGCCTGGGCTCTTTTGCACACCCCTGGGATAACTGCTGCTGCTGCATGGCTGAGGAGTGGCCAGGATTCAGACTCCATCCCCTGCTGCTACTTAACAGATAAGGCCTGCATGCCTGGGCTCCCCGAGCAGTGGCCTCACCCCCACCTGAACAGTGCAGTTAGTCATGGTCCTATACTCCTCTGCAGCAAAACTCCCAGAGTAACAGACAAGGCTTGGCACTTTTGCATACCCCCAACCACAAAATCCAGTGGCAGCAATGGAGACTGGTGGCTATGGGGGCACATAGCATGCTGAAAATGGGTCCCCAGTCTCTTCCAGCTTGTAAGGTTTCTGATGAGTAGTCCACTGTTAGCCTGATGGGCTTCCCTTTGTACGTGATTTGACCTTTTTCTCTAGGAGCCTTTAAGTCTGACTATATGCCTGGGTGATGTTCATTTGTATATGCATCACTTGGTGGGAGAGAAGTGTGAGCATGCCATGTGCCCCCATAGCCACCAGTCTCCATTGCCACCACGGAGAGGCCCTGCCCTCCCCAGTGAAAGGCCCACAGCACAGCCACCTGCCCTGCCTGAACATTTCAGCTACAGCCCAGAGCCCTTCTAAAAACTGAACCCTCACAGGCCTATAATACTTCCTAAGGCTCTTACCACCCTAAGCATTCTGTCTGCCACTGCCTAAGAGTTTGGCCCATGACCCAGCCCAGCCCTTCCCATCACAGCCAACACCTGAACTGGGCTAGCCTGACCCTTGTCCAACCCCTTTAGGACTCATACGCACTGTCCAGGGGGCCATGTAGGAACTGGGGAACTCCCCACCCCATTACAACTCTGCTGGCACCTGACTACTTGCCTCATGGCCTGAAGTTGGGCTGACCTAACCAACCAACACCACCACAACCAGTACCCACTCACACAGCCCCGGTGATGTAGCCCCTCTACTTATAAGAAGTGGCTGTATTGCCTCATTAGAGAACAGGTGAGCAATAAAGCTATCTGTTTTAGGCTGAGTGACAACATTATGCTCTGAAAACACTCCCATGGAGTATCACAAAACATGCATTTCCCATGGCTGTCAACCACATTGTGGTCAAGAGACAGACTACAGTGTGCTTCTGAACTAGGAGTCATGAGTTCTGGGTCAAGGGTATGATAGGGAAACAGATCAACTTCCTGCCTACCTAAGATGAGGAAGCAGTGCAGCTTCCTTGTCTCCCCACGGAGACTTCAGTGTGCTTCACCAGAAGTTCCTGTCAGCCACCCTTTTCAGGGCTTGTGCCTGTGCTTGCCATTGGAGTATTCATGGGCAAGCCAGGGACTCCAGTTCTGCCCAGTGGTGTGCCCCTCCCCCTGTGGAGCAGGAAGCTCAGGGCCCTGGGTGCTCCACTGTCCATCCTGTCACCTGAAATAACAAAGAGCCCTTCACAGTAAACAAAAATTATACCCACCTGCTTGTGCTGCAGCTGGATCTTACCTGCAAGCCCTATCTGCTGGCCTGTAGGTTGAACTGCACAGCCCAATATAAAACCTACTAACATAAGTGCACAGAGCTATAAAAACAAAGCCAAAAGACTTTTTCCAATATACTTTCCAGTCATACCCTAAAGGGAAAGAAAGAATATATAGGAAAAGAGAAAAAAAGTCTATTTTCATGAAAATAATTACAATAATTAGAAGTGCCAGCCTTTCTAGATGAGAACAAACTGGTATAGGATCTGGCACCATGAAAAATCTGAATGTTGACACACCACCAAAGTATCACACTAGTTCTACAGCAATGGTCCCTAACCAAATGGAAAAACAGAAATGACAGATTAAGAATTCAAAACATGGATTTCAAGGAAGTTCAACAATATCTAAGATGATGTTGAAAAACAACACAAAGAAAATTCTAAAGCAATGCAGGAAACAAAGGAAGAGATAAACATCTTAAAAATAAATCAATTGGAGGTAATGAAATGGAAAAACTCACTTAGGAATTTCAAAATAAAGTTGAAAGCTTTATCAACAGACTCAACCAAACAGAATAAATAATTTAATAGCTTGAAGACTGGTCTTTCTTTTTTGTTTTTTTAATTATACTTTAAGTTTTAGGGTACATGTGCACAACGTGCAGGTTTGTGACATATATATATATACATATGCCATGTTGGTGTGCTGCACCCATTAACTCGTCATGTAACATTGGGTATATCTCCGAGTGCTATCCCTCCCCCGTCCCCCCACCCCACAACAGGTCCCCGTGTGTGATGTTCCCCTTCCTGTGTCCATGTGTTCTCATTGTTCAATTCCCACCTATGAGTGAGAACATGCGGTGTTTCGTTTTTTGTCCTTGCAATAGTTTGCTGAGAATGATGGTTTCCAGCTTCATCCATGTCCCTACAAACGACATGAACTCATCATTTTTTACGGCTGCGTAGTATTCCATGGTGTATATGTGCCACATTTTCTTAATCCAGTCTATCATTGTTGGACATTTGGCTTGGTTCCAAGTCTTTGCTATTGTGAATAGTGCTGCAATAAACATACGTGTGCGTGTGTCTTTATAGCAGCATGCTTAATAAACCTTTGGGTATATACCCAGTAATGGGATGGCTGGGTCAAATGGTATTTCTAGTTCTAGATCCCTGAGGAATCGCCACACTGACTTCCACAATGGTTGAACTAGTTTACAGTCCCACCAACGGTGTAAAAGTGGTCCTATTTCTCCACATCCTCTCCAGCACCTGTTGTTTCCTGACTTTTTAATGATTGCCATTCTAACTGGTGTGAGATGGTATCTCATTGTGGTTTTGATTTGCATTTCTCTGATGGCCAGTGATGATGAGCATTTCCTCATGTGTTTTTTAGCTGCATAAATGTCTTCTTTTGAGAAGTGTCTGTTCATATCCTTTGCCCACTTGTTGATGGGGTTGTTTGTTTTTTTCTTGTAAATTTATTTGAGCTCATTGTAGATTCTGGATATCAGCCCTTTGTCAGATGAGTAGATTGGAAACATTTTCTCCCATCCTATAGGTTGCCTGTTCACTCTGATAGTAGTTTCTTTTGCTGTGCAGAAGCTCTTAAGTTTAATTAGATCCCATTTGTCAATTTTGGCTTTTGTTGCCATTGCTTTTGGTGTTTTAGACATGAAGACCTTGCCCATGCCTATGTCCTGAATGGTAATGCCTAGGTTTTCTTCTAGGGTTTTTATGGTTGTACATCTAACATTTAAATCTTTAATCCATCTTGAATTGCTTTTTGTATAAGGTGTAAGGAAGGGATCCAGTTTCAGCTTTCTACATATGGCTAGCCAGTTTTCCCAGCACCATTTATTAAATAGAGAATCCTTTCCCCATTGCTTGTTTTTCTCAGGTTTGTCAAAGATCAGATAGTTGTAGATATGCGGCATTATTTCTGAGGGCTCTGTTCTGTTCCATTGATCTATATCTCTGTTTTGGTACCAGTACCATGCTGTTTTGGTTACTGTAGCCTTGTAGTAGAGTTTGAAGTCAGTTAGCGTGATGCCTCCAGCTTTGTTCTTTTGGCTTAGGATTGACTTGGCAATGAGGGCTCTTTTTTGGTTCCATATGAACTTTAAAGTAGTTTTTTTCCAATTCTGTGAAGAAAGTCATTGGTAGCTTGATGGGGATGGCATTGAATGTATAAATTACCTTGGGCAGTATGGCCATTTTCATGATATTGATTCTTCCTGTCCATGAATGTGGAATGTTCTTTCATTTGTTTGTATCCTCTTTTATTTCATTGAGCAGTGGTTTGTAGTTCTCCTTGAAGAAGTCCTTCACATCCCTTGTGAGTTGGATTCCTAGGTATTTTATTCTCTTTGAAGCAATTGTGAATGGGAGTTCACTCATGATTTGGCTCTGTGTTTGTCTGTTATTGGTGTATAAGAATGCTTGTGATTTTTGCACATTGATTTTGTATCCTGAGACTTTGCTGAAGCTGCCTATCAGCTTAAGGAGATTTTGGGCTGAGACATTGGGGTTTTCTAGATATACAATCATGTCATCTGTAAACAGGGACAATTTGCCTTCCTCTTTTCCTAACTGAATACCCTTTATTTCCTTCTCCTGCCTGATTACCCTGGCCAGAACTTCCAACACTATGTTGAATAGGAGTGGTGAGAGAGGGCATCCCTGTCTTGTGCCAGTTTTCAAAGGGAATGCTTCCAGTTTTTGTCCATTCAGTATGATATTGGCTGTGGGTTTGTCATAAATAACTCTTATTATTTTGAGATACGTCCCATCAATACCTAATTTATTGAGAGTTTTTATCATGAAGGGCTGTTGAATTTTGTCAAAGGCCTTTTCTGCATCTATTGAGATAATCATATGGTTTTTGTTGTTGGTTCTGTTTATATGCTGGATTACGTTTATTGATTTGTGTATGTTGAACCAGCCTTGCATCCCAGGGATGAAGCCCACTTGATCATGGTGGATAAACTTTTTGACGTGCTGCTGGATTCGGTTTGCCAGTATCTTACTGAGGATTTTTGCATTGATGTTCGTCAGGGATATTAGTCTAAAATTCTTTTTTTGTGTGTGTGTCTCTGCCAAGCTTTGGTATCAGGATGATGCTGGCCTCATAAAATGAGTTAGGGAGGATTCCCTCTTTTTCTATTGATTGGAATAGTTTCAGAAGGAATGGTACCAGCTCCTCCTTGTACCTCTGGTAGAATTCGGCTGTGAATCCATCTGGTCCTGGACTTTTTTGGGTTGGTAAGCTATTAATTTTTGCCTCAATTTCAGAGTCTGTTATTGGTCTATTCAGAGATTCAACTTCTTCCTGGTTTAGTCTTGGGAGGGTGTATGTGTTGAGGAATTTATCCATTTCTTCCAGATTTTCTAGTTTATTTGCATAGAGGTGTTTATAGTATTCTCTGATGGTAGTTTGTATTTCTGTGGGATCGGTGGTGATATCCCCTTTATCATTTTTTATTGTGTCTATTTTATTCTTCTCTCTTTTCTTCTTTATTACTCTTGCTAGTGGTTTATCAATTTTGTTGATCTTTTCAAAAAACCAGCTCCTGGATTCATTGATTTTTTGAAGGGTTTTTTGTGTCTCTATTTCCTTCAGTTCTGCTCTGATCTTCGTTATTTCTTGCCTTCTGCTAGCTTTTGAATGTGTTTGCTCTTGCTTCTCTAGTTCTTTTAATTGTGATGTTAGGGTGTCAATTTTAGATCTTTCCTGCTTTCTCTTGTGGGCATTTAGTGCTATAAATTTCCCTCCACACACTGCTTTGAATGTGTCCCAGAGATTCTGGTATGTTGTGTCTTTGCTCTCATTGGTTTCAAAGAACATCTTTATTTCTGCCTTCATTTCGTTATGTACCCAGTAGTCATTCATGAGCAGGTTGTTCAGTTTCCATGTAGTTGAGCGGTTTCGAGTGAGTTTCTTAATCCTGAGTTCTAGTTTGATTGCACTGTGGTCTGAGAGACAGTTTATTATAATTTCTGTTCTTTTACATTTGCTGGGGAGTGCTTTACTTCCAACCATGTGGTCAATTTTGGAATAGGTGTGGTGTGATGCTGAGAAGAATATATATTCTGTTGATTTGGGGTGGAGAGTTCTGTAGATGTCTATTAGGTCCACTTGGTGCAGAGCTGAGTTCAATTCCTGGATATCCTTGTTAATTTTGTCTCGTTGATCTGTCTAATGTTGACAGTGGGGTGTTAAAGTCTCCCACTATTATTTTGTGGGAGTCTATGTCTCTTTGTAGGTCTCTGAGGACTTGCTTTATGAATCTGGGTGCTCCTGTATTGGGTGCATATATATTTAGGATAGTTAGCTTTTCTTGTTGAATTGATCCCTTTACCATTATATAATGGCCTTCTTTGTCTCTTTTGTTCTTTGTTGGTTTAAAGTCTGTTTTATCAGAGACTAGGATTGCAACCCCTGCCTTTTTTTGTTTTCCATTTGCTTGGTAGATCTTCCTCTATCCCTCTTTTTTGAGGGTATGTGTGTCTCTGCACGTGAGATGGGTTTCCTGAATACAGCACACTGATGGTTCTTGACTCTTTATCCAATTTGCCAGTCTGTGTCTTTTAATTGGAGCATTTAGCCCATATACATTTAAGATTAATATTGTTATGTGTGAATTTGATCCTGTCGTTATGATGTTAGCTGGTTATTTTGCTCGTTAGTTGATGCAGTTTCTTCCTAGCATCGATGGCCTTTACAATTTGGCATGTTTTTGCAGTGGCTGGTACCGGTTGTTCCTTTCTATGTTTAGTGCTTCCTTCAGGAGCTCTTTTAGGGCAGGCCTGTTGTTGACAAAATCTCTCAGCATTTGCTCGTCTGTAAAGGATTTTATTTCTCCTTCACTTATGAAGCTTAGTTTGGCTGGATATGAAATTCTGGGTTGAAAATTCTTTTCTTAAGAATGTTGAATGTTGGTCTTCAGTCTCTTCTGGCTTGCAGAGTTTCTGCTGAGAGATCAGCTGCTAGTCTGATGGGCTTCCCTTTGCGGGTAACCCGACCTTTCTCTCTGGCTGCACTTAACATTTTTTCGTTCATTTCAACTTTGGTGAATCTGACAATTATGTGTCTTGGAGCTGCTCTTCTCAAGGAGTATCTTTGTGGGGTTCTCTGTATTTCCTGAATCTGAATGTCAGCCTGCCTTGCTAGATTGGGGAAGTTCTCCTGGATGATATCCTGCAGAGTGTTTTCCAACTTGGTTCCATTCTCCCTGTCACTTTCAGGTACACCAATCAGATATAGATTTGGTCTTTTCACATAGTCCCATATTTCTTGGAGGCTTTGTTCATTTCCTTTTATTCTTTTTTCTCTAAACTTCTCTTCTCACTTCATTTCATTCATTTGATCTTCCATCACTGATACCCTTTCTTCCAGTTGATCCAATTGGCTACTGAGGCTTGTGCATTCATCATGTAGTTCTTGTGCCATGGTTTTCAGCTCCATCACATCCTTTTAGGACTTCTGTGCATTGGTTATTCTAGTTAGCCATTCGTCTAATTTTTTTCAAGGTTTTTAACTTCTTTGCCATGGGTTCAAACTTCCTCCTTTAGCTTGGAGTAGTTTGATCATCTGAAGCCTTCTTCTCTCAGCTCTTCAAAGTCATTCTCCATCCAGCTTTGTTCTGTTGCTGGTGAGGAGCTGCATTCCTTTGGAGGAGGAGAGGTGCTTTGATTTTTAGATTTTTCAGTTTTTCTGCTGTTTTTTCCCCAACTTTGTGGTTTTATCTACCTGTGGTCTTTGATGATGGTGACGTACAGATGGGGTTTTGGTGTGGATGTTCTTTCTGTTTGTTGGTTTTCCTTCTAACAGTCAGGACCCTCAGCTGCAGGTCTCTTGGAGTTTGCCGGAGGTCCACTCCAGACCCTGCTTGCCTGGGTATCAGCAGTGGAGGCTGCAGAACAGTGGATATTGGTGAGCAGCAAATGTTGCTGCCTGATCGTTCCTCTGGAAGTTTTGTCTCAGAGGAGTACCTGGCCATGTGAGGTGTCAGTCTGCCCCTACTGGGGGGTGCCTCCCAGTTAGGCTACTCGGGGGTCAGGGACCCACTTGAGGAGGCAGTCTGTCTGTTCTCAGATCTCAAGCTGCATGCTGGGAGAACCACTACTGTCTTCCAAGCTGTCAGACAGGGACAGTTAAGTCTGCAGAGGTTTCTGCTGCCTTTTATTTGGCTATGCCCTGCCCCCAGAGGTGGAGTCTACAGAGGCAGGTAGGCCTCCTTGAGCTGTGGTGGGCTCCACCCAGTTCGAGCTTCCCAGCTGCTTTGTTTATCTATTCAAGCCTCAACAATGGCAGGCGCCCCTCCCCAAGCCTCGTTGCTGCCTTGCAGTTTGATCTTAGACTGCTGTGCTAGCAATAGTGAGGCTCTGTGGGCGTAGGACCTTCTGAGCCATGCACGGGATATAATCTCCTGGTGTGCCTTTTGCTTAGACCATCAGAAAAGTGCAGTATTAGGGTGGGAGTGACCTGATTTTCCAGGTGCCGTCCATCACCCCTAGGAAAGGGCATTCCCCGACCCCTTGCACTTCCCGCATGAGGTGATGCCTCGCCCTGCTTCAGCTCAGGCTTGGTGCACTGCACCCACTATCCTGCACCCACTGCCCAACAATCCCCAGTGAGATGCACCCGATACCTCAGTTGGAAATGCAGAAATCATTCATCTTCTGCATTGCTCACACTGGGAGCTGTAGACTGGAGCTGTTCCTGTTCAGCCATCTTGGCTCAAACTAACCCACTCAGACTGTGTTAGTCTGAATGAAGAATATGAAGAAAAAGAATTTAAGAAATTAACAAAGTTTTTGAGAAATATGGAATTTTGTAAAGTGATCAAACCTATGAATTATTGGCATTTCTGAGAGAGAAGGAGAAGGACTCAACAATTTGGAAAATATATATGAGGGATTAATTCAAGAAAATTTTCTTAATCTTGCTAGAGGGATAGACATCCAGATATAGGAAAACCAGAGAACACTTCGCAGATACTGTACAAAATGAACATCACCAAGGCATATAGCCACAGACTGTCAAAGGTCAATGCTAAAGAAAAAAATCTTAAAGCCAGTTAGAGAAAAAGGTCAAACCATGTACAAAGGGAAGCCCATCAGGCTAACAGAGGATTACTCATGAGAAACCTTACAAGCCAGAAGAAATTGGGGGCACATTTACAGCATTCCTAAAGGAAAGAAATTCCATGCAAGAATTTTATATCCCATCGAACTGAACTTCATAAGCAAAGGAGAAACGAAAACTTTTCCAAACAAGCAATCACTAATTTGTTACCACTAGACCAGCCTTAAAAAAGATCCTTAAGAGATTTATAAACATAGAAACGAAAGAACAACATGTGCAACCACAAAATCACATGTAAATACATAGTCCACAGTCCCTATACAGCAACCATGCAATGGAAACAACAAAGCCATCAGCCATCAACTTCACAAGAGGATTAAAACTTCACATATCAATATTAACCTTGAATGTAAATGATCTAATGCCCCACATAAATAGCACAAAGCTGCAAATTGGAAAAAAAAAACAAGACCCATTTGTATACTGTCTTCAAGAGACTAATTTCATATGTAATGACACCTATAGTCTCAAAGTAAATGGGTTAGAGAAAGATCTATCACGTAAACTAAAAACAAAAAAGAACAGGGATATATATATATATATATATATATATATATATATATATATACGCATATCAGATAAAACAGACTTTAAATCAACAAGTAAAGAAGGGCAAAGAAGGGCACTACATAAACTATAGTTCAACATGAAGATTTAACTATCCTAGATATATATGCATCCAACATTGGAACACTTAAATTTATAAAACAAGTACTTCTAGACCTATTAAAAGACTTAGATAGCCATACAATAATAGTGGGGGACTTCAATACCCCACTGACAGCATTAGACAGAGCATCAAGGTAGAAAACTAGCAATTCTGGACTTAAAATCAACATTTGACCAATTGGACCCAATAGACATCTACAGATCCCTCCACCCATCAACAACAGAATACATCTTCTTATTTGCGTGTAGAACATACTCTAGGATTGAATACATGCTTGGCCATAAAGCAAGTCTCAATATGTTCAAAATCATTAAAATTATGCCAATCATACTTTCTGATCATAGTGGAATAAAATGGAAATCAATATAAAAAGATTTCTTAAAAACTACAACATGAGTTGGAAATTAAACAACTTGTTCCCAAATGACTTTTGGGTGAACAGTAAAATTAAAGCATAAGTCAAACAATTCTTTGAAATAAATGAAAACAGACACACAACATACCAAAATATCTGGCATGCAGCAAAAGCAGTGGTAAGAGGAAAGTTTATAGCACTAAATGTCTACATAAAGAAGTTAGAAAGATCTCAAATTAACAATCTAACTTCATCCCTAAAGGAACCAGGAAGCAGGAAAAACTAGCCCCAAAGCTAGGAGAAGAAAATAAATACTTAAAATCAGAGCAAAATCAAATAGAAGAGACCTAAAAATTCATCCAAAGGATCAATAAAACCAAAAGCTTGTTGTTTGAAAGGATAAACAAGATCAATAGACTGCTAGCTAGATTAGCAAAGAAAGAAAAGTACAATTACAAATGACAAAGCTGACATTATGACCCAGCCCATAGAAAAATAAAAGATCCTCAGATACTATTATGACCACCTCTATGCACACAAGCTAGATAAACTAGAGAAAATGAATACATTCCTAGAAACACACAACCCCCTAAGACTGAATCAGGAACAAACCAAAACCCTGAACAGACCAATATTGAGTTCCAGAATTGAATCAATAACAAAAAAACTTACCAACCAAAATGAGCCCAGGACCAGAGGGATTCACAGCCAAATTATACTAAAGGTACAGAGAAGAGCTGGTACCAATCCCACTGAAACTATTACAAAAAAAACGAGGATGAGGGGCTCCTCTCAACCTCATTCTACAAACCCAGTATCATTTTGATACCAAAATCTGGAAAAGAGACAATGAAAAGGAAAACTATTGCAAATATCCCTGATGAAACAGATGCAAAAATCCTTAACAAACAAACTGAATGCAGCAGTAGCTCAAAAAGCTAATGCACCATGATCAAGTTTGTAGGCTTTATTCCTGGAATGCAGAGTTGGTTCAACAAAAAGCAAATCAATAAATGTGATTCACCAGCTAAATGGAATTAAAAACAAAAACCATATGATAATCTCAATAGATACAGAAAAAACTTTTGATGTAATCCATCATTGTTTCATAATAAAAATCCTCAACAAACTAGGTATTCAAGGAACATACCTCAAAATAATGAGAGCCGTCTATGACAAACCCACAGCCAACATCATACTGAAGGGGCAAAAGCTGGAAACATCCCCTTAAGAACAGGAACAAGACATTAATTCTCACTCTTACCACACCTATTCAACATAGTGCTAGAAGTCCTAGTCAGTGCAATCAGCCAAGAGAAAGAATACAAGGCATCCAAATAGGAAAAGAGGATGCCAAATTCTCTCTGTTTGCTGAATGTAAAATAAAAGTTGAAATAATATAATAAAATCATTATTCAAAAAATTATTAATAGGTATTTTAAAAACACTATTATTACATTAAACATGTCTGAGTATCCTGATACAGGGAAGTCTGTAGGTGTGGCCATCTTTTTTATTTGCTCACATACATTATAGCCAAGTAGGAAACAAAAGCACTTTCAAGACACTTGGGTGAATGGGGTTGTTCCCTGAGAATGAGACTGGGAAAGGACGAGGACTTTTCAACTTTCAAACAAACATTTCATGGTTGGAATAACCACCTATTCCTTGCCTCACTAAACTCTTACCTTGGGTGTGGAAGCAAGCAGATATTAGATGTCCTTTTTGTATCCACTAAGACAATGATATCCAATGTCAAAAGTTTGCCCATGATGGGTGCCTTCACTGGGTTTAGCTACTCTTTACCAGCATCTGTCAAGTGCCCCAGAGTGGGAATCCAATTGAATATAGAGCCACCTTTGTCTAAATCTGCTGCCAAGCAAGGAAGCCAGAAGATGCCTCCAATGGGCCCCTGGAACATAAGCTCCCTGAGAGGGGACTTTGTCTTGTTTCAAACTGATCCAAGTACCTAGACCAGTGCCAAATAAGTATGTAGTGAATGAATAAATTTTTGAATGAATGAGGCTTGGCCTAGAAGTCCCCTGATGAGGACTGAAAAGTCTGTCTTCACACTTACTGAGACCTCACTTGTAGGAATCAGCTTCCAGTGGCGGGTCACCACTGCCATAACTTCTGGCTCCCATGAACTGTACTAATGTCTCAACCCAAACTTTCTTAGTTGATTCTGGTGCCACCTTTCTACATCTTGGGGTAATTCACTGACAGCAGGAGTTCTGGTGGTACTTTGGAGCACAGATCTGACTCCACAGGCACAGCTAGGTCTCTGTGCCCAGGTCTAGGGATCCTTTTTTTTTTTTTTCATATTTCTTAAAACATTTTAGAGGAATTCAGGGTACCATGGTGGTCAGGAGCATGTGGTCAGTGAAACTGTCTGGGTTTGCACGGCAGCTTCTGGGAGACCTTGGGCACCCATTCTACATTGATTCCCCTCTGTAAAATGGGAGAAGGCTAGTATCTAACTCAAAGGACTGCAGTGAGGATTAAGTTATTTACTGTATGTCAAGCCACTGGTACATTATGAGTCCTATATAAATTATAGATCCTATGAATACATATCCAATTTGCAACTCCTGAAATGATCTCATTTTTTCCCCTTTCCCTAAGTTCCTCTCAGTATATGCCCTTGCAAACACCTCCATTTCTCTCTTTGCACCTGTCACCTAATTAGCTTTCAAGGATCCCTTCCTACCCCGTCAACACCCAGATCTTCCCTATAGAAATAATATGAATGTTTTCTCTGCAGCCGTGTGTCCTTCTGCAACCTCTTTCCAGTCCTAACACATAAACTCCTCACGGTCTCCCTATGAATGGAGATAAGTGACATTTCTCATTCTTCTTGTCCTGTGAGGCACTCAGCCTGGGAGATAAGAAGGGGAAGAGCAATGGAGCAGCTTTGGGAGGGGCAAAATAGAAATGTAGGTGGAGAAGAGAAGCTTTATTTTTCACAGAGTGAGACATAAGTGCTGCTAAGCACTGAACAGAACATGGGTGTGGAGACAACCATGAGGGACACCCAGGGAGACCGCTGGAGATCACTGACAACCCTCTTCAGGATGAACTCAGGAGCTCAGACCATGGGCAGGAGGTTAGGAGTGGGTACATCAGACTGAGGTTAATCCTGGGCACTTTGGTCTCTGGTTCCTTTAAAATTGCTCATCTCAATGTACTGCCAAGGTCAGCAGTAATTCTCTAGCAATGGCTGGAGCCCCTGGCAGGCTCACTCACAGCAGTAGAGGCTGTGGTGCCTGTGCCAGTAGAAAAGATGGGGCCTTTGATAGGTCAAGCAGCAGTGCCCCACTAAAGTTAAAGTGACCCCTGAACTGGGGCTGCAGGGAAAGGCTGGAGGTGGGTATGAGGCTTAGTACTGGGGTGTGCACTTTGAAGGCTTTGGGGGTTATCACTGCTGCTGGTTTTGCTGGAGGGCATCTCAGAAGACATCAATAGAATCAGATGTGCTTGTAATGCACAAACCTCTGTCAATATCTCTTCTGTGATGGGTGTCATAGACCCCATGCTCTCCTACTGAACTAAGAAATACACGGAAGAAATGAAAAGTTACTTGGAGTTAGTTTACCTTGGAAAAATGCGTTTTTCTCTGGTCTCCTACTAGAAAAGGATGCTGAGTCTTTTCTAACTGGGCCCCTCAGGTATCTTATCTCCATGTAATCACAGAGGAGAATAAGCCTGTTTGGGTAAACCTTCCTTGATGATGTCTGGTGAGATCAGTGCATCTCGCAGAACAAATGTAGGAAGAAGATGAGGGTGTGCTGAAAACCCATTACCTTCACAGTCACAGGACACCTGAAACATCCTGAGAGGGTGCCCATTAACCCCACACTCTTCCTGGTGCCTCCATCCCAGACCCTCTGCTTCCTTCTCCCCTGATGGAAGCCTGGGCTTGTCTTCCTAGGTCTTCCAGCTCAGGTCCTGTCTCCAGCTAGACATCCATCTGATTTCATAGAAGCCAGAGAATGCTGATTTTGAGAAGTCAGTGGACTGGGGAGCCCAGGACAGGAGCTCCTAGCATGTGAGGGGCAGCATGAGTGGGCTGCTGGGGGAGTTGACAGCACTAAGTACCCCAGCCCAGCTTCAGGACTTATCCACCTTCCCTGGAACAGGATGGCATGTTTGACCACAAAGAGCCTGGTCCTCACTTGTGCATCTTCCACCCAGGCCTACATGTGTCCTTAAAAGAGGCTGTGCCCTGTGCTTTGTGG